>NC_000008.11:66552265-67177265 GCF_000001405.40 Homo sapiens
GCACAAACATTTCCCTTGAACTGAGAGTTACTCCTTTATCCCTAAATACTGCTCCTTTATTAGAAACAAAAATATTCATTTAAATAGCCATACTACAAAGATCAAAATCATGAAAGTTAATTCTGATACAATACCATTATCTAATATATTAATTTTATTTAAGTGTTGCTAATTGCATGGACTGAATCTGTCTTTCTACAATTCATATGTTGAAACCCTAACCCCTGGCATGGCTGTATTTGAAGATGGGGCCTCTAAAGAAGTAATTAGGGTGAAATGAGGTCCTGAGCGTGGGGCCCTGATCCGATAGGACTGGTATCTTTATAAGAAGAGACACCAGAGCTCTCTCCTGCCTGTCCACACATGCATAGAAGAAAGGCCGTGTGAGGACACATCAAGAAGATGGCTGTTTGCAAGGCAGGAAGAGAACTCTCTCCAGAAACCAAGTTTGCCAGCACCCTGATCTTGGACTACCAGCCTCCAGATCTGTGAGAAATAAATGTCTGTTGTTAAGCTACCCAGTTCATAATATTTTATTATGGCAGCCCAAGCATGGTCCCAATAATGTCCTTTATGGCAATTTTTTGCTCTGGCCTAGCATCTGATCTTCCCCCAAACTCTTGAAGCGCTCCGTCTCTATCCCTTCCTTTGGTCCACAGCAGGAACTGCCGTGTGTTTTTGGTAAACTTTTCACATGCACATGTCCATCTTTCTGGGGGGAGCTGTGAACAATGTTAATCTTCACTTTTGTCTTGTACTTCTGTGATTGCCACACATGGTCCACACAGGCTCTTGCACACAGAGGCACTCAGTAAATACTTGTTGATTGATTGGATGGGAATAAGTTATAATCACTAGCTGTATTAAAGCTTGGGGCCAATGATCACTATGTGAGCCATTTCTTGGTAGCCCGTCTTGCCTATTGCCAGCACAAACTTTCCTGTTTGTAACACATACTCATAGGCTCCCAAACTCCTTCAGTATAAAAGTTCAATCTCTTACCAGGATTTTAAAGGCCCCTTAGGGTCTGGCCCCAGTGTGCATTTTTACAACATGATTTCTTCAACCAAAGTGGAGCCACTTGGCAGTCCTTAAGTACATCCTTAATTTTCCATTCTCCAGCCTTTTACTCATTTTTGTTCTCTCTGCCTAAAATTCAATTCCTCCATCTCCATTGATTAAAATTACCCTCTAATATTGGAGCCCAATATTGGAGTAGGGCAAAATTTCAATCATTCTTGCATATATGCATGTATACATTTATTCCACAAATAATTATTGAGCATCTACTATATGCCAGGCACTGTACTATGTGCTTGAATTACAGTATTGAATGAGATAGAAATGATTTGCTGCCCTCTTAATCATCCATACCTCTGCTAATTGGGCACTCTCTTCTGCAAATTTGAGGCAGGGTTTCTATTTACAATGACTTGTTTTCCTGATATAATAATACAGTACTTGGTCATTTGGCCAATACAAATGCCTCATCTTTGCAGACAATTCCGTAGTTGATAGGCACATACACACTCATTAGCTCATTTCATCCTAACTCAGAGGTTAGTAACAAAGATATACCTGTTCCCATTCTATAAAAGAGGAGACTGAAATTCAGAGAGGTTAAGGTAGCCAACATAGGCTACTGTCAGATCTATCATTCCTCTAGAGATCTCTCTCTAGGATGAGAATCCTGGCCTTCTTTCTGACCCTTTGTGCAATATCAACACCTCCTTTATATACAAATGAAACTAGGTGTTAGAGAAGGGATAAGCAACATTAGTTCTACTTTATATGTAAAAACCGGCTGGGCACAGTGGTTCACGCCTGTAATCCCAGCACTCTGGGAGGCCAAGGCGGGCCGTCACTTGAGGTCAGGAGTTCAGACCACACTGGCCAACATGGTGAAACCCTGTCTCTACTAAAAATACAAAAATTAGCCAGGCATGGTGGTGCCCACCTGTAATCCCAGCTACTCAAGAGCCTGAGGCAGTGGAATTGCTTGAACCCCGGGAGGCAGAGGTTGCAGTGAGCCGAGATCATACCACTGCGCTACAGCCCGGGGGACAGAATGAGACTGTGTCTCAAAACAAACAAACAAACAAAAAACAAAACAAAAACAATATGTAAGCACAGTGGATGTCAAGGATCTACTGCAAAATAAATGCAAGCTAGTGGTATTTGGAAATAAAATTCCATCTTAGTTCTTCCATCAAGAAAATATAAATGATATATCAATGCCTTCAGAGAAAATAAACTATTTGCCAGAATTTATCTGAATTTATAAGTTTGATTGTTGGTAACTTGGCCTTGCTTTATAAACATTTAAAATTTGAACAACTAGTATTATAATCTGTTAAATCAGTAAAAATTTTAAATTCTTCTGTATGTCCAGTTTCATCTTACACTATTGAAATACCTTAGCATTCAGAAAATTTAGGGAAAAAAAGAAGATAAATCACTAATCTACACATTTTAATACATAGTTCTTAGCCTGAAAGTGTTTCCTTTGAGTCTTTTATCAGATGTAAGGTTTTACACTATTACAATTATAATTCTCATGCCCTGCCTTTTCTGATGTCCTATTTATACTTTTCTGTGTTTCAACATAGTCTGAAAATAGAATAGGTCTTGGAATCAGAAGACTGAAATTCAAAACCCAGCTCTATGACTTACCACCTGTTTGCAAAAGCACATGCAGGTTTTATGGGGCTCAAAGCTTTTACAGTTTGGGGACCCTTTCTTTAAGAATACAAAATTAGAAGAATTGACTGTTTCTTTGGAATTAAAAAGGAAATCACAACACATTTCTGGAGATGTGGAGATTTCGATCTTTTCTTCTAAGAGCTCTTTAGGCAATTTACCAGAAATGCTTATATAGAAATGCTTTCCAATTGCAATCTGGTTTCCCCTCCTATATCTCACACTGTGTGACTCCCTGCGCTCACAGGAGTCCATACAAGCCTTGATGTTTAAGCTTCATTTGCTTTACAATAAATCCACCTCTACCAGTATGATCTTGGGCAGGTCAAATAACTTCTCTGGTCTTCAGTTTGTTCCTCTGTAAAATGGAATCATTATATTAATAGCTACCTGCAGAAGTTACAGTGAAGACCAAATGAAACCATGCAGAAACTAGTGCTGGAAAGCACGGAGCATCACCCAGGCCGTTTATCATTCCCCTAATGCCAGCCCTGCAGTGCTCTTATGGAGACCAGCTTCTTTCCATTATATTATTGTCATTTTTCAACAAACAATCTATGCCTTCCTTTCTTATGTCACTTTTAATGGATTTTTAGACTAGTAAATGTTGTTCGTTTTTACAAATCCTTCTGTAGCAATTTATGGCTAAAATGGCAATTAAGTAAAGCAACTCTTTATCTGAGTGCTATCCCTTGGTTATTTCTTCAGAAAACAATGCCTAATAACATCTGATTTTGGAGGAAATGGATTAAAGCAACTAGGAAAGAGGTTAGAGGACTCAAGAGATCCAACGGCTCTGGCCTGTGAGCAGACGGGCCATTCATAACTTTGTAGTTTCTCATTCAGAGCAGCCTCCGATGAATCTCCTGCCCAAGCTGGTCTGCTTATGGAACAAAAGGCTGGCAACGTGTGTGTTTCACGCCTCACTGCTCAGGGCTGGCCTCTCTGGTGGCCTGCAGTCATCAGAGGGACTTGCCACCCTCAATTATTTGGCTTTTACAAATCACTACAGGGAAATCCAGCCTAGGCAACACATAAACGCTTTCCTTCATACCATCGGGAAGCTGCCACAATCCTTTTATTGTTTAAGTAACCGACAAAGGTTTCTATTGACTATTTCCTGTTACGGCTTCCTCACCAAGGAAAGGCACCCTTTCCTGCAGTGACTTTTCAAAATGCTGTGGAAACCCTGAGAGTGATCATTGAAAGTTGTCCCTAAGTCATTATTCCATGGTTTACAACATAATTCCCTCAAAGGACGATTTGCAGGTGGCTGCATTTTACCTGATATTCTCCCAGCTCTGAAAAATAATACACAACCTTGGAAAAGGTGATAATACCCCAACAGGCGAGAGATGCCAACTTGTCTCATTCCATTTTAAACAATTGTGAAAGAAATGCTTCTGCAATTACAACTACTCCCACCTCAGCTGAGAGCTACCTCACTTTATATAATACTGGAAGAAGGAAAGGGTGGAGAGAACTGCAATGTGGGCAGAAATGGAGGCTTGGCACCATCTCATAAGCAGATCTGGGCCTAGGGGACAGGAAAATGGGCCATATATTAACCTGGGAGTACTGGAAAGAGGAAATAAGTTACCAATTAGCTAATTTTATTTATTTATTCATATTTTTACTTTTATTTTTATTATTTTTTTGAGACAGGGTCTCACTCTGTTGCCCAGGCTGGAGTGCAGTGGTGCTCACTGCAACTTCTGCCTCCCAGGTTCAAGTGATTCTCGTGGCTCAGCCTCCCCAGTAGCTGGGACTACAGGCATGCACCACCATGCCCAGCTACCAATTAGCTAATTTTAAAGAGTAAGAAGAAGCTGTTGTTGTTTTTGTTAAGAAGCAGCTGTTACTTCCCAAGATTTCTCTAAATTTTAATTTTCTTTCACATATAAAAGAGTGTATGTTTAAAATACATGGAGATAGTTCAATACATATAAGCAAATTTCCTTAAATATCATATGTCTAGCAATTACGCATTCTGTAAGAGATAGAATTGACCTCAAATTTTCAATTAAATTTATTAAAATAGAAAAAAAATTAGCCAGGCATGGTGGCGAGCACCTGTAGTCTCAGCTACTTGTAGCGGCTGAGGTGGAAGGATTGCTTGAGCCCAGGAGGTTGAGGCTGCAATGAGTCAAGATCATGCCACTGCACTCCAATCTGGGTGACAAAGTGAGACCCTGTCTCAAAAAAAAAAAATTATAAAAATAGAAAAAAAAATACTTGCTTTACCAACTTTTGGTTCTATGGCAAACCTCATGATCCCACCTCTCAATATAATATGGTCCACCTATTTATTCCACAGTCCAAAGGCATGAGAAATTTACACTAATACCTATAATTGTTCTTCCCAAAGATTCAACCCAGGTTTCTTCTTTATATCTTGAATTTTGGCTTCCATATTCTTCAAACATTAAGCTAAACTGATTTTTTTTTTGGTAGTATCAGTATAGCTTTATGCATGGTGATTTCTAATAAGAAGAGTGTGCCCAGCCCAACCAAATTCAAAGTTAAAAGTGTCTAAGGGAAATCAATAAACACAATCCAATGTATTTTATTACATTGTTTTTAAAGAAAGAATTTACCCATTTACTTATTGAGTTCACTGTTATCATTAAGTCCTAAAATAGTATTTTAAAAAAAACAAAACTTGAAATGATTTGAAAAGCACATAATGACAATTATTGGGTAAATGTTAGTTAATATGAACTCTAAATAAACAATTAAACAAAATTTATTAAAATAGAAAAAAATTAGCCAGGCATGGTGGCGAGCACCTGTAGTCTCAGCTACTTGTAGGGGCTGAGGTGGAAGGATTGCTTGAGCCCAGGAGGTCAATATGTTGACAATTATAATAATGGCCCTGACTGTATACTGGGTTTGATTTTAACATTTACTTAAAGGACTCTAGAGTTTATTGAAGTAGTATTTGATTTTTCTAGATTCAATATAGTTATAGAAACAGATTGTAGATGTGTATAGAGGAAGTGAATTAATTCACAATTATTTTGGTTCTATGGCAAACCTCATGATCCCACCTCTCAATATAATATGGCCCACCTATTTATTCCACAGTCCAAAGGCATGAGAAATTTACACTAATACCTATAATTATTCTTCCCAAAGATTCAACCCAGGTTTCTTCTTTATATCTCTTATAAAGAAGTGCAGTTGATAAGGTACAAAGTAACTAGTGGACCACATTAGACAGATGACTATCTTGTGACAAATGATTTGGTGAATATGGATATTTTGGTGGGGGCGGGAGTGAAAGTATGAACTTTGAGGCGGAGATTCAGAGATGGGTAATTGTGAATATTTATGGAGAACTGCGAGTATGTAGCTTGGCTTGAGTAAATGATTCATGCAATGAGGTAGAGTTAGCACTTACAGGCCAGGCGCGTGGCTCATGTCTGTAATCCCAGCACTTTGGGAGGCTGAGGTGGGTGGATCACTTGAGCTTAGGAGTTCAAGACCAGCCTGGGCAACATGCTGAAACTCTGCCTCTACCAAAAATACAAAACTTAGCCAGGCATGATGACTCAGGCCTGTAGTCCCAGCTACCCAGGAGGCTGAGGTAGGAGGATCACTTGAGCCAGGAAGCAGAGGTTGCAGTGAGTTGAAATCTCACCACTGCACTTCAGCCTGGGCAACAGAGCGAGAGCCCATCTCCAAAAAACAAACAAACAAAAAACCAAGGAAATAAAAAGAGTTTGGTCATACACATAAAAATTTAGTATACGTAGCTCAAGGAAATAATTATTTCATGTAAAAATTTAGTATAAATTTATTTTACCAGGAGAAATGGGCCTAACACTTGCTGGAGAATAATGAAAAGTTCTGAGTGCTAGCTTTGTAGACTCTTACAAGTAAGCATATAAATGGAAGAATATAGAAAATGATTCATTGGCCAGGCGTGGTGGCTTATGCCTGTAATCCCAACACTCTGGGAGGCCAAGGCGGGTGGATCACAAGGTGGCGCACACCTGTAGTCCCAGCTGCTTGGGAGGCTGAGGCAGGAGAATCGCTTGAACCCAGGAGGCGGAGGTTGCAGTGAGCCAAGATCGCGCCACTGCACTCCAGCCTGGGTGACAGAGCGAGACTCTGTATCAAAAAAAAGAAAAGAAAAGAAAATGATTCATTATATTTTGTTCTGGCTGAGCACTTTTATTTTCCTGTTATAACCTAGCTTTCATTTTTTAAACTTGTTATTAAGGCATAATGTAGATAAAGTACACATACCATTAATAGTAGAGCTTGATTTTTACAAACTGTGAACACATCCATGAAATCAGTACCTGGTGCAAGAAGTGGAGTATCGCACACTCAGAACTGCCCCGTGCTCCTTCCAACCTTCCCGCCCAGGACCACCAGGACCATCACTATCCTGACTTCTAACAACATGCATTAGCTCTGCCTGTTTTTGTACTTTTATATAAAGGGAATCATACACTATGTCATCTTTCGTGCCCTATGCTTAAAGAATCAAACTAAACCTTGGATGATTGAATCCCAGCTCAGTATTTCACTGTGAGTTTGGAAAGCCTCTTAACCCTGTTTCCACATCCAGAGAAGTGGATTATAACAGTGTTTGCCTCATAGGGGTATTGTGAGGATTAAGTGAGATAATGTATGTAAAGGTTTTAGCACAGTGGGTGGAGTGTGGCTGCAGCTGCCACACTGTACTCAAACTTATAGTCTGTGAACTTCCCGGGTAATGCAAGACTCCAGTCAATTCTGAATATGAGAGAGGGAAAAAATCCATGTCATCTGGGCAGAGTCCAACTATTCCTTTATTCACAAATGAGCATCTACACATACAATAGGGAACTTGGCTATTTGATCCATCTCACTTTTGGCCAAAGGAGAAAAGACATTTCTGTTACATACTTATTCATCTCCCCTTCTAGAATATCAGCTTCCTTAAGGGAAAGGTCATGCACTGTTTACCATAGTATATGCAGTGCCTAGCACAGGGCATCGTAAGCACTTAGCTAAACTGAATAAATAGTTAAGTACTAACAATATTAGGGCTTAGGACATTATGTTCAAATCTGCTCAAAACTTCTGAGCTTTGTTTGGCAAAATCACAGTAGTTAAATCAGAGTAAAGTGAATCTCCTGCCTTCTTTCCCTGTGCTGGCCAGGAAAATCCAATCAAACCTAGCACATTCTGTACTTGGAACTTGAGTTAAGCATACTAGGTCTGAAAACTTCAGAAATAAGGGCAGTACACACTACTACTTTTAATACTATTTGCTCCAAACTCAACAGCTTTTGACGTACTTAGACCAACACACTAAAATATTTTCAAAAACACTCTCTTCCTAGCACATCAGTCACAAGTATTTTCCAAGTGCACTTTATCTTGATTTTCTACTGATATATTTCACATTATTGACAATATCCATACTCTCTAAAAAAAAAAAAAAAGGCCAGGGGAAAGTGCAATGTTCCAACAGAATTCTACTTGGTTCAATTTATCTCCTACTACTTAATTAAAAATAAATTTTCACTTCTCACCAAGTAGGAGGCACGTCTTCAAATACTATCATCAGTTTTACATTACAAATTAAAGGTCTGATTGGCTGGCAAGCCTACCACTATAGAACTGGATAAGTCAAGCAGGAAATTATCTGGCTATAAAATGAACTGAAAGATTTTAAGAAAGTAATACAATTTATTGGCTGTGAAGCAAAACTAGCTTCATGCAGATAACTATCAAAGCTATTTATAATTCATAGTATAAAAAAGTATGGTTAATATTCTGAGTCATGACTAATTTTTTAAATTACTTAAATTTAACACTTGGCGAGATTTTTCTAAGCACCATGCTAGACACAGAAATGAAGGAGTTATAAATAGCAATCCCTACTCTTCAGAAATGCAGTCTGGTGGGAAAGTTTTATGGAAGCACTAGGATAATCAGGAAATGACTCACAGGCCCATGCCTTGAAGGCTAAGATTTTAACAGGCTAGGGAGACAAAGAAAAGAAGTCATACAAAGAGGGCCCGGCGCGGTGGCTCACGCCTGTAATCCCAGCACTTTGGGAGGCTGAGGCGGACAGATCAGTTGAGGTCAGGAATTGGAGACCAGCCTGGCCAACATGGTGAAACCCCATCTACTAAAAATACAAAAATTAGCCGGCGTGGAGGTGCACACCTGTAATCCCAGCTACTCCGGAGGCTGAGGTAGGAGAATTGTTTGAACCTGGGAGGTGGAGGTTTCAGTGAGCCAAGACGGTGCCACTGCACTCCAGCCTGGGCAACAGAGTGGGACTCCATCTCAAAAAACAAAAAAAAAAAGTCATGCAAAGAGGGTATTACAAACACGGGCCTGGAGATAGGAGTGTGCACATATGTTCCTGGGAGATCTAAGTCGCCAGTATGACTGAAAAATGAAGTGTGGAAAAGTTGGTCATGTCCAGGTTAGGGAGTGAAGGAGAAGGAGAATTATTATTATTTAGGCAACAGAGAACTATGGAACGTCGTTTTTTATATTTGTTGCTGTTTACATATAAGGAGAAAATGTGCCTAGTCCTCTCAGTTTTATTTCACGCTATAAATTAAGAGACTGGCATTATAATTTCATATATCAGTCATAAACTTGAGGTAAGCCTTCTACTGAGAGGTAAACTCACTTTTAATGAGTTAATTTCCTCAGACTTCGGAGCCTACAAGGCTAAAGATAGAATCTAGATGGTGATGAATTTACCGAGGTAATAGAATACCAAACAGCCCTGCCTGGATGACCAGTGTGCCTTTCCCAGATGACACCCTTATGCCACTGCTCAATTTCTTGACATTTCTATAGAATGGAGACAGAGGCCATATGCAGGCTGAGAATTCACAGCTGACTTCAATGTGGAGGTGGGTGATTACTCAGTGGGTAAATGAAGGGAAGGCAATACCACTAAGTGACAGAACAAAGGGCAGGTCAAAGTTGGGAAAAAGAGGAAATCTGCTTTGAACATATGTTTAAGGCGCCAACAGGAAGTGTCATGTGAAAGTATCTGAAAGACAGCTGGAAATCTGGTTTTAAATGAGGCTCTATAAAGGCGCAATGTTGTATTTATTGGTAAAATCACCGTAAAGAGAGTTCTAAATGAGAAAAAAGGCCTAAGAACAGAATGTTAAGTCTCTAAGGATTCTATCAGTCCTTATAAAGCACAAAACCAAGTGAATGAGCAATGCCAAGTCAGCTTGTACACAGATGCTTTATTTTGGATGTTAATATGTCAACATTGTATGCAAGATTCTCTTACAATGAAGTTTTCCATATATCACAAAACTCAATTTAGTCAGGGTAATTGCTGTATTAATGTGAAAACCTTACAATAAAATGCAGTATTATGTATGTGTAGTCAGTTTCCATGCAAGTATGGCTGCTACATGTTATGTCTGGCATTTGTATAACATACTGAAAGAAACTCAGAGGAACAAAACAGTATAAAGGTGACTTAAGATGCCTGACATGTTTAAGATAAAAAATCTTGCAAAAAGCAACAAAGCAGTTAACTGAAGGATTCAACCAGTACCAACCCAAATATGTATTATGTCCAATAAGCCCAGACTTATCCACAATATATTACCATTTAGGATAATTTAATGCTCAAGAAAAAATATGCTTTAAAAAATATAGCCTTACAAGATATTATACTTTGGTGATTGCAGACTATGTATATCCAGGTAAGGGCTACATTAAAAACAACAACAACAAAAAACCATTATGTGCTATTAGTTCAAGGTAACTGAAATGATCCAGTATGAGTTTGCTACAATCATTGGTTTCACTAAGTGAAATTTCTGTGAGAAGTTCATTAATTAGAAAGCAATCAACATACTTAAACATGCTAAGAGGATTCAAATTGGTTTATCTATTTATCAATAAGGCATAATCTTAGTACCATACATTTTCTTCACTTCTCACTATATATATATATAAATATATATATATATAAAATATGCAAAAACTAGCAAGTAGATTTAAATAGCTTAAAACCCTTTTAGGTCTACTGTTCAAGAGCTAAGCATTAAAATACTTAGTATTTCCATTTCTATTAACATACAAACAGAGCAGAAAATCTTAACCTGCTTTCATTTTGTTTTATAAGGCATAGTAGTATTTTGGTATTTGCAAGAATTTGCCTGGTAATGGTTGATTCCATTTAGTTAACTTGAGAACTTGCCATCATTTGTTTTTTATCTTTTCACACAGTGCAAGTGGTGGTCGCTCTTTCCTTCTCTCGTAGCAGCAAGCCGATTCTGCTATTTTCTATAGCAGCATACTTCAGGAGTGGAGAGGGAGAGAGTGTGTCAATTATAAATAATTCAAACTACAGTGTACAATTCTATTTACCTGTCAGTGTTTAAGTTGACAGCACACCATTATATGACTGAAAAAAAATTACATATAATCTCTACCACAAAAGCAAATAAAAATTCTTTCAAGAAGAAATAAAATAAGTGCAAACACCTAAAACAGGCAACTGAAGCAACTGTTGTAACCTGTAGAGAAACACAAAACATTTAAAAAAGGACAAAATATTTTTATAAATAAAAGATAATGTTCTCCACTTCTGAAACACTGAGTAAATATAAACTTCTAAGTGCAGACTGTTTTTAGGGACCAAGGTACCATATTATTTTTTAAACAAAATGCAAAAATTTCAAACACATATACAAATCACCAGATTAATGTATATGACCACCCCCGATATAATTTAAAAAGAAAATATTAAATTATTATTTAGTACATTTTTAGAACTACTTTATAACCAGCATGATTTAAAGGGCATAGTGCAACATTTAGGTAGATGTGACATACAGTATAGATATTGTATTCTTTGCAGCTATAACTTACTACTGTTTCATACTTAAAGTCAAAATTATTCTTTACTGTGTTAGCTGTAATAACAGGAAACAACATTGGCTTCTAGGCACCCTGTATACGTATAAATATCTACATTTAAGCTTTAAAAATAAAAATAAATTATAAAAACAGACTTCTTTCCAATTTACAAAGTTCTCCTGCTCCTACATACTGTACAATACATTCAACAAAACTCTCAGCTCCTCTGAGATTAAGAAAATACTATTTACTAATAAAGAAAAAACTCTTTTTTGAATGCTTTTTGTTTTCAGTACTATGCTCAAATAAATACATTTAACACTGTAGTTAATTTTACTGCTTCTGAAAAAAAAAACAAAAAATTAGTAGTGCAACTTTCTATCCTTCCTTTAAATTCCTTTTCAATGTGTTTCTTTGTAAATGGTAGCCTAAGTAAATCAGCACATGGGCAAAAGTACTTCATAAAATCATGTGTGCTTTCCATACATAGACTAATTTCAGAAATCATATATACTCATACACCTATCTATAACAAAACTGCAGCATCAAGAGAGTAGCAACATATATCTTGTGAAGAAAATATATGAGAATTTACTTTTAGAAATCCATGAACATTCTATTATTTTCCCATCTTGTTCTTTAAAAACAATTTTTAAAAATCTCATCTCTTAAAAAATAAACTATGAAACTATCTACCCCTTAAGTGACTTACTAGCTTTCTGCCTACTATATAGAATAGAAAAAAGATGCTGTATTAAAAGGGCTATCTTACAACTTTAAAAACAACTAATTGAGAAAAATTTCACTGCAACCTAATTTAGTAGAGACTGCAGTAAGGGAGTGGGGCATTTCATCAATTTTAATAACAATTACAGTATGAGAGCTCTTGAAGTACTACTGGTAGCTGTGTAAGTACTCAGATATCTTCTTGCTTGTTCAGTCATAATAAGTTGGTCTTCTGTCTTCCCATAAACCACTGTTTCCCATTCACAATTTGACTAGAAAGGAAATATTAATAGTGACATGAAAATTATTAAAATAGCTATCTATATCACAATTAGACTCTTAAAGTCAGTTATTTTAACTGATTAGATATTTTATAAACAATAATTATAAAAATGTTTTAACAATGGCACTGTATTTTTTTAATAATAATGTTTTAAAATATATACTGAAATATTTTTTATCAAGTTTTTAAAAAGTCAATTATTTTAGCTATCTATATTGCTTACAGGCCTATGGAGGCAGTTTAAAAGTCTTGTCCCCAATAATTCCCCCCAAATCAAATGAGTCTTAACATGGAAATAAATGTTAGTCTTTATTGCTTCAAAATTTTGCAAAAGATTTAAAGAGAGGATGTAATGTCAAAAAATGAGCCAAGAATGCTTTATTTACAAATTAGGAAATATATTCATAACAAAAAATCAAGCTTATGTTTTTTTCCTTCCCTTATTTTAAAGATTACTATGTTATAGATGTGATCTTCTATATAATAACTTTCCCCAAAAGTTCTATGTTAATTAAACGCCAGGAACTCAAATCATTTTACATGGATTAAGAGAATGTGCTACATGGCTCTTAGAAAGCAGTGGCTGAAAACAGATGTAAGGTGGTCATATGTAATTGCCAAAGACGTTTTCAAGGTATGCTTCAATATCAGGAATACTAGTGCTGCAGTCACTGTGGCATAAAGAAGAAAATTTCCTACTCAATGAACTCTCAAATTCTCTGGGGTAAACTCTTAATGCAGTAAAAATTTTTCCAACCTTCATTTGCAGTTACACACTGGTCGTATCCCAACAGAAAAAAAAAAGGACTTTGTTTTACAACTTCTGAGCCAAAAAGTTCACTGGAAACCATGGTACCAACAAAATCATGCTGAAACTGCTTCCAACCACTTACCCTTTTTCAGAATAGCAATTAGGGCTATACATATTTGTTACAGGAGAAGAGGTGCCAGAAGTAGATTTATATATCTTTAGTTTAAAAAAGATACAGTGCTTAGGAAATCACCAGACCAGTCTTTGGTTACAGCTTCAATTGTTTAGTTTATATGTGCCCTGATGAATGAGTCGCTCAAACCCAAATGTGAGTGATAAAATAATGGTAAATGTTTAGTTACTGTTACAATCAATTTTGAATTTAAAAGAAAAAGTATAATTTGTGATCAGTAAATCCAAAGTGATCATTGACTAAACAAAAACAAAAATCACTAAAGAAATTTATAAATCCATACCTGAAGATTCTTTTCCAATTTGACAACTTTGGAAGTGTTAGGGTTTGGTTTCTTTTTAGTAAGTGTATATGTTTTGTTGGTTGAATTTATATCTTGTTTTTCAGGAATCAAGTTGCACCTATTGTCATGTATTTCCAATAATGGTATCATTAATAAGGATGTAGTAAATCTATTTTCTGACTAAGAGAGAAAAAAGAAAGAGGAAAATAACTAATTCAAAAATGGAGACAAATGGAGGGACTACTGAGTAAGTGGTAATGGAAGCCCTGTTTATTTCCCTCCAAGAAAGCATTTGGCTCTGATGAAATTTCTAGTAATGTAGTAATATTATTTTGGAAATGAACCAAAGATAAACTTTGATATTTAAAATCTTGAGAACTACGATTTTTTGACATCAGATATAAGGCAGCTAACTCCTCTCATAACAAAAGAAATATAAAAAAAAGTAAATAAAATATTCTCTACAGTGAATAGTTTCTCTGTGAATTAGGCAAAATGATACTAAGATAAAAATTCTCCATGAATTTCTAATGAACTGGCTACACAATGAGTAAGAAATAAGAACCTCTAGGACTTAAAGCAACCATTTAAAATAACAACAATAATAATCCTTTACAAACCTGCATGTCTGAAATGTCTTCAGTCAACAGTTGAGTGCCTGATTCTTCTTTTTCCCAATTATCTAAGACTAGTGATTTTCTGACTTTCTTCCCAGAAGCGGTATTCTAGAATGAGTAATTTATGTAGAAGCTTTATGGCAAAGTCTCTTGGATACAATAAGACTTTTATTAACAATAATACTAGAAGATTACCTCTTGTTTGCAGCTTTTGTAAGCAGGTTCATCTTCCTCTTTGAGGAATAGGTCTGTTCCAGTTTCTTCTTTTAAAACTTCCCGAATATCTTCTTCCAAGAAAGCAAGTGGCTGGGACTAAATTGTTTTTTAAAATGTTGTAAAAAGTCATTTATAGCAATTCCTTTTTCTCCCTATATATAGGAAACCCATCTTTTATACTTGTCCATTATTGTCATAATTTTCTCCTAGCCCCTATAGATACATTAATTAAATTAATTCATGTTGTGGCAAAACAATATTATACATTTGCAAGTACTGAGTAAAGAATAGCAATTTCTTCTTTCTAGGCTACTAAACAAAAATCTTCCTTTTGGGGAAACCACTGTAGCTCCTGCTTCAGGTCAGGATCTTCAGAATTAAACAGAAAAGAAAGATGTTATTTCTCAAGTTTTTTTTACATAAAAACAGGAAATATAGAACATATTGGGAATACACTAGCTCTTATTCTACTTTTATTGTACTTATTACATAGTATGTAATTACTAGTTAACACGTTTGTTACCACCAAGATTGTGAGATACTTGAGAGCAATGGTCAGGTCATTTTCATCTTTGTATACCTAGCCTAAGCAAAGAGCTGACACAGTATCCAAGAAGACAGAGAGAGTGAGTGTGTGTGTGTGTGTGTGTGTGTGTAGTGTGGGAGGGTAGGTTACAGAGAGATAGACACTTGAGTGTCAGCTGAGTGATGAAATAGTCTCAAAATATTATTCATCTAGCTTTCTGTCAAATAGGTAAGCACAACTTATAACCCAGAAAAAATTTAAAAATTATATCTAACTTATACCTTTCATAACCAAGATATACTTGAAAAGGTAATAAAACCTCTACTAAATAAAAGAACTGGCAGCACTTAATAACCAGCAGCTGCTGGGCATGGTGGCTCATGCCTGTAATCCCACTTTGGGAGGCTGAGGCGGGTGGATCATGAAGTCAAGAGATCATGATCATCCTGGCCAACATGGTGAAACCCCATCTCTACTAAAAACACAAAAATTAGCCGGGGGTGGTGGTGTGCACCCCGGGAGGCTGAGGCATGAGAATTGCTTGAACCCAGGAGGCAGAAGTTGCAGTGAGCCGAAATCACGCCACTGGACTCCAGCCTGGGCAACAGAGCCAGACTCCGTCTCAAAAAAAAAAAAAAAACAACAACAACAAAACAAAAAACAAAAAAACACCAGCAGCTTATGTCCCCAGCCAGCAAAGTTAGAGAGAATGGTATTCATATATAAATGAGATTTCACAGCACTTACAAAAACTTTTAAGATGAAAACAAATGTTAAAAGTATTCTCATCTAGACTGAGACATACAGGAATTATGTTAGTGTTTCCGTATACTTCTCAAAGAGCTTATTATTATTATTTACTTATTTATTTATTGAGATGGAATCTTGCTCTGTCACCCAGGCTGGAGTGTAGTAGCATAATCTCAGTTCACTGCAACCTCCACAACCCCCACCCTCTGGTTCAACCGATTCTCCTGCCTCAGCCTCCCGAGTAGCTGGGATCAACCGAGTAGCTAGCACAACCTGCCACAACGCCTGGCTAATTTTTTGTATTTTTACTAGAGACGGGGTTTCACCATGTTGGCCAAGCTGGTCTCAAACTCCTGACCTCAGGAGGTGATTTGCCCACCTCAGCCTCCCAAAGTGCTGGGATCACAGGTGTGAGCCACCACCCCCGGTCTCAAAGAGCTTTTTAATGATGGTATTTCACCAAGAACATAAAGTATTCTTTTTTCAAATTAACTTTTAAGTTCAGGGGTCCAAGTGCATGTTTGTTACATAAGTAAACATGGGGGGTTGTTGTATAGGTTATTTCATCACCCAGCCGGGCGCAGTGGCTCATGCCTGTAATCCCAGCACTTTGGGAGACCGAGGCGGGCAGATCACGAGGTCAGGAGTTCAAGACCATCCTGGCTAACATGGTGAAACCCCGTCTCTACTAAAAATACAAAAATTAGCCAGGGTGGTGGTGGGCACCTGTAATCCCAGCTACTTGGGAAGCTGAGGCAGGAGAATCGCTTGAAACTAGAAGGCAGAGGTTGCAGTGAGCCGAGATCGCGCCACTACACTCTAGCCTGGGCAACAAGGGTGAAACTCCATCTCAAAAAAAGAAAAAAGATTATTTCATCACCCAAGTATTAAGCCTAGTACCCATTAGTTATTTTTCCTGATCCTCTCTCTTCCCACCTTCCACTCTCTGAAAGGCCCCAGTGTGTGCTGTTCCTCTCTATACGTCCACATGTTCCCATCATTTAGCTCCCATTTATAAATGAGAACATGCAGTATTTGGTTTTCTGTTTCTGTGTTGGTTTGCTGAGGATAATGGCTTCCAGCTCTATCCATGTCCTTGCAAAGGACATGACCTCATTCTTTTTTATGGCTGCATAGTATTCTATGGTGCATACGTACCGCATTTTCTTTTTTTTTTTTTTCCTTAATTTTTTTTGAGGTGGGGTCTCACTCTGTCACCCAGGCTAGAGTGCAGTGGTATAATATCAGCTCACTGCAACCTCTACCTCCCAGGGTCAAGCGATCCTCCCACTTCAGTCTCCCAAGTAGCTAGAGCCACAGGTGCACACCACCATGCCCAGTTCATTTTTTGTATTTTCAGTAGAGATGGGGTTTCACCATGTTGCCCAGGCTGGTCTTGAATTCCTGAGCTCAAATGATCTGCCTGTCTTGATCTCCCAAAGTGCTGGAATTACAGGTATGAGCCACTGCATCCAGCCCACATTTTCTTGATCTAGTCTAGTATTCTTAAAAAGATCTGGAGGTTTTTCTCCCTTTAAGAATACAAATGTCCTAGAATAGGGCTAAGACAGATTAATTCATTCACTAGCAAGAATTATTCTCTTAATTGTTCTAATGTGTCAAAAGCAAAGAACTCCTGCATTTAATACTTTTCAGGTTTGATACTACCAAACTTAATATTTCTACAGTTTTTAGCCTTTTGAGTAATTTATAGTAAATATTAAAAGAATCGGTTTATTAAAAGGGCAACAGATATTTAAGATATACCTGATTAAAATTCCAAAGCCAATCTCCAAGAAGTGCATTTGACTCATAGTAAGATACAAAAGAAAGCTAAGTGGTTAGCATATAGTAGATGCTCAGTAAATAACTGGAGGAGGAGCAGGAGAAATGAAAAGTCAGCTTACTGCAAAGAGATGTATGAGCCTATAGATATTCTAGGAATTTTAATTTATAAATCATTGCCTTCCTTTTATCTTAAATTGCTGATGCAAATAATCTATTTTGGCAATGGTCAAATTCTATCCAAAGAGCTGTGAGTGCTGCTGGTATTAAATTTAAAATGTCAGAAGGCTAGTAAACAAATGGACAAGGACTTTAGGTATTTGAAACCTATTACAAATATACTTTTGTTTTTGTCTTTTTTTTTTTTTTTCAAACAGAGCTGCACTCTGTCCTTTAGGCTGGAGTGCAGTGGCTTCATCACCACTCACTGTAGCCTCCACTTCCCAGGCTCAAACAAACCTCCTAGGACTACTACAAGAGCATACTACCACACCCAGCTATCAAATTATAATTTTTATTCCACTTATATGTTCACCAAATGACCCTGACTCACTGCAGAATTTTTAAATGCTTTCAAATCATTGTTTACTTGTCTAATCCCCAATTAGTCTACATGACCCTATGAAGGCAGGAACCATACTTGACCTTTTCAACATTCTTTCCATCCCTAAAGCCTAGTACAGTGCCTGGAACCTATTAGGCACTCAATCAATATTTGCTGAATTAATGATGAATTTTTAAAATAAACAGCAAAACACTGAAACAGCCTAAATCAATCAGGTAATTCCATACAATGGAATATTATGCAAACGTTAAAAATTATGGGATAAATATATACATTTACTTGGTTAAATTAAAAAAGTGTTATAAAATAATAAAGTGTGGTCATACTCTTGTTTTATTAATGTATACGCATAAATAAAAACTCTAGGAAGCTCTAAAGGAAATATGATTGTTCACAGCAGTACATGGAGCTAAATGACAAAAAGACTTGATCAACCCTACTACGTACCCTTTAACACAGTATTTTGAAAAAAAGACTAGAAGATGTGCGTGTGTAACATGCTTTTGGGCAGAAAATTAATTAAATCAAGTAAACTAGAATTTGTTAATGAATCTAACCAAAAAGTGACTAAAAATAGAAGAACATAACTAAAAAACCCTGGAAGTTACCAATATTTTAAAAATCGTATTTCTAAAGAACTTGTCAGAAATCTGTATCTGCCTAAAATGCCCATCACTGTTCCAAGGTATTTCAAAGGTGGTAAGATATATGAAAGCACAGTAACTAGAACACTTCCCAGTCCTATTCATTCGTGAACTACTACCACAAATACTATTATTAGAATAATAGCAGCAACCAAGCACACAGTACTTGAAACTCAGACAAGCCCCTTTAATTACATCATCTCTTTCAGCTTCACAATAACAATTTGGGGTGTGTTTTATGATCTCCTTTGCATAGAAAAGGAAACTGAGCCTTTTCCTAATTAGTTTCCTAAAGAGGTACCCTGATTAGTTTCCTAAATATTATCATGAAAGTGCTTCAGTATATCAAAATATTAAAATTATTTTATTCTAATACATGTAACCATGACTGAAACTACTAAAATGTATATTTCAGTATTAAGAAAAGTGTTCCGACAGGGCGCAGTGGCTCACTCCTGTAATCCCAGCACTTTGGGAGGCCGAAGGTGGGTGGATCACGAGGTCAGGAGATCGAGACCATCCTGGCCAACATGGTGAAACCCCATTTCTACTAAAAATACAAAAATTAGCTGGGCGTGGTGGCGCAAGCCTGTAGTCCAAGCTACTCAGGAGGCTGGGGGAGAATCACCTGAACCCAGGAGGCGGAGGTTGCAGTGAGCCAAGAATGAGCCACTGCACTCCATCCTGGTGACAGAGCAAGACTGCGTCTCAAAAAAAAAAAAAAGGAAAAAGGAAAAGAGTTCCACTGACACCTGATGTTTTCTCTAGATGCTATAAAGTTAAGAATTCAAAACAAGCCAAGCAAGGGTTTATTTACAAGTTAAAGAAAAAGGTGAACACAAATTCAAACTTGAAAATTAGGCCAGGTGTGGTGGCTCACGCTTGTAATCCTAGCACTTTGGGAGGCCGAGGTGGGGGGGAGGGGGGTGGATCACCTGAGGTCAGGAGTTCAAGACCAGGCTGGCCAATGTGGTGAAACCCCATCTCTACTAAAAATACAAAAATTAGCTGGGTGTGGTGGCGGGCACCTGTAATACCAGCTACTAAGGAGGCTGAGGCATGAGGATCACTTGAACCCAGGGGGTGGAGGTTACAGTGAGCTGAGATCGCGCCACTTCACTCTAGCCTGGGCGACAAAGTAAGACTCCGTCTCAAAAAAAAAACAAAAAAAAAACCTTGAAAATCAAAAGATAAAGCTTTGTATCTGTTTCAGTAAATATCTTTTTTTAAATGTTAAAAATCAAAGTGATAAAAATCATAATTTGTGTTTTATTAAAATTAGGAAAATTATTAAAAATAAAATGAATATACATACCACAATTTTAAGAGGTCCATATTTTTTCTCCTGAGCAGCAAGCGCATTCTTAAAAGGAGTAGGAGTTCTTGGTGTGGTACCCAGTATAGATCTTCTAATAGTAGGTGTTCTAAACCTATCCAGTCATTTAGATATTTATGTTATAGTCACGATCTGATTTCATACAAGTTAATGAAAGCAAAGCAATTTAAGCACACGCTAAATTTTCTTACACATATATATATGCTTCATTTAAACATTCTAAGACTATTTTAAAGTATGCCCACCTATGGTAATTCTGATTTCAATCAATCATCTTAAAATAGAAAAAAAGAATTAATATAGAAAAAAGTACTAGAAATGTTTGAAAAAGTACTAGAAATGATTGAAATCAAAGTTTGACACTATATTTCAGTTGGTTTTCACTGTCCTAAGGAGAAAACATAAGGTTATGATTTAAAAAAAAAATTCTGGCCGGCCACAGTGGCTCACACCTATAATCCCAGCACTTTGGGAGGCTGAGATGGGCAGATCACCTGAGGTCAGAAGTCCAAGACCAGCCTGGCCAACATAGTGAAACCCCATCTCTACTACATACACAATATTAACCAGGCATGGTGGCACATGCCTGTAATCCCAGCTACTCGGGTGGCTGAGGCAGGAGAATCACTTGAACCCGGGAGGCAGAGGTTGCAGTGAGCCGAGATCTCACCATTGCATTCCAGCCTGGGCAACGAGAGCAAAATTCCATCTCAAACAAACAAAACAAAACAAAACAAAAAAAATTCTAAGTCCTGTAGGAATAGGAATTATGATACTTGCTATTTATATGCACAAAAAGCTAATCTACTTTAACACTGTGCTCCCCATTTTCTCTAACACAATTATTTAATACCTACTTACCCTACATTTTCCTTTTGATCTTTGGGAGTTGTTTCCTTATGAAGAGGAGTTGTAATGAGAGCTTTCTGCCCACAAATAGGGGTTGATGTAAATGAAGGATTTTCTATATTAAGTTGTTCATTACCAGGACATGTGTTGAAAAACTAGAAAGGGAAGAGAGTTTAAAGACGACTTCTAGAACATCAAAATCCCTACACAAATATTAAACTGATAAGATTTTCAAATTATTTCTTCATACCTCTTAAAAAAAGCTTATGAATAATATTACACTTATACTCCATGGAAATTATGCTCCATGAGGGTAGGAATTTTTGTCTGGTTTGTTCATTTTTGTCTCCCCAGCTCTTAGAACAGTGTTTAGCACATATAGGAATTCAAGAAACATTTAACAAATATTCAAAAGTTACAAAAAAAATACTAAAAATTTAAAAAACAGTATATTATCAAATAGAGATCTATAGAAACCATAAACAGCTGCTGTGTTAAATGTAACAGTTTTGTACAACAGTGTGTAACTGAAAAAACAAGTTTTTTAGCTCTTATTAATAAATGACCTTAAGTGGCTTTTTCTATGAGAGTATTTTAATTTAGAATATAATAATAATGCTTTGCTGATAAGAAATACAGCTGTCTGGCAAATTTGCCTATCTAGAACACAGAACAGAACCTCTAAGCAGTCAAAACTGGCATAACAGAGTCCATTTTCTAAATTATATAATTTACAATTGTGAAATACTAATTTATTTTTGCAGTCAAAAGATTAGAAACAGTGATATGAAGCCATAGAAATGGCTTCAAAGCTACTTATAACTAGAATGAAGTCTAGCTCTGTCACTTCTGGCTCTGAATACTTGAATTTATTTTACCCTAAGATTAGTAATCAAACCCTCTTTTACACGATAAAATCCAAGCAGTTTGCCATGGGAAATAAGCATCTTTCAGCCACTTCTACCTTAGAATTCACACTTCAACAAAAATTGCTAGCATGCAAAACTCCAGAATAGAAAACTGCTAGTATGCCCAAGCCTACTTCACTTTCTCCAGTGCTTTTTAACTCTGAGAGCAGGGCTGGGAGTGAACAGACTATTCACATTGTAGTCTACAGAAATGGCATCCCCTGAAGCATGGGTGCACAATTTTTAGAGATCTGTGTTCTGCCAGATCCTGCTTATCTCCCCAGCCTCAAAATATACCTCCAATAATATCCCAGCATTCTCCATGTTTGTTTGACCATTAAACTCCCTTCTTCCTCCTTAAACTTTGTAGCCTCTGCCAAACACTTTCAGAAAACATCAGCTTCATCTCTTACTAACTGTTGCCTTTGACAAGTGGCTCAACTTCAGAATTTTATTCCACCTAACTCCTTTTGAAAGAGCATTAACTGAGATGCTATAAGAAGATTGTTTGGAGGCTGGGAGCAGTGGCTCACGCCTGTAATCCCAGCACTTTGGGAGGCCGAGGCGGGCAGATCACCTAAGGTTGGGAGTTCAAGACCAGCCTGACCAACATGGAGAAACTCTGTCTTTACTAAAAATACAAAATTAGCCGGGCGTGGTGGCACATGCCTGTAATCCCAGCTACTCGGGAGGCTGAGCCAGGAGAATCACTTGAACCCGGGAGGCGGAGGTTGCGGTGAGCCGAGATGGTGCCATTGCACCCCAGCCTGGGCAACAAGAGCAAAACTCCATCTCAAAGAAAAAAAAAAAAGCGTTTGGCAAACAGCCTGGAGCATAGCAAGTGTTCAATAGGAAACTGTCCTAACATAAACATCTACTGTCCAGGGATATTACAAGAGGAGAAAGTAAGTAGGTAGTTCTAGACATCCTTAGGAAACCTCTTGACACATTAAATTCTTACAGTAAGCAATTATCTAAGTTTCTTCCAAAGAACATTAAAAGGAAAAACCTCAGTGGGCAAACTAAACAAATTACTCTAAATAGGTAAGGCCACTTTAATCTTTATCAGGTATATCTATCGAACAGTAGTCAGTCAGGAAACCGGATCTTAGTCTCAGCCTTGCATTAGATAACTTTGGGCAAATCAATGTTACCTTTCCGGGCTTGTTTTCTGATGAGTTCTATAAAGATATGGGACTACAAGATAAAGAAAATGTCCCTCTAAAAACTGTAGTATAATATCATGTAGAACCGGGAGCAGTGGCTCACGCCTGTAATCCCAACACTTTGGGAGCCAAGGCAGGTGGATTACTTGAGCTCAGGAGTTCAAGACCAGCTTGGGCAACATGGTAAAACCCCATCTCTACAAAAAATACAAAAATTAGCTAGGTGTGGTGGCACGCATCTATAGTCCAGGCTACTTGGGGGGCTGAGGCGGGAAGATCACTTGAGCCTCGGTGGTTGAGGTTGCGGTGAGCCGTGTTTGTGCCACTGCACTCCAACCTCGGCAACAAAGTGAGTCCCTGTCTCCAAAATATAAATAAATAAATAAATAAATAAATATTTGCAGCTACTACATTTTGTGAGATACTTTCTATTCTCTCAGAGTTCAGTATTCTCAAGTATACATTTAAACACATTATTTTTATATGTTATCAAAGCTACCAACTGCTAGTAAGGATGTTAAAGATCTAATTTAATGTAACTCATTGACATTTAGAAACATAAACAAAATGAACACCACTACCTGTGAAGGAGAAAATGGTAGTGTTTTCAGTGGTGTATGTTTTAGCGCCATATTACCACCATCGTTCAATGAGCCATCCCTAAGTTCGCTGCCTGGGGAATGACCCACTCGCATTTTTCTCTTCTTTCTGAGGATGGCTGGTGGAGTGCTAAACTTGGCTATATTTGGGGATGTTAAAGGAACAGCTTCACTGTTGCCACCATTACAAGTGTTTTTTTTCCCTTCAAGTACAAGACTGACGTTAAATTGGCATTCCATGGCTCCTTCATTGTGCTGAATTCTCATTAATTTAACTGGGGTGGATTTGATAGGAGAAGCAGCAGCATCAGAAATATCAAAACTGGTAACGTCACTCCATGCTACAGGATCCTGCAATAAATTAAACTGTTAATAAAGTTAATGCTGTAACCTAGTTAAATCTGCTCTTGAACACAGGATGATGATTTCCACAGAGTTAATTAACAACTCATTTTATCAGTAAAAATGCTTTCCTTGGACATTTTTTTTAAGCAAGACCATTTAAGAGGAACAGATTATGGCTTTCCTATGATTCCAAAATACATAATAGTTCATCTAATTCAGTAGTTGAAGCTTACTGTCAAAGTACTTTAAGAACAAATGATAAGTTATTATCAAAAATTAAGTTATTATCAAAAAGTATATTTCGTCATAAAACTTCACATTCTACTGCACATCAGGAAGACACCATCAAATTCTGCATAATCATTTGGTAATGTGTATGGAACGTGTTAAAAATGGTGATATACTTTGATCCAGAAATTCAATTTAACCTAAAGACATAATCATGATTTTGCACAAAGCTTTATATGTTATCTGTAGTACTGAAAAAGTAGACACTAAGCTTATCCACCATGATCAAGCAGGCTTCATCCCTGGGATGCAAGGCTGGTTCAATATACGCAAATCAATAAATGTAATCCAGCATATAAACAAAACCAAAGACAAAAACCACATGATTATCTCAATAGATGCGGAAAAGGCCTTTGACAAAATTCAACAACCCTTCATGCTAAAAACTCTCAATAAATTAGGTATTGATGGGACGTATCTCAAAATAATAAGAGCTATCTATGACAAACCCACAGCCAATATCATACTGAATGGGCGAAAACTGGAAGCATTCCCTTTGAAAACTGGCACAAGACAGGGATGCCCTCTCTCACCACTCCTATTCAACATAGTGTTGGAAGTTCTGGCCAGGGCAATCAGGCAGGAGAAGGAAATAAAGGGTATTCAATTAGGAAAAGAGGAAGTCAAATTGTCCCTGTTTGCAGATGACATGATTGTATATCTAGAAAACCCCATTGTCTCAGCCCAAAATCTCCTTAAGCTGATAAGCAACTTCAGCAAAGTCTCAGGATACAAAATCAATGTACAAAAATCACAAGCATTCTTATACACCAATAACAGACAAACAGAGAGCCAAATCATGAGTGAACTCCCATTCACAATTGCTTCAAAGAGAATAAAATACTTAGGAATCCAGCTTACAAGGGACGTGAAGGACCTCTTCAAGGAGAACTACAAACTACTGCTCAATGAAATAAAAGAGGATACAAACAAATGGAAGAACATTCCATGCTCATGGGTAGGAAGAATCAATATCGTGAAAATGGCCATACTGCCCAAGGTAATTTATAGATTCAGTGCCATCCCCATCAAGCTACCAATGACTTTCTTCACAGAATTGGAAAAAACTACTTTAAAGTTCATATGGAACCAAAAAAGAGCCCACATCACCAAGTCAATCCTAAGCCAAAAGAACAAAGCTGGAGGCATCATGCTACCTGATTTCAAACTATACTACAAGGCTACAGTAACCAAAACAGCATGGTACTGGTACCAAAACAGAGATATAGATCAATGGAACAGAACAGAGCCCTCAGAAATAATGCCGCGTTATCTACAACTATCTGATCTTTGACAAACATGAGAAAAACAAGCAATGGGGAAAGGATTCCCTATTTAATAAATGGTGCTGGGAAAACTGGCTAGCCATATGCAGAAAGCTGAAACTGGATCCCTTCCTTACACCTTATACAAAAATTAATTCAAGATGGATTAAAGACTTAAACGTTAGACCTAAAACCATAAAAACCCGAGAAGAAAACCTAGGCATTACCATTCAGGACATAGGCATGGACAAGGACTTCATGTCTAAAACACCAAAAGCAATGGCAACAAAAGACAAAATTGACAAATGGGATCTAATTAAACTAAAGAGCTTCTGCACAGCAAAAGAAACTACCATCAGAGTGAACAGGCAACCTACAAAATGGGAGAAAATTTTCGCAACCTACTCATCTGACAAAGGGCTAATATCCAGAATCTACAATGAACTCAAACAAATTTACAAGAAAAAAACAAACAACCCTATCAAAAAGTGGGCAAAGGATATCAACAGACACTTCTCAAAAGAAGACATTTATGCAGCCAAAAGACACTTGAAAAAATGCTCATCATCACTGGCCATCAGAGAAATGCAAATCAAAACCACAATGAGATACCATCTCACACCAGTTAGAATGGCAATCATTAAAAAGTCAGGAAACAACAGGTGCTGGAGAGGATGTGGAGAAATAGGAACACTTTTACACTGTTGGTGGGACTGTAAACTAGTTCAACTATTGCGGAAGTCAGTGTGGCGATTCCTCAGGGATCTAGAATAGAAATACCATTTGACCCAGCCATCCCATTACTGGGTATATACCCAAAGGACTATAAATCATGCTGCTATAAAGACACATGCACACATATGTTTATTGAGGCACTATTCACAATAGCAAAGACTTGGAACCAACCCAAATGTCCAACAATGATAGACTGGATTAAGAAAATGTGGCACATATATACCATGGAATACTATGCAGCCATAAAAAAGGATGAGTTCATGTCCTTTGTAGGGACATGGATGAAATTGGAAATCATCATTCTCAGTAAACTATCGCAAGGACAGAAAACCAAACACTGCATGTTCTCACTCATAAATGGGAATTGAACAATGAGAACATATGGACACAGGAAGGGGAACATCACACTCTGGGGACTGTTGTGGGATGGGGGGAGTGGGGAGGGATAGCATTAGGAGATATACCTAATGCTAAATGACGAGTTAATGGGTGCAGCACACCAGCATGGCACACGTATACATATGTAACTAACCTGCATATTGTGCACATGTACCCTAAAACTTAAAGTATAATAATAATAAAAAAATTAAAAAAAAATTTTTTTTAAAAAAATGAAAAAGTAGACACTACCTAAATGTCCAATAATAATAGTTGGGTAAATATATTTTCTTATATTCATTTGATGGAATACTACAAAGCCCCTAAAATTCAAATTTAGGCCAGGCATGGTGGCTCATGCCTGTAATCCCAGCACTTTGGGAGGCCGAGGTGGGAGGATCACTTGAGGTCAGGAGTTCAAGACCAGCCTGGCCAACATGATGAAACCCCATCTCCACTAAAAATATAAAAATTAGCTGGGTGTGGTGGCAGGCACCTGTAATCCCAGCTACTCAGAAGGCTGAGGCAGGAGAATCGCTTGAACCCAGGAGGCACAGGTTGCAGTGAACTGAGATTGCACCACTACACTCCAGCCTGGGCGACAGAGTGAGATGCCATCTTAAAAAAAAAAAAATCAAGTTTAAAAAAGGAAACAGAAACATGCTCATGACAGGGTGGAAAACAAAAAAAAATCCACAAATATAATACAGAAGTGTATTTTTGGGTTTAAAAATATAATGTTTTCTGAGTATAGAACACAGACTGAAAGGAATACATCAAATTATTAACTCTGGGTTTATGAAGGACTTTAATTTTCTTTTTTATAGTTTTCTCTAGTTTCCAGCTTTCTCTAATGCACTTGTATAACTTATATAATAAAAAATGAATTAAGTTTTTAATTTTTAAAAATTCCTCACAAGGCACATACTTGAGAAAAATTTAAACTTTTTTCCCCTAGAAGCCACTGCAAAATATCAGAACAAAATTAAGCATGGCATACAAAACATAAAACTGGTCAATGTCCAAAACTGAGTTTCTGAGCATGAAATCATATAACTAAAATTGAACTTTTGATAATCTTACAATTTTTTACTTACAGATTCAATAAGTTCTAGAGTCTCTGCAAATTCTGGGATGGTCTGCAAAGAGGATAACACAGCGTTTGCCTCCACGGCCAGGAACTTTGTGGGTGAATTCTGCTGAGCAGACACAGGCTGATTTTCATCCATACTGTAAAACTCACTAGTGTGCTCGTCAAGGCTATTTAGAGTATTAGACATGTTATCATCCATGAGGAAACTACCAGACCAGCTAGAAAAACTTCCAGGCTGCTAAAGGTACAAAAGAAATTTGAATATTATTTGTCATTCTCAATGTAGGCATAAATTCAGATTTCAACACATTTCAATTAGGCTAAAAACATAGTAGCAAATATTTTGTCTTTCCTCAAAATTGGTATACTTTTTTCATTAAACTTCATGCTTTGACTATGTTTCTTTTTTCTAATTAAAATTTTTAATCTATACAATCATGATGAGATAAAACAAGCATTTACATACAACATAAAGTCCAAACTCTTAGAATCTGGCTACTCCCTTCCTTCCAAACTTCATTTCTCAACACTTCTACTCAAGAGCTATATATTTAAACCTTATCATGTGTATCTATTTATTCCTGGTAGTTATCAGAAATACCCAACTATAGCACTTGCAATTCCCCAGTGAATTATATACTCTTTTGACCTGGAGTGCCTTTGCACATATTGCTGCTCCCTCTATCTATTAATAAAATGCTCTGTAACCTACTGACCAGGGAAGCTCTTCTTTTTTTTTTTTTTTTCTGAGATTGGAGTTTTCACTCAGTTGCCCAGGCTGGGGTACAGCGGTGCTCTCTCGGCTCACTGCAACTTCCACCTCCTGGGTTCAAGCAATTCTCCTGCCTCAGCCTCCCGGGTAGCTGGGATTACAGGTACCCATCACCACACCCGGTTAATTTTTTGTATTTTTAGTAGAGACAGGGTTTCACCATGTTGGCCAGGCTGGTCTCAAACTCCTGACCTCAGGTGATCCGCCCACCTCAGCCTCCCAAAGGGAAGCTATTCTTAAGACACAGTTCAAATACTGGAAAGTACTTCATCTGATTATACACTTTTATCTGCTTCATTTATAATAATGTCCTAATTCATTTATCTTGCTAATATATAATCATTGTCCTTCAAGGCTGAGTTCACTTAGGACTTCTAGGAACCCTTCCCTGATGACAACAATCTAAATCAAGCACCTCTCCTGTATGTTACCATAAACTTTGTGACTTACAAATTGTCAAAATTCAAAGACAGAATTCTAAAAATAGCAAGAGAGAACAGGTACGGTGGCTCACGCACATAGTCCCAGCACTTTGGGAAGTCAAGGCAGGCAGATTGCTTGAGCCCAGGAGTTTGAGAACAGTTTGGCCAACATAACGAAACCCCATCTCTACAAAAAATACAAAAATTAGCTGGGCATGGTACCATGCGCCTGTAGTCCCAGAACTCGAGAGGCTGAGGTGAGGGCATCACTTGAACCCAGGAAGTCAAGGCTGCAGCAAACTGTGATCACACCACCACACTCCAGCCTGGCTGACAGAGTGAGACCCTTATCAAAAGAAAATTAAAAATAAAAACTGCAAAGTAAAAGTATTACATCCCATATATGGAAATCTTTATTAGATAACAGCAGATTTATTTGAAAAAATCTTACAGGCCAGAAGAGAATGAAATGATATATTTGAGAAGCACTGAAAAAAGAAAAATGCCTGCCAAGAATACCCAGCAAAGCTATCCTTCAGAAATGAGGGAGAAATAAAGTCTTTCCCAGACTTTTTCTTTTTAAATGGTGGGAATTCATCACCACTAGATCAGCCTTACAAGAAGTGCTCAAAAAAGTCCTATACCTGAAAGCAAAAAGATAACAGACACTATTATGAAAATATGTAAAAGTATAAAATTCACTAGTAGAGCAGGTACACAAAGGAGAAAGATAAAATAATCAAACCACTGTACTACAGAAAACCACCAAACTGCAATAATAAACATTAAGAGAGGAAGAAAGGAACAAAGAATACACAAAAACAGAAAATAATTAACAAAATGAAAAGAGTAAGTCTTCACATATCAGTAATAACCCTGAATGTAAACAGATTAAGCTCTACACTTAAAAGACATAGACTAGCTGAATGGATTAAAAACACATGACCCAACTATATGCTGCCTACAAAAACTCATGTCACCTGTAAAGACACATACGGACTGAATGTAAAAGGATGGAAAAAGATATTCTATGCAAACAGAAACTAAAAGCAAGCAGGAATAGCTATACTCATATCAGATAAAGCATAATTTAAACTAAAAACTATAAAAAGAAGCTGGGCATGGTAGCACATGCCTGCAACCACAGCACTTTGGGAGGCCAAGGTGGGCTCAGGAGTTTGAAACCAGCCTCGGCAACATGGCAAAACTCCATCTCTACAAAAAAAAAAAAAAAAAAAAAAAAAAATTAGCTGGACATGGCAGCACATGCCTGTGGTCCCCGCTACTTGGGAGGCTGAGGTGAAAGCATCACCTTAGCCTGGAAGGTCGAGGTTACAGAGAGCCAAGATCACAGCACTGTATTTCAGCCTGGGGGGACGGAGTGAAACCCTGCCTCAAAAAAAAAAAAAAAACCCTATAAAAAAAGACAAAAAAGGTCAATATATAATGATAAAGGGATCAATTCAGCAAAAGAATATAATTGTAAATATATATGCACCAATATCAGAGCACCCAGCTACATCAAGCAAATACTATTTGATCTAAAAGGAGTAATAGATTCCAATAAAAAATAGTTGGAGACTTCAACACCCCATTCTCAGCAATGAAAGATCATCTAGACAGAAAAATCAACAAAGAAACAAACATTGGCTTTAAATTGCACATTTATACTGAATGAGCCTAACAGACATCTACAGAATATTTCATCCAATATCTGCAGAATATACATTCTTTTCATCAGCACATTCTTCATGACAGACCACGTATTAGGCCACAAAATAAGTCTGAACAAATTTAACAGAATTAAAGACATATCAAATACCTTTTTGGACCACAATGAAATAAAACTAGAAATCAATAACAAAAGGAACTTTTGAAATCGTAAACGGAAATTAAACAACATGCTCCTGAACAACCAATAGGTCAATGAAGAAATTAAGAAGGAAACCAAAACATTTCTGGAAACAAATGAAAAGTAGAAACAAACATACCAACACCTATGGGATACAGCAAAAGCAGTATCAAAAGGGAAGTTTATAGAAATAAATACCTACACCAAAAAAGTAGAAACATTTCAAATAAACAATGTAGCTAGAAAAATAAGAACAAACCAAACCCAAAGCTAGCAGAGGAAAATAAATAATAAAAATCAAAGCAGAAATAAACAAAACTGAGACAAACAAATACAAATAATCAATGAAATGAGAAGTTGACTTTTTAAAGAAATAAACGAAATTGACAAACTGCTGGCCAGACTAACCAAGAAAAAAAAAAGACCCAAATAAATAAAATCAGAAACAAAAAAGGAGACATTACAACTAATACCACAGGAATACAAAGGATCATTAGAGGTTATCATGAATAACTGTGTATCCAATTAGAAAACTTACCAGAAATGGATAAACTTCTGGATAGATATAACCTATCAAGATTGAACCAAGAAGAAACAGAAAACCTGAACAGACCAATTACAAGTAGCAAGACTGAATGTGCAATAAAACGTCTCCTATAAAATTAAAGCCCAGGACCCAATGGCTTCATTGCAGAATTCTACCAAACATATAAAGAAGAACTATCAATTCTTTTCCAATTCTCTCAGAAAACTGAAGAGTAAGGAATTTTTCCAAACTCATTCTACAAGGTCAACATTACCCTGATACCAAAACCAAATAAAGAAAACTGTAAGCCAATATCCCTGATGAACATAGATGCAAAAAGACATTCACCAAGATCAAATGGAATTTATCCCAGGGATGTAAGGATGATTCAACATACATAAATCAATAAATAAAATCAAATATCAATAGAATAAAGATTATCTCAATAGACATGAAAAATCATTTGATAAAATCAACATCCCTTCACGATAAAAACTCTCAACAAGTTAACTATAGAAAAAACACACAATAAAGGCCATATATGACAAAACCACAGCCAACATCATACTGAACAAGGAAAAGTTGAAAGCTTTTTCTCTAAGATCTCAAATGAGACAAGGATGTCCATTTTCACCACTTCTATTCAACACAGTACTGGAAGTCCTAGCCAAAACAATTAGGCAAGAGAAAAAGAAAAGGCATCCAAAATGGAAAAAAGGAAGTCAAACTGTCCCCATTTGCAGACAACATGAACTTATATATAGAAAACCCTATAACCCTATATAAAGCTCCTCTAAAAAAACTCTTAGAACTGACAAACAAATGGGGTAATGTTGCAGGACAAAACATCAACACACAAAAAATCAGTCGTGTTTTGGCTGGGCATGGTGGCTCACGCCTGTAATATCAGCACTTTGGGAGGACAAAGCAGGAGGATCACTTGAGGTCAGGAGTTCAAGACCAGCCTGGGCAAGATAGCGAGACCCCCATCTCTAAAATTAAAAAATAAAATAAAATAAATCAGTAGTGTTTCTATACACCAACAACAAACTAGCACAAAAAGAAATCAAGAAAGCAATGCCATTTACAATAGCTACAAAAAAATAAAATACGTAGGATAAATTAAACCAAGAAGGTAAAAGATTTCTACAAGAAAAACTACAAAACACTGATAAAAAAAATTGAAGAGGACATGAAAAAATACAAAGATCTCCCATGTTCAAGAATTAGAAGAATTAATATTGTGAAAATGACCATATTACCAAAAGTAATCTACGGTTCAGTGCAATCTTTATCAAAATACCAACGACATTCTCCCCAAAAGTAGCAAAAACAATGCTAAAATTCATTTAAAAAACTACAAATAGCTAAAGTAATCCTGAGCAAAAAAACAAACAAACAAACAAACAAAAACAAAGCTGGAGGCATCACACTAACACGCTTCCAAATATTCTATATAGAGCTGTAGTAACCAAAACAGCATGGTACTGGAACAGAATACATAACCCAGAAATAAATCCACGCATTTACAGACTCTCAACAAAGGCACCAAGAACACTGATGGAAGAAGAGAGAGTCTCTTCAATAAATAATGCTGGGAAAACTGGATATCCATATGCAGAAAAATGAAACTAGCTCCCTATCTCTCACCATATTAAAAAAACCTCCTTTTTTGTGAAAGAAGAAAATCAATTCAAAATGGATGAAAGACTTAAATTTAACACCCAAAATATAAAACTACTAGAAGAAAACATAAAGGCTGGGCACAGTGGCCTCATGCCTGTAATCCCAGCACTTTGGGAGGCCGAGGCAGGCAGATCACTTGAGGTCAGGAGTTCGAGACCAGCCTGGCCAACATGGTGAAACCTCGTCTCTCCTAAAAATACCAAAAAATTAGCTGGGCGTGGTGGCAGGCACCTGTAATCCCAGCTACTCAGGAGGCTGAGGCAGGAGAACCTCCAAAAGGCGGAGGTTGCAGTGAACCGAGATCGCGCCACTGCCACTGCACTCCAGCCTGGGTGACAAGAATGAAGCTTTGTCTCAAAAAAAGAAAGAAAACATAGGAGAAATGTTTTAGGACATTGTTTGGGCAAAAATTTTATGGGGAAGACCTCAAAAACACAGGCAGTAAAAGCAAAAATAGACAAATGGGATTATATTAAACTAAAAAGCTTCTGCACAGCAAAGGAGGCAATCAACAGAATGAAGAGAGAAATGATGTACAGGATGGGAGAAAATATTTGCAAACTATTAACCAACAAAGGATTAATATCTAGACTAGACAAAAAAATCAACAACAAAAAATACTAATAATAATCTGGTTTGGGTTTTGTTTTTTGGTGTTTTTTTTTTTTTTTTTTTTTGAGATAAGGTCCGGCTCTGTTGCCCAGGCTACACTGCAATGGTGCCATCCCAGCTCACTGCACCCTCCACCTCCCAGGCTCGAGCCATCCTCCCACCTCAGCATTCTGAGTAGCTGGGACTACAGGTGCTCACCACCACGCCTGGCTAAGTTTTGTATTTTTTGTAAAGATGGGGTTTCACCATGTTGCCCAGGCTGGTCTCGAACTCATGAGCTCAAGCAATCTACCCACCTTAGCCTCTCAAAGTGTTGGAATTACAAGCATGAGACAAGGCACCCAGCCAATAATCTGACTTAAAATAGGCAAATGAGCTGAACCAATATTTCTCAAAAGAAAACATACAAATGGACAATGGGTATATTAAAAAATGCTCAATATCACTAGTCATCAGGGAAATGCAAATCAAAACCACGATGAGATATCATCTCACCCTTGTCAGAATGACTATTATCAAAAAGACAAAAAATAACAGATGCTGGCAAAGATGTGGAGAAAGGGGAACTCTACTGTTGGAAGGAATGTAAATTAGTACAGCCATTATCAAAAACACTATGGAGGCTCTTCAAAAAACTAAAAATAGACTATGATATGATGCAGTAATCCCACTACTGGGTATGTATCCAAAGGAAAGAAAATCATATATGTACTTCCATGTTTATTATAGCACTATTCACAGATATGGAATCAACCTAATTGCCTATCAACAGATGAATAAAGCAAGAAAATGTGCTGTGTCTGTATATTTATACACACACACATACATAGACACATAACCACATAATACTATTTAGCCATAAAAATAACATGAAATTCTATCATTTGTGGCAACACAAATGAAGTTGGAGGACATTATGTTAAATGAAATAAGCCAGGCAGAGAAAGATAAACACTGTAGGTTCTCACTTACATGTGGAAGCTAAAAAAGTAGATCTCATAGAAGTATAGAGAAGAATAGTGGCTACTAGAGGAGAAGAAGGGGAGCCAAGGAAGGGAAGCGGAGAAGGGAGAGTAGCCAAAGGTTGGTTAATGGATATATAAGTACAACTAGAGAGGAGGAGTAAGTTCCAGTGTTCTATAGCACTATAGGGTAACTATAATTAACAGCAACTTGTTGTATATTTTCAAATAACTATAAAAGCAGGATTTAAATGTTCCCAACACAAAGAAATGATAAATGTTTGAGGTGATGGATATGCTAATTACCAAGACTTGACCAAGACACATTGCATACATGTATCAAAATAGTACACTGTACACCCAGAAAATATGTACAATTATTGTGTCAATTAAAAATAATAATAAAAGCAAAAAAAAAACCCTTGTGCCTTATTTTATCATATACTATCCTGTTTCTTGTGTAGGTTCCCACTGCAGAGTAAAACCTGAAGTCAGAGACTATGTCATTTTTCTTTATCTCTTTAGAAATGTACACTAGGCAATTTACTTATCTTGCAAGCCTAGTTTTCTAGTGTTTTATAATTAAAAAATAAGAAAAGAGGCCTTGAAGAGTTATGAATGAGAAACAACATGTAAAGTGTGTAGCATTTTTCATGGGGCCCAGTTATCGCCCTCTTTGTGTGTTGGATCTTTTTCTCACCCGCATACCAACTGAAAGGTATGTGGTTTGGAGGGAACTCCAAACTTTCTGAGATGATGAAAATGTTCTATATTTCCAGCTGCTCAATATGGGAGCCACTAGCCATATAAGCAACTGATATGTGGCTAGTGCAACTAATGAACTGAATTTTAAGTTTTGTTTAAAATTAAATGTGGCTAGTAACTGCCATATGGTAGACAGCACACTGGAAGTCTATAGGAAGCACTGAATAATGGTAACTATTACTACTAAAAGTAAAAATTTTCAGAATGTTCTAGGGATTCACTATAAAATGTTACATTTCAACCTAAATAAGGTAATAAAACACTGTTGCAAAGCAAATTCGATGTGTTTTATAAATAAAAGAAATTAAAGTAATCTTATTTCATTTCATTATTTTCCATTTCATTAGCATAGCCACCTTCTGACTTGACAATCACTTTCAGGAGACAGCATGGTTTTCCTCTCATGCTGGAGGGAACACGTGGTTCCCTCCAAACCACATACCTTTCAGTTGGTATGCAGGTGAGAAAAAGATCCAACACACAAATAGGGCGATAACTGGGCCCAGTGAAAAAACCATAGGTTACAATCAGACAGACCTAAATGTGAATCTCTTTTTTTTTTTTTTTTTTTTGAGACAGGGTCTCACTCTGTCGTCCAGGCTGGAATGCACTAGCCCGATCTCAGCTCACTGCAAACTCCACCTCCCAGGCTCAAGTGATCCTCCCACCTCACCTTCCCAAGTAGCTGGGACTACAGGAGCGCACCATCACACCTGATTAGTTTTTGTATTTTTTGCAGAGACAGGGTTTCGCCATGTTGCCCAGGCTGGTCTCGAACTCCTGGCCTCAAGTAATCTGCCTGCCTCAGCCTCCCAAAGTGTTGGGATTACAGGCGTTGAGTCACTACATTCGGCCCTAAATGTGAACTCTCTAATGAAATTCTACCCACTTAACAGAGTTAACATCAGGATTACCAAGCATACATATAAAACATTCACAAGAGTAGAGCTCAATGGATACTCAGTAAAATGGCAGTCAATATTGTCACATAACTGTTTAGGAAAAAAAACTTTAGGGAGGGCACGGTGGCTCATGCCTGTAATCCCAACACTTTGGGAGGCCAAGGCAGGTGGATCACGAGGTCAGGAAATCAAGACCATCCTGGCCAACATGATGAAACCCCGTTTCTACTAATAACACAAAAATTAGCTGGGTATGGTGGCACATGCCTGTAATCTCAGCTACTCAGGAGGCTGAAGCAGGAGAATCGCTTGAACCAGGGAGTTGGAGGTTGCAGTGAGCCGAGATCACGCTACTGCACTCCAGCCGGGCGACAGTGTAAGACTCCAACACAAAAAGAAATTAAAAAAATGCTTCATATGGGTATGGAGTCTATTCTACTGGCTGCAGCAACTTCCCTCTAGATTTCAGAATATACACTTATTCAACCAAATCTTTATGAGAACAGATTTTAGATAGTGAGTTCTAAAAAGAAAATAACTTTCTTCCTTTTTAATGCAAAATATTCATTCCTTTAGTTATATTTTTCCTGTTAAATTAAAAAAGGGTAAGATTCTATTAAAAATCCAAAATGGTTTAAACATGATATAATCATCTACAAATGCTGATTCTCTAACCATAATTCTTTGTGGCTTTTTTTTTTTTGAGACAGGTTCTTGCTCTGTCACCCAGGCTGAAGTGCAGTGATATGATCATAGCTCACCGCAGCCTCAAACCCCTGAGCTTAAACAATCCTCTCCCTCCTCAGCCTTTTGAGTAGCTGGGACTACAGGCACGTGCCACCATGCCTGGCTAATTTATTTATTTATTTTTAAGATGGGGTCTTGCTCTGTTGCCCAGGTTGGAGTGCAGGGGTGTGATAACTGCTGACTGCAGCCTCGACCTCCCAGGCTCAAGTGATCCTTCTGCCTCAGCCTCCTGAGTAGCTGGAGCCACAGGCATGTGCCACCATGCCTATCTATTTCTTTTTAAATTTTTTGTAGAGATGGGGTCTCACTATGTTGCCAAGGCTGGTCTCAAACTCCTGGGCTTAAGTGACCCTCCCACCTCAGCCTCTCAAAGTCCTGAGATTACAGGCATGAGCCACCAAGCCCAGTCTATTTGTAGCTTCTTAACAAAACAAATTAACTTTAAGGTAAGTATATGTCAGGTCTTCCTAGTTGCTCATGGTTTTTGCAGTTTCAAAACAGAAACTGCAACATAGGGAAATCTCGTCTCTACAAAAAGTATTTTTTTTTATTAGCCAAGTGTGGTGGCACACACCTGTGGTCTTAGCTACCCAGGAAGCTGAGGTGGGAGGACTGCTTAAACCTAAGAGGCTGAGGCTGCAGTGAGCCATGATCGTACCACTGCACTCCAGCCTAGGCAACAGACCAAGACCCTGACTCAAAAAATCCCAAAAAAACAAAAAACAGAAATTGCTTTTCTTATGGTATATATCTTGCCTATTATAATCAATAAATATCATTTTTATTAATATCCTCTTAAGTAGTATAAAGACATCACCAGTTGCCTCATAATACTATTTCAAGATCTCAGGTTATCTTCTTAGTAATTTTGCCTGAGTTCCCAGTCACTCTCAATATTCTGTCCTCTCATTCAGTCCCAAACAAAAAATAAACAAACAAACCCTTTTCTAAATGTAAAAAGGGGCAAGGAATGGTGGCTCATGTCTGTAATCCCAGTACTTTGGGAGGCCAAGGTGGGCAAATCACTTGAGGTTAGGTGTTCAAGACTACCCTGGGGAATATGGTGAAATGCCATCTCTACTAAAACAATTTTAAAAATTAGCCGGGCATGTTGGTACATGCCTGTAATCCCAGCTACTCAGGAGGCTGAGGCAGGAGAATCACTTGAACCCAGGAGCCTTCTGGGTAGTTAGGACCACAGGTGTGCACCACCACACTTAGCTAATCAAAAAAAAAAAAAAAACTTTTTGTAGGGCCAAGATTGCACCACTGCACTCCCGCTTGAGTGAGAGAGTGAGACTCTGTCTCAAAAAAAAATAATACTAATACTAATAAAAATAATAAGGCTCAAGGCATTATTTTAAATTTTTAAAAATGTTATTTAAAGGAAGGGTAGGATGAAGGGAGGGACAGGGAAATATATGTTAAAGAATACAAAATCACAGCTAGATAGAAGGAACAAGTTCTAGTGTTCTATATCACTGTAGGATGACTACAGTTAACAATATTAAATAGTTTCAAATAGTTAGAAGCAGGGATATTCAATGTTCCCAAGACAGAGAAATTATAACTAATTTGAGATGATAGATATGCTAATTACCATGATCTGGTCAGTATACATTACATGTACAGAAACATCACTGTGTACCCCACGAATATGTACAATTATTTCCCAATTTAAAAATTTTAATTTGGTTAGGTGCGGTGGCTCACGCCCTAATCCCAGCACTTTGGGAGGCTGAGGCAGGAGGATCACGAGGTCAGGAGATCGAGATCATCCTGGCTAACACGGTGAAACCTAGTCTCTACTAAAAATATAAAAAATTAGCTGGGAGTGGTGGCAGGCGCCTGCAGTCCCAGCTACTCAGAGGCTGAGGCAGGAGAATGACGTGAACCCAGGAGGCGGAGCTTGCAGTGAGCCAAGATCACGCCACTGCACTCCAGCCTGGGCAACAGAGCAAAACTCTGTCTCAAAAAAAAAAAAATTTTTTTTTAATTTAAAAACCTAAGAAAAGTTATTTAAATATAAACTTGTATCTTTCTTTTAACCAATCTAGCATAACCTGCTTAATTCTACTAGAATGATTACCTTTGATCCTAACTTAACACTCCTAGTTAGTCTCATCAGCCAAATCTTACACAATAGTTTTCACATGTGGTAACCAACACCCAACATCTATATAAAATTTCTTCTTTTAGAAGAATTGTTTAGAGAGCATAAAATCTAAATGTTCCTTTTTCCATATATTTTTAGTGTTATTACTTTTTTAAATTTACTGAACTCATATTCTAAATCTAGTAAATAGGAAAAAATTTTCAAAGAGAATAAAAATAATTTTGGAGCTCATAAATCCCTCTACATCTATTCAATTCTTTATTTTAAAAAGAATTAAACCCATCATTACATGGAATGTCTAAAATAAAGCCAAAGCCTAATCTAAACACACATAATTTTCACAAATATATATGTGTGTATATTTATATATATATACACACATATATAAGATTTTACTTTACATCTGCTTTGCATTTATGACTCAAGAAGTATCCTAATACAGAACATTGTAAATTATGCTCAAAGAAATGCATATCAAAATCAGGCAACCTTGGGCCAGGCACAGAGGCTCACACCTATAATCCCAGCACTTTGGGAGGCCAAGGCAGGAGAATCACTTGAGCCCAGGAGTTTGAGACCAGCCTGAGCAACACGGTGAAACCCCATCTCTACAAAAATAAAAAAAAATTGTCAGGCATGGTGGCAGGCACCTGTAGTCCCAGCTACTTGAGAGGCTGAGGTGGGGCATCATTTGAGCCCAGGAGGTCAAGGCTTCAGTGAGCAGTGATTACACCACTGCATTTCTGCCTGGGTGACAGAGCAAGACCCTGTCTCAAAAAGAAAAAGAAAAAAACAGGCAACCTCAAAGTTGCAAATTAAAAAAAAACAAAACTATTTTTACTCCATATTAAAATCTGCAGTCATACTGAGTATGCTTTCTAGCTGATAAAAATGACAAAAAGCATATATGAAAGATTCTAACAATACAAATAACAAGCTTATTTCTTACTGATGGAATTCGCTTTCTTCTAACTTCATTCTCAGCTGACATAAGAAGCATCTCAAGTTCCTTTATTTTCTTTTCCTTATCAGGATCTTCATCAATGAAGGGTTGCTAAAATAAGTTAAATAAAAGAGAAAACAGGATGCTTATATAATTGCTTTATTATTAGTATTCTCATTTTTATTTTCTTCTATGCAACATGAAATATACTTTTTCTAATAAAGCTTAATGCTACTAAATACTAACTACTCATTATCACAATCCCTCTGGTATCTAAAGAGGTGCTGGCAAATATTTTCAACTTAAAAGATTTGGGAAAATTTTAATGACTTAAAAAATGTTGCATCATCTCTATCAGCTGAAATGTATGTCTGAAATATTTTATATTTTTAAATCTTAATAAATATATTCTATACAATTTAGCAAAAATATGTCCATTCCCAACTTGAATGCTTTACCTTGAAAGAATGAAATGACTACCATACTGGTATCATCAATCACATTTGTACAGTTTATATTTCTTCAAACTCACTTACACACTTTCTTCTTTATAGTTAGAGTACTCCAAGTAGGACAGATCGTATTATTTTTATACTAGTTTAATAGATGAGGAAATAGATACTATTAGGCTTTTAAAAATGTGACTGAACACATTTCCTTTGGTTTTCGTTATAAATAAAAGTTACCTGAATAAAGGCAGAAGTAGGCTGAACATGTTCTATACAATTGCCTTCAGGTGACACATACTGATACCCAGGGATCTAAAAAGTAATTAATGCATTATTATCATACATATAATGCTATAAATGTTGAAAATCTGAAGCAAATGACAAAAACTTTTGACACAGTATCAATATAAAAAACTTAGAAAGTACCTGTATTAATTTTGAAATGTTATACCTATAATACTTTCTTATCTATTAAATAACTACAGCTCCACTCCTAGAATCTATGATTAAAAGTCGTAACACTTAGAAAAGACTTTTTTTCAGATGAAATATGAGAATTACTTAGCCTAGATTTATCAGCCAGTTTATTAAATCTGACATTCACCAAATATATTTAAACATCTACTATTAGAAGGGTTGCTCTATCTCCTAAAGAAAACAAAGTAATTGTGTTCCTATGTGTCCATATGAATGAAGCACTCACAAGGACAGAGACCTGAAGCAAGTTTTTCAATGTTCATATCTCCTACTTTTATCACCACCCCATGCCAAAGTCTTCTTCTATTACTTGTCTTAGAAAAACAATCAGAATCACTCACATACTTTTAATAGATATACTGATGATAGGCTAAGTATCATTCTGCTTCTTTTCTAAAACATCTGTAATAAGAATTTTCAAGATACATATAAATTTAGTAAGCAGTAGTGGAAAGAAATATGAGAGGAGGTGTTTTTAAAAGCCTTAAAATCGGGGCCGGGTACAGTGGCCCACCCCTGTAATTCCAGCACTTTGGGAGGCTGAGGGGGTATGGTCGCTTGAGCCCAGGAGTCCAAGACCAGCCTGGGCAACATGGCAAGACCCTGTTTTTACAAAAAATAAAAAAATTAGCCAGGTGTAGTGGAGCACGCCTGTAGTCCCAGCTACTCAGGAGGCCGAAGCAGGAGGATCACATGAGCCCAGAAGGTTGAGGCTGCAGCGAGCTGTGTGCGCACCACTGCATTCCAGCCTGGTAACAGAAAGAGATTCTGTCTCAAAAAGAAAAAAAAAAAGCCTTAAAATCAAAAACCATAAATATGAAATTGTCTGCTTTCCGTAATGGTCTACCTAAATCACTATATAATGCAGAATCATTATGTATAACTTCTAACATAGAGCTTAACTTTTAGAATACTCGATTAGTACCACTTATTGCTCAACTTGGTAACTCTAATGAATTAGAAACGTATCTTTCCCAAACTTTTCATGAAAATCTGTGACAGTATTTTAAACCCATCTATTCTTTTATCAAGTCACACATATAATAAAATTATTTTATTAGTTTAAATTAATTGAATAATGAATATATCTAAATTAAAAGGGAAACAATTCTTACAGTATAAGAAATATCCTCATCTTTCCAACATATTTAGATTAAGACTGTTAAATACTCTGTTGGCCCCATGTATTATCTTTCTACGAGTTAAAAAAATAAATTTAAATGATAAACTTTCTAAGACAGAAGCAGAATGTTTCAGTTTATGCTGCTGAAATCTAGACTCTAAAGAAAAATGTGAAGAAACATAATAAAAACCTTAAGGTATTGAGTATCAGCAGATAATTATACTGTCTTCACATGTTTTCCTATTGTTAATGAAAATGTCATTACTCTAAGTGGTTCTTTTAAAATGATGCTTAAAAAACTTAACAATGTCCACAAAATGTCAAAAATCAAATCTGAGGCATAGTAAGCACAGATTTTTAATATCTTGCCCAATTTTATCTTTTGGTAGAAAACTACTAAGTCCTGACTTAATCTTTACAATTTATGTGACAAGAACCAAGAATTGCTCATTGTGAAAAATGGCATAACAGGTAGACAGGGAAATGTAAAACAAATCTCATGAAGACTCCTACACTAATTTCTTCCAAGTAGAAAAATGCACTGTAAGGGACAACATAGAGCTTGCCCCATTTTGAGCTCGTGTAATACCTACTTTAATGAATCATCTAAACAAAGACTAAAATTACCCAAGTGATTAGTTATTAGGGGGAAAAGCAAAGTTGAATGCCAGCAAAATCCAATTAATTACCACACCCCCAAAACAATTACTTATTTTTGCTACTTTCTCTTTTAAGCCATTTTATATATACCTACCTCTTAGAGATAAGCAATACTATAATTACGCCAAAATTGTTTAAATGGAAAGTACAATAGAATGTTAAAGCACAGATGACCATTAGCTTTGAATCATAAATGAAGATTCAAAGAATCAGAGTATTAGGAAATGTACATAGTTTCTTGATGTAAAAATTACATATAAAAGGAAACATTTTAATAAATTTGTTCTCAAAATATTTATAAATCAAAGTTACACATTTTTTTCAGTTTGTCTATTTACCCCTTAATACGCATTGTATTTGTCCTATTAAGAAACCAAACATCTTCCCATATAGCAACTTAAGAAAATTTTTTAAATAATAAAGGTATTAAAAGTATGTGCCTGAACAGGTATGTAAAACTGATTCTGGGTTTGCATATGATCCATAGCTGCACAAGGTTTGTGTTGAAGTTTAGATGAAGATCGTTCTGATTTTATTCCATCTTGTAAATAGCCCTCCTGTTCCACTTTTCTTCGCATAGTAGAATTCCAATGATTTTTGATAGAATTATCAGTCCTAAGAAAGGAAAGGTATGATTTAAAAAGAAAAAAGGATTCCACAGATTTCAACACTGTGTTAACTTGTACAAAGTGCTTAAAACAAATTTTTACACTGATGAAATTAGATACTTTTTTCTTAATTTTTCTTTTGGAGTTTCTACTCAGGAAGATAGGTATTTTTTAAAAATTCAAAAGATAAACTGTATGTGCATATGTCAGGCATAGTTCTAAGCACCAGAAATATTGCAGTGAGTAAGGCAAAGTAGGTCACTGCTCTCGTGGAGCTTACACTCTCCTTGGAAGTGTGGGAGTGGGAAGGAAGGAAGAATAGAAAAACAAATAAATGAATAAAAAATTCACTACAATGCAAATAAAGTAGGATAAGAAAAGTGGGTAACGGAGTAATTTTGGTTTGGTTAGAACAAACCAGCTATACGAGAACAGAAAGAAAAAAAGAGCATTCCAGATAAAGAGTATAGCAAGGGCCAAGGTCTTAAGCCAGGAACAAACATGATCATGAAAAGCAAATCACAAACTAAAGAATCCCAGTATTCTTTTTCACTTCTTAGAACAAAATATTTATGGTAAGAAAGAGTTAATTGGCTCCCTTCTTATCTAAGGTTCCCTTTATAAAAATGAAAATCTTCAACCTATGGTTACTTGCAAATTTCATCCCTCATAAAATATACACACATAAAGCAGGTTTTCAGTAAATGTTAAGGCACTAAGCTAGGTTCTATGAAAAGTAAGAAGACGTATAAGAGATTAAAAGCATCTAGACCTGGTTTAATAACTTGAATAAAAAATTTAACACTATGCCTTAATATCTTATCTATAAAACAAAGATAGCAATGTTTGCTCAGTATACTTTCCAAGTCTATAAAAATTAAGAATACATGAAAAAGCACTTAATGCTATAAAGTACTATACAGATAGAGATTACAGCAACAAAAGACAAATGCGTATCTTCTAAGTTATGAATTTTCACAAGGTTGTTGGTCTGCTGTACTAAACGCTATTAGAAAACATATGAACCAGTACAATGTAGAGTGTACTTAGCACATCACTGCCTCTGAGGAAAATTTGGTATTTTAGCCACATGAATATATATACTACTTCCATGGTTTGGATCATACCATAATTAATTAAGATTGAATTTTCCCCAACACACTTTCATAGCAGTTTACTGTAGCTAGCATATCATTCCCTGGTCTTACACATAGAACGCAATATGAAAGAAATCTTAGATTTAGATTCTTTTCCAACAGAGTTTATACAAAGGGGGTCTCACTTGATTGACACTGATATGTCAACATGATTTTAGGAGTGTATTAAATGTTTATATAATCTAAAATCTATCATTTTATTGTACAAATTATTGCCATAAAATAATTCATTAAAAAAGTAATCATACCCTTTACCACAGAATTTAGTACAAATGGTCCCAAAGGTTGCTTATGTTATATAGTCTACATTTTAATTACAAATTTAAAAAATAAGTCATCGGGGACTTGCAAATGTATTTAACAGTAAGGTAATAAAGGTCATGTTTAAGTACAGAAAAATATATATACATTTATATAAGCACCTTCCTGGAAGTAGTTTGGCAATTTCTGCCCAACGATTTCCCAACCGCTTATGTGCTTCATAGATGATCCTGTCCTCCTCTTCTGTCCAGGAAGATTTCTTTACCTCAGGATTCAGATGATTATGCCATCTTTCTCTACACTGCTTGCCTATTCTTCCTTTTAAATGTTTTGCAATTAAAGACCATCTTTTTGGCCCATATTTCTGAACTAATTCAATAACCTAGGAAACAGAAAAACAAAGTTTAAAAAAGCATTACCTTCAAAGAATTTTAAAACATAATTCAAGAATACCATTTTAAATAAATGCATTAAATCCAAGCCACAACTACAATTTGTTAAAAAAAAATTACCAATAAATACCCCTTTAGCATTTGCCAGCTTCAAAAATTGATGCCAAACTCATCTAAAAATCCAAGGGGCTAATTAAAGACTCTTGAAATTCAATTGCTTTCACACCCTATTAATTTGAAATAACTGTAAACATGCTGAAACTTGTACATTTTCTACTCCTACATCTAAAAAAAAAAAAAAAAAAAAAAAAAACGCTTCAGCCAAAAGCAAAAAACAAAAATACAATTAGGAAGCAGAAAGATTCTACCAAGTTATTGGTTGTCATTTCTTCCTTTCTCAAACTGAAAGGACACAGATTACATATTCTTTTTTCCACATTTTACAGTTGTTTTTATTTCACCTAAAATTGCAAGAATAGTTATTCCAGCCCACTTTACCTCACTGCCCTATGTCAAATATCATCTCATAAACATTTTATATTGGTAGACTAAGTTTAATATATGTTGATATTTTCACTATATGTGTCTATTTACTATCTTTAAAACTAAAATTTCAGGCTTTGGTAAATGCATTTTTAAACAAGATCACACATTTTAAAACTTAGGAGTAGCCATCAAGTAAATCAGTGCAGTCTAGGTGAAGTAACTTTAAAGTTTGTTCTGGCTGGGCATGATGGCTCAGCCTCTAATCCCAGCATTTTGAGTGGCCAAGATGGGCAGATTGCTTGAGCCCAGGAGTTCAAGACCAGCCTGGGCAACATAGCGAGATTCCATCTCTACTTATTTAAAAAATTTAAAAAATAAGAACAACAAATAAAGTTTGTTTTGAGCAGGAGTAAGGATGCTCTAATTCCTCAACTGCATTAGCAACCTTTATGACTTAAAGGGCATTAACTAAAGAGTGCAGAAACACTTCTATTCATCTCCAACTTCATAGTACAAACAATGACCTTGGTTTTTAAATCACAAAACCTTTGGAAACATGATGCTCTGACATCTGTCTAATCCTGGGACTCATTATAGGTTAAGAGAAAAAGTTAAGAATGACTTCCGTGCATATCAAGTTATTAGATGTAAAAATAAAATGAAAATCTGTTTTAAAATGTTAATTAGATTTTTGACAAAAAACTATACCCTAATAGTTGTGAAACTGAGCTCAAAACAAGGTAACTAACCTTACAGCAAGTATTTTTCCTTCTGCAAACCAAACTCTCAGAAAGAAAGGGCTGTATGTTATACTTGGTTTGACTCAATTTTCTAAAAACCCAACAACATTTCCAGACACTTAACATTCAATTCTTATGCAAGTAGCCTCCGGAGAACAAAATCAAAGTGACTTAAACATGTACTTCATATGTCAAAACAACACATTAAAAAGAAAAAAGCTAGTCTACCTACATAGTGAATATAAAGAATATGAACACATTACCCTCTGATCTTCTTCTTTAGTCCAAGGACCCTTTATCAATTCAGGATTTAAAACTTTCTGCCATCGATGCTGGCACTGAAAATCAGAGCGATTCTGAAAAAATTTAGAAGATTTTGTTATTAAACAACTGTCTTCCAGAAAGCAAGTCAGCCCGAATTTATGTCTCACATCCTTAGAACAAAGACTTCAAGAATAGTGTATTCAATAGCATTCTTTAAACATGTAACATTTATGTTACATATCTCTGCCCCAATTATGTTTTTTCTTAATTATAGTAGTCAACAGGGCTTAGACTACAAATAAAAACAATTTATTTAAAACTAAAGTGTGTATCTTTACACTACACCTTATAATACAGAAGCAGCAAAGATAAAACACAGATAACTGAAATAAAGAAATGGATTTAACACTGAGGAATAAAAAGCAGTGGACAGAAAACTACACAAAGCTGACATAAGAACTCAAATAGTGCCAGGCGCAGTGGCTCATGCCTGTAATCCCAACACTTTCGGAGGCCGAGGTGGGTGGATCACCTGAGGTCTGGAGTTCGAGACCAGCCTGACCAACATGGAGAAACCCCGTCTCTACTAAAAATACAAAATTAGCCGGATGTGGTGGTGCATGCCTGTAATCCCAGCTACTCATAAGGCTGAGGCAGAAGAATTGCTTGAACCCAGGAGGTGGAGGTTGCGGTGAGCCGAGATTGCACCATTGCATTCCAACCTAGGCAACAAGAGCGAAACTCTCATCTCAAAAAAAAAAAAGAAAAAGAACTCAAATAGCCTATCAGTCTGGATTCACGTAGTTCAGCAGTACCTAACTATACAGTTTTAAAGAAATGTAAAGGCATTGCTATACTACTGCATAGGATCAAAAGGATGTTATAAATTATGATTCCAAGTTATTAAGAAAACATTACATAGTCTACATAGAAGATGAATGTTACATTTCAATTAAATTGGTTAAGTGTTGACACTTAAAAAGAAAATGAATTCACTAAATTGGTTAAGTGTTGACACTTAAAAAGAAAATGAATTCACCAGAATAAGAAATCCTACGCAGTATCTGGGTAGAAACATCTCAAACTCCAAAAATAATAAATGAAGCCTTATTTTAGTCAGTCCAGAACCTGGTAACTCCTATACATTACAAGGATAATGACACCTAACACTTTATTAGTGATTCACAGTTTACAAAATTGTTAGTTCATAAGCAAGATTACAGAAAATCTAGAGACATATAAAGGGACAGATAAAAATGTTTTGTCTACCAATGGCTCTTTTGCCCAATGTACTTAAAATTATTTTTATTCAAACTCAGCTTCATTTATGGCTTCTGTACACCAACGCTAATCCATTTTAAGGCTGACACTTTCTTCAAAATAATCAGGTTGCTCCTGTATGTCCTTGTAGCATTTCTGTTAATGCTAATGTAAATAACTTTTCTAACCTAGCTTCCATTTATTGAACACCTGCTAAATATTAAGAATTGTGCCAAACATCCTATATGTTATTTCTAGTTCTACACAACCATACTACAGAAACAAGTATGATTATCTAGACATTATAGATAAGGAAGGTGACAATCAAAGAGGCTAAGTAATTTTTCCACGCTCATGGAGCTGACATTTGAACATAATTCAAACTGACTCCAAAATTTATGCTCTTTCCATTACTTGATCTCAATTTTTGGGTTATGTTGAAAGTCATATGACAATATAGAAAAAACATAGTTAACATGGTTTCTGAAACCCAAAGTAGTCAATATTTAAATTCAAATATGTATATTTTCCCTCACTACTCACAGTGTATTAAGGATACAAATAAGAGCATATGTGAGGACCAGGCGCGGTAACTCACGCCTGTAATCCCAGCACTCTGGGAGGCCGAGGCAGTTAGATCACCTGAGGTCGGGAGTTTGAGACCAGCCTGACCAACATGGAGAAACCCCGTCTCTACTAAAAAAAAAATACAAAAAGTTAGACGGATGTGGTGGTTCATGCCTGTAATCCCAGCTACTCGGGAGGCTGAGGCAGGAGAATCGCTTGAATCTGGGAGGCGGAGGTTGCAGTGAGCCGAGATCGTGCCATTGCCCTCCAGACTGGGCAACAAGAGCGAAACTCCGTCTCAAAAAAAAAAAAAAAAAAAAAAAAAAAGAGTACATGTGAAAATACTTCATAAATTATAAAGTTATATAACGAACAGCAGGTGAATAGTAGTATGGTAAACAATAGGCATAATAGTTTTTAAAATCAACATTTTAAAAGGTAAGCCTCAGATGATAAGCTTTTTTTAATAGGGCTTTTCTGGATTTTTTGGTTAGCTATCAAATATCTCAATATATTTCTCACAGAATGTTTTAACGTGTATTAGCAAATATTTATAAGGTCCCACATACATTTATTATCATTTTTGTTTTAAGTTAATAATCTTTTTAGGCCCCTGGATAAACGCATTACTAGAAAACCAGACTCTAAACCAGACTCTCCAAGCCATTAGCAACCAACTAGAGGCAGACCAAACCAACAGGGATGTTTTTAGGAAGGAAACCTAAAATTAAAATATGTAGACACATTTTTGAAAAATAGCAAATTTAACCCAATGCCTTAAACCAGCCATGTTAGAAATATAATTTAATATTTCACTTACTTGAAGATGACTAGCAATTAGAGTCCAATCATCAGTTCCATGTTGTTCAACCAACTTCTTTAATTTATCATCCTATTAAAACAGTACAAAAATTAGAAAGCTTTCCCCCCGTCCTTTTCCTCTACCCCTAAATATAGATAACTCTCCAATTCTATTAAGGAATATCTGGTAACCATAGAATAACTAAAGCCACCCACTATAATACAAATTCTTCCATTTATTATACTGTTTCTCTAAGTTCCAATGTCATCAGTTATTCATGTCTCTGGTTGAAGAAAAAGAACGTACAGTTAATTTGATGCATATCTTTTCTCATATTTTGTTTTTAAATATCTTTCATAACTATAGCAGCATTTTTTTTTTGTTTTTGAGATGGAGTCTCGCTCTGTCACCCAGGCTGGAGTGCAGTGGTGCAATCTCGGCTCACTGCAACCCTCTGCCTCCCAGGTTCAAGTGATCCTCCTGCCTCAGCCTCCCAAGTAGGATTAGGATTACAGACATGCGCCACCATACCAGGCTAATTTTTGTATTTTAGTAGAGACGGGGTTTCATCATGTTGGCCAGGCTGGTCTTGAACTCCTAACCTCAAGTGATCCGCCCATCTCGGCCTCCCAAAGGGCTGGGATTACAGGCGTGAGCCACCACACCTGGCCGTATAACTATAGCAGTATTAACCAATAAATACATGTAAGAAACTATGAAACCTTGTCAGATAATTACCTCGTCCCTTGTCCATTTTACTCTGTTCCAGAGTTTCTTCAGTCCTTTTTGTTGTGGTACTTCATAATCATGATCGGCATACTGAAGGTCATCATCCTCATCCTCACTACAAAAAAAACACAATTTGTGATATCAAGAATTTTATTTAAATTTGTAAATTCAAACACTGAACTTGTGTGTGCAGGTATGACTGAAGAAATCATACAGACTACAAGTCATATTCACAATGAAATTATTCAAAGTACAAAAAATTAAGAGTCAGACAGCGGGGTGGGGTGGAGCTATATATATATATATATATATATATATATATATATTTTTTTTTTTTTTTTTTTTTTTTTTTTCTGAGACGGAGTCTCGCTCTGTCGCCCAGGCTGGAGTGCAGTGGCATGATCTCGGCTCACTGCAAGCTCCGCCTCCCAGGTTCACGCCATTCTCCTGCCTCAGCCTCTCGAGTAGCTGGGACTACGGGCGCCCACCACTACGCCCAGCTAATTTTTTGTATTTTTAGTAGAGGCAGGGTTTCACCGTGTTAACCAGGATGGTCTCGATCTCCTGACCTTGTGATCTGCCCGACTCGGCCTCCCAATGTGCTGGGATTACAGGCGTGAGCCACTGCACCTGGCCTGGAACTATACTTCTTACTGACACCAAACACATGAGGTTGGATATGCCACTACGGGAAAAATCATAACCTTGTACGTCATGTTAAGGAATTTGACCTTTATTCTTTATTTGACCTTTATTCTAAAGAGTTAAATAATTTTAACACAGCAAAAGACAAAAGACAGATATCTTGTGTTTTAGAAAAATCAGTGACAAGAGTGTGGTGAAACTGAAAAAGAAAAACCAATTAGTAATCTTCACAACAACCCAAGCAAGAAATTATTGGGGCCTGACAAATGGTAATGGTAAAATATAAACCGCAGCCAATTAAAAGACACAATAGAAGTGATCCAATTAACAATACCAACAATAAAAAAAATTTAACATACAAGATAAAGGTACAGTAAGTGACAAGACACTGTTGTGAGACACAGATGTCTTGAACAAATGGAAGAACATTCTGACTTTTTTTTTTTTTTCCAGACAGGGTCTCAGCTTGCTCTGTCACCCAGGCTGGAGTGCAGTGGCACAATCACAGCTCACTGTAGCCTCAAACTCCCAGGCTCAGGCAATCCTCCCACCTCAGTCTCCCGAGTAGCTGGGACTACAGGCATGCACCATCATGCCCAGCTAATTTTTTCTATTTTTTGTAGAGATGGGGTTTTGCTATGTTGCTCCACCCGCAATGCTGGTCTTGAACTCCTGAGCTCAAGTGATCCTCCTGCCTCAGCCTCCCAAATCCCACGCTTGAGATTACAGGCATGCATCACCATGCCCAGCCTCCTGACCATATTATTGGATAAGAAAACAATATTATAGATATGTCCATTCTCTAATTTAGGGAGATGTCCATTCTCCCTAATTCATAAATTAAATTAAATGAATAAAAATACCAATAGACTTTGGGAGGCAACTAGACAAGCTGAATCTACAATTCATATGAAAAAAAAAAATCAAGAAGAATGGCAAGAAAAGTTTTAAAAAAGAATAATCAGAGAATTACCACTACCCAATATCAAAATACACTGTAGAGAAATAAAACAGAATGGTACTACCACACGAACACACACATAGATAAATGGAACAGAACATTTAGAAAAGAAAAAAGACCCACATGGAATTTGGTAAATTATAACAGTAACATTTCAAATCAGTGGAGTAAAGGTAGACTTTTCAATAAATGGTGTTAAGACACTGGGTAGCCATTTTTTAAAATTAAGATGGGCTGGGCGTGGACACCTGTAATCCCAGCACTTTGGGAGGCTGAGTCGAGCAGATCATTTGAGGTCAGGAGTTCGAGACCAGCCTGACCAACATGGCAAAACCCTGTCTCTACTAAAATTGCAAAAATTATCTGGGTGTGGTGGTATGTGCCTGTAATCCCAGCTACTTGGGAGGCTGAAGCAGGAGAATCGCTTGTACCCAGTGAGCCAAGACTGCACCACTGCACTCCAGCCTGGGCAACCAAGAGAACCTCCATTTCAAAATTAAAAAAAAAAAAAGATGGTGTCCTACTTTACAATAAAATAAACTGGAGTGAAGCAATTATTTACATTTTTTACATGAAACCATAATAGTACTATAAGAAAACAGAAAAGAAGTCTACTTTTCATATCCTTGAGTAAAAGACAGGTAAATGTGACAAAAATCTGGAAGTGATAAAATAGATCAACCAAGGTAATGATATTAGGAATTGAAAGAAATATATTAAACTGAGAGATATTTAAAAAGTAGAAAAGAAAGGATTTTGCAACTGATAGATGAGGGACATGGAAGAAGGAGGAATTAAGGATGACTCCAAAGTTTCTGGCTTTGAAAACATAAGTAGAGCTATTTACTATGGAAAATGATAGAAGGAGAAACAGAACTTTGGGAGAGAGAAGAAAATGGGGAGAGTATGTATAGTTTGGGACTAGCTGTTTTCAAGGTACTTGAAAAATACACAGGTGGATGTCTGGAACAGCACTTCCCAACAGAGACATAATACAAGCCACATATGTAATTTTCTAGTAGCCACATTTTTTAAAAAAAGAGAAATAAGTGAAATGTACTTCAATAGTCAATATTCCTTAGCTTAATATATCAAAAATATAATCATTTCAACATGTAATCAACATAAAAAAGTATAAATGAAATGTTTTACATATTTTTTTCTTACTAAAGTCTTCAAAATCTGGTGTGTGTTTTGTAGTTAGAGTTCATTACAATTCAGACTAGCCACAGTTCAAGAGCTCAATAGCCACATGTGGCTAATGGCTATCCTACAGGGCAGAGCAAATCTAGAAGGCAAATGAGCATGTGGACCTGCTCAAATACAAGGTCTAGGGTAGAGATGCAGTTTTGGCCAGCATACAAAGAATAGCTGAGGGCACAGGATGACCCAAGGAAAATTAATAAAGTGAGGAAGGGGCCAAAGTCAGAACCTGAGTTTTGATGGAGTAAAAAAAGAAAAAGCAATTTTAAAGAATAAAGCCCCATAAAAAAGGGCAAGCCTTAATGATAAACTGAAATACAAGGCCAGGCGCAGTGGCTCCCACCTGTAATCCCAGCACTTTGGGAGGCTGAGGCAGGCGGATCACCTGAAGTCAGGAGTTCAAGACCAGCCTGGCCAACATGGTGAAACCCCTACTAAAAATACAAAAATTAGCGGAGCATGATGGTGGGTGCCTGTAATGCCAGCTACTCGGGAGGCTGAGGCAGGAGAATCACTTGAACCCGGGAGGTAGAGGTTACAGTGAGCCGAGATTGCACCATTGCACTCCAGCCCAGGTGACAGAGCAAGACTCCGTCTCAATAAATAAATAAGTAAACTGAATTAGAGGATTCTGAGTAGGCAGTGGACTGAATAAAGTCATGGCATCTGAAAATAACACAGTCTACCATTTATTTAAAACTTTCTAAGTAGTCTATTAAATTTTTCTCTTAAAGCCTCACAACTGGAAGAGGGGAATATTATCATTATTCCCATTTCACGGAATAGGAAACTTTGACTCAGAAATGTAACCTCTTGCCCACAGTCACTACTTAACCGCTATACTACGACATACTGGAAAAATAGGGGGAAAGTGCTAGGAAGCTGGAAGATACTAAAGACAAACCTCAAGTTCATTTTGGAATCAGAACAAGGTTCTGGTTCTAACTTAATTACTCACTCTGTAACCTTGAACATGTTAACCTCTCAGGGGTTTAGTTTACTTGTTTGTAAAATGATAATAATACCACCTACCTTATAGTGCTGCTTTAAGGATAAAATTAAATGAGAAAACATATATAACACCTCATACAGCACATGGCACAGAAAGGTGCCTCAATATTAGTATTACGTGCATAGGCTGATCACCTAATAGTATTCAAAATTATTTTTGCCTTACTAGATTCAACTCTTTCTCAAAAATTCATTCTGATTTCACAGAGCAAAATTTGAAGATTTGTTTAACCTTACTCTAATATAGTTAAGCGCATGCAAGTAGTTTCTAATATCTATGTAAGTTATGTAATTTTAATCTTACAAAATTGAAAAATGAAGGCCCAGATTTAATATATACTGTCTATAGATCCTTTGTAGGAACGTCTAACTTCCATTGACTTGTCAATTCCATTGGAACAAAATTCTTCATATTTGACCAGGCAAAACACCAAGATTCTCCCATTCCCCTATGATCTGCTTCTACAGTTCAACACACTTCAATAGTCCAGTGTTCGCTCTCCCTGAAGCCATTGTCTATTTGTAACAATAATCCACCAGTTCTCCTTCCATACATGGCTGTTTTTTTTTTTTCTTTTTTGAGATGGAGTCTTGCTCTGTTGCCCAGGCTGGAGTGCAGTGGCGCAATCTCGGCTCACTGCAACCTCCACCTCCCTGGTTCAAGCAATTCTCCTTCCTCAGCCTCCCAGGTAGAAGGAATTACAGGCGTCTGCCATCATGCCTGGCTAATTTTTGAATTTTTTTCGTAGAGACGGGGTTTCAGCATGTTAGCCAGGCTGGTCTCGAACTCCTGACCTCAGGTGATCCGCCAACCTTGGCCTCCCAAAATGCTGGGATTACAGGTTTGAGCAACCACGCCTGGCCCATATATGGTTGTTTTATTAAACTGTGTTAAAACAACAAAAAAAAAAAAAAAAAAAAACTCTACAGGCTTGATTAAATATCTGATACATGCAGCCATTTTCAGCTATCAGAAATATCACCTGATAGGCCAATATTAAATTGTTAAGTTCGACATGCTTCAGGGTCCAATGACTTCATAAATTTCTAAGAAAGCTACCGAATCAGATAAAACACCACACTGCAGCTTTCTGTCCTATTTGTATGTACTAAGAGCACCTACCTTTCTTCTTTTTAATGTTTATCACATTTGCCAACCTCCACATCCAAAAAGTAAGCTCATGAGTGCAGACCATGTCTACCACGTTCACCTCTCAGGACTAACTAAGCACAGTACCTGCCACTCAAATATTTGTAAAACTAATGAACAATCTTCCCTAATCTTCCAGCTTCACCAAGAGCTCTATATTCCAAAATTATCTCACTCCTTTCCAACCCAACCAAAACTTCCACCTTCTTCAATACATGTGATCTCAAAGTGGATCTGAGAAAGAAAACTTTTTAACAAATGAAAATACCTCTAGGAAGAGGTAAAAGCATTCTTATTTGTTAAAGAAGACTTTCAAAACCCAAAAAAAAAAAAAAACACCTCCAAGTGGTAGAATTTTAAGAAGCAGAACCTGCTGAAACAAACATTTTAAATATTCAATACAGAAAAGGTTATTTGAAGGTATCTACTGTACTGTTTAACCTTTCTTAGAAATGCCACCAGCAACATTACCACTTCCTGACACCCCAAATAGCCCTCAGGCATGCTTTTCACAGGGTCTCTTTCTTTTCCTCCCTCTCTTCAGATCCTCAAAGTTTCCATAACAGTATATTTGAGACTGCTTTAAAATACAGGTTATTTCTAAGTCAAAATAATTTTTACCTTGGGAATTTGCCCATATAAATCTTGAGTATTCACAAATCTACATCACATTTAATCATACGAAACCCACTTTAAGGTTCTTACAAAATATTTTAAGGATATGAGTACAAAAACATTATTTTGGTCAAAAAGCTGAGTTTTCAAAGAGTAATTTTCCTAAAAACTAGTTCATTTTAACTGTAAAATTTTGCCCCTTACTTTTTACCCACATACTTTATTGTGAGAAATTTCTATTTCTACATGAGGTTTCATTCTCTATTTTGCATTTCAGCATGGTCATCAGTTTCAGACACTGAGTTATATAGCCCATTCAATGTTCAGTAAGCTGGGCTTTTTGAATGGGTAAGTGTGAAGAAGCAAGTAGAATTCTTAGAATTATCTACCACTCTGACTTTCCTAGAGTCTACCTACTTCTTAGTTATAGCATCAAGTTATCTCTACATATATATGAGTATTGAAAAGACAATGTTAACTTTCCAATACATGAGACCAAAAAAAAGATCCTAGATATCTATCAACATCACTAGCTACAAAGAAAGATGCCTGAGAATGTGTATAATTTGCAAAGAAAACAGGGAAAGGATAAAACCCCACAAATCACTGCACCAATATCCCACTTTCACCATTTAACAGTGAAAAAGTCCCATCACTGAAAAATGGTTAGATATCATCAAAATGGATCTGCTCTATTTGTCTACTTTTACATAATCTTTTGACATTTCTGTATTATAACAATCAATGCTGGTAATATGTAATAATTTAATAAAATTGGCTTCCTACTATGTAGTTAAATAAACCATTCCTAGCCTAGTGTAATTATCTAGAAGACAGCAAAATAAAGTGACATTATTTCTCTAGTCACAAAGCAATAATAGATTAATTTGGTCTTTGGCTCTCCAGCCCAGGACTCGGTTTCCAGAATGATTCTGCCAGTTTACCTAAGTCAAAGAAAATATTTATGTGATAAATGTCTAATACATAACCAAACTACTATATTCAAATGGAAACAGTTTCATAGACTGTGAATTAAAGTGATTAGGGTGATTATAAAACAGTCAAAGGAAGCACACAAAAAAATTGTAGAACTCATTAGGCCAGGAAAATAGTTTAAGAGTAACTTTACATTGGTGTACAAGCTAACAGGACATGATAGTCATGACTTTGTCCGTGAAATAACACGCACTTGATGAAATAATTCACATGTGATGTTAAGATAAAACATTTAGAAGTTCAATTTTAGAGGATAACAATTATATCACTTAAACCAGTAAATGAGGTATTCCAAGGAGGAAACTGAAATTTTTTTAAATTTTTTATTCTAAAAGAAAGAGAAATACCGGTTCTATAAATTTGCTCTAGTAAAATCGCATCAAGTTGATAATATTTTTAATCACAAATTAACTCAAGTCCGAAATCTTTATCACAGACAAAAAAAAAATCTTTATTATACAATCTTGAGGACAAGTCCAATCATATTCAAGGTATGAAAATTTACCAGGTTGATTTAATAAAGTGAAATTAGGCCACCCAGTGGTTAATATATGTACTGCATACATGAATATTTTATTTCCAAATCTGGACTGTGCAAACTAGCAGTATTATAGTAAGACAAACTTTACAAAACCTTTGATCATTATTAACAGCAATATTGAGGAGAGTTCTACCTAGTAATTCCATAAACAAAAACATTGTGAGAAAATTTCTATTTCATTAGTATGTATATACTTTTAAATAAGATTACAAAATGTCTTCAAATATATACATTAAAGCTAGAAACTACCTTACAGACCATAAAATCCAAACTCTATATATTAACCAGATGAAAAACTGAGGCAGAGTTTACCTGCTTCCCCAAACAATATTGCCAGTTAATGACAAAACCGATTAAAAGATCAGTTCTCATATTTCAGTATAATTTCACTCCCACCCATTTTGCTGGAAACAACACAGTAAAATTGGTTCCTATACACACACATATACATAACACTGCAAAAAACATCTTCTATTTCAAGAGCTGGCTTTTATCTTTTCAGGTTAGTGTAGTCATAGGTCATCTCAAGTGTAAATAATCTGTTACTAGTAAACAGGTTTCTAAATGACATTTTTTAAAGCTTACTTTAAAGGGTAAAACTGACTTTCGAATCTAAAATTAATTACGTATATATAAATATGCTTAAAAGTTAAATATATGTTAGTAACAGATATATTAATTTTAGTATTGCCTGTAAATTGTCATCGCAATTCCCAGTGGGATGTAAAATTATTTAAAGTCACAATACAAATGAGTCTTCCTTTATGTAAATCTAGAGGACAGATACTACGGCTATCTTAAAGATCAAAACAGCTAACATCCTGCAGTTGTTCACACTTGAGGTAACACTTAGTTTTCTACTCTTAGGTTTTTTTGGGTTTTTTTTTTTCAGTTCACATAGGAAACATATATTACAGGATTTACGCCTATGCTCTTAGGCAAAACTTTTATACAGCAAAGTATAGTTTTCACTTGAACGCTTAAGTGGTTGTATACTGGAGATCTCAAATTACAACTTGAAGTAACTGAATTATTTCTTTTCCCTTTCAACTATAAATTGAGTTCAAATATATTAAGATACTTAGGTAAAAGGCAAGAGAGATTTTTCCCAATGACATTATTTTTGCTTCAAAACAATTCACACTCTATCCTCTTTTGTTTTTTGTTGAAGCACAAAAGCAGAGCATCTACTATCTTCTAAGATATGTAAATCATATTTACGTGGGCAAGAAATGTAATTCAGAGTATGAAACACATTTAAGTATGAAGACTTAAGAGATACATCATTCAGAGATGATAATTTCTCCCCACATCCTCTATCTGTATACTCCCAGGGAGAGTATAGCTTCACCCCACCACATTTAATTACTCCAGATTTACGACCCTTTAAATCATTCTATCATGTTTAAATTAACTTACACAACTGTCAAGGGATAAATGTCAAAAGTACAATATTTAGATTTCAAGCTCACAGTATTCTCAATAAAACAACTTATATATGCAAACTAACATTAAGTTGTTTCTCCTTTCTTTGTCCATTATTATGAAACATACACTTCACACATATGAAATGGACAGAAAACCCATGGGGAGGGGAAGGTTCTGACATTTAAACATTCGTGTCTAGCCATAATTTTAATTTAACTAAATGCTGATGACAGAATTAGCCAAGAAACTGTTTCAAATAAGATTAACATCAATACTGATAAGTAGATAATATCACACATTAATAAACTTGTTATTGAGTTAACATATTCAATTGTCATCTTATTTTTAAATTTTTTTATATTTAAAAATTCAAAAAGCCTAAACCAGTACTTCGGCAATCATAATTACAAGAGCTTTAAATATCTATCTTTTCTGAAGATTGATGTTAATTGGGTCCTTGAAGTTCTAGAAGGGTGGTTCTTTCCTGGGTGATTTTGTCCCCCAAAAGATATTTGGCAATGTCTGGAGACATTTTTACTGTCATGACTGAGGGAAGTGGAGTGTTACTATCTCTACTGGGTAGAAGCCAGCGATGCTGCTAAACATCTCCCCATTACAAAGAATTATCTGGTCCAAGATGTCAATAGTGCAAAGGCTGAAAACAGTTTTAGAGGGGTCTGTGTACACATTTATTTCATCTCAAGAGTTTGTCCTATAACTTACTTCAAAACTAATAAGCTTACAGAGACTTAAGGATTTCTGCAGAAGCATCCTGCACACAGCAGATGCTTAACAGAAAACTAAGGAAAAAACAATTATGTATAGTTACTGCCAATTTTTAGCAGAACTCTGCAATGAATGACCCCCATTACTAAATTTCAACTTAGGAAATACATCTCTAGTTAAGATTTTGGGGCTGTGGATCTAGATAAATAAATATTTGGAAATCCTGCCAAACATCTTTTCAGGTTTATTTGATAATGCTGAAAATCGGAAGACATCCTATATTTTTGTTATCTAAGCAATTACTCCACATAATTTATGAGTAGCTGCTGTAATGGCATGTAAACGAAAATTAGATGCATAAATTCATCCTAGCACATTTTCCAGGCAAAGGTGGAAAAAAGTGCCTTACCTCTGTGGAACACTTAGGTACGGTCAGAGCCAAACACAGACACTCAAAATATTAAGTGAATCAAACACATTGTTTTATTTCAAGATCAAGCTACTAGTTGTTACTACTAGTTGTTACTATGTGACATGGTCCCAAGAGAGGATATTAAAATATACATATATACATAAAGCTGAGCATATGGGTATAGGAATTACAGAAAACATCAAAAAAGTCCTCTCAGCTATTCCCCAGAGGATTTTCCACAACGTTTCAAGATAGCCAAGTTGGCAGAGGGGTGGCCGCCCAGGTTCACCGCGGAGTTCCTATTTTGACTGTACCGTCATTCAGAAAAGAGTCGCCCGAACACCATTTTCAAGTCCTCCCGGCAGGACACAGTCAGTTTTCTCTGCGTAGCGGACTCCCTAAAAGCGCTCGACTTACCTGGCAAGAAACCTGCCTCGAAGAAGTGGCAGCATGAGGTCAGAAATCTGGACGCGCATTACGGGGAGAGTCACCGAGAAACCTGGGCATCTCTTACGTCCCGCGCCTCAAACACCCTGGTCCCCAACTCTCCACACGTCGCAGCTGCCCTCCGGTCATCGAGGCCAAGCGGCCGCGGGGACGCGGGAAGAAAAACCTCTGCCCTCGCCAGGGAGGGCCTTATGGCGGGAGGGGGCAGCGGGATAGGAAAGAGAATCTGAGCCGAGACGGCGCCGACAGGCCTGGGCGAAAGGGGTGCCACCCACCTGCGCGACCTCTTCGCCATCCTTCAAGTACCGCATAGGAGCAGGCTGGGCGGGGACGCGGGTCAGCCTCCTCCAGCCTCCGGCGAATGCTCCTTCTCCCCGATCCTCTAGCCGCTTCCCTCGCTCCCTCTGGAGGCGGCCGAGTGCGGAACGCACGTCCTCGACAGGGCAGGACGGAGGGACAGCGGGGGCGGACCGCGACCCGACCCCGACCCCGGCCCGCAGCGCCGCTCTTAGCCCCGGCCCGGCCCGGCCAGGGATACCCCCAACATGTCAGGAGGCGCGATCCCGCCCTCCGCCGGCTTCTCCCGCCGCTTGTCAGCCTCCCTGCCCTGGCCCCAGCCCGGCTCCGCCACAGGCGCCCGACCCCTGCCCTCTCCCCCGCAGCTAGCAGTTCTGCAGGGCTCGCAGTCTCCTGCAGGGTTTTGTCCGCACCGCCGAATCTCGCGCCCAGCCTCCCTCAAGAGCCGCCGTTTGAATCTGCGCACGCGGCCCTGAACCTCATTGGCTGTGGGGGCCGCACGCGAAGAAGCGAGGGCGGGGAGGGGAGAGCGCGCGCGGCTGAGGGCGGGGCTGGGGAGCTGGAAGCTGGGACTGGAACTCGCGGGAGTCGGGGAAGGAGCCGGGAGCCAGGGGGTGGGGCCGCGGGTGGGGCCGTAGGTGGCGCATGCGAGCCGAGCTGTCATAGGACCCGGAACGCGCCGAGAGGCGCACCGCGCGGGGCCTGCTGGGAGAGCGAGTTCCTGCGCTCGCCGAGGAGTGGGTCCGGAAGCGGCGCCGGAGCGGGTCCGGAAGCGGGCGGTGGAGAAGTCCAGTTGCCCCAAAATTCTTAGGGTGAGCGAACCGAGTTTCTGGCGGGGTGGGTGGTCCCGCGGCCCACCAAGGGAACGTCTCCGCAGCCTCGCCTCGGCGACAGCTCCTGGCTCCTTAGGTGTCTTCCGCCTCACTAGTTAGGATGCGCGGTCTTCAGACTTGAGACAAATCTAACCATAAATTTGCGCGGCCGTTATTTTTTAAGCAAAAATGTGAGCTATTTTTACCCAGACATCATAGTTACGAGAGTGACGAAGACTCTGGCAGGAAACCAAATATCACCTGTTTTCCTCAAAAAGCAGCAGAAGAGTGACAAGTGAAAAAAGTTCCTAGCGGGAGACGTGCTTGGAACCGGAGATAATCTGTGTCTACCGCTGGTCTTCAAGGTGCTTAATTTCGTGCCCGCTCTACAGGAAATAACGTGCGCGGCGGAGGAGCCCTGTCCTGGAGAATAACGCGTGAAGAAGACAGTGGACTGGGCATTTCGTCCAGATGAATGAGCATGGTAGTTAAGTGTAGAAGGTGACCTTCTTCCCTCTGGAGAGACCAGGGAGGGGGGAACCACCGGAGGAGTTTCTAGCGGTTGCAGCTACTTGAGGTTCCAGTCTAATAACTACGAACTGTTCATTTCAAGTAGCATTAAAGTAGATTTGCTACAGTAACAATTACACTTGGCTAAGGAAAATTTGCAAGGCAACATGGTCTATTGCATAGAGCACTGAGCCACATGTTAACACTGTAACAAACACTTGCTATTTTGAAATTTTACGCTTCATCTTTTGCAAATCAGATGCAGGTGCAGAGTGAATTAAGAGGAGCTGAATTAAGAGAGAAGCTTGCATGCACTGCTGTCAAAACCTAAACACACTGGCTTTTTTTTTTTTAACAGTTCCTTTTTTCAAGGTATAGATTCTGGGAAGGTAAGGGAAGATAAAACAGCTTTTCTTTTTCTCTCCTGTTTTTTTTTTTGTTGTTTTTTTTTTGAGACTAGGTCTCACTCTATTCCCCATGCTGGAGTGCAGTGGCACAATCATAGCTTACAGTAGCCTCGAACAGCGATCCTCTTGCCTCAGCCTCCAAAGTAGCTGGGACTACAGGCGCGCGCCACAACACCTGGCCAAGCGTTTCTTCCAGATCATTCCTTACTGGGTTGCTGGTTCAGTAAAAATAAAAAAATAAAAAATAATTTAGAAATGAGTTCCCAAATTTCATTATGTTCCCAATGTCATTTGGAATCACTGTTTCACTGTTTTCTTATTTACCCCTGGGTCGTACATTACTTCACTTATTTATATCTAACAGGAAGCAGAGCTTCTGCTATATTTTAGGCTGTATTCAGTTTTATACAGAATACCTTTTTTAGAGCTTGAAGACAAATGTTTTAGATTTTGACAGTAAAACAAATTTCCCTCATTTTTACATATAGAGAAAAGCAATTCCCAGAAAGATAACATTGTGAAATTACTGAAATCAGTTATAAAACTCAGGGCAAAGTGTGGAATTAAAGTGGTTCACAGTCATTTGAATACACATACTCAGATGTATTCTAAACTAAGATGAGTTTTTTTTTAAGCAAACGTTTAGAGATTTTATTCAGAGTATATAAAGAACTCTCAAAACTCAGTGAGAAAAAAAGCATTTAAAAAATGGGCAAAAGATTTAAACAGATTTCACCAAACGAGATATATATATACATACACACACACACACACACACACACACACACACACACACACGACAGGCATATTAAATGATGTTCCACCTCATTAGTCATTAGAGAAATGCAAATTAAACCACAATGAGATACTAGACTACACTTCTGTTAGAATGAGCGGGGAAAATGACTGACTATACAAATGTTGGTGAAGATGAAAATGCTGAGCAAGTACAACTTGCATACATTGCTGTTAGGCATGCAGAATTCAGCCATTTTGCAAAACATTTATAGTGGCTTTGTTTTGTTTGTTTTTTAATTTTTGTGGGTACATAGTAGGTGTATATATTTGTGGGGTACATGAGATGTTTTGATACAGGCATGCAATGTGAAATAATCACATCATGGAGATGGGGTATCCATCCCCTTGAGTATTTATCCTTTGTGTTACTTTTAGTTATTATAAATTTTAGTTATTTTAAAATCTACAATCAAGTTATTGACTCTAGTCAACTTGTGCTGTCAAATAGTAGGTCTTTTTTTTTTTTTTTTTTTTTTTTTTTAGACAGTCACTCTGTCACCCAGGCTGGAGTGCATTGGCGCGATCACCACTCACTGCAACCTCCACCTCCCATGTTCAAGCAATTCTTGTGCCTCAGCCTCCCAAGCAGCTGGGATTACAGGCATGTGTCACCATGCCCGGCTAATTTTTGTGGTTTTTGTTTTTTGAGACAGAGTCTCACTCTGTCACCCAGGCTGGAGTCCAGTGGCATGATCTTGGCTCACTGCAACCTCTACCTCCCGGGTTCAAGAAATTATCCTGCCACCCCAGGCTAATTTTTTGTATTTTTAGTAGAGATGGGGTCTCACCATGTTGACCAGCCTGGTCTGGAACTCCTGACCTCAGGTGATCCTCCCGCCTCGGCCTCCCGAAGTGCTGGGATTACAGGCATGAGCCACCATGCCTGGCCTAATTTTTGTATTTTTAGTAGAGACGGGGTTTTGCCCTGTTGGCCAGGCTGGTCTCAAGCTCCTGACCTCAGGTGATCCGTCCATCTCAGCCTCCCAAAGTGCTGGGATTACAGGCATGAGTCACTGACCCTGGCCTTTTCGTAACGTTTTTAGAGATGGGGTCTAGCTGTGTAGCCCAGGCTGGATTGCAGTGGTGTGATGATAGCTCACTGTAACCTTGAACTCCTGGGCTCAAGCAGTCCTGCTGCTTCACCGTCCTCAAGTGCTGGGATTATAGGCATGAGCCATCTATGCCTAACTAGGGCCATTCTTTAGAGATGCTGGTGTGGTTACTAAAACAATCTTCCTTGGGCTTCTTGCACTCCTATATACATCTTGCTGGGTGTGCCTAGATTGCAAGGCCCTGAGTACTCTTTTACACAGGCCATTTCTAAGGGTTATTTGCAGCTAGTTGCCTTGAGAGATGAGGTAACATCTCAGTCCAAGACAAAAACTAGGTTTACTTACTGCTTACTATAAAAGCAGTGGATTCCCAAGTTGAGTGTTTCTCAACTGTAGCACAAATCCACTCTATGCATGACATCCATCTGGTACCATTACATTGCCCCATGGGACCTGAAAGCAAGAATAACTGGCACAAATATGTTGATGCTCAAGGTGTTTGCTGTGCTGTAAGTAATACCAACACTTTGTCCCCAACCTTAGAGTCTTGTGTCTTCTGGTAAAAGGATCCATGAGCCAGTAACAGTTTAACTTAGCTTATAAGTAGGGTAAAATCAAATCCCAGACCTGACAGCTAGAGTGTCATGAATGAAGGGGCACTCACAACCCCTGTCACTCTCCTTATTATATATTAATCTTCATGAAGTAAATTTTTATTTTTCCAATTCAAATTTTTATTTTAGAATTCCTAAATTCTTCAGCCCAATTTTTACTGGATAAAGTGTACGTCTTGGGATTGAAAATAACCATCGGACAGGTGCGGTGGCTCACGCCTATAATCCCAGCACTTTGGGAGGCTGAGGCAGATGGATCACCTGAGGTCAGGAGATCGAGACCATCCTGGCCAACATGGTGAAACCCTGTCTCTACTAAAAATAAAAAAATTAGCTGGGCGTGGTGGCGTGTGCCTGTAGTCCCAGCTACTCAGGAGGCTGAGGCAGGAGAATAGCTTGAGCCTGGGAGGCAGAAGTTGCAGTGAGCCAAGATTGCACCACTGTACTCCAGCCTGGGCGGCAGAATGAGACTCCATCTCGAAAAAAAGAAAGTAACCATTGTCAGATACAACAAGAAAAAAAGAAAGAGAGATAAGGAAAGAGGGAAGGAGGAAGGGAGGAAGGGATCAGCACCCTTCTCTCACAGCTATAGTTGTGTTGGATGTGAAGCTCCAGAGACATAGAAAGCATTCATAGCTAATGGTGACCCCTTTCTGCTTTGTGAATGGCTGGCTTTTTCTTATTTGGTAAAAGGATAAATCTTTGAAAATGACAATCTCAACATTCTGATTTTTAGTTTTAGAAAAACCTACTTTTAAGAGCTGCAATACTGGACTCAAATACTGAAAAGCTAGTGATACTCTGCTGTTCCTCTTTAGTGAATTACTGATAAATATCACAGTAAACAAATTAGTGCAAAGTTGGTTCACTTGTACATATTCATGTAAATTACCATAAGAGGGAGGTAGTGGTATAATATAAAATTTCTGCACAGAGCACATAGCACCTGGTGCTATAATAAAGATTGAGAATCCCTATTCTTATAAAAGAAATGCTTATTAATCTTATTTATATCTTATTAATATTATTTAATTCAATTTAACGAACAGTTCTTGAACACCTACTCATGCTACACATTAGTACTACAGAGATTAATTTTGCTCTCAAAAGCAGTCTCAAGTATAGCACCTTAATCTGTTACCAGGAAAGTCAAGCATTCTATCTTCTAAATTACTCTTATTTTTCAACTAAGTTAATTTTTTTAGGTAGAACTAGCTAAAAGAAAGTAACTTAAAGTAATAGCAAAGTCAGATTTGAACATAGATCTCTAAATTGAGAGAACCAACTTAAAAAAATTTAATATATGAAAATGTACTTTAAAATCATGTACATACACATAAAGGACATACTCATTATTATTATTATTATTATTATTATTATTTTTTTTTTTTTTTTTTTTTTTTTTTTTTTTGAGACGGAGTCTCGCTCTGTCGCCCAGGCTGGAGTGCAGTGGCGCGATCTCGGCTCACTGCAAGCTCCGCCTCCCGGGTTCACGCCATTCTCCTGCCTCAGCCTCCCGAGTAGCTGGGACTACAGGCGCCCGCTACCACGCCCGGCTAATTTTTTGTATTTTTAGTAGAGACGGGGTTTCACCGTGTTAGCCAGGATGGTCTCGATCTCCTGACCTCGTGATCCGCCCGCCTCGGCCTCCCAAAGTGCTGGGATTACAGGCGTGAGCCACCGCGCCCGGCCACTCATTATTATTTTAATAATACCTGCAAAGTATGTTTTAGATTAGCTATAATTTGGCAAATTAATTCTCAATATTAAAATGAATAGTCTTTTCCTCTACTATATAAATCTACAAGTCTTCTCCCAATTATCCTTCCTTTCTTTCTTTCTTTCTTTTTTTTTTGACAGGGTCTTGCTATGTTGCCCAGACTGGAGTACTGCATGCAGTGCAGTGACACAAACAGAGCTCACTGCAAACTCCTGGGCTCAAGTGACCCTACCACCTTGGCCTTCCAAAGTGTTGGGATTACAGATGTGAGCCACTGAGCCTGACTCAATTATTTTGAATTCAGATCTATTAGCGAGTTCATATTCTATTACTCTCTCATACTCTAGTAATATGATCCATTCATTTAAAGTGTACAATTTAGTTTTTAGTATCTTCAAAGAGTTGGGCAACCATCACCACAATCAGTTTTATACCATTTCAATACCTCCCCCCAAAATCTGTACCCATTAGCAGTCATTCCCCATTTTCTCCCGAGGTCCTCAGCCCTAGGCAACAACTACTCTACTTTCTGTCTCTTTGTTTGCTTTTTAAACAGGGTAGAGATAAACAGATTTATGTTTCAAAAGATACCCCAGGTGACCATGTGGAGGATAGATTGGATTGGACATGACTAGAAGCTGGGAGATGAGTTAAAAGATTTGCTGTAACTGGGTGAGAGACAGGAGCTTAAACTGATGCATTGGCAGTGGTGATGGAGAAGACAGGATAATGGAGAGAGAAAAAGGTGAATCCAAACTCTCAGGTTCTTATTTGAAAGACTGGCTGACTGGTGGTGCTACTAATTTGGAATAGGATACAGGAGTAATTATAGATTGGTGGGTAGGAAGTGAGTTCCATTTTGGAACATGTTGAATTTTGGGTATTTGGTGCTTCCAGATGGAGAGAGATATAGTTCATGAGTGGGGTTGGGATTGAAAATAAAGATTTGTGAATCACAGGATGTGACTGAAGTCACGGGAGTAGATGAGATTGCCTAGGAAAAGATTGTAGAGGGAGAAACAGGGCTAAAAGTGAAGTAATGGGAAATGTCAACAAGGAACAGGCAGAAGAGCAAGGCTTGCAAAGGAGTTTAAGGGATAGAAATCATGGAGGTGATATAATATAAATCAAGGAATGAAAGTTTCAAATAAAAGGAAGAAATGAGCTCAAATGCTGTAGAAAGTAAATTGGGACTGATTTCTTTCTACAGGTATATATTGGATTTAACAGGGTTTGGTGACTTTGTGGCCACAGTTTCAATGGCATGGTGGTAGTAAAAGTCAGATTTCAAGAGGACTGACAACTGATTAGGTAGTGAAGTCAAGGCACTCTGAAGATATTTGAGAGAGAGGGGAAGGCAAGGCAGTGATACATGGTTATGGAGGGAGGGAGGGAGGGATGGATGGATGGATGGATGGATGGATGGATGGATGGATGGATACATTTAAAGCAATGATTTCAACCCTACTGGAGCCAATATCCCCTTTTTATAACAGCATTTTCTATTCCCTGTACCATACTAAAATGAAATTCATAAATAACTTACACATTACTTTTTTAAAAATTGTTTTACTGCTCTACCTACAATATAGAGGACAGACAAGAAATTTATAATAAAATCTCTCTCAGGCACAACTAATACAGCCAATATATATAGGTAGAGTCACTATGAACACAATATCTACAAATACGGACATCCATACATGGGCTGTATTAGTGTCTTTGAGCTGGGTTGCCTTCAGTAATGTGATTTTCTAAAATGGGGAGACAACTCTTGGTTCAGCCTGAACAAAATAAAATACAATATTTCCTTGGTTTACATGGTAGTTGCATTTCTGGAAATACTCAATTATTTTAAAATAGTACAAAAAACAGTTGTGCACTTCTGTATAAAAGGAAGTCTGGTTCTAGCTTACGTAATTATAATCAGGTATTTCACTTACATGACTGGTTGAAAGGTGAATGGAATGCAGGATACTTCTTCCTCGTGCAGGGCTGTCTCACACATTGCAAGAGCAATGTGTTCCCAGTCCCAGCACACTAAATGCCAGTAACCACCATGAAGAAGCACAGATTCCCCCTAAACTTTCAAAAATTCACTGTGCCCATTAGTAATGCCTGGACATGCCAGGCCAGTAGAGAAGGAGAGGCTGGAAAAAGACAAGATAGATTATTATCTCTGTTAAAGTAGAAGGTGATAACATTTAGAATGGAGGTAGAAAGATCAGAATTTAAGAGAAGCACACATATTCATATCTTGGTGGATGTCATGTTTCCCACCAATTAGTAATAACCCTGCTTTGAGGATTTTGTGGCATGCTGGTAAGTTATCATTTTAATGCCCTGAATACCCTCTTCCCTAACTTGGAGTTCCTATCCTTCATTTTGAACCCTCAGTTAGTAGGCTTATTTGTTGTAAATGAGGACTAGAATTTGAACATTATGGAAAATTACTTTTTGAAGAGAAACATTACTTTTATTATTACAGGCCAAAAATGTTGAAAATTTCAGCAAAGGTATATCAGTTTCCTATTGCTGCTGTAACAAATTACCACAAATGTAATGGCTTAAAACAATACAAACATGGCCGGGCGTGGTGGCTCACGCGTATAATCCCAGCACTTTGGGAGGCCGAGGCGGGCGGATCACGAGGTCAGGAGATAGAAACCATCCTGGCTAACAACGATGAAACCCTGTCTCTACTAAAAATACAAAAAATTAGCCGGGTGTGGTGGCACATGCCTGTAGTCCCATCTACTCGGGAGGCTGAGGCAGGAGAATCGCTTGAACCTGGGAGGCAGAGGTTGCAGTGAGCTGAGAGCATGTCACTGCACTCGCTCTGCGCAACACAGCGAGACTCCATCTCAAAAAAAAAAAGAAAAAAGAAGAAAGAAATACAAACATTACCCTAAGGTTCTGGAAGCCAGAAGTGCAAAAAGGATTTCACTGGGCTAAAATCAAGGTGTCAGGAGGGTTGTGTTCGTTTTCTGGAAACTCTAGAGGAGAATTTGTTTCCTTGTTTTTGCCAGCTCCTAAAGGCAGTGTGCACTCCTTGGCTCACAGCCCCTTCCTCTATTTTCAAAGCCAGTGGTGTAGCACCTTCAAATCTTTCTCTGACTCTCCTGTCTGCCTCTTCCATTCTTAAGTATTCTTGTGATTATACTGGGCCCACCTGGCAAATCCAGGTTAATCCCTCATGTCAAGATCCTTAAGTTAATCACATCTGTAAAGTCCCTTTTGCCATGGAAGGTAATATATTCACAGGCTCTGGGTATTCGGTCATGGATACTTGAGAAATCATTATTCTCTCTACCACAAAAGTATAGAGCAAGGAGTCTTGGGTTTAAATAGGGACACTAAAACTTTTCTTTCTCTTTACAATTTTTCTTCCTATGCAGTTCAAGTGCTCTTATTTTTAACTTTAAAAGCCAAACTAAGAATTCTATAACTGCTTATGTTAGACAGTGTGATTTCTATTCATAATTTCCATCAAATTTAAAATAGCACCCTAAATGTAGACTGAAGATTAGCAAAAATATTGGTGGTGAGGGGACAGAGAATGGAGCAAACATTTCTCTATCCAAGATAGAGTTCTGAACCTGAGTTTTGTTTTCAGATTGAATACATGGTTTCATCATATCTGTCCAGGTACTTTTATTTTTTGGAGCTATTTCCTTCTAGGATTGATTGATTGACTGATTGATTGATTGATTGATTTTTTTGTAGACAGAGCTCGCTCTGTCGCCCAGGCTGGAGTGCAGTGGTGCGATCTTGGCTGACTGAAACCTCTGCCTCCTGGATTCAAGCAATTCTCCTGCCTCAGCCTCCGGAGTAGCTGGAATTACAGGTCTGCGCCACCACGCCTGGCTAATTTTTTGTTTTGTTTTGTTTTGGTATTTTTACATGTTGCCCAGGCTGGTCTGAAGCTCCTAGCTCAGGCAATCCGCTTGCCTGGGCCTCCCAAAGTGCTGGGATTACAGGTGTGAGCCACCGTGCCTGCTCATTCTAGGATTAAAAAAAAAAAACATAGCTGGACCTGGTGGCACCCCTCTAGTTCTAGCTACTGGGGAGGCTGAGGTGGAAGGATCCCTTGAACCCAGGAGTTTGAGGCTGCAGTGAGCTATAATCACACCACTGCACTCCAGCCTGGGTGACAGAGTAAGATCCCATCTCTTTAAAAAAAAAAAAAAAGTATAGCGTTCTAGGTACTAGATTAACCAGGGCTTGTCAAACCAGCATAAGCAAATCCTGGGAGTATTGTCCTTTCGTTACAGGAGGATGGGAAGCAATAGGTACAGCTATACGGGTGGTGCATATTCCTGGGGAAGCAATTTAAAGATTTAGAGTAGAAAATGAATTAGGCATTTTTATTATTTACATAATAAAATACAAATATATTTATCATATTTACAAACTGAATTTGTAGAGTTAGAACAATTTTCAAAGAAAATGCCAAAAATTAGCCAGGTGTGGTGGCACACGCCTATAATCCCAGCTACTTGGAGGCTGAGGCAGGGAGAATTGCTTGAATTTGGGAAGCAGAGGTTGCAGTGAGCTGAGGTTGCGCCACTGCATTCCAGCCTGGGCGACTGAGCGAGACTCCATCTCAAAAAAAAAAAAAAAAAAAAAAAAAAAAAGAGTGAATAGTGGGACATAAAACAAGATAGCTGAAGTGTCTATTAATCTTGTCCACAATCTATTCCTACTTTCTTCTTGCGGAATAACTGCTAGTGAATTTATACCCAGGCAAAAACAAGAGGCTTGTTCTCCAAATAAATTAAATTACAATGACTGCCTTGATTTCACTGGGTGAAAAAATAGGTGAAAAAACAATTACAACGTTTGCCTTGAAAACACTCCAACTTCTAATTAGTGTCCCAGAAAAAAAAAACCTTTTCATTTTATTTTTATTTTTTTAATTATTCTAGGGAAAGTGAAATCTTTTTCATTTTAACATTTGGGACCACCTTGGCTATTTATTAGTTTAATTAAACTATAGATTTTTAAAAAGGCACTTATGGCTAAAAGAACATAACTTGAATCCCATCAACCTTGACAATGTAAAAGTAATAAATAGGATAGCTGATAAAAAATTAGGAAGTAGAATGAGAAGATAAGGGATTTCAGAAAGTGTAAAAATGCTAATTGCCTCATTTTTCATAGGGAGAGTCAAGAGATAATGTTTGAAATTGGTGGATTAATAAACAGAGACCTAACTGTATTATTTAAAGTTACAGAGAAAACTAAAAAGGGCAAGGGAACTAATATTTTTCACAACGGAGGAATAAAATACCGTCTAAAGTCGACAAATCAAGAGATTATACCTATATCTTATTTAAGTTGTAGTAACCACTGAAGATAAAACGGTTGATTTAGTGATTGGGATGGGAGAAGTGGGTGCCTTCTATAGTTTTGAATTATTTTAGCCATGTACATGTATTGCTTTGAGGATAAGTTTTTTCTGTTTGTTTTGTTTTTGAGACGGAGTCTCGCTCTGTCGCCCAGGCTGGAGTGCAGTGGCTCGATCTCGGCTCACTGCAAGCTCCGCCTCCCGGGTTCACGCCATTCTCCTGCCTCAGCCTCCCGAGTAGCCGGGACTACAGGCGCCCGCCACCACACTCGACTAATTTTTTGTATTTTTAGTAGAGACGGGGTTTCACCGTGTTAGCCAGGATGGTCTCGATCTCCTGACCTCATGATCCGCCTGCCTCTGCCTCCCAAAGTGCTGGGATTACGGGCTTGAGCCACCAAGCCCGGCCGAGAATAAGTTTTAAATGGGAAAAAATTAAGGGCTATTTGAATGAGAACTTTTCCAGATAGTAATTGTTCTAATTACCCCATGTACCAAAAATAAATTTAATAACATTGTAACATTTACAAAAGAGCCAAATCACCTGCCATAAGAAAGATCACATAATGATAATCTTAAATTGAAATGGAATACTGTAAGCACAATTTAAGATAGGCATTTGATTACTAGCCACTTAGGCAGTACCACTGCTTAACGGAAACAGAGGTGACAGATACTGGTATAGGCTGGGAGAAGCTATAGGAAGAAATGAAACTAATCTTTCTAGGTCGGGCACCATGGTTTGTGCCTGTAATCCCAGCCCTTTGGGAGCCGAGGTGGGTGGATTGCTTGAGTTCAGGAGTTCAAGACCAGCCTGGGCAACATGGAGAAACCCCATCTCTACAAAAAATACAAAAATTAGCCAAGAGTGGTGGCATACGACTGTAGTCCCAGCTACTTGAGAGGTTGAGGCACAAGAATCGCTTGAACCCATGAACAAAGATCATCCGCTGCACTCCAGCCTGGGCAACAGAGCCAGACTGTCCAAAAAAAATAAAAATGCCAGGCGCGGTGGCTCACGCCTGTAATCCCAGCACTTTGGGAGGCCGAAGCGGGCGGATCACGAGGTCAGGAGATCGAGACCATCCTGGCTAACACGGTGAAACCCTGTCTCTAATAAAAAAATACAAAAAATTAGCCGGGTGTGGTGGCGGGCATCTGTAGTCCCAGCTACTCGGGAGGCTTAGGCAGGAGAATGGCGTGAACTCGGGGGGTGGAACTTGCAGTGAGCCGAGATCGCGCCACTGCACTCCAGCCTGGGAGACAGAGCAAGACTCCGTCACAGGAAAAAAAAAAAAGAGGCTGGGTGCTGTGGCTCATGCCTGTAATCCCAGCACTTTGGGAGGCCGAGGCGGGCAGATCACTTGAGGTCAGGAGTTTGAGACCAGCCTGGGCAACATGGTGAAACCCTGTCTCCACTAAAAATACAAAAATTAGCCGGGCGTGGTGGCGTTTGCCTGTAGTCCCAGCTACTTGGGAGGCTGAGGCACGAGAATCACTTGAACTCGGGAGGCAGAGGTTGCGGTGAGCCGAGAACGCACCACTGCACCCCAACCTGGGCAATAGGGCAAGACTCAGCCTCAAAAAAAATAAAGAAACTAGTCTTTCTATAGTCCTGGTCATGTTGAAAGAAATCAGAATAACTGAGGGCTTCTAACCCTCTAATTTGATTCTGGCTTTACTGTTTTGCTTACGTTTGTGTTATTCATCTATGTATCTAATTTACATTGGTCATATTACAAAGACACCTTTTCATTTCAAAGGAGAAGCTTATGTATCTGGTTACTTTTGTATACTCAGTGCAGAATCTCATTCCTTGCTAAAGTTTTTTCTTTTTCTCTAGCAACCCTATTTTCAACAGTTTTCTCAAAGTTCCTCATCCTTCTCTATTCAGCTGGCTCACTGCCCCCTTAAAGGATCTGGAGTCTAAAGTACGGCAAACATAAGCATCCCATTTAATTTTGTTTGATGAACTGACCTAGTTAGTAAGTTATTTTTGGAGATACTGAGTCTTGCCAATTTATTTTTTAAGAGACAGGGACTCACTCTGTTGCCCAGGCTGAGTGCCGTGACACAATCATAGCTCACTTATAAACTTCCCCAGCTTCCTGAGTAGCTGGGACTATAGGCATGCACCACCACACCCAGCTAATTTTTTTCCAATAGTGTTAGGGTCTCGCTATGTTGCCCAGGCTGGTCTTGAATTCCTGGCCTTAAGTGATCCTCCCATCTCTGCCTCCCCATGCACTGGGCACTATCCTCCATCCCTGGCCAATTAGATTTTTTTTTTTTTTTTTTTGAGACGGAGTCTTGCTCGGTTGCCAAGGCTAGAGTGCAGTGGCGCCATCTTGGCTCACCACAACTTCCGCGTTCCGGGTTCAAGCAATTCTCTGGTCTCAGCCTCCCAAGTAGCTGGGAGTACAGGTGCACGCCACCATGCCTGGCTAATTTTTGTATTTTTAGTAGAGACAGAGTTTCACTATGTTGACCAGGCTGGTCTCGAACTCCTGACCTCGTGATCTGCTGGCCTCAGCTTCCCAAAGTGCTGGGATTACAGACATGAGCCACCGCACCTGGCTGGCCAATTTGATTTTTAAGTATCCTATCAATTATTTAGGTCTCAGATGGTACATCACCTCTCAGGAAGCATTCCCTAACCATTTAGCAGGTCAGGTTAGTTCCTCTTGCAGCATAATCCCACATCACCCAATGCTTCCCCAATATGTAGTTACTTGCTTATTTAAATGTATCTCTCTCTCACTAAAAATGTAAATGTAATGAAGGCAGGAAGTGTCTTTCTCAGTTTATTATTCCTTCTGTTGAGCAAAGTACCTGACACATGATTCCATAGAAATAAACTTTCTAGTTGAGATGCATATAGCCCATGAACTATTTTTTGAGAAACATCACCTTTGGGAAACCTCCCCTCCAAAGCAGCAGACCCACTTAGTAAACAAGAATTATTTTAGGTCCTTGAAAAACTGGACTTTAACCAGTGATTCTCAAATGTACCCAGGTTAGTCATCTAAGAAATTCTGAAACTCTTCCTTAAAGCACCTCCAAATTTAGAGGAGGCAAGAAAACAAATCCAAGGAAGGAAGAACTTGAGATGGAGGACTAGGGTTCAGGAAGGGAACTAGTAGGAAGTGAAATTAAAGCTGTTGCTCATGCCTGTAATCCCAGCACTTCTGGGACTTGAGACTAGCCTGAGCAACATAGGGAGACCCCGTCTCTACAAAAAATAAATTAGCCAGGTGAGGTGACATACATCTGTAGTCCCAGCTATTTGGAAGGCTGAGGCAGCAGGATCACTTGAGCCCAGGAGTTTGAGATTGCAGTGAGCTATGATGGCACCACTGGGCACTCCAGCCTGCACAGCAGAGAGACCATCTGTATTAAAAAAAAAAAAAAAAAGCCAGATACTCTATACACTGAAATCAATTAAAACCATGTTGGTGTATCTAAAAACAAGCTAGATTTAACAATAAATGTTTGTAAAGACTTATGTGACCACCAAATTTTATTCCTTTGCTAAATTACAAATGTAGCATTAAAGTTAACAGCATAGACTATGGAGTCTTAAACATCTGGATTTAAATCTCAACTCTGCCACCTAACTCCAGGACTTCAGGTAAACCAACTAATCTATATCAACTTGTTTCCTAAAAGATGATAATGATAGTACCCAACCACAAAGGCTTTTGACGGTTAATTATTGCATGTAGTGTTCAGCCTATTGCCCAGATACAAGGGAAAGAGTCACTAAATGTTAGCTATTACCAATGTGTTTTGTGCTTGTCTCCATCATTGGGATGTAAGCTCTAAGGACGCATGGAATTTCTCTCATTTGGAACTGTTTCCCAAGTTTTTAAAACAGGCATTTTATCAGTACTTGTTTAAAATAATGAATGACCCCTCTATTTAGTAGAGACCCCGTCTCTACTAATACAAAAATTAGCCGGGCATGGTGGCGGGTGCCTGTAATCCCAGCTACTCGGGAGGCTAAGGCAGGAGAATTGCTTGAACCTGGGAGGCGGAGGTTGCAGTGAGCCAAGATGGTGCCACTGCACTCCAGCCTGGGCAACAGAGCGAGACTCGGTCTCAAAAAAGAAAATTAAAAATAAAATACTGATTCCATAAATCAAATATAAAAATGTCATCACTTTATAGGTAGACTTTGTACTATACCTGTTTCTGTAAATAGAACAAACAGGAATAATCCCCCCAGATTCCTACACAATTTATCTGTTTCTCAAATAATTTACGTGGTATGACAAATGGGCCAAAGACAGGTTTACTTCTAGAGTGTGCAAATTTGAAGAGCCCATATGTTTTTCACCTCAGTGTATCATATACAGTTCAGAAAATCAATTAAAGACTTACTTCAGTTTTTCTATATACATTTTTAATGATTAGAAACAATTGATTATTAAGTCAGAATTGCAGTTGCTGGGGTCTGAAAGAGCCAGACAATAAAAATAAAATCCATAATGAGCTGTTATAAGTAGGATGTTTATCTTATTTACTAAAGAGTTTTTGAGAATTCTATTCTGATGGTATGTGACCAATGGCATGCATATACAAGACCTCAAGTCCAAGTTTGGGATAACTGTAGCCAACACCTAAAGGAAAGGTAATTATGTTTTAGTTTACATGGGGCTCATACCCATGTCACTTGTCCCATCAGCACTATGCCCTCTGCAAGTAAGACTATGACGACAATGGTCGGCAGAACAAAAGGTTGACAATTGTGAAACCACAAGGTTACAGAAGAAATTGAGGCCTTGAAAGGCTCCAAGACTTGCCTTGGGTCACAGAGCACACTGTCGGTTTGAGATTCTCAGTGTTGCACATGGTCATAAATGTTTGAATGTACAACCCCCCATTTTTTAGTCAATTATGTACAAGTAAAATAAGTTTTAATGTAACAAATTATTTAAATAATGTGTGCCCTGTGAGGATTTATCCCACTTAATGGCAACTGAACTCTACCACATTACATTAACATATAACATAGCAAATATTTGAGTGTTTACTATGTGTCAGGCACTCTTCTAATCATCAGATACGTGTTAACTCATTTAAGACAGCCACCCTGGGAGCAGATGTGATCATCATCCTCGCAGAGAGGAATGCACAGAGAGGTCACAGAAAGCAGCGTACCAGGAGTCAGACCTAGGCAGTCTGGTGTCTAAGGCTATACTCTAAATTATTGAGTTAAATGATCTAATAAAATGTATATTAAGCATATACAATAAAACTTGGAAGTAAACGTGTTGACTGCTAAGCTACACAAACGTTATTTAGTACTATTATCTGTATTTCCTTTCATTTCCTTATCACTAACCAGTATTTTTTTAAACCACCACAAAATCAAGTTCTCTGTTAGAATTTGCCTTCATTTTTAAATATTCAGTAAGCATTATGGCCCAATTATGTAATATGTCTAAAGAAATTTTGCTGGCAGGGTGCGGTGGCTCACGCCTGTAATCCCAGCACTTAAAGAGGCAGAGGAGGGCAGATCACTTGAGCTCAGGGGTTCAAGACCGGCCTGGGCAACATGGCAAAACCCTATCTCTACAAAAAATACAAAAATTAGCCAGGTGTGGTGGCACATGCCTGTAGTCCCAGCTATTCAGGAGGCTGAGGTGGGAGGATCACTTGAGCCCAGGAGGTTGAGGCTGCAGTGAGCCCTGATCATGCCACGGCAATCCAGCATGGGCAGCAGAGTGAGACCGTTTTGGTTTTTTTTTAAATTGCGCACTCTTTTTTCACTGGGTCCATTTCATCTAGCAATGAAATCTACATTAAGGGGAAAAATCACTATTCCTGTACGATAACCCGCTTAAGTTCAACAAGAAAACTTTATTATTTAAGAATTTCTTTATAAAACTGAACTATATGTTCATGCATTATAATTCCAGGAAACTAAAGAACATAAAATTACCTTTAAAAGCTAATGTGGAGAATTTCAGGGGAAAATCAGTATTAACTTATAGTTTTATTATTGATATAAAAGAAAACTTCAAATACTGTACAGTAAGGTGTGCTGTAGAACACTATAATACACTATTACCAATTATTCATTACTCAAATGTAATATATACAGTAATCACGAAATCGGAAAATAATGGGCAACAGCCAGTGCCTTAAGGGTGAAATAACATCTATACTATTTTATTGAGCAGTTAAAGCACTTGCTATTTTTCTAAATATTTACACTATTACTGCTTATGTTTACAAATTCTAAGTATCATTTCCCTCCAAAAAGTAGACTTTCCAGTTCTTGGCACTAATTCTTAGTCAAATAAGCCTGAAAATACTGGCAACCTTTTCAGTCTTGCATTGCTCTACCACAGGCATAATAAGGGCTCAGGACGAGATTTCTGCATTCTAAAGAAAAGTAGGCAATACCTTAAAAATTTAAAAACTAAGTAATTGATACTCACAAGCAGGTAACATCAACTAAAACTTTTTTCTTTACTAATTTTTCCTTTTCTTTTACAAGAGAATAATCATTAATATTATACTACAAAAGCATGTAGTCTCCATAATTAAAAAATTAAATGTCAGATATACAAGTAATGGCATTTTCTCCAATAATTCATAATTTTTACAATTTCTGCTATTTTGGAACAAACATTAAAATTCCCACGATTTAAGTATCATTAAATATGAACTGAAACACTTAGCATCTCAAAGAATTATCAAGAATGGTAGAACTTGTAATTAACTCTATAACTTACATGGGTGATATAGTTCCCCTTTGTTGTTTTATTTCTTAAATATACATTCTACTAAGGAATATTTTCATGTGAACAGCTCTGGTTTGAAAAATTAATTTATACTGTGAAGAGCCTTAAGGTTGTACAATTTTGTTAAATTATATGATAACCTTGAATGGTAGGATGCATTTACTCAACTTAGAATATGGCGCTATTATTATTATAAATGGTGGTTTTTAATTCACATTAAGATAGGTGGAATTTAATCCAATTTTGCAAAGGCTTTGTGTTTATAAAAATCTTAAGATGGAAACCTTGCTTTGAGAACCATAAAACTCAAAATCTGTGTAGTATTTTAAGTATGAACCAATTGAAATTACTGTTGAAAAATGAAGACAAAACTGTATTGATATTCTGAAATAAACACTTTATGCTGCCACTATATTGACCAGTTGAAGTGTAATTAATGACAGAAGTAAATTTTTTACCTAAAGGTTAGTTATTAGTGAGGTCTACATATTTAGAGAGTTATTCAGTAGCAGATAGTATTGGTAGGTAACTACATAAAACAATACTTTTATACATTTTGCATTTAGTAGCTAACATGTGATGTCAGTACAATTCTCAAAAACCTGTCATTAGTAGTATGAGTTGCTAGCAAGTGATCTTCCCTGAGGTAAGAGACCATATGCAAAAGTCAGTGTTCATCTCCAATGAAGATACTTAAAAATAATGGCAATAAGGACCTGTGGCCAGGAATTACAGATGCATTTCAGATTGATATCTTAATTGCAAGCAGTAGGCTTGACTGTAAAAACCAAACTAAAAATCACTGGAAGACACAGAGCCAGTATCAGTCAATAGCATTTGCTAACTTTCTCAGGCCTCTACCCTAACATTTTCCAATAAAAATATCTGAAACAGAGTGAAGCGGGAGAAATGGGTTTGCTCTTTAACTAGTTCCTGAGTAACCATTCTCATGGAGTTAATTATATTCTATCTTAATATATGGCAGCATCTTGTTTTCTTCAATTTACAACAATTTCTCATTACCAGTATTCTAGATACATACTATCTTCAACACTACCTGGACTTTAGGTCATCAACTTAAATTTGGTATGATTAACTATAAAATGGATTACTGAAGAAAAAATTTACAACTTTATTTCAATGTTTAGTGAAGCACTGCAAACAGAATTGCAGGAATGCATTTTAGTTATAATGTTACCTCTAGGGCTAAAAAAAAAAAAAAAAACAAATTTACCTGAGATGTCTAGCTTGCACGCCAAGATGTGGCTATATCACAAATGGCAGTACTAGAAAAATAACCATGCTATAGTCATGTATTTGGTTATGAAAACCATATGGAAAGACAAAGGATGATATTTAAAAACTTAAAAGAAACCCTATTCTAAAACTTCTTTGTGAGGATACCTGGCCTACTTCTCAAAAACCATCAATTCACCCCAACCAAATTTTCAGCTGATTTGAAAGAATTTCAAGAAATTTGATCACTTATCAGAATTGAGCCTTTTATTCATTTATCAAGGGAGAACCCAAACTATTACTGTACTATTCATACCTAACTGGCTTTTAAATAGCATTGCTGTAGCTAGAGAAATTAATAAAGTTGTCAGAGATTAAGTCCATCTTCTAACATTCACATACGCATTCCAATTTGCACTAAATGTAAGAATAGGGAGATAAAGTTTGTTTCTGGTATTTTATGTTAATGCTATGAGATATCTGTCAGTTATCAATGAAGAAAATATTTGTTAAAGAAGATTATATCATTTTACATGAAAGCAGTGCATTTTTTGCTTAAACAGTTTTCCTGTATTTAAATCCCCCCAAAAAAAGTTCCAGTGGCTGAAAAAGCCAAAAATAATTATAGTGGTTAGTGAAGTGATATTTGTAATTCGTAGTTTAATACACAGAAGCCACCTTTACTAAGTAGTAAATAGTATTTGGTAGCTACAGCTCTTATTTTATGCAAAAATAGTGTACAATATAAAAGTTTAAAAATTTCCTGCTGTTTTGATAGGGAGAAAATTTAGGATGAAGATAAAATATAAAGACAAACGTGATAATGTGATAAAAACTAACCCAAATATATATTTTGCTCAGATACACCTGTAAAATGTCTAGATTCTCCATTCTTTCCTTATTTAAAATAGAGTAGTTTGTTTAAGAAGTGGATTCAGTTAGAGATACTTTCACAGAAAGATGACCAAAATCTGCCTTATCTGGAAACACAAGTTAAAGTACTGTCTATATCCCTTATGAATCAACAGGCAGAGATTTTTAAACATCTGATAAAATACTTTCTGACATACATTTTCTTAGAATTACAAACACAGTTCTGCATCTGTTACATGTGCAAACAGAGACAGCCAGGCTTTGAATGCTCTAGGTAAGAGATTGTATTAACATATATTTTGTCTTTCAGCCATTCAAATTCAACTTAATTTCAGTGAACAGAGAAGAATATGGGTTGAAATGTACACTTCAGGATACAGATTTGCAGAATAAAATAAAATAGTGCAATACCAATCTCAGGATAAACACTCTTCTGTTGTTTTTAAGGAATAAGCATGAAAGCTGCTTCTCAAGGAAACTGGCACTGAAGATTTGATGAATACACTAAGCAAATACCCAGCTGATCAGGGTGTGATGCAGTAAAATTTGCATCTAAACCCAAGTGAAGCCAACAAATAAACTCTTATGGATTCTGAAAAAAAAAAAAAAATTTTGGCTCAAAGGGGCATAAATACACTTAGCATATACAGGCTTAAATACCACTGATCAAAATTGTAGAACAATTAACTCATTCATAAAGATAAACTCTTATTTATAAATTCTCTACTGCTACCATTATTTCTTTTTCTACCACACTTTGCAATCAACTTTTCTGCAAGATTAAAAAAAAAAAAATCAGGTTGTTCTTGACCAAGCCAGGAATCAAAAATAATGGTAACATATTAATAGAGCACACACAATTGGCTGTGGCTCAGACAGCAACACAACTGAATCACATTGACCTCATCAATCTAGAAGAAATTTTTCCCCAATCTTGCACAAATCAGCAAAATGTTATATCGTTACATTCTATTCTCAAGATATTTTCGCCAAGAAATCTCTATGAATGTGTTTACGTTCATAGAAACATTTGCATTCCACTGTCTAATAAATAATTGTATGAATTTTAAGATACAATTTAGTTCAGATAAAATTCAAGTTTACATAAACCTTTTGACACTAGTATATGAGATGGTTACCTTGATGACATCAACATTAGCACAATCTCATTTCCCCTCCATTTGTAGGCTTTTCAGAAATCAAACGTATTTAAGTAAGAGAATTTTCATGTTGGAAACATTAAGACTTTCATGGAATTAAAATTACAAAGAACTTCCAATGAACCACATATATGGAAGAAAGTCATCTCAGCAGATCTAACAGCTAATTTATAGAAATTCAGAGCCAGCCTGGGCAGCAGTATATTAAAAGCTATGGCCAATCACACACTTGCTATCATGCACTGAATAACAAGATATAATCTTTGAATTATATACGTACAAGATTTTTAATGACTAATCAAGTTACGTGGCCCAGCCAACAAATATTACATATTCACAATAAACATTCTGCCTTTATTAGCCTCTAATTAAATCAAGAGTGATCCATTGGCTCAGTTGTGTTAGTCATCTCAGCATCTTGACTATCCATCTCTTCAAGCTCCTCCACGGAATTTCCCCTTTGTGCTTTTGACCTTGTGGCAAAGGCTGCTCCCAGTGCATCTGCTACACAGCCATCAGTTGTTTCTGTATTCAAATTTTCAGTACCACCAGTTAAAGGAAAAGATTCAGGCAAACCAGTCTGAAGACTCCCAGACTTTGCAGAAGAACTCACAACTTCTGTTTTCCTTTGAGGAAGATCAGATGGTGACTGCTCTGTACTTTGATCCCGAAGGTGCCTGTCCATTGAAGCCTGAATAGAAGAAACCATTTCCTGCAATTTTTTTCGCTGGGCCTCAACCAAATCAGGATCAAGCTGCCTGCCGTCTCTCATTGTTACTACTCCAGGAGCTATTCGAATAAGCTCACTATTACTAGAAGAAGCTGTGAATACAGAAGGCTCTGTTTTAGTGGAACTATTACTAAAGTCTGTCCCTGTATTATGCTTTCTTACAACTGAAGTTTCCCTAGCTCTTGGATCAAGGTGTGGGTTACCAGATGCAGTTCCTAAAGAATGCCCTTTTCCCTGAAAGGCAGTTACGTTATGAAGTTGCTCAGATTTCTTTTTCACTACTCCACCACTACCTAGTTTTAATAGCCCATGTGAGGGACTTGATTCCCTACTTCTTGTAGTAGCCTCTGCTCGAACCTGACTTACAGCCTCTTTAACTAAATCTTCAACATCAGGACCAATGGGGAAATGTCCTGCAGCATCCACACACAATTCCAGTCTATCTTCAGAAGCATTATAGACAAAGGTTTTGCCAGGCAGATGTGGAAAAGTACAATGCTTGCCATCAGCCATACCTAAAAAGGGGAAAAGATATTTAACATATTAAAATCTTAAGGTATTAATAAAAGTGTAGTCAAGACAATTATAGTTAAAATAATGAATTTTAAATAACAATTTACAGATAACAGCTTTCAAAACAAAATTCATTCAGATTTATTGTATTACAAAAAAGAACCACCGCCATAGACCCTAAAGTAGTTCTCCCCAGAGAATCTTTTTTAAAAAAATTTTTTTGCTATCTTAACTAACAGCAAAGTTAAGAATGGGGCTTGAGGTCACACAGTGGCTCACACATGTAAACCCAGCACTTTGGGAGGCTAAGGCAGGTGGATCACCTGAGGTCAGGAGCTCGAGACCAGCCTGGCCAACGTGGTGAAACCCCAACTCTACTGAGAATACACAAAATTAGCTGGGCATGGCAGCAGGCGCCTGTAATCCCAGCTACTTGGGAGGCTGAGGCAGGAGACTCACTTGAACCTGGGAGGCAGAGGTTGCAGTGAGCTGAGATTGCGGCACTGCACTCCAGCCTGGACAATAAGAGTGAAACTCTATCTCAAAAAAAAAAAAAAAAAAAAGAATGGAGCTTGAGGCCAGGTGCAGTGGCTCATGCATATAATCCCAGCACTTTGGGAGGCAGACAGGTGGATCACTTGAGGTCAGGAGTTCAAGACCAGCCTGGCCAAAATGTTGAAACCCAGTCTCTACTAAAAATACAAAAATTAGCTGGGCATGGTGGTGTGTGAGCCTGTAGTCCCAGCTACTGGGGAGGCTGAGGCAGGAGAATTGCTTGAACCCAGGAGGCGGAGGTTGCAGTGAGCCAAGATGGCGCCGCTATACCACTATACTCCAACCTGGGTGACAAAGCAAGACTCCATCTCAAAAAAAAAAAAAAAAAAAAAAAAGGTTTTGCAGGTGTTTCCAGATTGCTACTGAGATGCTTTTCCTTGGCTATCCCTAGAAAGAATCATAGTTCCACACATGTTCATCACAGTATTACTTACAATGAAACAATGGAAAAAAATCTAAATTTTCAACAAGAAATAAGTAAATTATTTCCTATCTACCTGTTGGAAGTATATGCAGTTATTAAAATTTAGATAAATAGGCCCGGCACAGTGGCTCACACCTGTAATCCCAGCACTTTGGGAGGCCAAGGTGGGCAGATCATGAGGTCAGGAGTTTGAGACCAGCCTGGCCAACAGAGTGAAACCCCATCTCTACTAAAAATACAAAAATTAGCCAGGCATGGTGGTGCGCGCCTGTAGTCCCAGCTACTCAGGAGGCTGAGGCAGGGAGAATTGCTTGAACCCAGGAGGTGGAGGTTGTGCTGAGACAAGATTGCACCACTGCACTCCAGCCTGGGCAACAGAACAAGACTCCATCTAAAAAAAAAAAAATTCAGATAAATAATGCTTGAACCCAAGAGGCGGAGGCTGCAGTGAGCCCAGATCATGCCACTGCACTCCAGACTGGGCAACAGAGTGAGACTCCGTCTCAAAAAAAAAAAATTTAGATAGGAAGCTGTGATGCCTGATATATACAGTAAAATGTGCATGATGCTGCAACAGCAGGAAACAAATATAAGTACTATGATTACAATCTTGCCTAAAACATGTATGTATAAGACAAATATTTTTAAATGATAGGTGATGTTTCCCATTTCTATAGTTTCTGCACGTTTATATTGTTATTAAAAAACTCCAGCCAGGCGTGGTGGCTCAGCACATTGGGAGGCTGAGGCGGGAGGATCGCTTGGAGTTTGTTTCCAACAAACAAAGGCTAGGAGTTTGATACCAGCTGGGCAACATGGTAAGACCCTGGTCTCTACAAAAAAAACAAAAGGTTAGCTGAGGGTGATGGCATACACCTATAGTCTCAGCTTTTTGGGAGGCTGAGGCAGGAGGATCACTGAGCTCTGGAGTTTTAGGCTGCAGTGAGCTATTACTGAGCCACTGAACTCCAACATGGGTGATAGCAAGAAACTGTCTAAAAACAAAACAAAACAAAAAACAAACACCCCAATTTAAAATATATATTTAAAAATCAATGGATATGCCGGGCACAGTGGCTCACACCTGTAATCCCAGCACTTTGGGAGGCCTGGGCAACAGAGCAAGACTCCATCTCAAAAAAAAAAAAAAAAAGATATACTTTAAATACAACACAAATACTGTTGTGATACTTCTAAGCATAATTGTTTAGGGGTTTTTTTTGGCAGGTATAGACAGAATGTTCAGATTTTATATAGTCCTTCAAATTTTAATTCAAATTTTAAGAAGCAAGGCACATTAAAATTTCTCTATCACATATCAACAATTCCATTACTTAGGGCCGGGCACGGTGGCTCACACCTGTAATCCCAGCACTTTGGGAGGCTGAGGCGGGCGGATCACAAGGTCAGGAGATCGAGACCATCCTGGCTAGCACAGTGAAACCCCATCTCTACCAAAAATACAAAAAAAAATTAGCCAGGCGTGGTGGCAGGCACCTATAGTCCCAGCTACTCGGGAGGCTGAGGCAGGAGAATGGTGTGAACCCAGGAGGTGGAACTTGCAGTGAGCCAAGACCGTGCCATTGCACTCCAGCCAGGGCGACAGAGCGAGACTCCGTCTCAAAACGAAACAAAACAAAAATTCCATTACTTATATATGCTAATGACATGTATAGTATTTATAGTTACATTATTCTTTACATTAAAAACCCAGAAACTACCCAAAAGCTCATGAGCAGAACAATGAATTGTGTTAAAAACAATACAACAGAATACTATGCAGCAGTGAAAATGAATAACCTACAGTTGAACTCATCAATACAGATGTATCTGAAAAAGTGTTGCTAAACTAAACAAGTCAGCCAGGTTTGGGGCTCATGCCTGTAATCCCAGCACTAGGGGAGGCAGAGGCAAATTGACTACTTGAGCCTAAGAGTTCCAGCCTGGGCAACCTAAGGAGACCTCACCTCTACAAAAAATTTAAAAAATTAGCTGGGTGTAGTGGCATATGCCTGTAGTCCCAGCAACCTGGAAGACTGAGGCAGAAGGATCACTTGAGCCAGGGAGGTTGAGGCTGCAGGAAGTTGTGATCATACCACTGCGCTCCAGCCTGAGAGTAAAACCCCATCTCAAAAAAAAAAAAAAAAAGGCCAGGCGCGGTGGCTCACGCCTGTAATCCCAGCACTTTGGGAGGCCAAGGCGGGTGGATCACGAGGTCAGCAGATCAAGACCATCCTGGCTAACACGGTGAAACCTCATCTCTACTAAAAACACAAAAAATTAGCCAGGCGTGGTGGCGGGCGCCTGGAGTCCCAGCTACTCAGGAGGCTGAGGCAGGAGAATGGTGTGAACCCAGGAGGCAGAGTTTGCAGTGAGCCGAGATCACGCCACTGCACTCCAGCCTGGGCGACAGAGCGAGACTCCTGTCTCAAAAAAAGAAAGAAAGAAAGAAATCATAGAAGAAGGTATACAGCATAATTCCATTTTTATAAAGTTCAAACACAGGCAAAGTTGAGTATTATATAGTTAAAACTAAATTTGCCATTCATTTCTTCATTTCTCTGTACAAAAACCTGCAAGAAAACTTTCTCTCTCTCTCTCTCTCTCTCTCTCTCTCTCTCTATATATATATATATACATATATTTTGTGGGGGACAGGGTCTCACTCTGTCAACCAGGCTGGAGTACAGTGGTGTGTGATCATGGCTCACCATGGCCTCAGCCTCCTGGGCTCAAGTGATCCTCCCACGTCAGCCTCACCAGTAGCTGAGACTACGGGCACATGCCACCACACCTGGCCAATTTTTCTATTTTTAGTAGAGACAGGGTTTCATCATGTTGCCCAGGCTCGTCTCAAACCCCTGGGCTCAAGCCATCTGTCCGCCTTGGCCTCCCACAATGCTGGGAATACAGGCATGAGACACCACACCTGGCCGAAAACTTACTATATTTTAAGCCAATTAATTTTATTCTTTTTTTTTTTTTTTTTTTTTTTTTTGGTGTTGCTGGGGTTGGGGGAAATGGTGTCTGCTCTCAGCTCTGTTGCCTAGGCTGGAGTGCAGTGGTGCGATCTCGGCTCACTGCAGCCTCCTCCTCCCAGGTTCAAGCGATTCTCATGCCTCAGCCTCCTGGGTAGCTAGGATTACAGGGGCCTGCCACCATACACAACAAATTTTTGCATTTTTTGTAGAGACAGGGTTTCACCATGTTAAATGATCTGCCCACCTAGGGTGGGCAAAGTACTGGGATTATAGGCATGGACCACTGTACCTGGCCTGAGCCAATTAATTTTAGAATACCTTTCCAAAAATGAAGAACAGAAATAGTAATAGTATAGTTTAGTTATAATGGGCAATACTGTTTTTCAAATGTAGATGTAACCATCTATATGTTAAGGTGGATTTGAATAAAATAAGAGAGTTATGTATGCTCCTTTCCTGTTTTTGGAAGACGGAGGTAAATGGCTGGGGTTGAGAGGGGCTTGATACGTTTTGATTCTTTGACCACAGGATGATGATGATGATGATAATAATAAATGGGAGCTACATGATGAGAACATATGGACACAAAGAGGGGAACAACACACACTTGGGCCTTTCGGAGCATAGAGGGTGGGAGGAGGGAGGATCAGGTGGGTGCTAGGCTAAATATCTGGGTGATGAAATAATCTGTGCAACAAATCCCCATGACACAAGTTTACCTAGGTAACAAACCTGCACTTGTACCCCGAACTTAAAAATAATAGTAATAATTTGCCACATGAATCTGTTATAAAAATATAGAGAAAAATTTACCACAAATATCAGAAAAAAATTCTATTTTGGAAGGTACTTTTCTGAGGATGATCCATTTCAAATGGCTGTGTTATAGTCAGAATTTTAATTTTGTGAACAGCTAGAATTCTAATAACAACAACAAACATTTGCTAAGTATTTATTAGGTACCAGATCATTTGCTAACTGCTATACATCCACCATCTCCTTTGATCCTCACAATCACCCTGACATTATCATACCCACTTTACAAATAAACTGACACTTAGAAGTCAGAGTGTAATACATCCAGAATTTGATCTCAAATGTTCTGACTCTGATACAGAAAGGAGGCAGGTAAATACTAGGCAGAAAAGGGCAAGGTCCCTAGTGGAGGCCCACCCTCAAGCCTGGACCCGCGGCCCAAAGTGAGAACATGTATTCCTGTTTTTCCGCTCAAATGTTGCTTTTTGGCCTGCCCTGCCCCCCATCCTGTACCCATAAAAACCCCAGGCAGACCAGCAGACTGGCAGAGTGGCAGAGAACGAGAGAAGAGAAGAAACAGCTGGATGTCAGAGAAAAGTAGCTTGACTTCAAAGGGATGGCTTGACGGGGGGTACTTCAGGGAAGAGTTTGGCCGGGGACAGCTGAACTCCAGGGGAAGACCACCTTTCCAGTCCATCCCCTTTCCAGCTCCCCACCCCACTGAGAGCCACCTCCACCACTCAAAAAAATCCTCCACATTCACCACCCTTCAATTTGTTCGTGCAACCTGATTCTTCCTGGATGCCAGAGAAGAACTTGGGTACCAAGAGGGTGGGTGCAAAAGGCTGTCACCCTGACCCTTCAATGAGCTGTTAAGCACTTAAGCTATTTGTGGAGGGGAAAGATAAAAGGGCACACTGTTAACACATGCCCTCTGGGGCCCTGGGGGCCACAGGTACCCCCCTAGATGCTGCTGCAGGGCCGCACAGAGTTCTACTCCTGCTGGTGCCCAGAAGCACTCATCCCGGCCCCTGTATCTGCTGACCTGTGTGCTGCCTGTCCCATGAAGGGTTGAGAGCTGCGGGCTAAGTAAGCAAGCCAACCCCTTCACAAGCCCCTCGGGGGTCAAGGGAACTATCCCGTTTCAACTCCAGAGCTCTAAACTACCTCTTAATGATAAATACCACATGTAACATTCTAGGAAATATGACAACTCTATTGAGATATAGTTCACATACAATTCACCCATTTTAAATGTATAAACAAATGGTTTGGGACATATATATATAGTTTTTTTTTTTAGAGACAGAGTTTCCCTCTATCACCCAGGCTGCAGTGTGGTAGTGCAATCATAGCTCACTGCGATCTGGGTTCAACAGATCCTTCCACCTCAGCCTCCCAGTGCTGGGATTACAGGCATGAGCTACTGTGCATAGCCAGTTTTTAGCGTATTCACAAAGTTGTGGAACTTTTAGAACAGTTTCATCACCCCAAAAAGAAACCCTGAACCTTAGCAGTCATTCCCTCTACCTCATTCCCAGCCCTAGGGAAGCCACAGATTCACTCTCTGTTTCTCTAAGTGTTCCTATTCTGGATATTTCACTATATGCTCTTTTGTGACTGGCTTCTTTCACATGGCATAATGTTTTCAAGGTTCTTCCATGATGTAACAAGTACCAATACTTTACTACTTTTTATTGCCAAATAATATTTCACTGTATGGCTATAACACATTTTATTTATCCAATCATCAGTTGATGGACATTTTAGTAACTTCCATTTTAGGCTATGATGAATAATGCACCTATGAACATTTGTGTACAAATTTTGTGTGGACATATGTTTCCATTTATCTTGTGTATACACCTAAGAGTAGAACTGCTGGATCATATAGTAACTCTACATTTAACCTTTTGAGGAACTGCCAAAGTTCCCAAGTGGCTGCATCATTTTTACATTCCTACCAGCAATGTATGAGGGTTCCAATTTCTCTACATTCTCGCCTACAATTCTTATTATGTGACTTTTGGACCACAGCCAGGCTAGTGAGTATGAAGTATTATACCATCCCATTTTTCTTTTGATTTGCATTCCCCTGATGACTAATGATGTTTAGCATCTTTTCACGTGTGATTGGCCATTTATATATTTTCTCTGGAGAGAAATTTATTCATATCTTTTGCCCATTTTTAACTGTTATTTGTCTTTTTTGTTTAGTTGTAAGAGTTCTTTATATTCTAGATACAAATCCATTCTCAGATACATGTTTGCAAAAATTTTCTCCCATTCTGTGGTTGTGTATTTACTTTCTTGATAGTATAATTTGTAGCACAGAAGTTTGCTTTTTATTTTTTTCTCTTGTTATTTATGCTTTTATTTTTGTATCTAAGATTATGCCTAATCCAAGGTCAATACAGTTTATGCTTATGTTTTCTTCTAAGAGTTTTCTAGTTTTAGCAGGTAAACTTAGGTCTTTGATCTATTTTGAATTAATTTTGTATATGGTGTGAGGCAGAGGTCAAACCTGAGGTAGACATCAAACTTCAATATTTTGCATGCTAATATCTAATTGTCTGAGGACCACTTGTTGAAAAGACTATTCTTTCCCCGCTGAATTGTCTCAGCAACACAGTTAACATTTAAAAAATAATTTCAAACTAGAAACAAAACTATTTTGAAAATAGTAAAGATAGCCATCCCCATGCCACCCCCTTATCCTTCAACCCCCTCCCACACACAAAACACAACTGAAGGAAATTATTTGCAGTTGCATGGAAGATAGTGCATATTGATCCAGATTACTGGAATCCCCATAATCCATCCTAATTAAATACTAACTTCTAAAAACCACTAATTAGTATCAATATATTTCAGAAAGTAGAATTTAAAAAAAGAAGAAAATAAAACAAAGTAGAATGAAATGAAAGATAAAAAGTTTAAAAGGGATGTAAAAAGGCCAGGCATGGTGGCTCACACCTGTAATCTCAGCACTTTGGGAGCCCGAGGTGTGCAGATCACCTGAGGTCAGGAGTTCTAGACCAGCCTGGCCAACATGGCGAAACCCCATGTCTACTAAAAATACAAAAATTAGCCAGGCATGGTGGCACATGCCTTTAATCCCAGCTACTTGGGAGGCTGAGGCAGGAGAATCACGTCAACTCGGGAGGTGGAGGTTAAAGTAAGCTGAGATCACGGCACTGCACTCCAGCCTAGGCAATAGAGTGAGACTTCATCTCAGAAAGAAAAAAAAAAGATGTTAAAAAAAAGGGAAGGGAAGGGATGCTTAGAGAGAAATTTATAGCTTTAAATGCCTACATTAAAAAAAAATTTGTAGGCTGGGCATGGTGCCTCATGCCTGTAATCTCAGCACTTTGGAAGGCCAAGGTGGGTAGATCTCTTAAGGCCAGGAATTCAAGACTGGCCTGGCTAACATGGCGAAACCCTGTCTCTACTAAAAATACAAAAATTAGTTGGGCATAGTGACGCACACCTCTAATCCCAGCTACTCGGGGAGGCTGAGGCATGAGAATTGCTTGAATCCGGGAGGCGGAGGTTGCAGTAAGCCAAGATTGCACCACTGCACTCCAGCCCAGGCAAGAGATTGAGACTCTGTCTCAAAAAGTAAAATAAAGAAATAAGAAAAAAAAGAGCAAATTAAACCTAAAGCAAGCATAAGGAAGGAAAAAATAAACATAAAAGCAGAAATCAATGAAACTGAAATCAGAAAAATAACAAACAAAAAAAACCCTATGAATCCAAATGTTTCTTTGAAAAGATCAACAGCCAGAATGGACAGCCAAAAAAAAAAAAAAAAAAAGAGGCACAAGTTGCCAAGATCAGAAATGAAAGAACTACAGATTTCTACAGACATTAAAAGGACAATAGGGGAATACTAGAAACAACTTTATGCCAATACAGTTGATAACTTGGATGAAATGGGCAGATTTCTTAAAAGACAAAACTAACAAAGCTTACTCAAGAAGAAACAGATAATTTTAAAAGTACTCTATTAAAGAAATTAAATTTGTAGCTAAAAAACTGCCCAGCAAAGAAAACTCTAAGCAAAGATGGTTTCACTGGTGAATTCTACCAGTTAAAACTATTATAAAATCTACCAAAAAACAGAAGAAAAGAGGAGGCAATGCTTCTCAGTGCTATTTTATGAAGCCAACATTACCCTGATTAAACAGTCATTACAAGAAAACTAGATAATTATCCTTCCTGAACACAATCACAAAAACACTCAACAAAATATTAGCAAATTAAATCCAGCAAGTAAAGTTCGTTCAACATTCAAAAAAATCAATGTAATTCACGCTATCAACAAACCAAAAGAGAAAAACCATATGATCATCTTGATACATGTAGGAAAAGAGCATCTCACAAAATTCAACCTCCATTCATAATATAAACTCTCAACAAACCCAGGAATAGAAAGAAATGTCCTCAATCAATCCTCAATCTTACAAAAGGTATCTGTGAAAAACCTGCAAGCTGAATGCTTCCAAGATATGGAAAAAGGAAATAATGTCTACTCTCACCTTTCCGACTCAACACTGAACTAAAGGTCCTAGCCATTGCTAATAAAATTGTCTTTTATTTCCAAAACACATGATGATCTACATAGACAAGGATCTGCTAAAAGTTGCTAAAATATGTGAGTTTAGCAAGGTCACACATGGGGTACAAGGGCAATCAAGGGCAATGTAAAAAAAAAAAAAAAATTTTAGGCCAGGTGCAGTAGTTCACACCTGTAATCCTAGCACTTTGGGAGGCTGAGGCGGGCGGATTACTTTGAGCTCAGGAGTTTGAGACCAGCCTGGGCAATACAGTGAAACCCCGTCTCTACAAAAAATACAAAAATTAGCTGGGTGTGGTGGCCCACATCTGTGGTCCCAGCTACTTGGGAGGCTGAGGCTGGAGAATCGCTTGAGCCCAGTTGGTGGTGGGACACAGGTGGTGGGGGTTGCAGTGGGCTAAGATTGCGCCACTGCACTCCAGCCTGGGTGATGGAGTGAGACCCTGTATCCAAGAAAAAAAAAAAAAAAAAGAGGCCGGGCATGGTGGCTCATGCCTGTAATCCCAGCACTTTGGGAGACTGAGGCAGGCAGATCACGAGTCAGGAGTTCGAGACCAGCTTGGCCGACATAGTGAAACCCCGTCTCTACTAAAAATAAAAAAATTAGCTGGGCATTGTTGCGTGCACCTGTAGTCTCAGCTACTCGGGAAGCTGAGACAGGAGAATCGCTTGAACTCAGGAGGCAGAGGTTGTGGTGAGCTGAGATTGCACCACTGCACTGGCGCAATGGGCAACAGAGCAAGACTCCATCTCAAAAAATAAAACAAAAGAAAAAGAAAGCCAATTTTATTTCTATGTACTAGAAATGAACAATAAGAAAATTGAAATTTGTAGAAGCATCTTTTACAGTATCATCCAAAAAACAAATATTTCACAGTATAAATCTAACAAACTATGTGTCAGACCTATCTGCTGTAAACTACAAAATTTTGATGAGAGATATTAAAGACTTAATGAAGAAATATAACATTTTTGGTCAGGCACAGTGGCTCACGCCTGTATCTCAGAACTTTGGGAGACTGAGGCAGGAGATGGCTTGAGCCCAGGAGTTCAAGACTAGCCTGGGCAGCAATATGGCAAAACCCTGTCTCTACAAAAAAAAAAAAAAAAAAAAAATTAGCAGGGCGTGGTGGTGCGCACCTGTAGTCCCTGCTACTCAGAAGGCCAAGGTGGGAGATCAACTGAGCCAGGTAGGTCAACGATGCAGTAAACTGTGATTGTGTCACTGCACTCCAACCCGGGTAACAAAGTGGGACCCTGTCTCAATAAAACCAAAAACAAGAAATATAACATCTTCATGATTCAAAAGACTCGTTGTCAAGATATCAACTGTCCCCAATTTGATCTATACAGATGCTCCTCAACTTACAACGGGTTACAGCCAGATAAACTCAAAGTCAAAATGCATTTTTTTTTTTTTTTTTGAGACAGAGTCTTGCTCTGTCACCCAGGCCGGAGTGCCAGCAGTGTGATCTCGGCTCAATGCAACCTCCACCTCCTGGGTTCAAGGGCTTCTCCTGCCTCAGCCTCCCAAATAGCTGGGATTATGGGCGCATGCCACCACACCTGACTAATTTTTATATTTTTAGTAGAGACGGGGTTTCACAGTGTTGGCCAGGCTGGTCTCAAACTCTTGACCTCAAGTGATCCGCTTGCCTCGGCCTCCCAAAGTGCTGGGATAACAGGCCACTGTGCCTGGCCCAAAATGCATTTAATACCCTGATAAACCCATCATAAAGTCAAAAAGTCCTAAATCAGGCACAGCCTGTATATTCAATGCAATCACAATAAAAATCCTGGCAGACTCTTTTTGAAGAAATCAAGCTGATTCTAAAATTTATATGGATAGGCCAGGCGCGGTGGTTCACGCCTGTAATCCCAATACTTTGGGAGGCTGAGGAAGGCAGATCACTTGAGGTCAGGAGTTTGAGATCAGCCTGACCAACATAGTGAAACCTTGTCTCTACGAAAATTACAAAAATTAGCCAGGTGTGGTGGTGTACGCCTGTAATCCCAGCTACTCAGGAAGCTGAGGCAGGAAAGAATTGCTTGAACCCAGGAGATGGAGGTTGCAGTGACCCAAGATCGTGCACTCCATCCAACCTGGGTGACGGAGTGAGACTCCATCTCAAAAAAATAAATAAATACAGAAGTTCGAGACCAGCCTGGGCAACATGGTGAAACCCCGTCTCTACTAAAAACACAAAAAATTAGCCGGGTGTGGTGGTGTGCACCTGTAATCCCAGCTACTCAGGAAGCTGAGACAGGAGAATCACTTGAACCCAGGAGGCAGAGGTTGCAGTGAGCCAATATCTCACCACTGCACTCCAGCCTAGGCAACAGAGCAAGACTCTGTCTCAAAAATAAATAAATAAGTAAATTAAATAAATAAATAGGCCAGGCATGGTGGCTCACGCCTGTAATTCCAGCACTTTGGGAGGCCAAGGCGGATGGACCACAAGGTCAGGAGTTCAAGACCAGCCTAGCCAAGATGGTGAAACCCTGTCTCTACTAAAACTACAAAAATTAGCCAGGCGCGGTGGCAGGCGCCTGTAATCCCAGCTACTTGGGAGACTGAGGCAGGAGAATGGCTTGAATCTGGGAGGCAGAGGTTGCAGTGACCCAAGACTGCGACACTGCACTCCAGCCTGGGCAACAGAGTAAGACTCCATCTCAAAAACATAAGTAAGTAAATAAGTAAGTAAATAAATAAATAAATAAAAATAATAAAATTTATATGGATAAACAAAGGACTCAGAACACCCAAAACAATTCTGAAAAAGAAAAAAAGATGGAGGACTCACACTGATTTCAAGAATAACTATAAGATACAATAATCAGGATTATTACTGTACTGGAGAAAGGAGAGACATATAGATCAACAAAACAGAAAAGAGATTCTACAAATACTAATAGAACCACACATATAGTCAGTTGATTTAAGAAAAAGTAACTTCACTGAGGTATATTTTGCATATCACATAATTCATCCTTTTCAGGTGTATGACTCATGGTCAACTGATTTTTGACAAATATACCAAAATAATTCAATGGATAACATAAAGCCTTTTCAACAAATGGTGCTGGAACAACTGGTCATCCATACATTAAAAAATGAACCTTAACTCATACCCTGCAACATATTAAAAAATCAACTTGAAATGGATCATAAACCTAAATATAAAACCTAAAACTATAAACTCCTAGAAAAAAACACAATTGATTCTCCCACCTCAGCCTCCTGAGTAGCTGGGACCACAGGCACAAGCCCAACTATTTTTTATATATTTTTTATATTTTATATTTTTTATATTTTTAGTAGGGATGGGGTTTCATCATGTTGCCCAGTCTGGTCTTGAACTCCTGAGCAATCCGCTCACCTTGGCCTCCCAAAGTGCTGGGATTACAGGTGTGAGCCACAGTACCTGGCCAGTTACAGGTCTTTTAAAATGTGACACATCTATATCATGGAATACTACTCAGCAATAAAAAGGAATAAACTCTAGTTATTCAAAGTGTTTTTAAAAAACGAAGGAATAAACTAACACATGCAACAAGACAGATCTCAAAAGCATATTAAAACAAATAGGCACATTTTTTCTGTATAGGGCAACATTTGTGCACCATATGGTTTCTTTCACAAGTATTCAACTCTGCCACTGTAATGTGAAAGCAGCCATAGACAACATGTAATCATGAGTGTGGCTGTGCTCCAATAAAACTGTCTGTCTGTCTATCTATCTAATCTAATCTATCTAATTGATCATTTATCTAATCTATCTAATCTATCATCCATCCGTCCATCTACCTAATCTGTCATCTATCTGATCTAATCTATCCAATGTATCATCTATGTATCTAATCTATCTATCTATCTATCTATCTATCTATCTATCTATCTATCTATCTATCTGAGTCTCACTCTGTCACCCAGGCTGGAGTGCAGTGGCATGATCTTGGCTCACTACTACCTCCACCTCCTGGGTTCAAGCAATTCTCGGGTCTCAGCCTCCCAAGTAGCTGGGACTACAGTCGTGCACCACCACACCCGGCTAATTTTTTTGTATTTTTTGAAGAGATGAGGTTTTACCATGTTGGCCAGGCTGGTCTCACACTCCTAGCCTCAAGTGATCTGCCCAACTCGGCCTCCCAAAGTGCTGGAATTACAGGTGTGAGCCACTGTGCTCAGCCCCAGTAAAACTTTTAAGTATTCAGCCAGGCACAGTGGCTCACACGTGTAATCGCACACTTTGGGAGGCCGATGCAGGAAGATCACCTGAGCTCAGGAATTCAAGACAAGCCTAGGCAACATAGTGAGACCTTGTCTCTACAAAAAATGTAAAAAAAATTAGTCGGGCATGGTGGCTTATGCCTGTAGTCCCAGCTACTCAGTAGGGTGAAGGATGAGGATCACTTGAGCCCAGAGGATTGACGCTAGAGGCTGCAGTGAGTCACGATCATACCAGTGCACTCCAGCCTGGGCAACAGAGCAAGACTCTGTCTCAAAACTAGTAATAATAATAATAATAAATTATATAAACAGGCAGCAGGCTGGGTGCAGTAGCTCATGCTTGTAATCTGTCGCTTGTAATCCTAGCACTTTGGGAGGTCAAGGCGAGAGGATTGCTCGAGCTCAAGAGTTCAAGACCAGCCTGGGCAACATGGCGAAACCCCATCTCAACTAAAAATACAAAAAATTAGCTGGGCATGGTGGCACATGGCTGTGGTCCCAGCTACTTGGGAGGCTGAGCTGGGAGGATCACCTAAGCCCAGGTCAAGGCTGCAGTGAGCTATAACTGCACCACAGCACTCCAGCCCAGGAGATAGAGTGAGACCCTGTCTCTAAAACAAAAAAACAGGCAGCAGACTTGAGATGGCCCCACAGGCCACAGTTTGCCAATTCCTGTGCTAAATTAAAGATGCCGGACACAAAAGGTCACACTATAGGATTCCATTCACATGGTAATATGAAAAAGGCAAACATATAGGAGCAGAATCAAATCAATGGTTGTCAGGGCCTGGGATTGAGGAGAGTTGAATACAAAGAGGCACAAGAAAACTTTTTGGAGTGATGAAAGTATTCTATATTTTTATTACGGTGGTGGTGTTGGTTACATGACTATATATGTTTGTCAAAATTCATATACAGTATACAAAATTCGTATACTTGTAAGTCTGAAAAGAGTGAATTTTACTGTTTATAAATTATGCCTCAATAATCCTGTCTTAAAAGAAAAAAAACAAGGCTTTTTTTGGTCTCTGATTAAAGAAAAACCAAGAGAAGAAAACATTTTTTAGAAAATTATCAACGTTAATTATCAAGAAAATTCAAACACTGACTGGATATTTGGTGACATAAAAAATACTGTTCTTTTTTTAGGTTGTAATAATGACTTTTTTTTTTAAAGAGTCCTTATCTTTAGAAATACATATTGAAATTCAAAGGAGAAAATGAGAAGGAAAAAAAGGAAATATGTACCAATGTACTTACAGGTGAAATTATAGTATATCTGAGATTTACTTTAAAATAGTCCAATTAAAAAGGGGACAGAGATGTACTAATCATTATTGAGGCTGGGTAGTAGGTAAATGGGGATTCATTACATTACTCTTGCTACTTTTGTATATGTTTGAATATTTCTACAACAACCAAGTTGGAAGGAAAAAAAAGTGTATGAGGAAGAGATGAAAACAACAAGATTATGCAATTAATGCCTACAGTGGCCAGGTAGGTGAAATAGATAAGCCAGAACGGTAAATCTGGGGCCGAAAGCATTAACATAAAATCTTTGAAAAAAATGTGTGAAGTCCAAACACATGGCCTGGCAACCTCTCTCCTAAGACCACTCTGAAGATACAGACATACACTTGTACACAAGTCTATCTTTACAAACAATGTATGCACAATGTGAAAGAAGCTAAATGTATAATGAGCTGTATCCTAGAACTTAGAAAGCAATAAGATATACGCTAAATATGGCCAAACATAACAACAACAACACAAACATTATCTGGTTCTGGAATACTAGCATTATAAACAAATCTGCTTCTGATTTCACAATTTGTCTTTAGTTGTTAGGAATCATACACATGGCCGGGCGTGGTGAATTGCTTGAACCCAGAGGCGGAGGTTGCAGTGAGCCAAGATAGCGCCATCACACTCCAGTCTGGGGGACAAGAGCAAGACTTCGTCTCAAAAAAAAAAAAAAAAAAAAAAAAAAAAAGAATCATACACATGGCCGGGCACAGTGGCTCATGCCTGCAATCCCAACACTTTGGGAGGCCAAGGCGGGCAGATCACCTGAGGTCGGGAGTTCAAGACCAGCCTAATCAACATGGAGAAACCCCCATCTCTACTAAAAATACAAAATTAGCCGGGCATGGTAGCACATGCCTATAATCCTAGCTACTCGAGAAGCTGAGGCAGGAGAATCGCTTGAACCCAGGAGGCAGAGGTTGCAGTGAGCCGAGATCGCGCCATTGCACTCCAGCCTGGGCAACAAGAACGAAATTCCATCTCAAAAAAAAAAAAAAAAAAAGAATCATACACCCATACACATAATTTAAGTGAGAAAAGAATAGCAACAAAGTGATAGATTTTTAGTAATACTAGCAGAAAACATAGCTGACCATATCAGGGTAATAATTCATTTTAATTAGGCAAACTGCTAAAAGAATATAAACCTAAAATTAACTTTGAAAATATTTTAGTAGAAAACTATATGAACTTTCTTAATCTTAAAACAGCTTCAGTAGAGCTATTATTTAAGAATAAAATCAAATTAACTATACCCATGGTTTTCTTCATAATACTGTAGAATACACCACCCTGCTGAAACATGTGAGGAAGTCCCTTTGCATAAGACCATACATCTTCTCCTGTAAGACAAAAACAGATATAGTATTAGCAACAAACAAAAGAGTTCCATCCAGGGCTGCTTTAGTAAGGATTAGCCTAGAATAAACATCAAGGCAGAGCTCCTAAATGAGTGAAACAGCCTGACACGCCATAGAGGGATGATACTGAGTGACAGATTGTGGCATACTAGAAAATGCATGGCCTATCTAAATGTGCCAGCCACTGCCAAGTGCTGTCATGGAAGAGTGCACGCCTAGTGTCTCAAGACCATGTGGCTTTTCAAGAGAAGCCCAAAATTCAAGTTTTTAATATGAATTCTCCCAATTTTAAAATGTGGGAACTAATTAAAAAGCATCTTTAGAACTGCATGAGTCAACAAACATGGTGGCTCATGCCTGTAACCCCAGTACTTTGGGGGTCTGTGGATAGCCTGAGTTCAGGAGTTCCGATACCAGCTTTGGCAACATGGCGAAACTCTATCTCTACAAAAAAAAAAAAAAAAAATAGCTGGACGTGGTGGCATGTGCCTGTCATCCCAGCTACTTAAGAGGGCTGAAGCAGTGGAGTGGCTGGGGGGAACCCCTTGTGCACGGGAGGTGAAGGCTGCAGGGAGCAGTGTTTGCATCACTGCACTCTACCCTGCGTGACAAAGTGAGATCCTGTTTCAAAAAAAGAAAAAACCACAAGTCAAGATAGTCAATATTATGATGAACAAAATATATCTGAAGACTCAATCCAGCTCAAAGGAAACTAGTCTGTAAACTCTGTACTAGAACAGATAAGATTATTGAAAGATATTTTTGGGCCAGGCATGGTGGCTCACTCACACCTGTAATCCCAGCACTTTGGGAGGCCCAGGCAGGCAGATCACCTGAGGTCAGGAGTTCGAGACCAGCCTGGCCAACATGGTGAAACCCTGTCTCTATTAAAAATACAAAAATTAGCTGAACGTGGTGGCGTGCACCTGTAGTTCCAGCTACTTGGAAGCTGAGGCAGGAGAATAGCTTGAACCCAGAAAGTGGAGGTTGCAGTGAGCTGAGATCGTGCCATTGCACTCTAGCCTGTGCTACAAGAGCAAAACTCTATCTCAAAAAAAAAAAAAGATATTTTTGAAAGTAAAATACAAAATTGTAAATATAAATTTTATATTTATATTAAAACCAAGAAATAAACAGAAGGGGCTATTTCAGTACTTATTTCAGTAAGAAATTTCAAATAAAAAGTAAAGAATGATCATCACTGTTGAAGAAATCAATAAAGAATGGCAGGAACATAACAGTTACTATGGCTGTTTTTATTTGCTTTATAGTTTACATTCTAATCTGCTAATGTATACATACTACTTTTATAATCAGGAAGTTTTTAATTTTTAACACAAAAAATTAACTTTTGTCTTCCCTACATGAAGATTATATTGTTGGACCTGAGCTCTGAATAGTTGTGACTGACACTGCTAATTAATCACTATGTACTTACAACATCTCAGAGTTCTAATCCCACCTCACATTCATAAACAGGGTATGACTTTATGTGGCAGTTGGCTAAACTTACCTTCACTATACCAGCTTAAAGTAGACAAGTTTTAGAAGACTTGACAATTAAAGTTTCAGTTAATCAAAACATTTACTTATAAACATTTACTAATGATGCAGTACTACTAGAATAGCTATATTTAAGGATGGACACACAGAAGTTTAATATTAATAAGAGTCCACAAATAAAGAAATATTAATAACCACTAGTGGTGGCTCTGATTGCTGAGCTTACTATTAAACCTCACTTGGATAAATTATTTCTATGATGATAACCTTTCATTTCGTTATTGTCAATGTTGTCCTAAATGCACTTAATATTTTCTAAAATATTCTAGTATAGCATTTATTTGGAAGACATATCAAAAAAAGATAGGGTGGTATTTAATTTTTTTGATAAGAATCCAAACAGGGCTGGTCTAAAGGTAGTGAGTTATCTCAACTGACTGTTCAGTTACAGTTGGAACTGCTTATTCTACCATTTCTCCCCTTCTCACTACCTGCACTTGACTAGTCCAAACAAACAAAAACCACAAGAATGAATAGGTGCCAAAATGGTGAACTCCTCAGAACTGACCAACTGATTAATAAGAAAAATCACATCTCTTAGGTACTTTACATACCTAGTTATTCCTAATTTAAACAGGCAAATCACTTACTCTACTGCAGTGTTTGTCAACCTTGTTTTCATTATCTCCCCCTAAGGAGCCTTTACAGGCATTATTTTCCTAGTCCTCCCCATGTCCTCATGATATTTGAATTACACAGATATACCTTATATCTGCTTATGTACTGTATATACATCTTAGTTTTATATATTAATCATAAGATTTTTTCACCCTTCCTCCTCCAAGAACAAATTTTTACCCCCTTCAAAGCAATATGGCCCCACTGTTCCATTGCTTTAAGGGAAATACCATGTAAGCCTCTATTATCTACCAAGCTCTGAGCAGGCTCTTCACATAGTTTCATTAACTCATCACAACTAAGCTCTACAGACAAGGAAACAAGCTCAGAGAGCTTAAATAACTCTTCCAAGATCACACAGCTAGTAAGTGGGAGAGCCAGGATTTGAATCCTGTGTATCAGTCCAAAGCTTATACCCTCCTTTCCATTGACATTAAACCTCTACTGAAGGTCAAATTGGCCAGGCTCACGCCTGTAATCCCAACACTTTGGGAGGCCGAGGCAGGCAGATTACCTGACGTCAGGAGTTCAAGACCAGCCTGGCCAACAAGGTGAAACTCCGTCTCTACTAAAAATACAAAAATTAGCCAGGCGTGGTGGCACATGCCTGTTATCCTAGCTACTCTGGAGGCTGAGGCAGGAGAATTGCTTGAGCCCAGGAAACAGAGGTTGCAGTGAGCCGAGGTCGTGCCACAGCACTCCAGCCTGGCTGACAGAGCAAGGCGCACACACAAAAAAAGGTCAAGTTGTGTTTCGGCAAATTTGAAAGAACTATCCAGGCTTTTCTTAATAGAAATTCATGGCATCAACAACTGGTTGGAGAAAAAAATAGGTAATCTCTTTTGCTAAACAAATATCTCCACTGAAGGTCATGTTTGTTGGTACCAAAATGAGGAAAAGGATTAGAGATCAGGAAGCAGGGTTTTGACACTTTGCACAAGTCCTGCACCACTCTCCTATGGCTCTCCACTGCATTTCTCTCCAACCCTCCTAACGCCCAGGTTCAATGCCTGGATTACTGCCACTTCCTCACAGCTGGTTTCCCTTGAGTCTTATCCCCCATAAATCCCTCCTCTATACAGCATTCAGAGTTAAACCTATAATGGTTCCCCAATGCCGTATGGCAAAGTCCAAGTTCCTTTTCCATGGCATACAAGGCACTCTAAGAGTTGGACCTTGCCTTTCCCATCTGACATCATACCATACCCTTATTTTTACAATGTTATACCACCACACAACTGTTCCTGTTCCCTAAAGGCCAATAATTGTTACGTATCATTTAAAACTCAATCTAGGTATCACTTCCTTTAGGATTCTTTGGAGTGTTGGTTAGGTAGGTACCCTTGTTTGATGCTCCTACATATATGAATACCACAGCCCTTATCACACTTCAGGTTAATTAACTTTTCTGTTTTACCTTCTAGACTAGGTTTCCCTTTTATACTTTTCAGATTCAGGGAAAGGTCAGTGGCCTATCTGACTTTTTACCCCCAGGGCCTCGCACAGTGCTGAACAGATGGCAACACTCATAGTATTGGTTGAATGAATGTATAGATGCAAGCTTTTCTAACCAGCCTTATTTTGTTGTTTTCCTGTTTTGTTTTGTTTTAGGCTTTTAGCAGCCTGAAGCTACGGTTTTAATTTCTGTCTCTAGTGATAAGCAGAAAAGCGTGATGAGGAAAGGGCTCTACTGGCCCAACCAGAAACAAAAGCTAAGAACCCATAACTGTATTATCTACCTTAGACACCCTTGGCGGAGTGAATATTATAAACGAGGTTTTTCCTTTTAAACAGTGCCTTAAAGCAATCCAGAATAAACTTAATCGAAGCAGCATGATGATAACCATTCTTCAATGTTACATATATAAAATACAACTAATGATTATATGCTACTGACTTTTCCCTGAATCTTGTTTTCTCTTCAAGAATCTAATAAAACAAAATAATAGCAAAAAAAAAGGGAAATAGTTTTTCTACCATTTTATTCGAAAGCAAACTTTTAGAGAATAGGAACAGTTTGGAAAAGCCTCTAACAATTATGTTAATTTATATTTTTGTTAGTCTCCAATTATTTTTACTTTATAATTCAACTGTTTCTTCATACTACAAAAGTAAAAATACTTCTATCCAATGTACTGTGTATATATAAATGTAGAAAAAAAATCTATACTACTGCCTTGCTTCCACAAATCCTTCCCCCCTCATAACCTTCAATCTTCTACCTGAAACAGTAGCTATATATGGCAGTGGTACTATGAACGCTTTTTCTTTTGGTTTATCCAATTTTTTTCCTATTTGATGTGAATAACTTTTAATTGTTTAAAATATGTTAAAATACATTTTTTAAAATGTATTTTTTCTAATTTTTTTCTAATAAAATTATGGAATTAAAAGTTTAAAGTCAACATCAAAAAAAGTTTAAGAGGTCACCATTCTAATTTTTAAATTTTAGGTATTTATTTATTTTTTGAGATAGGGTCTCGCTCTGTCACCCAGGCTGGAAAGTAGTGGCTCAATCATGGTTCACCGCAGCCTTGATCTCCTGAACTCAAGCAACCCTCTCACCTCAGCTTCCTGAGTAGCTAGGACTACAGGCGTGTGCCACCACAGCCGCTAAGTTTATTTATTTTTTGGAGACAGGGTCTCCCTGTGTTGCCCAAGCTGGTCTTGAATGCCTGGTCTCAGGCCATCCTCCTGCCTTGGCCTCCCAAAGTGCTGGGATTATAGGTGTGAGCTACTGTGCCTAGCCTTCTAACTTTAAATATTTAAAAAGGCAATTTGAATTTTTTACTTTGCAATTTATGAGGCAAAGCAGTAAATTTAAAAATCTAATACCTATATGAAATGTATTTTTATTTATTTATTCATTTATTTATTTATTTTTGAGACAGAGTCTTGCTCTGTCGCCCAGGCTGGAGTGCAGTGGCATGATCTTGGCTCACTGCAGCCTCTATCTTCCAGGTTCCAGCAATTCTCCTGCCTCAGCCTCCTGGGTAGCTGGGACTACAGGCACAAACCACCATGCCCAACTAACTTTTGTATTTTTAGTAGATACAGGGTTTCACCATGTTGGCCAGGCTGGTCTTGAACTCCTGACCTCAGGCGATCCGCCCCCTCGGCCTACCAAAGTAGGCCTGGGATTACAGGCTTGAGCCACTGCACCCAGCCTATTTAATTTTTGAGACAGAATCTTGCTCTGTCCCCCAGCCTGAAGTGCAGTGGCGCAATCTCTGTTCACTGAAACCTCCACTTCCCGGGTTCAAGCAATTCTCGTGCCTCAGCCTCCCGAGTAGCTGGGATTACAGGTGTGCGCCACCACTCCCGGCTAATTTTGTATTTCTAGTAGAGATAGGGTTTCTCCATGTTGGCCAGGCTAGTCTCAAACTCCTGATCTCAGACAATTTGTCCATCTCGGCCTCCCAAAGTACTGGGATTACAAGTGTAAGCCACCATGCCCAGCCAAAATGTATTTTTAAAGCCCCAAAAGAAACACCCAAAACGAACTCTGAACTCAACTATTTATGACCATAAAATGAAGTACTTGTTTATTTAAATTTAAAATTTAAAGAAACAATTCAAAATTTTTTAATAATTTGAATAAATGGTTCCAAATATAAAGTAGGAACACAGGACTGTTTCAACTAGACAGAATTCCAAAGGTAAAGGTATTCATTTGCTGAAAGAATTGTTGGCATCTCTCTACCCTTCCTGACGTAATCCTCACGTTTAAAAGTTTATCTACCCTATTGATAGTCAAAATGGTTTATAAAAAAGGCATATCTGTTTCTTGCCTGAAATTCAGTCCCCTTAACGGTATATAGTCACACAACTTTAGTGTCACCAGCAGCATTAATGAATATTTTTATCATACACAGACATGCACACAAACTCAACAGTGTTTAAATGTGTACAGAGTCTGAAAGGACACATCCCAATTTATTAATAATGATTTTATCTGGGGAGTACAAATGTTAAGAACTACCATATTTTATAGGTACTTGAATTATTTGAATTTTAAACATTATATTGTAATTGAAAAAATATTTAAAATAAAAGTGATCAAAGTAGTTGGAACAGAATCTATTATTATCTAGATTTCCTTTTCTATCTAGAAAGGAATAACATCAATATTTGACTTAATTTTCAAAGTATAATTATATAAAATCACCATTTACAATATATACATTTATCTTAAGATACACCTATGCATTATTTTTTATTCAACTTTATAACTGCTCTCCCATTACAAGTATGCTACATATAAATCAACAGAAGGGCTATCAGAAGGCATAGAAAGAATAATAATATGCAGCCAGACACGGTGGCTCACGCCTGTAATCCCAGCACTTTGGGAGGCCCAGGTGGGCGGATCACGAGGTCAGGAGTTCGAGACCAGCCCAGCCAACATGGTGAAACCCCGTCTCTACTAAAAATACAAAAATTAGCCAGGTGTTGTGGCAGGCGCCTGTAATTCCAGCTACTCGGGAGGCTGAGGCAGGAGAATCGCTTGAAACTGGGAGGCAGAGGTTGCAGTGAGCCGAGATTGCACCACTGCACTCCAGCCTGAGCGACAGAGCAAGGCTCCATCTTGGGGAAAAAAAAAAAAAAAAAGAAGAATATGCATAAGTACTATCTAGATTTGAAACTGCCCTTTACCCAACATTTGAAAAAAAAAAAGGTGCAATAATAATATTCAGTTGTCACCTAAAAAATAAGTGTCTCAGTCCCAAGCGTGATTCTGGAAAATTCTTTTTTTCTTTTTTTGAGACAGAGTCTCACTCTGTCACCAGGCTGGAGTGCAATGGCATGATCTTGGCTCACTACAACCTCCGCCTCCTGGGTTCAAGTGATTCTCCTGCCTCAACCTCCTGAGTAGCTGGGATTACAGGCGAGCGCCATCATGCCCGGCTAATTTTTGTATTTTTAGTAGAGACGGGGTTTCACCATCTTGGCCAGCCTGGTCTCAAACTCCTGACCTCATGATCCACCCGCCTCAGCCTCCCAAAATGCTGGATTAAATGCGTGAGCCACCGCACCCAGCCGATTCTGGAAAATTCTAAGGCATTTACGACATCAAGAGGTATTATGAAATTACAAAATATTGTGTATTTTAAATATATATATACGTTAAAAAGCCACACAATTCTTTCAGGAACAGAGAAAGTATATCAAAATGAAACAAGTTTCTCAACTCCTGAAAGGTTGGTACACTTTGTAGTAAAGCAAGGAAGTGTCATGTAGCCTAATTTCATTTAAGTAACTCCAAACTGACAAATTCTGTTCTTCACCTAAATCTGTCCTTACCTCTAGGAAAACAAAAAAACAAACAAAACTAGAAACTTAATGAAATATAACACTAAGAAAAAATAAATTAGCCCAAATATTTATGGTGGATAATGTACCACCTATCCTGTCTACCATGAAAGAAAACCTACAAATAACTGATCTACAAGAAATTTTTTTTTTTTTTTTGGAAAGAGTGTTGCTCTGTTGCCCAGACTGGAGTGCAGTGGCGCAATCTTGGCTCACTGCAACCGCACCAGGTCTACAAGAAATCTGAATGACATATTTTGCAAAGCCAGAGTTAGTCTTTTAAGTATTATATAAATAATGAAGATGACTGTCTGCAAAAAATTAAGTTCAATTACTTTGTGGTCTGGATAAAAGAGATTAAAAATGTAAAATATTATGGGTAAAATATTGTTATTCCATTTTATAGTTCCTAAGATTCAAAGTTACTAGGTTCCATGAATGACTTGTACTAAGCCAAAGACTAATACACCTACTTATTGTTTTATTAATATAAGTAATAGACGATCTAATCAATGAATATCCTACTTAAAAATGAAAGAAAAAGCTCATGTCCCTGGCTATCATGCAGTCAGCCCATTTAGTGAAAACATACAGGCCGGGTGCAGTGGCTCACGCCTGTAATCCTAGCACTTTGGGAAGCCGAGGCGGTGGATTGTCTGAGCTCAGGAGTTCGAGACCAGCATGGGCAACGTGGCGAAACCCCATCTCTACTAAAAATACAAAAAATTAGCTGGGCGTGGTGGTGCGCACCTGTAGTCCCAGCTACTTGAGAGGTTGAGAATCACTTGGACCCAGGAAGCAGAGGTTGCAGTGAGCTGGGATCACACCACTGCACTCCAGGCTGGGCGACAATCTGTCTCCAGAAAAAAAAAAGAAAGAAAATATACAATCCCCATGTATATATTTGATTCTTAATCAAATGAGAAGTTCTAAAATGCTGTGTTGGTCCTATTTGGGGATTTTATAATTTTTATGTATTTAGAAAATAAAGCTGGAGATCTGCTGATGAAAGCTAAAAAGTATGGAACTCCTTCAGCTGAAAGCCTGCAGGTAAGTTAATGGAGGGCAAGCACTGACTTTCATTTATCTTTGTACACTCAACATACATACAAGTTCATAGTATACACTGATTTTGCTGAAATAATTGCATTCATTAATCCAACAAGCATTTACTTGGTACCTACTATGTGCCAGGCCCTGAACTAGGAAATAAGGTATTGATTAGTGAAGAAAATAGGGTTCAGTCTCTGTCTTGATGGACTTTATAATATAGTGGGGGAGGCAAACAAATAATTAAACCAACAAATAAGATTATTAAAAATTGTGATAGATGCCGTGAGGGACATCAACAGGGTACACTGATAGAGGGAACCTACTTAGAATGGTCAGCAAAGTTTTCTCAAACCCTTACAGGGTGGTGGTATTTAAGCCTAAACTTAAACGAGAAAGAACCAGCTATTTGAACAGCATAAAGTCTGATGAGCTATATTCTAAACTAACATAACACAGCTTAGCTCACATTTGGTAATTCACAAAGTAATTTCTGCACTTTGAAATCTGTAATCTTCTAAACAAGCTCTGTCATTTTCTAGTCCTCTCCAATCTAAACATCAACAGTTCCCCAGTACTCTTTACATATGGTTAGTATTTATCCCCAAACTGAATTTTGTAGGAACATCTTTTTTTTTAAATTAAGAATATCTTCGGCCAGGCGCAGTGGCTCATGCCTGTAATCCCAGCACTTTGGGAGGCCGAGGAGGGCGGATCCCCTGAGGTCGGGAGTTCAAGACCAGCCTGACCAACATGGAGAAACTCTCTCTCTATTAAAATACAAAAATTAGCTGGGTGTGGTGGCACGTGCTTGTAATCCCAGCTACTTGGGAGGCTGAGGCACGACAATTGCTTGAACCCAGGAGGCAGAGGTTGCAGTGAGCCGAGATCGCACCACTGCACTCCAGCCTGGCGACACTGCGAGACTCTGTCTCAAAAAAAAAATCTTCTACATAATTCAAATACAGTCATAAGCGAACTAGAGGAAGAAAACTAAGATTTATAAGGGACTAATATAATACAGGCTATGCACTTAATACTTCAATTTAAAGCAGAAAGTATCTCAAGTGATATCATTACAAAAGTAACACAATGCTCTCTTTTACACCCAAATTTTGTGTTGGTAGTGGAAGAAGTTTTAAAGAAATTTGTGGGTTTATACAGGCATAAATGCTGGATATGAAGAGGGAAGGGATCAGAATAGAAAGACATTATCTTGGTGAACTCATTGCAGTCCATACTCTAGGTTCTCTCAGATATTCAGGTCCAAGAACCTCCAACCAAACTCAGAAAGTATTTATACACCAGAATTATATTTGATTAATTTTCATTATGAAATATATTATCAACCAGGCACAGTGACTCACGCCTGTAATCCCAGCACTTTGGGAGGCCGAGGCGGGCGGTTCATGAGATCAGAAGATTGAGACCATCCCAGCTAACACGGTGAAACCCTGTCTCTACTAAAAATACAAAAAAATTAGCCAGGTGTGGTGGCACATGCCTGTAATCCCAGCTACTCAGGAGGCTGAGGCAGGAGAATCATTTGAACCCAGGTAGCAGAGGTTGCAATGAGCTGAGATCGCGCCACTGCATTCCAGCCTGGGCGACAGAGTGAGACTCTGTCTCAAAAATCTATATATAATCATACCGATCAGATTTTTTTTTTTTTTTTGAGATACAGTCTTGTTCTGTCGCCCAGGATGGAGTGCAGTGGCACGATCTCGGCTCACTGCAACCTCTGCCTCCCCGGTTCACAAGATTCTCCTGCCTCAGCCTCCTGACAAGCTGGGACTACAGGCTCCTGCCACCACACCCGGCTTATTTTTTTTTTGTATTTTTAGTAGAAACAGGGTTTCACCATCTTAGCCAGGATGGTCTCGAACTCCTGACCTCGTGATCTGCCCGCCTCAGCCTCCCAAAGTGCTGGGATTACAGGCATGAGCCACCGTGACTGGCTCTGATCATATTTTTAAGACTACTGATCATAATCCTGCCCATGTCCGTTTATTAGTCTACAATGGAGAATACAGCTTTCAAAGTGAACACGTCCTTATCTGCACTGTCACCTGTACATCAAAACTTGTTATCAGGAAGCTAAATAAGTGTTACGAATAGATGCCTGATGAACATGGAAATCAGGCAAAGGGATAGAGATGTTTCAGCCAGGCCACAGTCAGGATTGTTCAAATATTCCTACCCCTCGACAGAGATTACCTTTCTAGTTACCAGAATTTTCATGAACCCCAGATGATGTACCTTTTTCCTTTGTACAGCAGTATATGAACATTGCCGAATTCTGCTTTTCACTTTTTTCAATGTTCAGTGCTGACTGACCATCCATTCCATTTCTGCAGATACAGCCTTTCTTTAGCTGTGTTAATGTCATCTATTTAATTCAATTAAAAAACATTTCAGAGTGCATACTACCTGCTGAGCACTATTATCAGGTTCTGTGCATACAAGGATAAAGGTAAGAGCCACATTCTCAAGAGTCCATCTTCTATTGAGGAAGATCTTCTCTTTCCTGTTTTTGACCTGGGAGATTGAAGGTCTTTTATTTATTTACTTATTCATTTATTTATTTATTTTTTGAGACAGAGTCTCGCTCTGTCGCCAGGCTGGAGTGCCGTGGCGCGATCTAGGCTCACCGCAACCTCCAACTCCGGGGTTGAAGCGATTCTCCTGCCTCAGCCTCCAGAGTATCTGGGATTACAGTCACAGGCCACCTAGGATTTGTATTTAAGTACACTAGCATTCGTATTTAAGTGACCTTGATCACAAGGTCAGGAGATCAGGACCATCCTGGTCAACAAGTTGAAACCCCGTCTCTACTAAAAATACAAAAATTAGCTGGGCATGGAGGCGTGGGCCTGTAGTCCCAGCTACTTGGGAGGCTGAGGCAGGAGAATTGCTTGAACCCGGGAGGTGGAGTTTGCAGTGAGCCGAGATGGCGCCACTGCACTCCAGCCTGGAGACAGAGCAAGACTCCATCTCAAAAAAAAAAGAAAAAAAAAAAAGAAATATATAAAGTGCGTAGGACAGTTCCTGACATACTCCCCAATTCAATTACTATGTCTGGCAAACTAAAATCAACAATTCCGGGTTCTAAATTTGTGCAGGGTTTTTAGATCCCCTATTTACTACTCCCCCAGATAAGCCAGGAGTAGTATTCATTTTGATAGATTAAGGCCCAAATCACTGCCATATAGTACTATCAGAAAACAGAATCAAAACCCAGATGACTTTTCTCGTTGAAAGCTTTAATCTCAGCAAAAATAAAACCCTTCCAGTAACTAACACATTTAAATTTTACTTCATACTTTAAGACTTAGTAAAGCATACTAAGTTATTTCAAAACAAAGACTAAGCAAATATAGACACTGTAAAAAGTACACCATTGAACAGTATCCCAAATCATCTAAAGCTTTAAATTACACATTTGGTTAATATATTTTTCTTTAATTTATGCTGATTAAAAACAAATACTTCTTTACACCATTACCATCCATCTCTGTTTATGTTTCTCATGAACTACAACTTATAACAGTTCATTATAATTGATGGCAAAGACTTGAGTAGTGAAATTACTTAAATACAAATCCTAGTGTACTTACATACAAATCCTAGTGTATGAGAAAGAAAAATGTGATGAACTGGGAAAGGAAGAAAATGAAATGTAAGAGACTACTAGGTGGGAGTGCAGTGAGAATATAAACACCAGAAACTGCAATTCATCAAACAGGAAGTGCTGAAATCACATGACATACAGGAAAATAAAAATTAAAAATAAATGAAAAAGGGGCAAGGTAGGCAGGATCAATAGAGCCTACCAAAAAATTTAAAACGCTTTAAATAAATACAAGTCTGTTTTTTAAAAAGCAATTGCAAGAATAAGATATATTTAAATAATCTGTTGACTATTATTGAGGGACTACCTTAACTTTCTATTTTCCTAATAGTTACTCAATAATCCTATTAACATCTATCAACTGTTCAAAATACTAAAAATAATTCTCTCCTGAAATATATAATTAAAAACTTACAATGGCTACAGATTTCTTTTCCCCCAAAGATAACAGGAAAACTCAGTGTATTATATTTACAATTAAGATATACCATCAGAATTAAATTCATCTTACCCATTAATGTTGCTAAAAGACACAAGGAGTACATTTCTTTTTCAGCTTGCTCCTGAAGTTCCTTAGATGACAGTTTACCAGTAACAGCAATATCTTCTTGTTTCACAGTGTGGGCTGAGTGTGCTGCAGCAGACTGACCACCTTCAGCTTTACTTTTTAGAATTTCTATTGTAATTCTGTCGCCATGCTGTAAAGGAACTGGTTCCTTTTCCATTCCTGCCTGTGGTGGCATTAACTCTTTAGGAGGAAACCCGTATCGAATACACTGTAAATATGGAGGAATGTTGAATTCTCTGGCTATACTTTCCTGAAGTTCAAAAAAGGTTGTTGAAGACTTAAGGGTAACCATGGACTGTCGTCCATCATTAGTTGTGATTCGGATCTTCTTCTCCTTAGAAGTTGTCGGTGAATAGGGAGCCTTGGTAGGTGTAGCAGGTGCAGAGGATGGACCATCACGAATGGTACTGGGAGAAACAGTCCTGGGTTGCCCTTTTTGTTCTTGTTTTAACTTCTCTGTTTTCCGTTTCTGCATTACAGAAGCCTGTTCCGTAATATTCTGTTGAATAGTTCTTTCAGTTTTACTCATGTTTAACTCCTCCTTGTGCAAAGTTTTTGTTTTCTGTCCAGTAAGAATAATTTTAGTTGGGAGCTGAGACTCTGATTCTTGTCCTTGAACATCTCCAACTCTTTGGGCGTGAGCACCATCTATATTTACAGGAGTATAATCATCGGGATTCTTTTTGGCAGTCTGATGCAATATAGTGTGGACAACTTTCTGAACTAGGATTTCACTCCCAAATTCACCTGGAAAGTGCTTGGTAACAAGTTTCATTGCAACATCGTAAACATTACTATTCAAAGATGAATCACTTTCATACTGGAACCAATATACTGTTTCTCTGACCACTCTTCCACCCCATTCTAAAGTAATAGGGAAAGCTTCTGGTAGATTGTCATACTCCTTACCATCCCAAAAGTGTTTGAATCCACAACCACATTTGCCACCAGTGGACCTAGAATTAGTTCTGTCTCCATCCAAATACACAATAGACCCATCTCCTCTGACCTTTCGCACAGATGTGCCATGGCACCAATTACAAGCTGTTAGGTTACTCATTCCATAGTCTGGTACCAGAACATCTTTCACTGAATCATATGAGCAAACCAAATTGTTCAAGGGAAAGCTGTAATTTTTGTCAGTCCTCAGCTGTCCATGAGTACTTTTTGCCAGGTTATACAATTTCCCTCCAGGAGCCAACCACTCTGGAGGAACATGAAGTTCAGAAAGGGCACCACAGAGCAAACATTTGTGAAGGCGATTATCCATTACTGCTTTTTTAGCAGCTGCTGTGACTTCCTCAGGCTGAACTCCTATCACTCCAGTCCTTCTGTAGAAATACTGATGGACATCAGCAACCAAACTAGGATGGATACCATGTTTGTCCATAAAGACTTCTTCCATAGCAGCAACAAGCCTAAGTAAGTATTTATCTTGCAAACTTCTGTCACCTCCAATAACACAACCACCATCCTCTTCAAGTTTTATGTACTTTTTAATAAGGTCCTGAGGCACACCCCATGCTTTAGGAAGCAAATTCATAGGCAGTTTGGGCAAAGCAGCCCCTTTTATGCCTACCAAGGGGATATAATGGTTTCTACCGGAGCTGCTCCATGCAATACAGATTGGTTTGTTCAAATGACCATCTTTCCCAGTGCACTTCTCTGCAGGGATGAGCCCAGGTAGAAAGGTGGCTGAATAATCACCAGAGCTTCTCATGCCACTGAGGGAATCTAACAGAATAATAGGACGATGTAGCACATTGGCAAGACCAAATATGTGGATATTCCTCAGGCCCAAGGGAACACCCTCAGGTGGTACAAACAGAGGGTCACACTCATTGATAATGTCCTCCCACTCAGCAGCATCAATGAAGTCATGGAACAGAGCTTGATATCGGGCCAGGTGCTGCTGAAAGTGCTGTTTAAGATTCTCTCTTAAGGCATGCCAGAAGAGCTCTCGGCCTACTAGAGCCCGAGACACAGCATGCACCAAGCAGTGTCCATCCCCGTCCACATGCACTGGAATGAGACATTCCTGGCTTTTATTGGCCCGCTTAATGTCCTCCAGAGTGTCATGCAAATACAGGAGGCTTCCGGAGCGGTCCTTGCCATAGCCCACAGTGTTAACATGCTCTGGTTCTATGAGGAAGGCGCGGTCACCCAGTAAGGCGCAATCGAACAGTTCGCCCTGGTTCATGTCCCGGAGAAGCTTGGCCCGGCCTGTCTGTTTGTCCATTCCATAGCGAGCTAATATGGGCGACAACAATTTGCAGTGATAGTTGGAAAGGCCCATCACCTTTACCAGTTCCGTGTTCTTCTTGGGTGCCCCCGTAACCCCGAGCAGCGCGTTCCGCAGCAGGTTGTGTAGCACTACGTCCGGGTCGGTCACCTCCTCAACCCCCAGCAGCTGTTGCTGCTCGTGCCGCTGGCCGCACTCGGTACACTCGATGCTGACAGAACCGGAGGCCGGGAAAAATAGACGCGCCTGACACTTCGGATCCGGGCAGCTCCCGGAAAGGATTCTCCGGTCTCTCCGCTTCAAAAGCCCCCCCGAAGCAGCCGCCGACGCCAAGGACGACGGAGTCTGTGGAGCCTCAGGGGGAGGAGGTGGCGGCGGCAACGGAGGCGGCGGCGGCGGCGGCTGAGACATAGCTCCTGGCTCTCGTGTCTCGCTCCGCGTCCCAGGCGACCCTCAAAAGCTCATAGCCCAGACCCCCACCAACCCGACTCGGTCCAGTCCAGGCCCAGGGCGAAGCACTTTCCTTTCCCTACCAGCTCTTCCTCCTCCTAAGCGAAGGCGGAAGCGCCGGACGTTGTTTCTCTTCTTACTTCTCCACTGCCGTAGCCGTTGCCCCGAACGTAACGGCCACCACCCCACCCCGCACTCACACTCACTCACTCTCGCTCTCTCTCCCTCAGACACAGACATACACGCCCTCATTGAGTGTGCGCAGGCGCAGCTTCCGCTCTGCCCTCTGGGAATTAGAGTCTTCCAGCCTCTGTGCTGGCCATCAAGCCCTAGGATCTTGAGTCCAGAAGGAACTACAAGTACCGTGAGGCCAAGCGGTTCAGCGCTAGAGGAGAGGAGGAAGAGGACGGCAACAGGAAAAGGGGCGAAAGAAAGATGGTGACTCGCGTTGCCTGCCGGTAGTTGTAGTTTTACTGGGCTCTCCTTCGTCGTCTTCCCCACTCTGCAGCCCAAGGCAAAGAGTCTGAGAGACCACATTTCCTAGGATGCCGTGCGGTGCGTCTAGCTGCACTTCCTCCTTAGGCGGAGGGGAGGATTCAGGGAAGCTTGGTTAAAAACAGTTATGGCAGTGGGAGTCGAAGCGAGGGTCTGAAGTTCACGACTACTAGAAGGGGAGGGGAGTGGAAAGGCTCTCAGTGAAAAAGGTACAGTAAATAAATGTCCAGGGATATTGGGGGCTGGGAAGTTGAATAAATGGTCTAATCTAGGCTGGAGGCCATAAGGGGGAAAACAGTTGATTCTCGGAAGCTCTGCCTTCTCCCCCTCTCTAGTGCGAATCACTGAGGCGCCATTTGATTTCTCGTTTCCTGCATGTTTTGGCAGTTTACAGTGCAAATAACGGTACCTTGGATGTCTGTAGAGTTTTGTGTGCATATACAAATTCTCTTAACTAGGTTTAATTTCATTTGCTCTTTACCACCCTACTCCCCAGAGAATAATAAGAGCCATCATGTGTTAAGTTCTTAATATGTGTCTGGACAGCATTTGCATAACACGATATCATTTGATCTTAAAAAATAACCTTCTTAGGAAACAGGCCCAGAAAGGAAATGACTTGCTAAAGTTCACGCAGCTGATAAGTGAGTGGATAGACATTCAGATCTCAACCTGTCTTCTTTTTACAGATCAGGACATAGGCAGGAAAGGTTAGGCCTGTATTACATAGAATAGTAACTAGCATTTGCTTACTATTGCCTTATAGTTTACATATTTAATAATATGTTCACATGTATCATCTCATCCTCACACCAGTCCTGTAATACCTTTACCAGGTGGTGTTGACTTCATTTACAATCAGGGAAACTGAGACTAAAAGGAATTAAGTGACTTGCCCAAGGTCAAGTCACCAGTTATGCTGGATCCCAATCTCAAACCTTGAGAGTGATTTTTACGCTGCTGCTTACCAAAAAATCCCGGCCGGGCGCGGTGGCTCACGCCTGTAGTCCCAGCACTTTGGGACGCTGAGGCGGATGCATCACGAAGTCAGGAGATCGAGACCATCCTGGCTAACATGGTGAAACCCCGTCTCTACTAAAAATACAAAAAAATTAGCCGGGCGTAGTGGCGGGCGCCTGTAGTCCCAGCTACTTGGGAGGCCGAGGCAGGAGAATGGCGTGAACCCGGGAGGCGGAGCTTGCAGTGAGCCGAGATCACGCCACTGCACTCCAGCCTGGGCGACAGAGCAAGACTCCGTCTCAAAAAAAAAAAAAAAACCCAAAATGTTAGGCTCAAATCTTTTGCTAGGCCTTAGAGTCTCCTCTTAGTGATGAAGGGATGTTTAATGTTAAGGAGGCAACAGCTTTATTCTTTTTTCACTTGGGTAGGAAACTGCCTCTTCATACAGAACAATATTCATATGTTAATTGAAAGCTAGTATTATTTTTGTACATTCATCCTCTTTCACTTATTACGGAAATTCTTGCTTTCTGGAAGTTTAGTATCACCTTAGGTAAGTGGACTACCTCAAAATTTCTGAAACATTTGGCACCAACTAGAAACATTAGTGAAGTCCATGAGATCATTTGAGTCTTCTGTAGCTGCCCAGGAAACCGCCTGATTAGGTTGTGTGTGTGTGTGTGTGTGTGTGTGTGTGTGTGTGTGTATGTATGTATGTAGAACTTGATGCTTTGAAATGAACCATCTGCAAAATAGAGGCCCATAAAGGGTATTAGTTTTGATGTGCACCTAATTGCTACAATTTTCTTGAAAATAAATATTTGAAAGAGAAATCCTCCATAATGGACCTTAATTACAAGAGAAGTGATTTTTCCTATCTTGGGATATTTTTCTTTCTTTTTTTTTTTTTTTTTTTGAGACAGAGTTTCACTCTTGTTGCCCAGGCTGGAGTGCAATGGCGTCATCTTGGCTCACCCCAACCTCCGCCTCCCAGGTTCAAACCATTCTCTTGCCTCAGCCTGCCGAGTAGCTGGGATTACAGGCATGAGCCACCACGCCCAGCTAATTTTGTATTTTTAGTAGAGACGGGGTTTCTCCATGTTGGTCAGGCAGGTCTTGAACTCCTGACCTCAGGTGATCCGCCCGCCTCGGCCTCCCAAAGTGCTGGGATTACAGGCGCAAGCTACCGTGCCCGGCCGGAGGGGGTATTTTTCAATAAAGTTTTTCTCAGAGAATTCATGCAAGAAAAGTTGTTTATTCTAACAAGTTTGGTGGTAACTACACAGATTGGTTTTGGCACTGATTTTTTATTAACAGTTGAATGCTTTATAAGTAGAGAAATTGGGTATCTCCTTTAAGTGGAGATTATTTTATGCTGTGACGAAAATGTTACACCTGCAGTGAAAGTTTTTCTCATACAGAATCCAAATAATTGAATTAAAGCTTTGTAGCACATGAGATGACAACAGTCTGCAATTCTAACACTGTCAGGTACTTTTATATCTTAACAACACCAGGCCAAATTTTTCTTATTGATGATACATATACATAGTGAAGTAGATTTTTAAAATTGTATTTGAATATGTCATTCTGAACCATACTATGACAAAATAATCACTTCCCACCCCACTGAAGAAATGAGAAGCCTTTTTCTGGCTTGTCTAGATCATTTAATAAGTTTGTAGATGCACTCAAAGTTCAGAAAGAAAGCTAACATAAAGGGGCAATGAAATTAACCATGTCAAGTTTAATATGTGAATTAATTCTTTATTACTAGCACTTAGAAGGCATGGATACCTACAAAGAAAAAAAATTGTTAGGTCAAAAATAGGACATACTGTTTCTTATAAGACCGGAGGAGTGTAGAAAGCCTCTCCTGCTTATGCAAGATCTGCAGGCTTCCTTCCTCTTTTCCTCCCAAATTCCATGATCTTGCCTAATGAAGATTAACTTAACTACCTAATTAACTTTCACAGGATTTTTGTGGGGTAGATAATAGTTCTTGTTTTTAGTAGTCCAGATGAAAAGAATAAGCTGGGCCTCTGACATTAGCTGTGCTGATACACGTCTCTTCTACCACCATCACCCCAGCATCACTAATACCTAAATTGCCAAAATTCAGTTAAAATAGAAATTCATCTTTTTCATAGTTTCTAGTATGGCACTTGTAAACTCCCTATATTGCTTTTAACAAACTTGGTAAATGTAAATGCAGAAGTCATCCACTTTTACCAACAGAACAACCATCATTGTTCTTGATCTTTTATATTTTATATATATAAGGAAGGGAATCATAACTTTGGGGATTGCTGTAAGTTGGCCACATACCTGCCTATATAAACTATACATCTTTACCAAGAATTGACTGTGTTCTTCCAGACCCGTGCCACGTATAGTCAGACTTCCAGTCACAAGCTTCGACTGAAGCTCAAAGTGGATTTGGGAGGGACTAATTATTGAAGTAGGTATTATAAGAATTTAAAGGGATGCAAAATTTCATCTCTGTCTCAAAGAAGCTTAGAGTTTAATAGAAGAGGGAGGCTAAACTAAATTGTTCATAAATATAAGTAGAATAAAGCATGTAATCAAAATAATACAGGAAATATCACAAATGCTATGAAAATTTAATTGAGGGCAATTTATTATAGGGCAGTGTTTTGAGTATATCATCTTAATCTTTAAAACACTCCTGTGATACAGTATTGTCCTTATACGGATAAGATTTAACTCTAAAAGGTTAACATCGTTTTTATTACCACCAGCTATGAAATAGAGCTGGGCTTCAAATCAAGGTTTTCCTTGTTCAGCACTCACTCTTTCCACTACATCACAGCTGCTTACTGATTTGAGAGAGAATTAGGCAAGAAGTCAATACAAACTGGTGACCAGTAGCCAAACTTGGCTTGATGTAGTTTTGTTGGGTCAGCAGGAGTTTAACTTTATTTTTTTTGAGATGGAGTCTCGCTCTGTCTCCCAGGCTGGAGTGCAGTGGCGCGATCTCGGCTCACTGCAAGCTCCGCCTCCCGTGTTCGCGCCATTCTCCTGCCTCCGCCTCCCGAGTAGCTGGGACTACAGGTGCCTGCCACCACGCCCGGCTAATTTTTTTGTGTGTATTTTTAGTAGAGATGGGGTTTCACCGTGTTAGCCAGGATGGTCTTGATCTCCTGACCTCGTGATCTGCCTGCCTCGGCCTCCCTAAGTGCTGGGATTACAGGCTTGAGCCACCGTCCCCGGCCTTTTTTTTTTTCTAATGTGAATGTGTTTGAGCAGTGGCCAGTATTCCACTCTTTAAGACCTTACACCAGGGCCCCTTGAGACAAATGACCGAGTACAGAGCTGCAAGTCATTCCTTCGCACAGTAGTCCTCAAGCTTTAATGTGCATCACAGTCTGGAAGGCTTGCTAAAACACAGATTGCTGGGCTCCATCTTAGAATGAGTGTGTCTGAGGTGGAGCCTGAGAATTACATTTCTAGCAAGTTCTCTGGTTGCAGATGCTGCCAGTCCTTGCGAGGATCACACTTTGAGAATCACTGCTTACCAAACTTGTAGGGCACTTTTGGGGAAGGCTTGTTGTGTTTCTGTTGTTTATAATACAAAAGGAATTGCTTGTCAGAATGTGCAGAAATAGGTTAAAAAGAAAATTAAAATTATCTATCAGAGATTATAATTGCTAACATTTTTAATGGACCATTCAAGCTCCTTTTTTCTATGTGTGTATAGTATGTACTTTTTTAAGAAACCAAAATTATATAATAATAATAATAGCTATTAACACCTTTTTAGCATCTATTGTGCACCAGGGTCTTTACATGTAGTATTTACTTAATCCTTTTAATATCCTTATGAAGCAGGTACCATTACTATCATTCTTATTTTTCAGATGAAGAACTTGAGGCACAGAAAGGTTAAGTAACTTGTTCAGTGTCTCATTGCTAGTAGGTAGCATAATCAGGATTAAAACCAAAGCAAGGCCAGGCTAACACCTGTAATCTCAGCTCTTTGGGAGGCCAGGACAGGTAGATCACTTGAGGCCAGGAGTTCGAGACCAGCCTGGCCAACATGGTGAAACCCTGTCTCTGTTAAAAATACAAAAATCAGCCGGGCATGGTGCCTGCCTGTAGTCCCAGCTGCTTGGGAAGCTGAGACAGAAAAATTGCTTGAATGTGGTAGATGGAGGTTGCAGTGAGCCAAGATCACGCCACTGCCCTCCAGTCTGGGTGACAGAGTGAGACTCTGCCTCAAAACAAAAAACAAAAAGGAAAACAAAAAACCAAAGCAATCTAGTGCCAGAACCACTCTGCTATACTGACTCTTCTACTGTGCATATTGTTTTTCACCTGTATTGTATAATCACATCATGAACAATCTTGATATTAGACATTTCTTGTTTAACATTTAATTTTTTAATTTTATGTAATTTTTTGTTTAAGAGACAAGGTCTTGTTATGTTGCCTAGGCTGGAGTTGAACTCTTGGGCTCAAGCTATCCTCCTACCTCAGCCTCCTGAGTAGCTGGGACCTCCAGCACGTACCACCACACTCGGCCTCTTGTTTAACATTTTAAGTGAAAGCCTGCTTTTTTCTCTTAAAATATTTGAAACGTTTAAAGATATACGCAAAAATAATGTAAAAAAAAACTCATGCACCCACTACTAGATTTAACAAAAGTTAATTTTTCTGCATATTTGCTTCATAATCCCCCCCTCTTTAAAAAACACATTATAGGCCGTGCGTGGTGGCTCACGGCTGTAATCCCATTACTTTAGAAGGCCGAGGCAGGTGGATCACAAGGTCAGGAGATCGAGACCATCCTGACTAACACAGTGAAACTCCGTCTCGACTAAAAATACAAAAAATTTGCCGGGTGTGGTGGCGGGCAAAAAAATTAGCCGGGCGTGGTGGCGGGCGCCTGGAGTCCCAGCTACTCGGGAGGCTGAGGCAGGAGAATATCGTGAACCCGGGAGGCAGAGCTTGCATTGAGCCGAGATTGTGCCACTGCACTCCAGCCTGGGCGACAGAGCAAGACTCCATCTCAAAAAAACACATGTTGGCCAGGCTGGTCTTGAACTCCTGTCCTCAGGTGATCCATCCTCCTCGGGCTCCCAAAGTGCTGGGATTACAGGTGTGAGCCACTGCACCTGGCCCAGTGAGGTGGATTTTTAAAAGTAAAAGAAAAAAATTGAGTTCCAGAGCTAGAAGTTCCATCCTCAGTCTGTCTGAAGCATGCCTCCTGCAATCCTTTTTCTTTTTTAAGGACCAACAAAGTCATCACTACAACATAAAGGACCCTGTGTAATCAGGCACCTGGCTTCTCTGACATTATTTCCGTGGCTTGTGTGCTTCAGCCACACTGGCCTCCTTGTGGGTCCTCAAACATTCCAAGTACATTCCTGTCTCAGGACCTTGGCACTTGCTCTTCTGCCTGGAAAACTCCCAGGTAGAATTTATATAGTTGTCAGCTCAAATCTCAGTTCCAGTGAGATGGCTTTTCTAACCAGTGTCTCTAAAACAACACCTCTATCCTTTTTCTCTCTTCCCCTATCCCACTCATTTTCTTTTCTTTTCTTTTTTTTTGGCTCTGTCACCCAGGCTGGAGTGCAGTGGCATGATTTTGGCTCACTGCAACCTCCCCCTCCTGGGTTCAAGCAACTTGCCTGTCTCAGCTTCCCAAGTAGCTAGGACTACAGGCGCCTGCCACCACACCCGGCTAATTTTTGTATTTTTAGTAGGACGGGATTTCACCATATTGGTCAGGCTGGTCTCGAACTTCTGACCTCAGGTGATCCACCCTCCTTGGCCTCCCAAAGTGCTGGGATTATAGGCGTGAGCCACTGCGCCTGGCCCCCACTCATTTTCTTTATACCACTAATCATCAGGAATTATATGATTACTTGTCTGTTGTCATCCTTCCCCACTAGACTCTTTAGTAAGGCTTTTCATAAGGGCAGGCAGTTTGTTGATTGTTGGATTCCCTGTGCCAGGCATATATAGCCTGAATAGATATTGTTGAATGAATTAATGGCTATCATCTATGGCAGTGTGTTTCAGCCTGATATTCAAGCATAAGTTCCTGGAGAATCCACCATTTGGTTGCAGTTTAAAAATGTTTATGTTGTCATTTTGATGCTAATCTAAAGCAAAGTCATATTGTGATTTTTCCAGATGAGTACCTTAAAACATGAAGTTTTGAGAGCCTGAATTCACACCAAGTTTAGGATTTTGTTTTTATCAGTTGAAAGCCAATGAACATTGTGACAAAACGTGTAAGGTTTCACGATCATTTTGAGAAAAGAGGTGGGAGAGTTGAGTCATCACATGTCACACAGTAGCCCATGGCAAACTCAGTGCTGTAACTGTTGGTGCCACGTTCCTACTAAAAATAGAAATTGCACATAACACACATGCACTTACATATATTTGCAACAACTTAGTCACTGTAAGTAAAGTAGTAAATACACAATGAGGAATTTTTTTTTATTTCCCAGGAAGGCTTAAATTAGATACCATATAATTCAGATTTAAAATAGTCGAAAAAATACTAACCTTATCTTAAAGTGAGTAGACTCTAATCGAGTGATATTCAAATAAAACTGGCTTTCCAGGGTTTTGTAGTGCCAGAATTTTTGTTAAAATTTGAGATCTGATTATTTCAAACTAGCAACAGAAGACCAGGAAGTTAATAATGCAGTGTATTTGTGCAAACAGCTGTTTTTGCATTGACATTATTAAATGTACAGAGGGCCTGGGAGCAGTGACTCATGCCTGTAATCTCAGCACTTTGGGAAGCTTAGACTGGAGGATTACCTAAGGCCAGGAGTTCAAGAACAACTTGGTCAACCCCATCTCTACAAGTAATAAATTTAAAATTTTTAAAAGTTAGCCAGCTGTACTGGTGTGTGCCTGTAGTCCTAGCTACTCAGGAGGTTGAGACAGGAGGACTGATGGAGCCCAGGAGTTTGAGGCTGCAGTGAGCTATGATAGTACCACTGCACTCCAGCCTGGGTGACAGGGAGAGATGCTGTCTCTAAAATAAAAATAAACATACAGAGACACATTTAACGTAGAAATAGATCAGAAGTTGAATCTTAATGCTCATAAAGCTAACACTTTACAATTCAAGTTACTATTGATTTTATTTTATTTAATTTATTTATTTATTTATTTATTTGAGACAGAGTCTCACTCTGTTGCCTAGGCTGGAATGGAGTGGTGCAATCTTGGCTCCCTGCAATCTCCGCCTCCCAGGTTCAAGCGATTCTCCTGCCTCAGCCTCCTGAGTAGCTAGGATTACAGGCATGTGCCACCATACCCAGCTAATTTTCGTATTTTATTTTATTTTATTTTTGTAGAAACGGGGTTTCGCCATGTTGGCCAGGCTGGTCTTGAACTCCTGACCTCAGGTGATCCGCCTGCCTCAGTCTCCCAAAGTGCTGGGATTACAGGTGTGAGCCACCGCGCCCAGCCGAGTTACTATTAATTTTAAATGGCAAAACCAAACAACCAATATTGTTGGAGCAGAAGAATGCTTATCACTGCAATTCTATTACCTTTGCCTGTTACCTGTCTTTATTTTCCCTTTATTTAGAACCTGAAGGGTGCTTTTAGGGTGGAAGAATATAAAGTTTAAGAATTTGCTTAAGTGAAACACTTGTTATATCTTCATTCTAGTAACATTCTAGTTTTTGTAGAAGGGCCTGATCCCTCTCTCTGACCCATTTAACTCTGTCTCCTAAACACAGTCTAATTCAGTTCCTTTTGTATGACATAAAAATCAGAATAAGAAGTACCTGACATACTTTCTACATCTGTAGTTGCGGAAGACATTTTAATAGGTAAGAGCAAAAGCACAAGCCTGCATACTTCTTTTTTAACCCTGTGGATCATTTAAATAAATCCTTTCGTATTATTCCAAGATATAAGTGCATTGTGATGATGTATAAGAATTTAAATATAAGGCAGTCTGCAAGCAGGGTTTTTTATGTAGATGGGCAGCAGTTTATTGTAGGAAATTATGTGTATGTACTTAAATTAAAGCATCAGCACTAGGTGTCCGCAGATTACATCAAAGAGGGCCTCAAATTGAGTATCAGTAAAATCGCAAGAAATGGACTACATCCTTTACAAGGACACCTCTGGTACAACATTTTCCTGTTCAAACATTAATTTCCACATAGCCTGGCATTTGGCAGGTTATGTGCCATGAATTCTGTGGATATTAGTAGGCATCATGTTGAAGGAAGGGTTCTGTAGTCAAATGCGGACTAAATTAGTTTTATTCTTTTTCCACTTTAGGTCTTCTCATAGCCTTTCTTTGCTAAGGACATTGTGACTCTCCAGAGAGCAACAGTGATGGCTCTAGAATGTCTAGGAAAAAGAAGGGCTTAATGTCAGGAGTCTGCTTGGGGCACACAACACTAGAAGATGTCCTTCTGCACATTGTTTCATATCGAGTGTGTATTTTGTGGTGATCTGGGATGCTGATAGAAATAATTGGATGTTAGTGCCCTAAGCCACCTCTGCACTATTTTTTTTATTTATTTATTTTTTGAGACAGAGTCTCGCTCTGTCACCCAGGCTGCATTGCAGTGGTGCAATCTTGGCCCACAGCAACCTCTGCCTCCCAGGTTCAAGCGATTCTCCTACCTCAGCCTCCCAAGTAGCTGGAATTACAGGCACCTGCTACAACACCCGGCTAATTTTTGTAGTTTTTGTAGAGACGAGTTTCACCATGTTGACCAGGCTGGTCTCAAACTCTTGACGTCAAATGATCCACCTGCCTCAGCCTCCCTAAGTGCTGGGATTACAGGCGTGAGCCACCGCGCTTGGCCCTCTCTGCGCAATTATTGATATGTAGCATTTTCACACTTCTATGGCCATGAAACCATTTTGAACCTGTATCAGAGGCGCACACTTTAGGAAAAACCAATACAGACAATAGTGCCTCTTGTTACAGTTTTTGCTTTTATCAGTGTGTTGGAAAAGGTCCTCTTTATCCCCAAGATCAGTTAATGCTTCCTTATGTTGTCATTTCTGTGGGCTTTTTTCCATTTAATGTTTTAATCCAGTTGAAATGTATTTTTGTATATGATGTAAAAGACATTCAACTCATTTTGTGTATGTATTTATTGATTGAAAAATGCCAGTTATTTCCAAACCTTGCGTTAAATGTGTTTTTGTTTTTCTTTTCAGGTATGGAACCCTTCAGATCAAAGCTTACCAATAAATTCAGTATGTAGAACAGATTAACGTAGTTGAAATGAGGAAGAATGAGAGTTATCTCAACCAGCCAGCACCCCCTATCCCCATTCCCACACTTTCCCTCATGGGAGGCTGTCGGGAGCACTTCGAAAACCACTGGAAAGGCCGGGCACGGTGGCTCATGCCTGTAATCCCAGCACTTTGGGAGGCCAAGGCAGGCAGATCACCTGAGGTCAGGAGTTCGAAACCAGCCTGGCCAACATGGCGAAACCCCATCTTTACTAAAAATACGAAAATTAGCCAGGTGCGGTGGTGCATACCTGTAATCTCAGCTACTTGGGAGGCTGGGGCAAGAGAATCACTTGAACCTGGGAGGCAGAGGTTGCAGTGAGCTGAGATCGTGCCGTTGCACTCCAGCCTGGGTAACAGAGCGAGACTTCGTCTCAAAAATAAAAAAAAAACCCATTGGAAAAATTCATCCTCTCATAAATGACTTGAAATGCCACCTCCGTAATACACTACGTTAAAAATTTTACATACTCAAATTGTTTTTCTCTTTTTGTGCCAGGTCATACTTTAAGGAGCCCAAGAGCTTTATAACATAACAAAAGAAACTGAAATGTCTAATAAATGTGTACATAACAATATGAGTTGTTTGTGTTTTTTTGGCCTATAAAATTAGCATAGATCTTTAAAATAATATACAGTATTGGTAAGAGCTGAATAAATACCTTTAATATAGAGAAGGTTTAACTTAGTAAAACTATGTTTGGTAGATAATGTGTGTCAAAAGTTTACAATGCTCATATCCTTTGATCCAGCATCTCACTTATAGGGTTTCACCCTAAAGAAATAAACAGAAATGTGTGAAAAAAATTTGCTGTTGTTTATATTATTGACAAAATTGAAGATATCAATAACAGTATGAGACTGGGTAAGTGAATCATGGCACATCCCCATGAGATGGGATACTCTTCAGCCATAGAAGTGATATTGTAGAAAGAAAAATATTGAGTGCTTGTGATGAACCTGGCACCATACCAAGCACCTCATTTATACTGTCTGAAGCCTAACAATACCCCATACGATAGGTATTATTATTCCCATTTATAGGTGAGAACACCCTCAGAATTCTAAGTTAGGTAAAGTTCAGCTAGTAAGGTAGTGTTGGTAGTGTAAGGTAGTGTTGCTGGAATTCAACACATGTCTACTCTTAACCCTTATTCTTAGCCACTGTCATGATACAGGAAAATACTATTTACTGATAAGTTTCTAGTAATTTAACTGACATTAAACACATGAAAACTATATGCAATTCCTTCCTTTCCAAAGTTCCTAGGTTTGGTAATTTTTTATCCTAAAATGAATTTATATGTTTTTTATTGCTTATGGAAGTATTAGATGCCTACTCTTAAGAATTCAAACTGTACAGAAGATTATAAAGTAGCTGCATCTTTAGTCATAAATTATACCCTCTGTATATGATACGATAGATTCATAGGCTCTTTCTGTTCCCTCAATTCTGTTCTTGCTGTGGTATCAGCTTGTGGGCCCTGGTTGGGGATAGAGATGAACTAGAAAGGCAAACTGAGTGGGGTGCAGGTGTGAGTGGTTGACTTTCACCACAGGTGATTAGAAACACTGATTCTGGAGCCAATCTGGCTAGATGGAGTCCCAGCTCTTACTTACCAGCTGTTTGGACTTGGACAACTAATAGGAGTGCTTACTGTGTGTGATATGCATACATGGTTTCCCCATTTGTCTTTATGAGTTAGATGTTTTTATTCCCTTTTTATACAGATGACAAAACTAAAATTCAGGGAGGTTACGTATGGAAGTAGAATGAATCATTAGACCCATTTCTAGGACTACAGACAAGATAAATACTGAAAGCTGCTTGTCCAGGAGATAGCAAAATGCTGACAAATGAGAAACAGACCTGCATAGCCATCACACCCTCTAGAACCAAGGGGTAGTGTTTTAAGATAGAGGACTGGGTGAGTATCAGAAAGCTGTGCTTTGAAAACCTGACTGCTTTTAAGTATTTCCTGTTTTGTTCTCATTTTGTAGGTATTAGAATTATTTCTGAATTATCAGTCTCTCATTTGTGCTTTGGAGAAGCAGAAAAGGCAAAAGGGGTCTTTGGCCATCTTCTGCTGGAGCTTCCAGGGAGGATGTGTCTCCAAGAGACCAGATGTACCGAGTTTGAAATCCCAGAAGCCCAAGAGGAAAAGAATCACAGGGAGGAAAAGACTGTCCAAAGGCTTCTGGAGTCTTCTGTTCTCTAACCTTGGAAGGTTTTGAACAATATTTCTCAGAGGATAGCCTTTCACTTATTCATCTGTCCAGCATGACTCATCCCCGGGAGTGTTGAGTAAGTGAAATTTTGCTGTATTCATGTTTTTGTGACTTATAAAATAGGATGATAAGGAGAGAACATGAACTCTGGAGTCAGACCTGTTACCTCGGACATGATACTCTTAGCTTTGTCATTTAGTATTTGAGTAATTTTGGGCAAGCTAACATCTCTGGTCGTTCTCATCTGTAAAATGAGAATAAATGAAACCCACTAACCAGAATTGGTATGAAAATGAAATGTGGCAGAAAAAAAATGAAAGTGAATAGTATCACCACTGACACACAAGCACTAAAGGCCCTTCCTGTCTCCATCAGGTATGGATTTGGGGCAACATTTGGCCAGGTCTTGTTTATCTTTCTGTTCATCTATTCTGTCTAATTCAGTGCTTTGTTTACAACGAATGTCTTACAAATGCTGACTGAACACTAGCATACCTGCATGAACAACAGGTAAATAAATTTTAGATGTGTTTTAATGTTTATTAATCTATCCTGTCAGAGAAGAACTGCCAGTTATAGATAAATATGATGCCAGGTCAGGGCTGAAGAGTTGGGCAGGTTGTTATCTGCATGGGGTCACTAGGTTCCAGTGGAGAGGTGGGGGCTAAGCTCTCACCCGCTCTGCAGCCACCTGGCACCCGGTTTCAGTTTCCTGAAAGGGAGCCTTCTACTTGCTGACGACTGCCTCATCTCTTCTGAGGTTTCCTCTGATAAACAATTTTCTCTGCTTTTTTTTTTTAATTATGAAATACTTAAAATGTAAAGGAGATAATGTGACACACATTTACCCATAATTGAGATTGCCATAATTGCTATAACTTTTTCAAAATTTTGACTTAATTTCAGACTTTTAGAAAAATTGGCCAGGTGTGATGGCTCATGCCTGTAATCCCAGCACTTTGGGAGGCCAAGGTGGGTAAATTACTTGAACCCAGCAGTTCGAGACTTGCCTGGGCAACATAGTGAGACCTTGTCTCTACTGAAAACAAACTAAAAAAAAAATTAGCCAACCATGGTGGTGCATGCCTGTAGTCCTAGCTACTCGGGAAGCTGAGGCAAGAGGATAGCCTGAGCCCAGGGGAGTTGGGGCTGAAGCCTGGGTGACAGAGGAAGACCTTGCCTTCAAAAAAACAAAAAAAAAGAAAAGAAATTCTTTATATTACAAAGAATTCCCATATACCTTCCACAGTTTCCCAAATGTTAATATTTTCCCACATTTGCTTTATCCTTGTCTCTTGATATTACATATGCTGGTTATATTTTTCTGAACCATTTAGGAGAAATTTGCATACATGATGACTGTTTCCTCCTAAATACTCCAGTTCTTATTTTCTAAAAATAAGGACATTCTCTTACACAACCACAGAACAATTATCAAAAGCTTGGAAACTAACATTGATACAATACTTTAATCTACATACCTCATTCAGATTTCACCAGTTGTCCTAATAATGTAATAAAATTATTTCTGGATTATGTCTATCTCATTTATAGTAAAAGAAAATCCTGGATCATGCATTGCACTCTGTTGTGTATCTTTAGTCTCCTTCATTCTGAACACTTCCTCAGTCTGGCTTTATCTTTCCTAACATTGACGTTTTATAAAAATACAGGCCAGTTTTTTTTTCCTTTTTGAGATGGAGTCTCAGTCTGTTAACCAGGCTGGAGTGCAGTGGTGCGATCTTGGCTCCCTGCAACCACCGCCTCCCCAGTTCAAGCAATTCTCCTGCCTCAGCCTCCCAAGTAGCTGGGACTACAGGTGCCTGACACCACACCTGGCTAATTTTTTGTATTTTAGTAGAGACAGGGTTTCACTGTGTTGCCCAGGGGTGGTCTTGACCTCCTGAGCTCACACAATCAGCCCACCTGGGCCTCCCTAAGTGCTGGGATTACAGGCGTGAGCCACCGCACCTGGCCCAGGCCAGTTACTTTTGCAGAATATCCTTCAATTTGGATTTTTCTTCTCTTTTCTTCCCTTCCTCCCTCTCCTCTCCTCTCCTCTCCTCTCCTCTCCTCTCCTCTCCCTTCCCCTCCCCTCCCCTCCCCTCCCCTCCCCTCCCCTCCTCTCCCCTCCCCTCCTCTCTCTCCCTCCTTCCTTCCTTCTAAAGCATTTTAGGTAGAGCTAAAACTTCACCTCTTCACCCATCTCCTGCTCTCCCTGTCTGTTTTTTCCTTTGTCAAGGAACCTGCTTTCTAATGTGTTTTTGTCCTTTTACTACATATGATAAGATCTATAGATACTGATTTTTGGTATCTATTGAGACTTGCTTTTTGACCCATTACATGACCACTTTTATAAATGTTCTGTATAAGAAAGAATGTGCACTCTTCAGTTCTTTAAATGAGTTAATAAGTGTAAAGCACTTACAACCAGTGCCTGTTTCATCATGAGCACCATGCAGTGTCAAATTTTTAAAATAATAATATGAACGTACAGTTTTATATAAATCCAATAGCTCAAATTTGTTAACTGTCTTGTTCATGTTTTGTATGTTTGAGCTCTCAATCTTTAGATAAGTTCATTAAAACCTCCTTGTGATTGTGATATATACATTTTTGCATGTCTCCTACCAACTTTGTCTCCCTGGCGTGGGAGTGAGAGAGGTCCAGGCCAGTCGTCTGGATCCTGTCCCCTGATCCTTCCTGTAAGTGAGGGCTGTGCTTCACTGCACAACAGAGAATTAAGACAGAAGTCTTGGCACTGACTGAGCAGAAAGGGCATCACAGGGACATAGAGATTAATGAATTCAAACAGACTGAGAATCACAGTGGCGTTGCCATCTCCCCTTTTGTAAGCTTTTGCACTGCAGTCCAATCATCACTTGCTGCCCTCTGATATTTCTTCTCTCAAAATGCCTCTTCTGTTCTCTCAACACTAATTCCTCAGAAGTTTAGTCCAATTTTTTGGATAGTAGCCACCAAATTCCCTGTTTTTAACATTTCAAAACTACATTTCAATATTCACCTGATACTTATGGGACCAGAAGCTTGAAGAGAAATGTTTTTTAACTGATTAGATAAATATTGAATATTGAATATTGAACATCTGGCTCTCGGAAGGTCATGGACCAGGGCAGACCTTGGCCACTAAGCTCTGAAAGAAGCCACGAGGCTGGAGCACATGCAACCAGGTGGTGTCCGAAAGACAGGGGCTAGCTCCCAGAGGGCCACAGGAGAGTTTTGGATTGTGTTCTAGGGATGGGAATCCATTGAAAGGTTTTAGGAAAAGAGTGAGGCCAGGTGCAGTGGCTCACACCTGTAATCCCAGCACTTTGGGAGGCTGAGGTGGGTGGATCACTTGAGGTCGGGAGTTCAAAACCGGCTTGACCAACATGGTGAAACCCTGTCTCTACTAAAAAATACAAAACTAGCCAAGCATGGTAGTGCATGCCTGTAATCCCAGCTACTTGGGAGGCTGAGGCAGGAGGATCACCTGAACCCAGGAGGCAGAGGTTGCAGTGAGCCAAGATCGTGCCATTGCACTCCAGCCTGGGCAATAAGAGTGAAACTCCATCTCAAAAAAAAAAAAAAAAAAAAAAAAGAGAAAAGAAAAGAGTGAGATGACTGGATTTATGGTCTTAAATGCAGCTGTAGCTAGTAGGTAGAGAATGACTAGAGAGGGTCAAGAGTGGAAGCAGGAGCCGGGTGCGGTGGCTCACGCCTGTAATCCCAGAATTTTGGGAGGTTGAGGTGGGTGGATCACTTGAGGTCAGGAGTTCAAGACCAGCCTGGCCAACATGGTGAAACCCCATCTCTACTAAAAATGCAAAAATTAACTTGTGTGGTGACACTCACCTGTAGTCCCAGCTACTCAGGAAGCTGAGGCAGGAGAATCACTTGAACCTGGGAGGCAGAGGTTGCAGTGAGCTGAGATCACACCACTGCACTCTAGCCTGGGCGACAAAGTGAGACTCCGTCTCAAAAAAAAAAAAAAAAAAGAATTGTTTACACAGTTCATGGTGACCACCATAGCCACCTCATAAGTCTGGAAGGTCTAGTGTTACAACCATAACTCCCTCCCCTTATTTGAATGTTTTGAGTATTTTGTTAAAAACTTTTCATTTTGAAAAAGTCAAACTTACATAAGAGAATAGCACAATAAACATCCATGAATTTGATTCAATAATTCTTGTTTGCCAATATTCACATCACCTGGCTTTTTTTTCTTTGCTGTAATATTTTAAAGCAAATCCTAAATAATATGTAATTTTGTTCCTTCATTAATCAAGGATCCATCTCTAAGATGAACATTTTCTTACATACTACAAAGCCATGTTCATGAAACTAATAATTTATTGGTGATATCTAATATGAATTCCATAACCAGATATCCCTGATTATGTCAAAAATATCTTTTTACAGTTGGTTCGTTTGAATCAGGATCTGACTAAGGTCCACACAATGCATTTGGTTGTTAGATCTTTTAGTTCTCTTTTAATCCAGGACACTGCTTTTTTCCCCTCCTTTTTACTTTCACTCTCTTTAGAAAATGTATCTCATTGACTCATAGAAACTGAATTAATTGTCCTTTAAAAGTCTCAATACTATTATAAATAACAAAAATTATTAAATTAAAAAAAAGGACTAACCCTGGTGTTTGAGGCTTAACTTTAAACTTCAGCAAGTCAGATTATCACTTTGGTATTGGAATGTTCTTTGAAGTATCTGGCATACAGTCCAGTCCAGTGAACCATAAAAACTTCCTACTTGGCACACATATTGCACGTTGTTTAATAAGAATGCTTATTGCACATTAATAAGAAGGCTTGTGCTTAGTGTTTTTTGTTTGTTTGTTTGGAGATATAGCTTTGCTCTTGTCACCCAGGCTAGAGTGCAATGGTGCGATCACAGCTCACTGCAACCTCTGCCTCCTGGGTTCAAGCAATTCTCCTGCCCCAGCCTCCCAAGTAGCTGGGATTACAGGCACACACCACCATGTCCAGCTAATTTTTGTATTTTTAGTAGAGACGGGGTTTCACCATGTTGGCCAGCCTGGTCTCGAACTCCTTATCTCAGGCAATCCACCCATCTAGGCCTCCCAAAGTGCTGGGATTACAGGCATGAGCCACCACACCCGGCCATGCTTAGTGTTTTAATTTATCATCCAGTCTTCTCAGGTGCTTGACCTGCTTACTGTGATTTGTCAACTGTTACTAAGTTAACAGAATCTAAAAATAGCAAACAGTTTCTCAGACATTTTTAAAAACCATTAAGATGATGCTTCAGTTTGCTAACCTCAGTCTTCACTTCAGAAATTAGAAAACTAAAAATAGCTGAAATGAAGGTAGCATCAGTAAAAACCAAGTTTGTTTGCACTTTGAGGATATATAGAAGGAGCCATGACCAAATAACACATGTATTCTTCCACCCAGTGTCTGTCTTCACCAAGAAGGACGACTTTGATTGGCTGTAATTGGCCACTGTTGCTAATGGAGTAGAGAGAGTCTTGCTACATGCGGGAACTAGAATTACATCACTGCGTTTTTTGGCTTTGTTTCTTCAATGGGTTGTAGTGTATGAATATTATTACAAAATAAAATGATTTAAAAATATCCATCTAATGTTAATCGTTTTGAATTATTTACTGATTTGATGATTCAAAGCCAGTGTATGTTTACAGAAAATGGAGATTTTGTCTCCCATTGAATTTGTGCTCATACATTCTGGGCTTAATACTGATTCTACCACTTGCCAGCTCTATGACACTAGAGAAATCATTTAACTTTTCTGAGCCATAGTATCCAATGTGTAATAATCACATCACAGTAAATGGAGTATCTATCACCTAAAGCATTTATCATTTCTTTGTGTTTGAGACAGTAGATTAAAAATTTAGCTTGGGTAATTCTGGGTGTGTTTATTGGATCAGGCCTTAAACTAGGAGGCATTTTACAGAGACACATTAGTTACTTTGAGATGAAAGAGGGTTTAGGAGCCAGGATCCTTGAATTGTCAAACAGCCAGTTACTGTGGCTTCAGCCACTCCTCCTTGATCCCTATAACAGATAAGTGTTTAGAGGACCAGGCTGGACAGACACTGGCCATCAATACATCCAGAACCTTGACGTAGTGTCTGGGATGAATTGAGTGGATGACCTCCCCACATCTTCACTGATAATTAGTCACTCCCATAATTAGTGTTCCCATAGCTCTTTGGATTCATCATATCCTGCCTTGTATTATATTTGCTTGTATACAAATATATACCTTCCACTAAAATATACGTATGTTGAGTAGGGATCACATTGTTTATCTTTCTAACTTCCTGTGCTTAGCATAGAACTTTTAATGTAGTAAGAACTAGGTAAGTGTTTCATTTAATTGAATTGGCACTCAGAGCCAGAAAACATCATAGCCAGTTATCCTGGTGCTGTTTATTAAATAAGCCAGTCTTTCCCCACTGATCTAAAGTGCTACTTTGAACATGTATGAAATCTTAAATGTATGAACTTGAGTTATTTTGTGGATTCTGTTTCACCCCACGGCTCCACTTGTCTTTTCCTTGTCAGTACCATTCTGCCCTGCTTACAACGTAGTCTCATAGTTCTTTTTAATATCTCATAAGCCAAGTCTTATTTTGCCACAGTTGTTTTTCAAACTTTCTTGGCTATTTTCTTTCTTTCTATCTTTCTTTCTTTCTTTTTTTTTTTTGAGATGGAGCCTCACTCTGTCGCCCAGGCTGGAGTGCAGTGGCGTGATCTCGGCTCACTGCAAGCTCCACCTCCCGAGTTCACACCATTCTCCTGCCTCAGCCTCCTGAGTGGCTGGGACTACAGGGGCCCACCACCACACCTGGCTAATTTTTTGTATTTTTAGTAGAGATGGGGTTTCACCGTGTTAGCCAGGATGGTCTCGATCTCCTGACCTCGTGATCCGCCTGCCTCGGCCTCCCAAAGTGCTGGTATTACAGCGTGAGCCACTGTGCCTGGCCGGCTATTTTCAAACATTTGTCTTCCAAATAAACTAGAGAATCAACTTTAAAAAATTGCCATTTGGATTTTAATAAAAATGGCATATAATTTATAGGTTGATGTGAAGATACTTCCCTTTTTATTTTTATTTATTTATTTTTTTGAGACGGAGTTTCGCTCTTGTTGCCCAGGCTGGAGTGCAATGGCGTGATCTCTGGCTCACTGCAACCTCTGCCTCCTGGGTTCAAGCAATTCTCCTGCCTTAGCCTCCCAAGCAGCTGGGATTACAGGCATGTGCCACCACACCTAGCTAATTTTTGTATTTTTAGTAGAGACGTGGTTTCTCCATGTTGGTCAGTGTGGTCTCGAACTCCCAACCTCAGGTGATCCACCTGCCTTGGCCTCCCAAAGTGTTGGGATTACAGGTGTGAGCCACAGCACCCGGCTGATACTTCCCTTTTTAAATGGGTTTTAACATTTCTTATTAATTTTGTTTCAGGGTATTTTATAGTTGTGATTATTATAAATGGGATTTTAAACATATTTTTAAACTTTCTCATGTATACAGATAAGGAAACTGAGGCACAGAGAGGGGAGGTAACTTACACTGGCTCTCACAACTGGTAAGAGGCAGTCAAATGTGTCATGTTCCAAGGCCAATGCCTCTTCCTGTGTCTTCCCTGATACCAATTATTTTCTTTTTTTTTCTTTTTTTTTTTTTGTTTTTGAGACGGAGTTTCGCTCATTGCCTAGGCTGGAGTGCAATGGCGCGATCTCGGCTCACTGCAACCTCCGCCTCCCGGGTTCAAGCGATTCTCCTGCCTCAGCCTCCGGGGGTTACAGGCATGTGCCACCACCCCAGCTAATTTTGTATTTTTAGTAGTGATAGAGTTCCTCCATGTTGGTCAGGCTGGGCTTGAACTCCTAACCTCAGGTGATCCGCCCACCTCGGCCTCCCAAAGTGCTGGGATTACAGGCATGAGCCACTGCTCCTGGCCTATTTTCATTTTTCATTGCATTTTGAAACTTTAAAAGTTACGTGAGACATAAGACTTTATATTGCATTATTTTTCTTTCTTTTTTTTTTTAAACAAAGAGTTTCCCTCTTGTTGCCCAGGCTTAAGTGCCATGTTGCAATCTTGGCTCACTGCAACCTCCGCCTCCTGGGTTCAAGTGATTCTCCTGCCTCAACCTCCCGAGTAGCTTGGACTACAGGTGCCCACCACCACACCGGCTAATTTTTGTATTTGTAGTAGAGACAGGGTTTCACCATGTTGGTCATGCTGGTCTCGAACTCCTGACCTCAGGTGATCCACCACCTTGGCCTCCTACAGTGCTGGGATTACAGGCATGAGCTACTGCGCCTGGCTGCATTCCTTAACTAATCAGTAGGCTGTCTGATAACATACTTTTTAAACTGCTTTTTCATCTCCTTTGGCCACTTGTCCAATAGACTAATGGTGTTAATTATGTATTTGTAAGAATGCAGTTTACATATTGGATAGAAAGTTTTTAAGGATTCTGTTTTTCCTCATATCTTCTTAAATAGCCTTGGGTCTTCTTGCTCACCAATTCCTCCTTTCCTCTAATTATTCTAACTTACATCTTCTGTAACAACTTCTTATCTGAAAATTCTACTGCCAGCACATACTACAGTATATTAAGTATTTGTTGTTATATGGAACATCCTTATCTTGTTAGTGTTATAGTAGTAGTAATAGTAAATAATAATAACAGCTCTCAAACACTGAGTGCTTTCAGGTGCTATATCTCATTTAATCCTCTGTGACCCAATAAGATATCCTCATTTTACAGATAAAGAAGTAGTCGCAGACAGATTTACCAACTTGCCCAAAGACATGCTATTAACAAAAGGAAGACCTGTCAAATTCCAAAGCCCATGTTCTTCATTATCATGCTGTCTGGTCCTCAAGTGTAAAGTCAAGTCTCTGTGGGGAAAACAAAAAGCTCTTTATTGTGTTAAGAAAGAAAACTTCCACACTAATTTATTAAAATTCCTACACCATTTTATTAAAGGCTTTAAATAAAAAAGATTTTCAGTTTTATGAAATATTTTCTCAGCATTTGTAAGAACTCTGCTGCCTGCCATCTCCCATGCCTACACTGGCTTCCCATCTCTTGGGGTCCCTGGGCATTGCCACTATGACCTCCAGGGGGCACTGTTTCCCCTTTATTATTGAGGCTCAAGCATTTGACTCATTTCCTGAAGTACAGATGAAACAAGCAAAACTTTTAAAAACTTTAACAGGCCGGGCTGGGTGGCTCATGCCTGTAATCCCAGCACTTTGTGAGGCCGAGGCAGGTGGATCACTTGAGGTCAGAAGTTTGAGACCAGCCTGGCCAACATGGTGAAACCCCATCTCTACTAAAAATACAAAAATTAGCCGGGCGTGGTAGCGCATGCCTGTAATCCCAGCTACTCCGGAGGCTGAGGCAGGAGAATTGCTTGAGCCCAGTGGGCGGAGGTTGCAGTGAGCTGAGGTCACGCCACTGCACTCCAGCCTGGGCAACAGAGTGAGACTCTGTCTCAAAACAAAAATATAAAAATAAAAACTTTACAAAGGGCTCCAGGCAAACAGAATGCAAAGAGTACAGGAACTAATATACAACTAGATAATTCGGTTCACTAAATGCAGGGTAGACATTTCAGCACTTGACACTGTAAAAGGATTCCTCTTTACCTTGCTTCCTACTACCTGCACAAAACAGAAGCCACCTTTTCCTAAACTGCATAATGTCCTCAAGCAAGCTAAATTCTTCAAAAGCCAGCTCCAAGATTGGTAAGACCAGTTCCAGCTTTCTTCTAAATTCCAGTTTCCAGGCTCTGTATCTGCCTCCTCCCTAGATGGTGGGCCCTAAGCTTTTCGGCCCTCTTCTAGGAAGACGGCATTGCTGAGCTCTAAGGTTCTAGTTTTACCCTGTTGCTGGGAGATGGTTATCTATGGTTCTCTGTGTCCCTGCTTGTCTGGCCTTAGAATGTCAAGAATGCAAGCCCTGACTCCTTTTATTATCTATTACTGCATAACAAATTACCCTAAAACATAGGGGCTTAAAACAACATTTATTTTCTGACAGTTTCTGTGGGTCAGGAATCTGGATGTAGTTTAGCTGGGTGCCTCTGGCTCAGGGTCTCTCACAAGATACAGTCAGGGTGTGGGCTGGAGCTGCTGTCACCTCAAGGCTTGAGATAATCACTCATGTGGCTGTTGGTGGGCCACAGGTCCTCACTGACTGTCGGCTAGACATGCAGGTCCATCCATAAGGCAGCTTGCAACATGGCAGCTGATGAGATGATGCCCAACACAGAAGCCACAGTCTTTATAACCTCATCTCTAAAGCAACTTCTCATCTCTTGTGTCATATTCAGTTAATTAGAAGTGAGTCAATAAACTTAGCCCACAGTCAACTGGAGGAATTACAGGAGGCAAGAACCATTAAGGGCCACCTTACAGGCTTTCAGCCACACTATGCTTGATCCAAGCCATTTCCTATGGTTGTGTTTGCAGTGAGCAATCTTGAGGAATGAGGTAACATCTCCCTCTGGGACAAAAAGCAATCTCACTGCTTGTTATAATAGCAGTGGGTTCCCCAAGATTATTGTTGTTCGTCAGCTGCAATGCAAACCCACTCTCTAGGCCCATGCATGTCGCTCCTGTGGAACTGGGGACTTGGGAGCAAGAGAAACTGATACAAACATTCTGATGGGCATGGCTTTTTTTTTTTTCCTGTACTGTGAATAATAAACTTCTTTTTCTCTGGCGTAGATGTCTCCTGTCTTCCTCCAGCATTCACAAACCAGGAACGGCTAGCTTTTTGACCTGTAAGTAGCATAAAATCAAATCACAGACCTGACAGTTTGACTCAGCAAGACTTTAACAGAATGCATATAGTCCTTCAAGAACCAGCATTCACACACGTGATCCACATACATATTATACATTTTATTTAACAAACATGTGTTCCAGGTATTATTCTAAGAGTTTATAGATATAAACTCATTCTATCCATGAAGTAAGTACTATTAAAACTCCCTGTTTTATAGATGGGGAAGAAGATGCACAAAGATGTTAAGTAACTTGCCCAAATCAGGCAGTTTTTAAGTGTCAGAGCCCCATTATTCAAACAGAAACAAATACAAACAGTGGGCACAATGGCTTATGCCTGTAATCCCAGCACTTTGGGAGGCCGAGGTGGGCAGATCACCTGAGGTGAGGAGTTCGAGACCAGCCTGGCCAACATGGTGAAACCCCATCTCTAGTAAAAATACAAAAATTAGGCCGGGTGTGGTGGCTCACACCTGTAATCCCAGCACTTTGGGAAGTCGAGGCAGGCGGATCATGAGGTCATGAGATCGAGACCATCCTGGCTAACACGGTGAAACCCGGTCTCTACTAAAAATACAAAAAAAATTAGCGGGTGTGGTGGCACACGCCTGTAGTCCCAGCTACTCGGGAGGCTGAGGCAGGAGAATCGCTTGAACCCGGGAGGCGGAGGTTGCAGTGAGCTGAGATCGCGCCACTGCACTCCAGGCTGGGCCATAGAGCGAGACTCCGTCTCAAAAAAAAAAAAAAAAAAAAAATTAGCCGGGCATGGTGGCATGTGCCTGTAATCCCAGCTACTCAGGAGGCTGAAGCACGAGAATTGCTTGAACCTGGGAGGCGGAGGTTGCAGTGAGCCGAGATCATGCCACTGCACTCCAGCCTGGGCAACAGAGCGAGACTCCATCTCAACAACAACAACAACAAAGAAATACAAACAACATTGCTACAGAGTCTATTGACCCACTGTATCATGCTGACTGTGTTAAGGGCTAGGAATGGATGGGGCAAAGAGAAGATAAGGGAAATGATCAAACAGTTTAATTCCTCAAAACAGTTGTTGAGATAATCAATTTAAAGAGCTTTTTATTCCTAACATATTACAGTTTTTATTGCTTTATTATTCTGGTCATATTGATACACACTTTGATTCAGTGTGCTATACTTGGCTTGTTAGGATTTGATCGAGAAAATTTGTGTCTATATTCAGACTATGTATTCAAAAACGGTTTGTCTGCAAAAAACCTACCCATGAAAGTTTATAGCAGTTTCTTTATTTATAATAGCCAAATTGGCAGCAACCAAGATGTCCTACCCTAGGTGAATAGATAAATAAACTGTGGTACATCCATACAATGAAATATTTTTGGCGCTAAAAAGAAATGAACTAGCAAGCCATGATAAGATGCAGGGGGACAACTTAAATGGATGTTGCTAAGTGAAAGAGACCAATCTGAAAAGGCTACATACTGTATGATTCTAACTACATGACATTATGAAAAAGGCAAAACTATGGAGACAATAAAAAGAACAGAGGTTGGTGGTAGGGAGGGATGAATAGGTGAAAGATACAGGATTTTTAAGATAGCAAAACTAAGCCAGACATGGTGGCTCACATCTGTAATCCCAACACTTTAGTAGCTGAGGCAGGTGGATTGCTTGAGCTGAGAAGTTGGAGACCAGCCCAGGGAAACAGGGCGAAACCTCCTCTCTACAAAAAATATAAAAATTAGCCGGGCATGGCAGCATGCACCTGTAGTCCCAGCTACTTGGGAGGCTGAGGTGGGAGGATTGCTTGAGCCCAGGAGATCAAGGCTGCAGTGAGCTGTGATTGAGCCACAGCACTTGAGAGACAGAGGGAGACGCTGTCTCACATATACACACACACAAAGTGAAACTATTCTGTATGATACTATAATAACAGATACATCATTATACACTTGTTAAAACCCATAGAATGTACAACACCAAGCGAGAACCATACTGTAAACTATGGACTTTGGGTGATAAAGATGTTTCAATGTAGGTTCATCAGTTGCAACAAATGTACCACTTGGGTGCAGATGTTGATAATGGGGGAGGCTGTGCATGTGTGGGGGCAAGGAGTAAGTGGGGAATTTCTGTACCTTCTCAGTTTTACTGTAAAGCTAAAACTGCTTTTAAAAAGTCTTTAAAAATAGTCTATCTTTGAAACTTGCAGCGTACTTTAAAATGTAAAATATTGGTAATGGTGTGATTGTGTATAATAAGTTTTTGTTAACTTCACTCTTTACCTGTGCAAGTCCCCCATGCCCTTGGCCTTTCCTTTCTGTCTGTTACCTCCTCCTTTCCTAGGAAGTGTAAATGGCACGGTCCCCACTTGGGCTCTCTTCCTTTACTCCATTGTCCTTTTCTTAAACCTTCGTAAGCCAGGTTCAATCCAGCTGTCTGCCTCCTCCATGGCTATATCAGGGCTGCAGAGCTTTGCCGGAGAAAAACCACGATGGTGAAGATGACGCCCTGTATACAACTCACAGTCTCCCACCTGGACTCATCCTTCAGTGTTTCTTCCTTCCAATTATTTCTGTTTCTCAAATCAGAGCTTTCTACTTCAAACGTGTATAAGATTTTTTGGGGTATATTTTTGTTTTTTGAGACAGAGTTTCGTTCTTGTTGCCCAGGCTGGAGTGCATGGCGTGATCTCAGCTCACAGCAACCTCCGCCTCCCAGGTTCAAGCAATTCTACTGCCTCAGCCTCCTGAGTGGCTGGTATTACAGGCATGTGCCACCACGCCCGGCTAATTTTGTATTTTTAGTAGAGATGGAGTTTCTCCATGTTGGTGAGGCTGGTCACGAACTCCTGACCTCAGGTGATGTGCCCGCCTCGGCCTATCAAAGTGCTAGGATTACAGGCATGAGCCACCATGCCTGGCCCTAATTTGTTTTCTATTTGCTGCCATAATAAATTACCACAAACTCAGAGGCTTAAAACAACAGAAATTTATTACTATACAGTTCTGTAGGTTAGAAGTCTGACATGGGTTTCACTGGACTTGGCAGGACTGTGCTCGTCTTTTGGAGGCTCTAGGAATGAATCCATTTCTTTGCTTTTTCCAGCTTCTAGAAGCCACCTGCATTCCTTGACTGTGGCCCTGTTGTCCACGTTCAAACCTAGCAATGTTGCATCTCGCTGACTATTCTTTCATAGTCACATCTCTTTCTCTGACTCTTCTATTATTGCCTCCCTCTTCCACTTTGCCCAGGCTGGAGTGCAGTGACCTGATCGTGGCTTGCTGCAGCCTCAACCTCCTCGGGCTCAGGTCATCCTCTCACCTCAGCCCCCTGAGTAGCTGGGACTACAGGCACGGATGTCACAAAGCCCAGCTAATTTTTTTGTAATTTTTTTAGAGATGGGGTTTTGCCATGTTGCCCAGGCTGGTCTGGGACACCTGAGCTCAAGCGTTCCGTCAGCCTTGGCCTCCCAAAGTGCTGGGATTACAGGCATAAGCCACGGCACCTGGCCCACTATTTTTTTTTTTTTTGAGACAGAATTTCACTCTTGTTGCCCAGGCTGGAGTGCAATGGCCTGATCTCAGCTCACTGCAACTTCTGCCTCCCAGGTTCAAGCAATTGTCCTGCCTCAGCCTCCCTAGTAGCTGAGATTACAGGGATGCACCACCACTCCCAGCTAATTTTGTATTTTTAGTAGAGACGGGGTTTCACCATGTTAGTCAGGCTGGTCTTGAACTCCTGACCTCTGGTGATCCGTCTGCCTCAGCCTCCCAAAGTGCTGGTATTGCAAGCATGAGCCACCATGCACGTCTTTGTGTTTTGGTGTTTTTTTGTTTGTTTGTTTGTTTTAAGAGACAGGATCGGCCAGGCGCAGTGGTTCACGCCTGTAATCCCAGCACTTTGGGAGGCCGAGGAGGGCAGATCACAAGGTCAAGAGATGGAGAACATCCTGGCCAACATAGTGAAACCCCGTCTCTACTAAAAATACAAAACTTAGCTGGGCATGGTGGCGCACACCTGTAGTCCCAGCTACTCGGGAGGCTGAGGCAGGAGAATTGCTTGAACCTGGGAGGCGGAGGTTGCAGTGAGCCAAGATCACGCCACTGCACTCCAGCCTGGCGACAGAGTGAGAGTCCGTCTCAGAAAAAAAAAAAAAAAAAGAGACAGGATTTCGCTGTGTTGCCCAGGCTGGAGTGCAGTATCACAATCATATCTCGTTGCAGCTTCAAACTCCTGAGCTCAGGCGATCTTCCTAGCAGCTGGGACTACAGGCACGAACCCCTCTTCCACTTTTAAGGACCTTGTGATTACATTCAACCCACCAAGGATATTCTATCTTAAGGTTAGCTGATTAGAAAACTCAATTCTGCAACCTTTATTCTTTGCTATGTAATGTAACGCATTCACAAGTTCTGGGAATGAGAACATGGACATCTTCAGGAAGCCATCAATCTGCCTATAATAATGGGTATATATTTTATATATGTCATTTACATAACAGTTCCCCTTATCTGCAGGAGATACATCCCAAGACCCCTAGTGGATGCCTGAAGCTGCAGATAGTACCAAACCCCCTACATATACTATGTATTCTCCCATACAATCACATTGTATAGGGCAGGCAGTGTATATAGCATGAATACACTGGACAAAGGCATGATTCACATTCAGGGCAGGACAGAGTGGGATGGCACAAGATTTCATCACACTACTCAGAATGGTGTGCAATTTAAAACTTATGAAGGGTTTATTTCTGAAATGTTCCATTTAATATTTTTGGACCACAGCTGACCATGGGTAACTGAAACTGTGGAAAGTGAAATCGCAGATAAGGGGAACTACGTATAATATATCTTATACAGTAGTTGGTATAAAATTTTAAATTTTACCATGAATTATTTTCTTACTATGGTTTTATCTCACTTAAACCTCACAACCCTATGAAGTAAGAGCTACGTTTACAAATGAGAAAACTAAGGCTAAGAACGTTAGGAAATGAGGCCAGGCGCGGCGGCTCACCCCTGTAATCCCAACACCTTGGGAGGCCAAATCACCTGAGGTCAGGAGTTCAAGACCAGCCTGGCTAACATGGCAAAACCCTGTCTATACTAAAAATACAAAAATTAACCAGGTTTGCTGGCATGCGTCTGTAATCCAGGCTACTCGGGAGCGGGAGGCACGAGAGTGGCTTGAACCCGGCAGGCAGACGTTGCAGTGAGCGGAGATCGCGCCACTGCACTCCAGCCTGGGCAACAAAATGAGACTCCATCTCAAAAAAAAAAAAAAAAAAAAAAAGAAAGTTAGGAAATGTATCTGGGGGAGGGCTGGTAAGCAGCAGAATGAGATTTGAACCCAGGGCTGTTTAAAGCCATATTCTTCATCACTATGCTATGCTGAAATTGGTTCAAATTGTATTTTTCTATTTTCCAAGAAAAAAGATTATTATAACGAAAATTGGATTCTGTTTTTGTCGGAAGAATAGTTCAAGGACTGTGAATCAGTTAAAATTTAAATAAACATATTGTCTTTCTGAATAACAAAATTGCCTTAATGTGCAGCTTATATTTTTTTGAATTGAATTTTATATGATCACAGACTTTTGGTAACTGTTTTTTACTTTTTATCCCATGCCCTACATTTCTAAACTGTTAGTACTGCTTGCTTTTAAGAAACCAAACGCTGGCCGGGCACGGTGGCTCACGCCTGTAATCCCAGCACTTTGGGAGGCCGAGGCGGGTGGATCACCTGAGGTCGGGAGTTTGAGACCAGCCTGACCAACATGTAGAAACCCCGTCTCTACTAAAAATACAACATTAGCCGGGCGTAGTGGTGCACACCTGCAATCCCAGCTACTCGGGAGGCTGAAGCAGGAGAATCGCTTGAACCCAGGAGGCGGAGGTTGCTGCGAGCTGAGATCGTGCCATTGCACTCCAGCCTGGGCAACAAGAGCGAAAACTCCATCTCAAAAAAAAAAAAAAAAAAAAAAAAAAAGGAAGAAAAAGAAAAAAACCAAATGGGTGTAAGTTCTTCCTAGGACTGTGAGTTTCGAGTTTGCTTATTTGCAGAGTTTAAAAGTAAACATGACCCCAGGAAGTCATGTGGTCCAGTCTCTTCCCTTGAATACCTCAAATCACCATTTTTTCATTGCTATTTAGGGAGAGGTAGAGGATTCCATTTTAGGCATAGAGAATTTTCATTTCCCTGATCTTAGTTGTCTGCAGTATTTTCCTCTACCTGTTTTTCAGATGATTGTTTTTCAGTGCAATAAGTAGCAAGGAAATGATTTATCTCAGCAGATAGATAGTAGCAATCTATCCCAATCAGGTGTTGAAATAGCAAGTAATGAGATGAAATCTGAGAGGTGGTTGCAGCCAAATAAAACGCCTGTAAAACTTTCAAACAGTATGGTACCAGGCATAAAGAAACAGCACAAAGCAGAAATGGTGCAACAGAAATGTAATATACTGAGGAATACATTCAACAGTGGAAGCAATCCACATAGTACAAGGAAAAAATTAAGGTGCTTTTTTCATTTTTCATTGTTTTATACCAAGGATTTAAAATCCCCTGCAAGGCCGGGCGCGGTGGCTCACGCCTGTCATCCCAGCACTTTGGGAGGCCAGGGCAGGCGGATCACCCGAAGTCGGGAGCTCAAGACCAGCCTGACCAATATGGAGAAACCCTGTCTTTAATAAAAATACAAAATTAGCTGGACATGGTGGCGCATGCCTGCAATCCCAGCTACTCGGGAGGCTGAGGTGGGAGAATTGCTTGAACCTGGGAGGCAGAGGTCGTGGTGAGCTGAGATCGCGCCATTGCACTCAGTCTGGGCAACAAGAGCGAAACTCTGTCTCAAAAACTAAATAAATAAATAAAAATAAAATAAAATAAAATCCCCTGCAAACACAGTGCATCTTTGTGCCTTGTACCTTATGTCTTAACACAGTGCTTTGCAGAGGAAATGTTTGTTGAATCAGTAACATTTATATGCACTTGACTGTCATAAAAGCACCTTGCAGATATCTAGAAGAGACATCACAAATGGCTCATTTAAACTATACAAAAACTAAGTGGCTGTTCAGATGGCCAGATTCAGATTCAAATTCCAATCCCTAGCACATTATTAGCTATTTAAAGGCCTGGATTAGCTGGGTGTTGTGGTGTACACCTGTAGTCCCAGCTACCCAGGAGACTGAGGTGGACAGATTACTTGAGCCCAGGAAACTGAGGCTGCAGTGAGCCAAGATCATGCCACTGCACTCCAGCCTGGGAGACACAGCCTTGAGACCCTGTATCAAAAAAAAAAAAAAAAAAAAAAAAAAAAGCCTGGGAGTGGAGTCAGGGGAAGGAGGTACATGCGAAGGTTTGTTACATAGATAAACTCATGTCATGGAGGTTTGTTGTATAGATTATTTCATGACCCAGGTATTAAACCCCAGTACCCAACAATTTATAAAGTGCCATTTGAGCATGGTGATGATATTTTAATATTTTACCTCTCTGAGCCTAGCACAGTACCTGGCACACACTAGGTACTGAACAAATAGTTATTGGATGAAGGAATATATATATATATAATATATATATTATATTATATATAAGTGTATATATATTATATATACACTTATTTTATAAAAAAAAATAAATATATTTTTTTGAGACAGAGTCTCGGTCTGTCACCCAGGCTGGAGTGCAGTGGTGTGATCTCGGCTTACTGCAAGCTCCGCCTCCCAAGTTTATGCCATTCTCCTGCCTCAGGCTCCCGAGTAGCTGGGACTACAGGCGCCCACCACCACGCCCGGCTAATTTTTTGTATTTTTAGTAGAGATGGGGTTTCACCGTGTTAGCCAGGATGGTCTCGATCTCCTGACCTCGTGATATACCCGCCTCAGCCTCCCAAAGTGCTGGGATTACAGGCGTGAGCCATGGCGCATGGCCTAGACGTTACATTCTTAGATGATATCAAACCAAGGAATAGGGATGTAGAAGGTAACTAACATTATGCATTTTTTGTTTGTTTTGAGACAAGGTCTCACTTTGTGGTCTAGGCTGGAGTGCAGTGGTGCAATCACAGCTCACCGCAGCCTTGACCTAACTAACTCAAGTGATCCTCCCACCTCAGCCTCCTGAGTAGCTGTGACCACAGGTGAGCGCCACCACTCCTACCTAATATTTCTATTCTTTTTTTTTAATAGATATGATGTCTTGCCATGTTACCCAGGCTGGTCTGGAACTCCAGGGGTAAAGCAATCCTCCCACCTCGGCCTCCCAAAGTGCTGGGATTACAGACATGAGCCACCTTGCCCAGTCACATTATCCCATTTTGCTTTTTTATGCATTCCATTCATATAAATGTTGAAACATGTACACTCACATGTAAACTATGTATTTGGATGTGTGTGTGTGTGTGTTGTGTGTTTTGAGATGGAGTCTTCCTCTGTCACCCAGGCTGGAGTGGCAGGGGTGCGATCTCGGCTCACTGCAACCTCCCAAACTGCCTTGGCCTCCCAAAGTGCTGGGATTACACGCCAGGCCTAAACTATGTATTTGTGACCTCTTATATTAATACATTGTATGTATTGTAAAATATAAACCCCAAATTTTAAAATATAAAATAACCAATATATTTAAAGTAATTTAATGGTATTTAATTTTCTGTCAGCCAGGCTGGAGTGCAGTGGTGCAATCTTGGCTCACTGCAACCTCCATCTCCCAGGTTCAAGCAATTCTCCTGCCTCATTCTCCCAAGTAGCTGGGATTACAGGCGTGTGCCACCACGCCCGACTAATTTTTGTATTTTTAGTAGAGATGTGGTTTCACCATGTTGGCCAGGCTGGTCTCGAACTCCGGACCTCAGGTAATCCGCCTGCCCCAGCCTCCCAAAGTGCTGGGATTACAGGCGTGAGCCACTGCGCCCGGCTTAAAAAATTTTTTGTAGAGACAGGATCTCATTCTGTTGATGTGCTCTCCACCTTCAAAGCCTGCAGTGTTGCATCTCTCTGACCATTCTTCCATAGTTACATCTCTTTCCCTGACTCTATTCTATCACCTCCTTCTTCCACCTTAATTTTTAATTTTAGAGATGAGGTCTTACTCTGTCACACAGGCTGGAGTGCCGTCGTGCCATCATAGCTCACTTCACTCCAGCCTTAAACTCCTGGGCTCAAATGATCCTCCTGCCTTAGCCTCCTGGGTAGCTAGGACTACAGGCCTGCACCACCACAGCTGGCCAATTCTTTTTTTTCTTTATTGAGACAGGGTCTCACTCTGTCACTCAGGGTGGAGTGCAGTGTGATCTCAGCTCACTGCAACCTCTGCCTCCGGGTTCAAGTGATCCTCCCGCCTCAGACTCCCAAGTACCTGGGACTACAGGCATGTGTCACCACACCTGGCTAATGTTTTCTATTTTTGGTCAAGACAGAATTTCACCATGTTGCCTAGGCTGGTCTCGAACTCCTAAGCTCAAGTGATCCACCTGCCTTGGCCTCCCAAAGGGCTGGGATTATAGGTGTGAGCCACCACACCCAGCTCCAGCCATTTTTTTTTTTTTTTTTTTTGGTAGAAATGGAGTTTTGATGTGTTGCCCAGGCTGGTCTTGAACTCCTGGTCTCAAGCAATCTGCCCACCACAGCCTCCCAAAGTGCTGGGATTACAGGTGTGCGTCGCTGCACCTGGCCTTAATAGTATTTTTTTTTTTTTTGAGATGCAGTCTCGCTCTGTCACCCAGGCTGAAGTGCAATGGTGTGATCACACCTCAATGTAACCTCTGCCTCCTGGGTTCAAGCGATTCTCCTGCCTCAGCCTCCCAAGTAGCTGGGATTACAGGCACCTGTCACCACGCCCGGCTAATTTTTGTATTTTTAGTAGAGACGGGGTTTCACCATGCTGACCAGGCTGGTCTTGAACTCCTGACCTCGTGATCCGCCCACCTTGGCCTCCTAAAGTGCTGGGATTACAGGCATGAGTCACTGCGCCCAGCCCAATAGTATTTTATTAATAGTAGAAAAGACTTTTTGGCCAGGCACCGTGGCTCAGGCCTGTATATCCCAGCACTTTGGGAGGCCGAGGCAGTGGATCACGAGGTCAAGAGATCGAGACCATCCTGGCTAACACGGTGAAACCCCGTCTCTACTAAAAATACAAAAAATTAGCTGGGCCTGGTGGTGGGCGCCTGTAGTCCCAGCTACTCAGGAGGCTGAGGCAGGAGAATGGCGTGAACCCGGAAGGCGGAGCTTGCAGTGAGCCGAGATCGCGCCACTGCACTCCAGCCTGGATGACAGAGCAAGACTCCATCTCAAAAAAAAAAAAAATCTTGATTTAACACTTTGTGATGCAGTCATTAGAAAGTCTAATTTTAAGTTTAGTTATTCTAATACTTCACTTTAATGGCTGTCACAGGTGAGAAGATATTTTGAAGAGATATTTCATAAAGATATTTAGATTTAAATGGAAGAGATGCATTGTTATTGGCTATATCTATTAAAGTACTCATTTTCTTTTTCAGTCCCATCATCCAGTTCTGTAAAGGTTTTTGTCGAAGTTTGACTAGTAAATTTCCATTCTCTCTGCTGTCAGTCAGTAATTCCTTCCTTCCTTCCTTCTTTCCTTCCTTCCTTCCCTCCTTCCTTCCTTCCCTCCTTCCCTCCCTCCCTCCCTCCTTCCCTCCCTCCTTCCTCTCTCAATCTGTCTCTTTCTTTCTCTTTAATAGAGACGGGGTCTCGCTGTGTTGCCCAGGCTGGTCTCAAACTCCTGCGCTCAAGTGATCCCCCACTACTCAGCCTCCCAAAGTGCTGGGATTACAGGCATGAGCCACTGTGCCCAGCCTCAGTCAGTAATTCTTGCAAACGAATTTAAAGACACTGCCTTTTATTTTTTCATCAAATAAATTTTAAGACCCACTGAAATGCATTAACTGGAAAATGTTTAAACAAGTAGAAAATTGTGTTTCAAAAATTCCAGTGCAATATATATATTAGATAGAGTTTTAATAGGACACGAACACACACACACACACAGTTTCCCATGCAACAAAGTCACATACTGATGGAAATATTTCCAAGACACTCTCTCCAAACTGTTTATTTCAAAACCCATCTACACTAAAGGGAGTGGGAAGGAAGGAAGTTAATCTCTCACTCATTGCTAAAACTTTACCTTAAAAGAAAATGTGCAGCCGAGCACGGTGGCTCACATCTGTAATCCCAGCACTTTGGGAGGCTGAGGCGGGCAGATCACCTGAGGTCAGGAGTTCGAGACCAGCCTGGCCAACATGGGGAAACACTATCTCTATTAAAAACACTAAATAAGCCAGGCAGGGTAGCGCATGCCTGTAATCTTAGCTACTTGGGAGGCTGAGGGCAGGAGAATCACTTGAACCCAGGAGGCAGAGGTTGCAGTGAGCCAAGATCACGCCATTGCACTCCAGCCTGGGCAACAGGAGCAAAACTCTGTCTCAAAAAAGAAAAAGAAAAAGAAAATATGTATGTTTAATATCCTCTACATAGAATACAACCCACAGGGATTATCACAGAAAAGGTAAAGAAATCTGAATCACTTGTATTTTTTGTCAGCGAAAATGCATAATTCTTCTTCATAGTCAAATACTCTTTTAAGTAATAACAACCAGAGCTTGTGTAAAGCTGATTTTGGTAGTAGATATTATACTAAGAGATTTTTATATACATATGTATCAACTCACTTCATCCCCAGAACAACTCAATGCAGTAGATACTATTATCTCCATTTCACAGATGAAGAAACTGAACCTCAGAGAGTTAAATGATCTTCCTGGGATTACATGGCTGGTGATGGGAGAACTGTGGTCAGAACCTAGGCAGTGTGTGTCCAGGATCTGTGCTTTTGACCTCGAGTATGTTGAATACTTTGCTAGAAAATAAAAAGTTTTCACAATCACTCCCCATCTCAGTATAAGGTATTATGTAGATTCTATTGAAGGGATTTAGTTTTACAAAATCGACCACATCAATGATGTCCTATACTACATACAACTTCAATAGACTGATTGTGGATGAACTAGGGCACCCAGTCAACCCTTTTAATTGTGAAAAGTCTGTCCTTCTCAGGTTACCTCACACAGCACACCTCTGACATGACTGACAAAGGACTGTATGAGCATGCCAGTGTCACATTTATGTTAAATAATAAAGCTTAATTTCTTTCTTTCTTTCTTTTTAGACAGGGTTTCACTCTGTCACCCAGGCTGGAGTGCAATGGTGCGATCTTGGCCCACTGCAACCTCCGTTTCCCAGACTCAAGCTATCTTCCCACCTCAGCATTCCGAGTAGCTGGGATTACAGATGCACACCACCATGCCCAGCTAAGTTTTATATTTTTGTAGAGACGGTGTATCATCATGTTGCCCAAGTTGGTCTTGAACTCCTGAGCTCAAGTGATCCACCCGCCTTAGCCTCCCAAAGTGCTGGGATTTCAGGCATGAGCCAACCTGGTCTGTTTCTTACTTTTTAGAGAAAACAAATGGATGTTGTAATATTTTCTTTCTGTTCTTTCTGAACTTGTAGTAGATTGCCTTGAGGACCCTTTGGATGTCCAGTCTCCACTTTCAATACCATTCGCCTTAGCAAATATGAAGAAATTTAAAATTATCCAGGAGAAATACAGTTTCAGTAAAACAAATGCAGAGGAATTACATAGGATAATCAAAACAACTTCTTAAATATAATTTGAGAAATAAAAGGAGGCTGAGTTTAGATTTTAAAATCTGATAATAATGAAATGTGATTTTTTTGAAGTGTAATTTTAAACGTAAGATTAATACAAGGCTGCATTATAAGAGTGTCGGCCGGGCGCGGTGGCTCACGCCTGTAATCCCAGCACTTTGGGAGGCCGAGGCGGGTGGATCATGAGGTCAGGAGATCGAGACCATCCTGGCTAACAAGGTGAAACCCCGTCTCTACTAAAAATACAAAAAATTAGCCGGGCGCGGTGGCGGGCGCCTGTAGTCCCAGCTACTCGGGAGGCTGAGGCAGGAGAATGGCGTGAATCCGGGAAGCGGAGCTTGCAGTGAGCCGAGATTGCGCCACTGCAGTCCGCAGTCCGGCCTGGGCGACAGAGCGAGACTCCGTCTCAAAAAAAAAAAAAAAAAAAAAAGAGTGTCAACTGGCCAGGTGCGGTGGCTCACGTCTGTACCCCCAGCATTTTGGGAGGCCAAGGTAGGCGGATCACCTGAGGTCAGGAGTTTGAGGCCAGCCTGGCCACCATAGTGAAACCCTGCGTCTATTAAAAATACAAAAATTAGCTGGATATGGTGGCAGGTGCCTGTATTCCCAGCTACTTGCGAGGCTGAGGCAGGAGAATTGCTTGAACCCAGGAGGTGGAGGTTGAAGTGAGCTGAGATCGCACCACTGCACTCCATGATACTAAGGACTCACTTGATCCTTTATAGAGTTCCATGTCTCATACTGGGCATCTCCTCTAAAATCTAAAGAAAACATGGAGAATTTGGGAAAAACTCCTATGAGAGTCATAAAATATTTTTTAAAATGACAGAAAAAGTTAAAAGAGCTGGGGTTGTTTATCTTAGAAAACTCAGGGGAATTTAAGAGTCTTCTTGCGTATGAAGAGTTATAATTCCTTAAGGTCTACTTAAGTCTTTGACACATCTGGCTGGGCCAGACACAGATTCCTTAGAGAATTTGTTAAGGAAATAACAGCAATGCACCTCTTTATGCCAGAAGCTATTAAGCCCTTGCATTTGAAATAGGTTCAATCATTAATTGCACATAATAGAAGTAAATAACTGAGTCACCAAATGAACAGTGTTTAAGAAAAGCTATTATTCCCCACTGATAAGCAACTAAAATAATAGTTATCTTCAAAGTCCACCTAGCAGGTTTAGTCCACCTACCCTAATATGATCCCCTGGACGTAGAAACTGCTGACACGACTTATGTAAATAAATTATTGTCAACTATTAACAGACTTTTATTTTATGTACATAATAGACTAAATGAGATACAGAAAAAAAGAGAAAAATGAATGATTTATATTTTATTCTTGACATTCATAAAAACAAGATTGGAAGACAATGAGATTTCCCTAATAGGAAAGTATAATAATATTATTTTAGATAATTAATGGTCTTAGGGAAATTTAAAATAATTTCTAGCTACTTTTTATCAAAAAGCTGATGCTAGCAGTTTAAGTGTTCTGATCTCCTAACACTTCCCCTTGATTTTTCTCATGAGTCTAATACAGAAAATGAGAAAGTCCTGTGATCTGAAAAGCCTTATATTTGATCCTAATGTAGTCTTGTTTTAAAATAGAGTTTCCTACCTGTTATGAAACATACTTGAACTTCAAGCATTTCAGTTTTGAGTTTGAATTGGCTAATTTGGCCCAAGAAATGACGTTCAGCTTTGGGCCTCCCACCTATACCCTACCCCACAAAATGAACACATGCTGAACCCTTTTCAAATCATAGAAACAAGTTAATTCTGCTCTGTGCTAAAGAGGCGTTAATTGCTCTCAATTTCAGTTCCCATGTGTATCTGAGGGTTTTTTTTTTTTTTTTTGAGAAGGAGTCTCACTCTGTCACCCAGGCTGGAGTGCAGTGGCGCGATCTCAGCTCACTGCAAGCTCCACCTCCCGAGTTCACACCATTCTCCTGGCTCAGCCTCCCAAGTACCTGGGACTACAGGCGCCTGCCACCACGCCCGGCTAATTTTTGTATTTTTAGTAAAGACGGGGTTTCACTGTGTTAGCCAGGATGGTCTTGATCTCCTGACCTCGTGATCCGCCCGCCTCGGCCTCCCAAAGTGCTGGGATTACAGGCATGAGCCACCGTGCCTGGCTAATTTTTGTATTTTTAGTAGAGACGGGGTTTCACTGTGTTGGCCAGGATGGTCTTGATCTCCTGACCTCGTGATCTGCCCGCCTCAGCCTCCCAAAGTGCTGGGATTACAGGCGTGAGCCACCGCGCCCGGCCCTTTTTTTTTTTTTTTTTTTTTTTTTTTTGAGACAGAGGCTTGCTCTGTCCCCCAAGTTGGAGTGCAGTGGCGCAATCTTGACTCACTGCAACCGCCCCCTCCCGGGTTCAAGTGATTCTCTTGCCTTAGCCTCCCAAGTAGCTGGGATTACAGGTGCACCATCACGCTCAGCTAATTTTTGTATTTTTAGTAGAGACAGGGTTTCACTATGTTGGCCAGGCTGGTCTCGAACTCCTGACCTCAAGTGATCCTCTCGCCTTGGCCTCCCAAAGTGCTGGGATTACAGGTATGAGCCACTGCACCTGGCCAACTGAGGGGTTTTTTTGTTTTTGTTTTTCAGACGGAGTTTTGCTCTTGTTGCCCAGGCTGGAGTGCAATGGCTCAATCTCAGCTCACTGCAACCTCCGCCTCCCGGGTTCAAGCGATTTTCCTGTCTCAGCCTCCCAAGTAGCTGGGATTACAGGCACATGCCACCATGCCGACTAATTTTTGTACTTTTTTTTTTTTTTTTTGAGACGGAGTCTTGCTTTGTCTCCCAGGCTGGGGTGCAGTGGCGCAATCTCGGCTCACTGCAAGCTCCACCTCCCGGGTTCACGCCATTCTCCTGCCTCAGCCTCCCGAGTAGCTGGGACTACAGGCGCCTGCCACGGCGCCCGACTAATTTTTTTGTATTTTTTAGTAGAGACGGGGTTTCACCGTGGTCTCGATCTCCTGACCTTGTGATCCACCTGCCTTGGCCTCCCAAAGTGCTGGGATTAGAGGCGTGAGCCACCACGCCCAGCCTAATTTTTGTATTTTTAGTAGAGACGGGGTTTCATCATATTGGTCAGGCTGGTCTCAAACTCCTGACCTCAGGTGATCCGCCTGCCATGACCTCCCAAAGTGCTGGGATTACAGGTGTAAGCCAGCGTGCTCGGCCACTGAGGGTTTTTTTGGTTGTTTTTTTTTGTTTTGTTTTTTGTTTTGAGATGGAGTCTCGCTCTGTTGCCCAGGCTGGAGTGCAGTGGCACGATCTTGGCTTACTGCAAGCTCCACCTCCCAGGTTCACGCCATTCTCCTGCCTCAGCCTCAAGAGTAGCTGGAACTACAGGTGCCCGCCACCACACCCGGCTAATTTTTTTGTATTTTTAGTAGAGACGGGGTTTCACCATGTTAGCCAGGATGGTCTCAATCTCCTGACCTCGTGATCCGCCCACCTAGGCCTCCCACAGTGCTGGGATTAAGGCGTGAGCCACCGTGCCCGGCCAGTTGTTTTTAAACAGAGGGTCTCCCTCTGTTGCCCATGCTGGACTGCAGTGGGGCAATCATAGCTCACTACAGGCTTGACCTCCTAAGCTTAAGTGATCCTCCCACCTCAGCCTCCCAAGTAGTTGGGACTACAGGTGTGCACCACCATACTCAGCTAATTTTTTTTTATAGAGACAAGGGGAGGGGTCTCACTTTGGTACCCAGGATGGTCTCAAACTCCTAGGATTAATGGATCCTCCCATGTCGGCCTCCCAAACTGCTGGGATTATAGGCGTAAGCCACCACTACTGGCCTGAGTTTTTCTAACTGTATCTTGGGTTGCTTTATGTTTTATTAAATTGTTTTGCTCAGAAAATTTAATAAATTAGTCAGCTGGGCATGGTGGCACACACCAGTAATCCCAGCACTTTGGGAGGCAAAGGTAGGAGGATGACTTGAGGCCAGCGGTTTGAGACCAGCCTGGGCAACATAGGGAGACCCTGTCTCTACAAAAATAAAAAATTAGCCAGGCGTGTTGGTGTGCACCTGTGGTGCTACTTGGGAGGCTGAGGTGGGAGGAGTGCTTGAGCCTTGGAGGTTGAGGCTGCAGTGAGCCATGGTTGTGTCACTGCACTCCAACCTGCGCAACAGAGTGAGACCCTGTCTCTAAAAAAAAAAGTGAGACCCAGTCAAAAAAAAAAAAAAAAAAGAGAGAGAGAGAGAGAAATTTAAAAAAAAAAAAAAGAAAATTTAGGCCAGGCTCGGTGGCTCACACCTGTAATCTCAACACTTCAGGAAGCTGAGGTGGGCGGATGAGTTGAGGTCAGGAGTTCAAGATCAGCCTGGCCAATATGGTGAAATCCTGTCTCCACTAAAAATACAAAAATTAGCCAGGTGTGGTGGTGTGTGCTTGTAGTCCCAGCTACCTGGGAGGCTGAGGCAGGAGAATTGCTTGAATCCAGGAGATGGAGGCTGCAGTGAGCCGAGATCACACCACTGCACTCCAGCCTGGGTGACACAGCAAAATTCCATCTCAAAAAAAAAAAAAAAAGAAAATTTAATAAATTAGTCACTTTTGTTTCCCCATATTTTTACCCATTTTTACAGCAAGGTTTTCCTTTTAATTATTACAATCTGAGCCAATTCATAGTTAGGATTATGTTTTTAACTATCTTCTCCACAAAAATGGTTTTCTTTTATTTGATACTGTGGGATGTTGTGATTAGAATGTCAGCTGATAAACATAGCTAGAAACTATAGCAACAACTTATGGTGTCTGACCCACTTAAGCATGTGAGTCTTCAGCAGAATGAGGGAAAAGATACCCTAAAAGCAATGCAAATAATATGAATCAAAACCATCCTTTGCGAGGCTGGGCGAGGTGGCTCACACCTGTAATCCTAGCATTTTTCAAGGCCGAGATAGGAAGATCACTTGATGCCAGGAGTTCAAGACCAGCCTGGGCAATATAGTGGGACCCTGACTCCAAAAAATTTTAAAAATTTGTTGAGGTGGTGGCGCAAGCCTGTAGTTCCAACAACTCAGGAGGTGGGAGGATGGCTTGAAAGCAGGGAGTCGAGGCTGCAGTGAGCCGAGCTCACGCCACTGCACTCCAGCCTGGTGGGTGACAGAATGAAATCCTGTCTCAAAAAACAAAACAAACCAAAAAAAGTATTTTGCTTTTGTAAGCATATAGTTGGTAGGATTATTCTTACCTCTCTAGACTTAATATTTTATCTGCTATAAAACAAGTATTCCTTTTTTTTTTTTTTTTTTTTGCTGGAGTTTCGCTTTGTTGCCCAGGCTGGAGTGCAGTGGTGAGATCTCGGCTCACTGCAACCTCCGCCTCCCGGGTTCAAGCGATTCTCCTGCCTCAGCCTCCTGAGTAGCTGGGGTTACAGGCACCCACCACCACATCTGGCTAATTTTGTATTTTAGTAGCTACAAGATTTCACCATGTTGGCAGGGCTGGTCTTGAACTCCTGACCTCAGGTGATCTGCCTGCCTCAGCCTCCCAAAGTGCTGGGATTACAGGCATGAGCCACGGTGCCTGGCAAAAAACAAGCATTCTAATGAATACCAGCCCTCACTAATGGAAGTGGTATTTCTTGTATTTTTATGCCCCTCACTTCTTCCAAGGTTCTGATAAAAGAACTACAAATAATAGAGGGCTTTATTATGATATAAAAAAGTAATAATGCTTCCACATAAGGCACCATTTTAGAGAAAAGGTTTCCCATTTTGAATAGTGGAGGATGAAAACCAAGCATTCATTTCATTGGAATATATGATCTAAAATAATCGTAATAACCACATTATGTGGCTGGGTAGTTGGGGTTTTTTTGTTTGTTTTTTGAGACGGAATCTCACACTGTCGCCCGGGGCTGGAGTGCAATGGCGTGATCTCAGCTCACTGCTACCTCCACCTCCCAGGTTCAAGTGATTCTCCTGCCTCAGCCTCCCAAGTAGCTGGGATTACAGGTGCCCACCACCACACCTGGCTAATTTTTTGTATTTTTAGTAGACACGGGGTTTCATTATGTTGGCCAGGCTGATCTCAAACTCCTGACCTCGTGATCCATCCGGCTTGACCTCCCAAAGTGCTGGGATTACAGGCGTGAGCCACCGCCAAAATTTCTAAAATCTGGCCATTTTAATACTATTACAAATAAAACATATATAATATTGGCATTTTAATATATGTTTTAGAGCTAATAATGATGAAGATAGCAGTCACTTGGTATTATGTTCCAGGCATTCTACTAAATTCATTTGATCCTCATAGCAATTTCATGAGATTAGCACTATTATCTCCGTTTTACTGAAGAGGAAAAAGCACTATTATCCCCAGGTTACTGATGAAACCGGTGCTCAGAGAAGTGAAACAATTTGCCCAAAGTAGGAAGTGGCAAACCAGGAGTTAAACCTGGGTCTGTCCAATTCCAAAGCTTGTGTTCAAAATCTCTACACTATAGATAAAACAGATGAACAAAATATTTGCTCTATCTGAATGAACAGAATCATATTTTCAAAGAAAGTATTGGGACCCATAGTCTGATAAAAAGCTCTATTTTTAAAATTTATTTACATGAAATATTTCATAAAGGTATAAACATCAGCTAGACATTTAGCTGAACATTCAACAACTTTTTTTTTTACAGTCTAAACTTGGAAACATAACAGAAAATGGGGATATAACCTATATCTCTATCAATAGGTGAACACAATTAATCAAAGTGATCAGCCTTAGCCAGGTGCGGTGGCTGAAGCCTGTAATCCCAGCACTTTGGGAGGCTGAAGCAGGTGGATCATTTGAGGTCAGGAGTTCAAGACCAGCCTGGCCAACATGGTGAAACCCTGTCTCTACTAAAAATACAAAAATTAGCCGGGCGTGGTGGCGCACACTTGTAATCCCAGCTACTGGGGAGGCTGAGGCAGGAGAATTGCTTGAGCCTGGGAGGCAGAGGTTGCGGTCAGCCGAGATCACGCCACTGCACTCCAGTCTGGGTGACAGAGTGAGACCCTGTCTCAAAAAAAAAAAAAAAAACCAAAACAACAACAACAACAACAACAAAGTGATCAGCCTTAAAATTTGCCCTTAAAACCAATTTTAGACTGGGCATGGTGGCTCACGCCTGTAATCCCAGCACTTTGGGAGGCCAAGGCGGGTGGCTCACCTGAGGTCAGGCGTTCAAGACCATCCTGGCCAACATGGCGAAAATCTGTCTCTACTAAAGATACAAAACATTAGCTGGGCGTGGTGGCAGGCACCTGTAATCACAGCTACTCGGGAGGCTGACGCAGGAGAATCGCTTGAAACCGGAAGTTGGAGGAGGTTGGAATGACCTGAGATTGTGCCATTGCACTCCAGCCTGGGCAACAAAAGTGAGACTCCATCTCAAAAAAAAAAAAAAAAAAAAAAACTAATTTAATTACAGTGAAAAAGTCCTTAGTAGTTTGTGAATATATTTACCTCCTCTAGCTTTTTGCAAAATCTAGCTATTAAATTGCAGCTCTCAGATTGTAAAGGCAAAATGCCTAACATGTTGTCTGTTGATCAAATGAACCCAGCCTGGGCAACACAGTGAGACCGTCTCGTCTCAAAAAAAAAAAGAAAATACATAAAATGTTTGTGGGAGGTGATCTCTGTGTGTGTGTGTGTGTGTGTGTGTGTGTGTGTGTGTGTGTGTGTTCTTCACAATAGGACAAATTTATCTAGAAATGTAATGGTTCCCAGATGTTTATTTTTTTAAAAAGTCAAGATGTGGTGATAGCCAGGTATTTGTCTCTAAAGTGAGAATGATGTTATTCCACTTGGAGTTTATTGACACAGAACTTCCTTTTGTCTGAGAAATCTTCAGCACTGTGAATATGGCTTTAATTAAGAGATACACTCATCACTTGTTGATTTTGTTACAAGGGAAGAACTCCTCTAATGTATGTGGATTGCTTTGTGGACCACAGTAAAACATATAAAGGACCACCGGCAATGTATTGTTTTGTATCTACTGCATTCTTATATTCATTTCTGAAAACTACTGTTTAGAAAGTTCTGTAGGATTACTGAAGTACAAAAAGTATTTGGATTCACAATCCACTTTTTAAAGAGAGGCCACATTGTGGTTATTGACATTAAAAATGAATGTCCTAACCCATACTTGTGGGGCTAAATCTTTGAATATCATTTTAAAACATGAGGAAATGTCTTCTGAATTTAGGGAAGTCACACATAGATCCCAGTTCCTCTAATAACCTTTGGCAGTTTATTTGTTCATAGATTTGTGGCAAATTCTCTGGAATCATATGATCTAAAGTACAAATCATTGTCTCAAAATCTAAGGCATGATATGCACATGGGAATCTTTAAGTACTTGTCTGAGTCTATCTTCAAGTGATATCTGATAAGACCTAAATTACAGTAGTGTTGTGGGACGAAGAAAACAACCCACTCTACTTCAAAATCTTAACCACTTGACTCCACATCCATTGAACCATGTAATTCTTAGTTCTCCACTCAGCTTCTCTATCTGTTAAAAGAGATAAACAGATCTAAAACGCAGCTTCTGTAATTCAAGAATGAGTAATAAGGAGCTGTAAAGTGTGCACTCAGCTGACTTGGAGATTAATGGGAATAAAAAAAAGAGTCAGTAGATCTAAAAAGATGTGTGGAAAGGAAATTTCTCTGCACACAGGATCTGCCAATTTGTGAAAGTTCTCGACTGTTTATAAACACAAGGGCCGTAACTCTGCTAATGACAAAAGTGGAAAACTGTCCAAATAATGCTAAATGAATCACAGTTGTTCTCAATTATTTGGATATTTAATTCACTCCTCTGAGTTTCCAGTTTACACCAAGCCAACCCCCCCAACACCACGGGCCCACCCGGGGGGTCCTGATCCCTGCACACACCAGGTCATCTCTGTTGGGCCCCGGCGCTCTGGCCCGCGCCGGTCTTGGGCCCCAGGGTAGCGGCCACTGCGGGCGGAGCAGAGGGAAACACCAGAGTCTGTGACTCCAGACAGGACCCACTGTGTCCTCTTGAACTTTGCACAGCGCGTGACGGGGGCAGACGGTGCACCGTGGCCCGGCCTTTCGCGGGGGTCCTCGGGGAAGAGAGAGGAGCGCGGGTTTCCTCGGAGGCCTGAGCGGGACGCAGCCTGCAGCCCCTCCCCGCACGGGCTGCCCCCGGCCCGCCGCTCGCGCCGCTCTGCTGGGATCCGGCGCCTTCCCCGGCTGTCCTCGGCCTCCCGCGCGCTCCGCGGGAGGAGCCGCCAGCGGCCGTGACGCGTCAAGGAGGAAACGCCGGCGCCCGGCGGCCCTGCCGGGAAGGAGGAAGCGCAGTGCGTTCGGCTCCGCGCCCGCCGCGCCGGGAGCAGCACCGCGGGGCCAGGTAGGTGCGGGGCCGGCGGGAGGGTCCGCGCGCCCGGGACTCCGACGGCGGCCCGGGGCGGGAGGAGACGGGGCGGGGCGAGGGCTGCCCGGGCCTCGGCCGCTGCCTGTCCTCGGAAAAAGCCGTACCTCCGCCCAGCCCCCGGCTCCCGGAGAGTTTGTGGTCTTTGTTTCCACGAGGTGAATTCAGATCCTGCCTCGAGATTCCTAAACGCCCAAGGGGCGTCGGTGGCTGGACCTTGTTAACCCCCACGCAGCCGCCGAGCCTGGAGGAACTGGGAACGCCGAGCAGGGAGACCCTATCTGAGGTCGAAAGTGGGTGCAGGTCACCTGCGAGGGTCGGGGAGGGGGCAGCCGCCAGAGTGGGGTGGATGGAATCGTTTAACCTGTTGTCAGCGGATCTGTAGTAAAAGACCTTAATACGTTGCGTCTTTTAAGTTCTCTGTAATTTGAACCCTTACGTCTCTTCAAGTGAATCTGGCCCTATTAATTCTCACAGTTTTAGCTTTGGAATGTACCCACAAGAAGTGCTTTGAGATTTTTAGATTCTGTCATTTTTAGTCATCGTTACTTGGAAAGAGAAAAGAGAAAGGAATCATCTCTTGAAACTTAAAACGCTTTCATTGAGTTGTGCACAGTGACTTCTGAACCATGAGTAGAATTTCAGTCCTGCACCAGAGACTACTTAGTGTGCACTTGGGTGCAAAATAAATACAGAGCACTGTAATTTCTAAATCTTTTGTCAAAGTGAAAAATAGACTGTTGTGTATTTTGATTCTCTCCCTTCTCACCAGATTGAGACTTCACCCAGCCAATCTGGGAGGTGCCTTTTTTTATTTACCAAACACTTACATAGCCCTTACTATGCGCTGGGCTCTTTCTAAGTTCTTTATAAATATTAAATCAAATTCTTAACTTATCATATTATAGCGGTTCTAGCAATGAAGAGGCTATCCATACTTTAGTTCCCCAAATGTCATTGGAAGAGCTGTAAACATTAGAGGAAGTTTTAGGCATGTTTTAGCACCGGGTGTGCCTTCTGGTCCCCTTGGCTACCACTTCTGTAAGACAAGCCACCACCCCAGCATTTCCCTGGGGTAAGGGAGCCTGGAGCTCCTGGGAATGCGACCTGTTCAAAGCAGATGTTGGCCAGAACCTGAATGACTTGTGTAACATGGTCTCTTTCAACTGCCGTTGTGCCCATCGGCTAACTCTGGAGACACCAGAACTTCCCCTTCTTTAACTGCCACTGCATGGAGCCTACTTTTGTTTTTGAAAAGAGCTTTGTTCCTGATCTGTTCGACACTGTTTATATGACATTATTTATATGACATAGTTTAGATATGAGGGTCAGATTGAACTTGAAATGTACTATAAAATAGAACATTTTTGTTTGCACACATCAACATAACAAATAACGTTTTGTAATTTTACTGCTATTTGCTCTTGGAAACATTGAATTGGTAGGTCAGCCTCATAGGTGTACCTTTTGTGATTTGCAGATATGCAGAGAATATTTTTTCAGAATAACATGCCCTCTTCAAATGTGCACCATTAGAGACCCAATGTGGTGACTAAGATAGACATGATTCTTGTTATTGTGACTATGAATGTAATGTCAAAATCTGCACATCAGACTAGCTTTCTGACTCCCTCACTCCCTTTCTGTGCCCCCCTCCCTTATCTCTCTCTCATATATTTAACTTTTCAGAGAGATGATTAAGTGAGCCGATAAGCCTTATTTAATAGGATTATGAAGTGTCTCTTGAAGCAAGAAGGCTCATGTTCCTCTGATATATTAATAATTTATGACACAACAGGCATTAGTGTCATTTGTGAATTCAGTTTAGTCGGATGACCCCTAGCATTTTCATGGCTTACAAAGTGCTTCCAGACATACTCCTTTACCTTTCAGAGAGATCTTGTATGGTTGATCTCTTAATTACTTTTTATTACCTGTTTTTACAGATGAAGAAACTGAGGCATGGAAATGTTAAAGTGCTTTAGCCTGGATTGCACAGCAGGTGAGAGGCAGAGCTTGAATGGAGGGCAGGTGTGTGGACAGTGCCTGGCACGTGCAGGCCTGTAATAAACATCTGTGGAATGAATGACTCCAAATGGCTTCAGATATCTTGCTCTTTCAAAACATGTCTCTCAAAATACCGTAGTAATTGATTTATGCCTGAGAGATTTCCAGGCCTAATCCAATGCCTCTCTCATTTCAGACAGTATCTAATACAGCACATTTTCTACAAAAAGGATGGGAATCCCTTTGGACTTATTTCTTAAGATTTGCCACCTCTGGTTTTTGAAAAAGAAAATAGGTTGGGTATTTTTTTCATCCTACCTTTTTTCTCTAGTTTTGAGAGTTTAGAACGGACACATGGTATTTATGTTTATGTTGACAGCTTGCTTTCTTTCTTTCTTTCTTTGTTTTTTTTTTGAGACAGAGTCTTGCTCTGTTGCCCAGGCTGGAGTGCAATGGCGCAGCCTAGGCTCACTGCAACCTCCGCCTCCCGGGTTCAAGCGATTCTCCTGCCTCAGCCTCCCGAGTAGCTGGGGCTACAGGTGCATGCCCCCATACCTGGCTAATTTTTGTGTTTTTAGTAGAGACAGGGTTTCACCATGTTGGCCAGGCTATTATCAAACCCCTGACATGATCAGCCTGCCTTGGCCTCCCAAAGTGTTGGGATTACAGGCGTGAGCCACCGTGCCTGGCCACAGCTTTCTTATCTTTCTAAACTACTTAGATTTATGATCAAGTTCAAACTCAATGATCATAGGTATTGTAAATATTTTTGAAATAAAACTATGTGTTTTATTGAAATGTTGCAATGAATTTAGCATAAAGGGTCTTTAAAAACACACACAAAATTCCTCAACTATTTATATGCTTTAAGTATAGCCCTTGGTACCTAAAGTATGTGATTTCCAGGTGGATAACCTTCAATTAGAGGGGATAATATGGCCATTACCTGGCAGGAGGAATTGAGAAGAGTTATCAGGGAGATATGAGAGATGGGATGGCCTTTCCCATGAGGTGTATTAGGCAGTAAGAAACCCTTAATGAAGCCAGACTGAGTCATCTGCCTGTCAACGTTCTTCTGTGTGGGAGTGGAATAAAATACCTTTGAAACCTGTCTTGTTTCAGAAACCACTTTACCTTTTCCAGTTCTCATGTTTTCTCTTTTTGAAAAAAATTAATGTAAATTACTGACTAAACTGCTGATTCATGAAACTCAACTTATGTAACATGTTATTCCTGACAGATGTAACAGCTCCCATATTATTTTAAGCGACTCAGTGTCTCTGTTTTCCTTTACCTTTTCCATTTCTCATGGTGGAGACTTTGCTCTCATTTCACTCTCCCCTGCCCAGTATCATGGAGAAAAGTGGTAAATCTAAGAGGTGCTACTTCCGCATCTTGTAGTTCACGTCAAAGTAGTTTTAACTCAATGCTAACTTTCAGTTGTCATTGCCGAGGAAGACAATGTGGAAATCAGATGTTGAAGGCCAATTCAAAGCGTCACCCAGTAAAATTGTATTGGCTGTCTGAAGCTGAGCTAGAGGGTTTTCAAAGGGAATTAGGGCAGTGTGCAGTATCCTTGCCTTTGGAGAAATAGTAAAGGACTTGAGAAATTGGACAAAGTCCTGAAAACCTGCCTAAGTTCACCTCCTGGTGGCCACTGTTCTTCTATTACGCTAAAGCAAAATCTGCTTTCTTTGGGCGGGGGGGTTGGGGGTGACTGAAAGAAACATGAAGATACAAGGGGAATTGTTAGAGGATGAGGGACTGATAATATGTAAGACGGAAAATGGAGATGTGTGTGAAGTAAGTGATGTTAGTGAGGTCTTGTGGCAGAGGATTCCTGTGCAGTGCAGCTGTGCTTCTCCTAACAGGGCCATACATATAGGAAAGACCTATATGAAATGAAAGTTTGAGAAGAACTAGAAACATCTCTTGGCATGATGTGATATTGGTGGGCAGAGTTACTTTGTACCATCAAGTGCAGAAGTGTTCTTGTAGGTAGCTTTCTTCAAGCCACTAAGCGAGCTTGTTGGCAGATAATTAAAATGTAGAGGCCAGGCACGGTGGCTCACACGAGTAATCCCAGCACTTTGGGAGGCCAAGGTGGGCAGATCACCTGAGTTCAGGAGTTCGAGACCAGCCTGGCCAACACGGCGAAACCCTGTCTCTACTAAAAAAAAAAAAAATACATAAATTAGCTGGGCATGGTGGTGCATGCCTGTAAGCCCAGCTACTTGGGAGGCTGAGGCAGGAGAACCTCTTGAACTCAGGAGGTAGAGGTTTCAGTGAGCCAAGATCGTGCCATTGCACTCTAGCCTGGGCAACAAGAGTGAAACTCTTTATCTGAAAAAAAAAAACAAAAAAAACAAAAAAAACAAAAAAAAAACGCTGGGCTTGGTGGCTCACGCCTATAATCCCAGCATTTTGGGAGGCTGAGGCTGGTGGATCACCTGAGGTCAGGAGTTTGAGACCAGCCTAGCCAACATGGAGAAACCCCATCTCTACTAAAAATACAAAATTAGCTGGGGATGGTGGCGCATGCCTGTAATCCCAGCTACTGGGGAGGCTGAGGCAGGAGAATGGCTTGAACCCAGGAGGCAGAGGTTGCAGTGAGCGAGATCGCACCACTGTGCTCCAGACTGGGCAACAGAGTGAGACTCCTTCTCAAAAAAAAAGAAAAGAAAACTGGATTTCATATGTAATATATTCATATACAAAAGTAGGACTCACTGATTAGCCAGTCTACAGACTGCTGAATGAAACGTATTCAAGGACAGTGGTGCTTCATAAGTTTGAAAATGAGAAGGAACTTTACTATTCTAGTTCTGTTTTTAATTAATTATTATTATTATTATTATTTGAGACAGAATCTCGCTGTCTTGCCCGGGCTGGAGTGCAGTGGCATGATCTCAGCTCACTGCAACTTCCACCTCCCAGGTTCAAGCGATTCTCGTGCTTCAGCCTTCTGAGAAGCTGGGTCTACAGTTGTGCACCACCATGCCCAGCTGATTTTGTATTTTTGGTAGAGATGGGTTTCACTGTATTGGCCAGGCAGGTCTCGAACTCCTGGCCTCAGTTATCCACCCGCCTTGGCCTCCCAAAGTGCTGGGATTACAGGCGTGAGCCACTGCGCCCGGCCTACTCTAGTTATTTACCTCCCTATTTTTTTTTTCTTTTTTTTTGACATGGAGTCTCAGTCTGTCACCCAGGCTGGAGTGCAATGGCATGATCTCGGCTCACTACAACCTCCGCCTTTGGGGTTCAAGCGATTCTCCTGCCTCAGCCTCCGAAGTAGCTGGGACTACAGGCGCCTACCACCATATCTGGCTAATTTTGTATTTTTAGTAGAAACAGGGTTTCACCATGTTGGCCAGGCTGGTCTCAAACTCCTGACCTCAAGTGATCTGCCCACATCGGCCTCCCAAAGTGCTGGGATTACAGGCATGACTCACCGCTCCCAGCCTACCTCCCTATTTTCTAACCAAAAATAGATAGAGGTTAACTTAAAAAGATTCAATTTCCAACTCAGCATCTATACATGCAGATAAATATATATATGTGTATATATATACACACATATATATATTATGTGTGTGTGTGTGTGTGTGTGTGTATGACCAGTATATAGTCTATAGAATCTAATGCACACGTATGTAGTTTTTGTTTTGTTTCGTTTGTTTTTTTTGAGACAAACTCTCACTGTGTTGCTCCCACTGGAGTGCAGTGGCACGATTTTGGCTCACTGCAACCTCTGCCTCCCAGGTTCAAGTGATTCTCCTCCCTCAGCCTCCTGAGTAGCTGGGATTACAGATGTGTGCCACCACGCCCAGCTAATTTTGTATTTTTAGTTGAGACAGGGTTTCTCCAGGTTGGTCAGGATGGTCTCAAACTCCCGACCTCAGATAATCCGCCCACCTCAGCTTCCCAAAGTGCTGGAATTACAGGTGTGTGCCACCGTGCCCGGCCACATGTATGTTTTATATATGACCAGCTCAAAGAGAATTTTGGAATCATATTCTTAGTTTTCCGAGAAAATGCATGCATCTTTCCCCCCCGTTTTAATTTTAGTTTTGTCTTCCATTTTCTAAATTTTAAATTGTAAAGGTATACAAGGCTGAGGTGGGAGGATTGCTTGAGCACAGGAATTCAGTGTTACAGTGAGCTATGATTGTGCCACTGCACTCCAGCCTAGGTGACAGATTGAGACCCTATCCCCCCCAATAAAAAAGTATGTATGCTCTTAAATTCAAGCAATTGAGAAGCATATGTAATAAAAAAATACATCCTCTCCACTCTAATTTTATCTACAGAGATTACTGCTACTGCTGCTGTTTTTATACCCTTCTAAACTTTTTTCATGCTTACATAAATTTGTGTATCTATATATGTACACAAGAGTTTTTTTTTTTAAATGGGGATTGTTTTACACAATTTGTTGTTTTGTTTTTTCTTTTATTTGTTTGTTTGTTTGTTTGTTTATCTTGTGACAGGGTTTTAGTCTATCTCCCAGGCTGGAATGCAGTGGCACGACTGTGACTCACTGCAGTTTCGACCTCTAGGGTTCAAGCAATCCTCCTGCCTTGGCCTCCTGAGTACTGGTATGTGCCACCATACCCAGCTAATTCTTTTTAATTTTTAATAGAGACAAGGTCTTACTATATTGCCCAGACTGGTCTCGAACCCCTGGACTCAAGTAATCCTCCTGCCTCTGCCTCCCAAAGTGCTGGAATTGCAGATGTCAGCCACTGTGCTGTGCCCATCCTGTTTCTTATTTAACACTATATATAGACATCTATAGATCTATATCGTTAGTTTTGATAGCTGCATAGTATTCCGCTTTATAATTGATTATCAATTTTCTGTTATTTCTGTTGCTGACATATATACCATTTTGAGTCTTTTAAAATATATTTAAATCACCAAAGTAATACTTTTTTGGACAAATAAAAGAAGAAATAGAGAAAATAAGAATTACCAGTAAATCTATCGCTCATTGGCAAGCGGCTATTAGCATTTTGGAGTATATCCTTCTAGGCTTTTATTTGTGTGTGCATGTGCATATCTTCAATGCCATTTTTAAAAGTTTCTCTTATACAGGCTTGCTTTGTTGGTTAGAGAATCACACTTACGTAGCCAGCCAACGTCACAGATTCCATGCACCTTTGAACCAGTTATTTTACTGTTTCCTGGCCACCTGCCATGCCCCAGCCCTGGCTAACACTCTTGGAAATTTATACTACCGCTCATAAAGGGAATGAGGGTGTGTGGATAGACTGACAAATCCATCCAAATTAACATAAAGCGCATGTTCTTCTAATGAGAGTCCGTCAATATTCGTATTATAAGTTCATCTAAGATACAAGATATTTAAGAAGAGAAATGATAGGATGTTCACATGTAATTGATTGTAATCACTAAAGGAGAAGCAGAAATAATTGACTTGAACCAAGGAAAAAGTGGCTGTTCTAAATTTCAGTTAGGAATTAGAACAGCTGGCATGGTAGCTCATGCCCGTAACCCCAGCACTTTTAGAGGTTGAGGTGGGCAGATCGCTTGAGCTCAGGAGTTTGAGACTGACCTGGGCAACATGGTGAAACCTAGTCTCTACAAAAAATATAAAAAATTGGGCCAGGCGCAGTGGCTCACGCCTGTAATCCCAGCATTTTGGGAGGCCAAGGCGGGTGGATCACCTGAGGTTAGGAGTTTGAGACCAGCCTGGCCAACATGGTGAAACCCTTTCTCTACTAAAAATATAAAAATTAGCTGGACATAGTGGTGGGTGCCTGTAATCCCAGCTTCTTGGGAGGCTGAGGCAAGAGAATTGCTTGAACCCGGGAGGTGGAGGTTGCAGTGAGCCAAGATCGCACCACTGCACTCCAGCCTGGGTGACAAGAGCAAAACTCTGTCTCAAAAAAAAAATTATATATATATATAATTAGCCAGGTGTGGTGGCACACACCTGTGGCCCCAGCTACTGGGAAGGCTAAGGTGGGAGGATTGCTTGAGCTGCAGAGGCGGAGGTTTCAGTGAGCTGGGATCATGTCACTGCACTCCAGCTTGGGTGACAGAGTGAGACCCTGTCTCACAAACAAAACAAACAAAAAAGAAATTAGAACAGTTGAACTGGAGATGTTTTGAAATACTCGTCTAATAATGAGTACATTGTTTACAGTATAATTGGTTTAAACAGCACCGCCACCAATGGTGGGAATAGGTGACCTTGAAGTTTCTTGTGATCCTATCATAGGCTGTCTCAGAGTCAGTAACACTTGACTTAGTATAATTTCATGCACACAGCTCCCTCTTCACATACTAAAGCCACCAGTCTTTCCAGATAGCATCGGTCTGTGCTGACATCTCTCCATCCATCCCCTTTTCTTCCCCCAAGGTGTGAGTACACAATCTACAACACACAGTGTATAGCAGGTGTGGGCTCCTGCACCCTTTGTGGCCTCCCCTGCTCTCTGAGAGTTTGCTCTCCTTTATAAACCTTGTTCTTTTTTTCTCTTCTTCCACCTCTTGCATTAAGAAAAGTTCTGTCTTTTCTCTATCCCACTCTCTTCATGTTGGTCTTAAGCAAAATGGATACTAATCATGGTAATACATTTAAGAGCAGGCCTTTAAGAAGGAAAAGGAAAGCTTTTAGTTTGGGAAGAAACATAGACATTATAAAGAACTAGTGGTTTCAACCTTTGAAGCCCTTGAGAATACCTAGTAATTCCTTTCAAAATATCCACAGAAGTCCACACCCACCTCCTCTTCTCTAAATAAGCTCTTTTTCCTTAAGCATTGGCATGAACTATAAAATTTAAAGCTATTTATAATTTTTTTTTTTTTGCTCATGTCATTGCAACAGCATTGTTTTGTGCTATTTTTTTTTCCCAGTTAAAGATGACAGTCATGTTATGGGTTGAATAGAATGTTTTGGTCTTGAAAGCTAACTCTCAGATATGACCACTGTTCCTTTTAGAAAATATATGCAAAGTTCTATCAGGCTTTAAAATAACCTTTTTGTTTTCAAGTAAGTTAAAGACTAAGAAGGGTATCTTGGGCCAAAGGTTAGCAATCTTTGAGAAGTGGTATGTCAGGATTCCCAACCACTTCCTTCCAGATTTGTATCAGTAGAGATATACACTGGTGAAAGCTTGGATCAGATCCTTGGGACTTACAGAAGAAGCAATACTGGTTCAGGAATGCTAGGTCCCTGCTGGAGACTCTTACAAGAGTTAGGGATAGAGGATCAGGCCCTGGAAACTGACTGCATACCAACTTCAGCTCGCCTGTAAAGGTGCGTGGGCCAGATGGTATAGGAAGCTCTGCGCCGAGACAATAGCTACTTAAGCTGCACTGAGAGTAAAGGCTTATTTTCTCATAAACATTATTGGAAAAGCTTTTGTAAGGATGTTTTTGTTTTTGTTTTTCTTGTTTTTTGTTTTCTTGAGATGAAGTCTCACTCTGTCACAGAGGCTGGAGTGCAGCGGCGCGATCTTGGCTCACTGCAACCTCTACCTCCCAAGTTCAAGCGGTTCTCCTGCCTTAGCCTCCCAGGTAGCTGGGACTACAGGCATTTGCCACCACGCCTGGCTAATTTTTGTATTTTTAGTAGAGATGGGGTTTCACCAGGATGGTCTCGATCTGCTGACCTCGTGATCCGCCCACCTTGGCCTCCCAAATTGCTGGGATTACAGGCGTGAGCCGCCGTGCCCAGCCTCTGCAAAGATGTTTTTATTCAGCCTCCCAACAACATGGTGCTAAAATTGATGATGGCTTAGACGCGAAAGTGCTATATCATTTACCTATTTAAACTGGTACTGTATTAGGTCGTTCTTGCATTGCTATAAAAAAATACCTGAGACTGAGTAATTTATAAGAAAAGAGGTTTAATTGGCCCATGGTTCTGCAGGCTGTACAGGAAGCATCTGCTTCTGGGGAGGCCCCAGGAAGCTTGCAATCATTGCAGAACATGAAGGGGGAATAGGGACATCACGTGGCGAAAACAGGAGCAAGAGCAAGAGTGGTGAGGTGAAGGTGCCACACACTTTTAAATAATTCACTGTGGTGAAGACAGCACCAAGCCATGAGGGATCTGCCCCATGATCCAAACACCTTTCACCAGACTCCATCTCCACCATTGGAGATTACAGTTCAACATGAGATTTGGGCAGAAACAAATATCCAAACTATATCAGGTACCATTGTTAATAAACATTCAGAAGTAAGATTTTGTTCATATATATATATATATATATATATATATATATATATATATATTTTTTTTTTTTTTTTTTTTTGTAAAAGGGTCGGCTGGGCACAGCGACTTACGCCTGTAATCCCAGCACTTTGGGAGGCTGAGGCGGGTGGATCACCTGAGGTTGGGAGTTCGAGACCAGCCTGACAGGTGAAATGCTGTCTCTACTAAAAATACAAAAAAATTTAGCCAGGCATGGTGGCTCATGCCTGTAATCCCAGCTACTCAGGAGGTTGAGGCAGGAGAATCGCTTGAACCCGGGAGGCAGAGGTTGTGGTGAGCCAAGATCACGCCATTGCACTCCAGCCTGGGCAACAAGAGTGAAACTCCGTCTCAGAAAGAAAAGAAAAAAGAAAAAAGGTCTTCCTCTGTCACGTAAGCTGGAGTGCAGTGGTGCAATCTTAACACACTGCAGCCTCAACCTCCCAGGCTCAAGCAATCCTCCCACCCCAGCCTCCCAAGTAGCTGGGAATACAGGCATGTACCACCACATCCAGCTAATTTTGTTTATTTTTTGTAGAGATGGGATCTCACCATGTTGCCCAGGCTGCTCTCAAACTCCTGGGCTCAAGTGTACCCACATCCTTAGCCACCCAATGTGCTGGGATTATAGGCATGAACCACTTTGCCCAACTGTTATAATTTGTTAAAAATAGCTCTCATGTTTTGTAATTCTACATGTCTGTAGTTGTACACAGTTGACAATTTAGTCCATTCTGACACAAGTACCTTTCTCTCATTTCTAATTGATCTCTTTTTATCCCCCTCTCTCTTCTCACCAATATTTGGTTTAATTTTTTGTGTATCTGTAAGGAGATTTTTTTACTGATGAAAGACAAGATAGTCCAATGTTTTAGCAGAGAAAAGTTTTTAAGATTTATTAGACTGCACCCCCTTTTCCCTTTGAACTTTGTCTTCCCTTTATATTTCTATTATTTCTGACTTTTGCTAACATTAACATAATTTATTTCTAGTCTTCCTTTTAATTTTTTTATTAGGACTACAGGCTCATGCCACCATGCCCAGCTATTTTTAAATATTTTTTCTAGAGACAGGGTCTAGTGAGGATCCTGTTGCCCAGGCTAGTCTCAAACTCCTGGCCTCAAGCTATCCTCCTGCCTCAGCTTCCCAAAACACTGGGATTACAGGCGTGAGCCTCCATACCCAGCCTATTTCTCCTTTTAAAAGTCCACTAAGGCTGGGCGCGGCGGCTCACGCCTGTAATCCCAGCACTTTGGGAGGCTGATCATAAGGTCAGGAGTTTGAGACCAGCCTGGCCAATATGGTAAAACCTCGTCTCTACTAAAAATACAAAAATTAGCCAGGTGTGGTGGCGGACACCTGTAGTCCCAGCTACTTGGGAGGCTGAGGCAGGAAAATTGCTTGAACCTGGAAGGTGGAGGTTGCAGTGAGCTGAGATCGCACCACTGCATTCCAGCCTGGGTGACAGAGCAATACTCTGTCTCAAGAAAATAAATAAAAACTAATAAAAAATAAAAATAAAGTCCACTGAAGTGTAAACTAAAGTCTTTGTCCCACTGAAATTATTTATTGCTTTCACTGGACATGTTAGGATTAAAAATTTGCCTGTGAGATGCAGAACATTGTGTATAAAATGCTACCTTTTGTGTAGAAAGACCAGGAAAAAATAAGATTATGTTTTGCTTGACTACATGTAAAGGGACTCTGGAAGGACACATAAGAAATTGGCATTTTGGTTTGGCATGGTGGCTCACGCCTGGGAGGCCAAGGCAGGTGGATCACCTGAAGTCAGAGGTTCGAGTCCAGCCTGGCCAATATGACGAAACCCCGTCTCTACTAAAAATACAAAAATTGGCTGGGCACGGTGGCTCACACCTGTAATCCTAGCACTTTGGGAGGCCGAGGCGGGCGGATCACAAGGTCAGGAGATCGAGACCATCCTGGCTAACATGGTGAAACCCCATCTCTACTAAAAATACAAAAATTAGCTGGGTGTGGTGGCGGGCATCTGTATGTAGTCCCAGCTACTCAGGAGGGTGAGGCAGGAGAATGGCGTGAACCCAGGAGGCGGAGCTTGCAGTGAGCCGAGATCGTGACACTGCACTCCAGCCTGGGCGACAGAGTGAGACTCCGTCTCAAAAACAAAACAAAACAAAAAAATTAACTGGGCACAGTGGTGGGCGCCTGTAATCCCAGCTACTTGGGAGGCTGAGGCAGGGAGAATTGCTTGATCCCAGGAGATGGAGGTTGTAGTGAGCCGAGATGGTGCCACTGCACCCTAGCCTTGGGTGACAGAGTAAGAGTGTCTCAGAAAAAAAAAAAAGACAGTGTTTATCTCTTTGGGGTAGGGGATGAGAACTGGGTGGATAGGGATGGGTGGGAAGCCGACTTCTCACTATTTTTTTTTTTAACCCTGTGAATATGTAACCCATTGTTAAAATAATGTTTAAAATCATGTCCCGGAGTTTCCTGACTTAAAAAATAGATCTATATATATCTAGCGTTCTTTTTCCATATAAAGTCATTAGTAAAGTTGTGTTTTAATTTTTTTTTTTTAAGAATGCATGTATAGTCTAGTCTCAAAGGACCAGTAGTAATTTGCAGGTGCCTTGCCATGGCTTTGTTCTCCTTCAGCACTCTCAAATGCTGTGACTAAGATTCATTATGAAGCCTTCCATTAGGAAATTCTCATACTGCAAATACAGCCAAACCTTAAATTATTGCTGGCTTATTGGAAGAACCATTTAATTGAAGTTATCTGCGGTATTTTGCCAACTGGATACTCAGTTGTTTCCTAATAAAAACTCTTAGATAATACCATTGCAATTACTGCAACATCAGTTTATCTTCTCCCCATGATATCTTGTATCTTATCATCATGGTTATAATTTACCTACTTAAGATGATATGAGTTTGGTGCTTTTAGAAAATAAAGGTTGGTTTACTTTTAGTATTTAGATAATTGCGCCCTTTTCAAGTTGTACACGCTAAGCCAAATATTTTCTTTCATCAGGATTTTTGTAGTTTTTATCATGTATGACCTGTATTTTACCTCTCAGAGAACAAAGAAAAAGACACTAATATTTATTGAGTTTCTTCCGTATGCTGGGTGCTTTAGAGACATTATTTTCTTAAATACTCATAATAACGCTGTGGGATGGGTAGGTCGTTTTATTTTGTAGATGAGTCACTTGAGCATAGTGAGGTTTCCAAGGTTGCTGTTTGTGGCAACACGAGGCAGAGCTGACCTGAATAGGTCTCTCTGGCTTTACCATGAGGTTCCCCGGTGTTAACTGATAAGGGGGTAAAAGCTGACTCCTCTCAAAGCCCCTCATCCGAAAGAACAGGCAGAATTTATTAACAAATAACCCATAGTACCATCTGCTGATGAGGCAGTGGTTAAATGAGCTTGAAAATGGGCTTTCATTTTTACTTTATCATTGTGAAATCATATTAATGTTTTAATCTAGAAACTTGTGCCAGATTTCAAGAAGAAAGCTGATTAAAATGTTTTAAATATGTATTTTATACCTAATAGAAAAAGACTAAATATTTTACATTTAGCTGGGTGTGGTGACATGTGACTGTAGCCCCAACAATTTGGAAAGCTGAGGCGGGAGGATCGCTTGAGCTCAGGAGTTTGAGGTTACAGTGAGCCATGATTGCTCTGCTGCACTCCAGCCTGAATGACAGAGCAAGACCCTGTCTGTAAAAAAAAAAAAAAAAAAAAAAGATTTAAAAGCTGATTGTGTTAAATCCTGAACCTATAGAATTTGAATATCTTATGCTGTTATCTGCAGAACTGTCAAACTCTTGCTATTAGTAACCAATGTCCAGTGAACTTTACCAGTGATAACAAGTACTGTTGTCATATTCTAAAACCTAACAATGATAACCAGTACCACTTATATTAATCCATGGAAATAGAGCAATAATTTTGTTGATTTTTGTTGCATGTTAGCTAAGTTCCTATTAACCAAGTAAAGATGATAGAACATGTTAGATCTGAATTCCTTTTTGTTTTTTTTGAGACAGGGTCTTCCTCTGTTGCCCAGGATGGAGTGCAGTGGTTCAATCTCAGCTCACTGCAGCCTCGATCTCCTAGGCTCAAGTGACCCTCCCACCTAAGCCTCCGGAGTAGCTGGGACTACAGGTGCACACCACCTGGCTAATTTTTGTATTTTTTGTAGACACAGGGTTTTGCTGTGTTACTCAGGCTGGTCTTGAATTCCTGGGCCCAAGTGATCCACCCACCTTGGCCTCCCAAAGTGCTGGGATTCTAGGCATGAGCCACCATGAGCCAGGTCTGAATTCTTGTATACTACATTATCCTATGATTCTCTTATTTAATAAAAAGTATCATGATCCTGGGCAAAGATGGTGGTATGGTCTGGATGTGTCTCCCACAGTGCATGTGTTGGAAACTTAATCCCCAATACAACAGCATTGGGAGGTGGGGCCTTTTGGGAGGTGTTTAGCTCACCAGGGCTCTGCCTTCGTAAATGGATGAATGCTGTCATGAAAGTGGGAGTGGTTTTGTCCTCTCTTGCTTTCTGCCGTATGAGGACACAGAGTTTGTCCTTTTTGCCCTTTCTACCTTCCTCCATTCAAGGACACAGCAAGAGGCCCTCAACAGGTGCTGACACCTTGATCTTGGACTTTCCAGCCTCTAGAACTGTGAGACATAAATTTCTGTTCTTTATAAATTACCCAGTGTCAGGTATTCTGTTATAGCAGCACAAATGGACTAAGACAGATGGTGAGAAAGACGCTGAGAAAATTCAAATGACTGGAAAAGTTTAAAAAGAAGTAAAAAGTCACAAATAGTAAATGGAGAAGACAGAATAAACCCACAGCATACACTAGAGTAATTTACACTTAACACTTAAAAATAACAGCTTTATTGAGATATAATTCATATACCATTAAAGTTGCTTTTTAAACCACAATTCAGTGGTTTAGTCACAGAGCTATGCAGCCATCACCACTATCTAATTCCAGAACTTTCATCATCCCCAAAAGAAACTCTGGACCCACTGTCCAGTGACTCCCATCTCTCCTTCCAGCCAGCCCCAAGTAATGACAAATTACTTTCTTTCTCTGCAGATTCACCTAGTCTGGACATTTTATTTAAAAAATGTGATCATACAATATATGATCTTTTGTGAGTGGCTTCTTTCACTTAGTATAATGTTTTCAATGCTTATCCATGTTGTAGCATGTGGTACTTCATTTCTTTTTTTTTTTTTTCCAAGATGGAGTTTCACTTTTGTCACCCAGGCTGGAGTGCAATGGCGAAATCTCAGCTCACTACAATCTCCACCTCCCGGGTTCAAGCATTTCTCCTGCCTCAGCCTTCCAAGTCACTGGGATTATAGGTACCCACCATCACGCCCAGCTAATTTTTGTATTTTTAGTAGAGACAGGGTTTCACCATGTTGGCCAGGTTGGTCTCGAACTCCTGACCTCAGATGATCCGTCCACCTTGGCCTCCAAAAGTGCTGGGATTACAGGTGTGAGCCACTGCTCCCAGCCATTTCTTTATATTGGTGAAAAATATCCTGCTGTTGGGATGCCAAGGTGGGAGGATTGCTTGAGGCTAGCTGTTCAAGACAAGCCTGGGCAATAGAGTGAGACCCCACCTCAACAACAACAAGAACAGCAACAATAAATAAATAAATAGCTGGGTGTGGTGGTGTGTACCTATAGTCCTAGCTACTCAGGAGGCTGAAGTGGGAGGATTGCTTGGGTCTAGGAGTTCACCCAGTGAACTATGATCACACCACTGCACTCCAGCCTGGGCAACAGAGCGAAACTCTGCCTCTTAAAAAAAAAAAAAAATCTGGACTGGGCACGGGTGGCTCATGCCTGTAATCCCAGCACTTTGGGAGGCTGAGGCGGGCGGATCACAAGGTCAGGAGATGGAGACCATCCTGGCTAAGACAGTGAAACCCTGTCTGTACTAAAAATACAAAAAATTAGCTGGGCGTGGTGGTGGGCACCTGTAGTCCCAGCTACTTGGGAGGCTGAGGCAGGAGAATGGAATGAACCCAGGAGGCGGAGCTTGCAGTGAGCCGAGATCGCGCCTCTGCACTCCTCTCACGCCTGTAATCCCAGCACTTTGGGAGGCCGAGGCAGGCGGATCACGAGGTCAGGAGATCGAGACCATCCTGGCTAACACGGTGAAACCCTGTCTCTACTAAAAATACAAAAAATTAGCCAGGCGTGGTGGCGGGCGCCTGTAGTCCCAGCTACTCGGGAGGCTGAGGCACGAGAATGGCGTGAACCAGGGAGGTGGAGCTTGCAGTGAGCCGAGATCGCGCCACTGCACTCCAGTCTGGGCGACAGAGCGAGACTCCATCTCAAAGAAAAGAAAAAAGAAAAAAAAAAATCCTGTTGTATGAATATACCATATTTTGCTTATTCATTCATCTATTGATTGATGTTTGGGTTGTTTTCACCTTTTGGCTATTACATATAATACTGCTATGAATATTTTTGAGTATTTATATGAACATATATGTTTTAATTTCCCTTAGATGTATACCTAGGAGCAGAAGTGCTGGGTCATATGGTAACTCTTGTTTAACTTTTTGAGGAGTTGCCAGACTGTTTTCTAGAATGCCTACATTTATTTATTTATTTTTATTTATTTATTTATTTATTTATTGAGACAGAGTTTCACTCCTGTCACCCAGGCTGGAGTACAGTGGCGCGATCTTGGCTCACTGCAACTTCCACCTCCCGGATTCAAGTGATTCTTCTGCCTCGGCCTTCTGAGTAGCTGGGATTACTGGTGTGCACCACCACACCCAGCTAATTTTTTATATTTTTAGTGGAGATGGGGTTTCACCATGTTGGCCAGTCTTCAAACTCTCGACCTCAGGTGATCCACCTGCCTTGACCTCTCTAAGTGTTAGGATTACACCAGCCACCCAGCACTTTGCGTGAGCCACCGTGCCCAGCCCTACCTTATTTTACAATCTCACCAGTAATGTATGAAGTTTCACATTTCTCTACATCCTCACCAACACTTTTCTTTCTTTCTATTTTAGCCATTTCAGTGCATGTAAAATGATATTTCATTGTAGTTTTGATTTGCATTTTCTGAAAGTCTATTGATGTTGAGCATGTTTTCAGGTACCCATTGGCCAACTGTGTATCTTCTCTACAGAAATGTCTATTCAGATTCTTTCCTTATTAAAAAAAATTTGGTTCTTTTATTGAATTATATGAATTATTTACATATTCTGAATATATGTCCCTTATGAGAGATATAATTTACAAATTTTTTTTATTCTATGGGTTTTCCTTTCACTTTCTTGATTTCCTTGGAGCACAAAAGTTTTAATTTTTAATGAAACCCATTTACTCGGTTTTTTTCTTTGTTGCTTGTGCTTTTGGTGTCACATCATCTAAGAAATTATTAACTCAAGGTCACAGAAATTTACTCCTATGCTGTCTTCTAAGAGCTTCATAGTTCTAGGTCTTTCTTTTAGATCTGTGATCTGTTTTGAGTTAATTTTTGTTTATGGTGTGAGGTAGGGGTCCAACTTCATTCTTTTGCATGTGTATATCCAGTTGTCTCAGCACTGTTTTTTGTTTGTTTGTTTGTTTTGAGACAGTCTCGCTCTGGAGTGCAGTGGTGCGGTCTCAGCTCACTGCAGCCTCCCCCTCCCATGTTCAAGCAATTCTCCTGCCTCAGCCTCTAGAGTAGCTGGGATTGCAGGTGCCCACCACCAAGCCTGGCTAATTTTTTTTTTTTTTGTATTTTTGGTAGAGATGGGGTTTTGCCATATTGGCCAGGCTGGTCTCCAACTCCTGACCTCAGGTGATCTGCCCGCCCCAGTCTCCCAAAGTGCTGGGGTTACAGGCGTGAGCCACCACACCTGGCCAAAAGTATTTTTTAATTTTCTTTGTGATTTCCTCATTAACCCATTGATTACTTAAAAGTATATTGTTTAATTTCCACATATTTGTGAATTTACCAGATTTCCTTTGTTATCCGCTTTCTAATTTAATTACATTTTTGTCAGAGAACACACTTTGTATGATTTTTGTACTTTTTAATTTAATGAGGACTTCTGAGGACTTCTTATGGGATAATATGTGGACTATCTTGGAGAATGTTTCATGTGTATGTTAGAAGAATATGTATTCTGCTGCTTTAGGTGGAATGTTCTATAGATGTCTATTAGGTTTAGTTGGTTTATAGTGTTGTTCATATCTTTTTCCTTGTTGATCTTCTGTCTAGTTATTCTCCTAAATACTTTTCAAAGCACTATTTTAATGTTTCATATTAGAATAAATATGAAAATTCGTTACCAAGATAAAAGGCTCAAATGGAAACGTGTTATTTTAGTGGGCTATTCAAACCAAATTAAATTTGAAAATTATTTACTTTCTTTACCTTTGGATATTAACATTTATTTATTTATTTATTTTGTTTGTTTGTTTGTTTGAGACGGAGTCTTGCTCTGTTGCCCAGACTGGAGTGCAGTGGCTCGATCTCAGCTCACTGCAAGCTCTGCCTCCTGGGTTCATGCCATTCTCCTGCCTCAGCCTCCCGAGTAGCTGGGACTACAGGCGCATGCCACCACACCTGGCTAATTTTTTGTATTTTTAGTAGAGACAGGGTTTCACCATGTTAGCCAGGATGGTCTCGATCTCCTGACCTCGTGATCCGCCTGCTTTGGCCTCCCAAAGTGCTGGGATTACAGGCGTGAGCCACCGCACCCGGCCGGGTATTAACATTTAAATGTAACTTATGTTTAGTGGTATTTTCTCAAGTCTGTGATTCTTTTGTGTCTGTGTATTAGGATTTACTAGTAGAATGTGCTGGAATATTTTTTTCAAACATTATTGCCACCCATCTCAAACTAGCATTCATATTTTGAGAACCTTATTTATTAGGAATTAAAAGTTTACTTGCTAACATGGTTGAGAGGACATCTCAAAAAAAATGTGACAGAATGTGCTCCATCTTCACGACAATTAGAAAAGGTAAACAGTTAAATTTTCTTGTTTTTCATTGGAACAGTATTTAATTTGCACCTACAAGAATTATATGAAATAGACATGTCAAAATTTGCAGTGGTAGAAAGGCCATGTGAGATCTAGTTGGTGGAGGCAATTAAAAATGTTTCAACATATAAACACCGGTAAATTCTTTTCCTCAACTAAAAATATTTGGACATTTTAGTGCCATCAACCATGAGTTTGTGAAAATGATATAATTTAACTTTGCTTAGCTGGGCATGCTGGTGTGTACCTGTAATCTCAGCTACTTGGGAGGCTGAAGCAGGAGAATCACTTGAACCCAGGAGGCAGAGGTTGCAGTGTGCCAAGATTGTGCCACTCCACTCCAGCCTGGGTGACAGTACGAGACTCTGTCTCCAAAAAAAAAAAAAAAATTTAACTTTGCCTTGTAGCACATATAAAAATTATTTTGTATTTTAAAAATAAATTGTTGTCTGGGCACGGTGGCTCATGCCTGTGTTCCCAGCACTTCGGGAGGCCGAGGTGGGTGGATCACCTGAGGTCAGGAGTTCAAGACCAGCCTGGCCAACATGGCAAAACCTCCTCTCTACTAAAAATACAAAAATTAGCTGGGCATGGTGGTACACACCTGTAATCCCAGCTACTCAGGAGGCTGAGGCAGGAGAATTGCTTGAACCTGGGAGGCGGAGGTTGCAGTGAGCCGAGATGGTGCCACTGCACTCCAGCGTGGGCAACAGACTGAGAGAGACCACATAAATTTTATTAAAAAAAAAAATTATTGTTTTGATATTATAAAAAAGCAAATATACACATTGCAGTGATTTTTCAAACTGCACTTGTAGTTAGAGTGATCTCTTATTTAATTAATCCTATTGTATAATAATGACCATATTGGAAGGCCATTCAGCCTAGGCTGGTAGAGGGTATCAGTCAGAATGCAGAGGAAAAATTCTACGAAGTGTGCATGGTACATATAGCCAGAAAAGCCGAATCATTTCGGTATTATTGGAGGGGATAGCAATTCAGGAGAAAGTATAGATTGGATAACAAACAGAAGAATCCAGCAAGAATGTGATAGTGGGAAAAAGTATAGAAGTGGATGAAGGAGGAGGAAGCTGCAGTAGGCTTTGCAGGTCTTGGCAAAGAGGCTGGTGCCCAGAAATGCATTCCTAGGCCTTCTAAATCTATTTCTACTTCTGGGAGGGAAATTTCTGAGAATGAAGTGTTGTTGAAATACATCTTCTTCAGTAGTATAGTTATTATTGTAATTGAATTATCTCTTTCCATTTTGATCATGTGGCAGTCACCCCTGTTAGCAACACTGAATGTCCAAAGGAGTAAATGTGATTGTTTTAGTAAGTCTTTTCTAATCCTGTGAAACGATTTAGGAAAGAAATAATGGGTGTAAAAATGCTTGACATAATGAAGGGCACAAAGTAGCCATTTGATAAATAAATGTTGGCTGATATTAATCTGTTCATCATATTTAATAGCTGTAGGGAATCTGGAAGGCTTGGGTTCTACCATTAGATTCACTAATTTCAGTAACTCTTAGTAAGTGATTTTATTTTCTTAGATTTTAAATTACTCAAAGTTCCTTCTACCTCTAAAATTCTATGGTTCTATTAAACTCATGTAGAAAAAAACTTTAAAGATTATTATTTTAATAGAGGTGGAAGTTTTTGTTCCCAACTTTTTCAATTTTAACTAGGGTACACTGCATGAATAAGATTCTTTATAGCATTATCTAAATCCAAGCACTGATTTATTTGAAAACAAAGGGTTTCTTTGCAGTGTCATTTAGCTTGGCATTGCTATGAATCCAAGAATTATTCTACATGAACCAGAGAACAGTAATGCAGTTGTACTTAAATTTAGAGTTCCACACAGCCATTCACCAGGGATGAATTGAGGTGAACAAGTACATCTAATTTAATTTGCAAAAGTTCTAAAATGTACTGATGGATTTGTTGCAGGAATCACAGTGAAAAGCAGTTTGGAAATGTGGCTCAGATCATGCAAAGCTGTTGGAGAAACTATCGCTGCTTTTTGTTGTATTACTTTCTGGATCTGTGTGATTTCTGGTAAAAATTGATAGTAACATAAATTTATTAATGCTTTTTTTTCTTTTTCTTTCTTTTTTTTTTTTTTTTTTTTTACCATTTTGAAATGATGTATGGTGTGATTGTTAGAGATGGATCAGCATGATTGGTCATCTTGGTTTTTAAAGGAAGCCAGTGCTTGGCTTCAAATAATGCTATGTGGAATTTTATTTATGTGGTATACCTTGCTTAAAAATTGTAAAAATTGTTAAAATTGTGAAAACCAAAATAAATTTTCTTTCCACTTCTATTAAAATTTTCTTTCCAACTCTTTACACATTCATTTGAGGTTTCCTGGGAAAAGTAGGAGGCAAACCATCCAAAGGTACTGTGGGTTTTCTAAAAAAATTTTAAATTCTTGCTATTAAAGTTCGTTTATCATAATTCTATACACAGTACTCCCCCTTATCCATAGTGTTGCTTTCTGCAGTTCAGTTACTGGAGGTCAACTGTTGTCAAAAGTAGGTGCAGGGCCAGGCATAGTGGCTCACACCTGTAATCCCAGCACTTTGGGAGGCTGAGGTGGGCAGATCACTTGAGGTCAGGAGTTCGGGACCATCCTGGCCAACATGGTGAAATCCTGTCTTTACTAAAAATGTAAAAATTAGCTGGGCGTGGTGGCGCACACCTGTAATCCCAGCTACTCAGGAGGCTGAGGCAGGAGAATCGCTTGAACCCAGGAGGTGGAGGTTGCAGTGAGCCGAGACTGTCATTGCACTCCAGCCTGGGCAGCAGAGCAAGGCTCCATCTCAAAAAAAAAAAAAAAAGTAGATATGTACAGTACAATAAGATGTTTTGAAAGAGACCACATTCACATAACTTTTTTTACTGTATGATGTTATAATTTTTCTCTTTATTATCAGTTATTGTTAATCTTTTACTGTGCCAGATTTATAAATTAAACTTTATCCATAGGTATGTATATATAGGAAAAAACATAGTCTATGTAGGGTTTGGTACTATCTGTGGTTTCAGGCATCCACTGGCGATCTTGGAATGTATCCTGAGGATAAGTGGCCAATAGTGTAGACTGTTGATATGTATAGTTCAGTTTTAAAAGGAAGGAAAAGTGGAAAACAAGTTGCAAAACACAAAATTAGGTAGTGAATTGTGGTTACGAATCATTATTGTTGATTGTGTAAGTTTGTACAGAAGTAGAAGAATCTATCAGGCGTATAGCTCTCTTAAAATGACAGATTTCCCAAATCCTTAATGAAAAGGATGTTGTATATATTTAGCGGAAGTCTCTTCTCATGCGCTTTTAATGGTTAAATTATAAAGCTTGGGTCCCCTGGAGAAGGTTTCTGGGTAAGTGATTGTGCTGAGCCTATGTATCTGTTGGGCAATTCTGTACTACCCTATGTGGCATTTGCCCCTAAGCCTTTCTAGGACCTACCAGATATAGCCCTTTTTTAATAGACAGTATTAAATAGAGTTTCAGACTTATTTTTATAGATGAAAAAGCAAGAAGCACTTTCCCATTTCACCTGAGGTAGTTAGCTACAGACTTGACATTTTCACATTAAAAAGCCATTTTTTTCAAATGTCATTGAATTGTGTTTTCTTATTTTCTTTTTTTTCTTAACCCTTCAGAATTACATCCAAAATATCATTAAATTTTACTTCTCAGGTTTCAATTTAGATGTTTCTTTCTGTGATTAAAGAATGATGAATCTTTGAACAGTGGCACTCAATAGATCTATCCAAATGTTGGTGTAATAATATGAAAAACAGAATACTGTCTTTAAAATTTACATGTTATAAGATGGTAACAAATGGAATGAACGTCATTGATGCAGCCATTGTTATGTGTAGAAGTAGCAAGTTGGCTTCAGTGACTCATTATCTATTTTTAGCTGCTGTGGGGGATTATATTTAACAGTAGTTAAGAATGGGGGCTGTGGACTTACCCAGATTATAGGTCGAATGGTGGTTCATCTATCATGAGTTTCTTCAACTATAGAATAGGCATAGTAATGTGACATACCTCACAGGATTGTTATTAAGCTTAGAATACAGTTGGCCCTCTATATCTGAGGATTCTGCATATGCAGATTAAAAATATTTTTAAAAATTAATATAACAATAAAAATAATACAAATAAATGTAGTACAGCAATTACTTACATAACATATACATTGTATTAGGTATTTTAAGTCATCTAGATATGATTTAAAGTATACAGGAGGATGTGCATAGGTTATATGCAAATACTGTTTTATTTTTGTAACAAAGTTGGTGCTCAATAAATGTCAGTAATTAATAATATATATATATTTTTTGAGACAAGGTCTTGCTCTGTTGCCCAGGCTGGAGTACAGCGTTGCCATCATAGCCCACTGCAGCCTTGAACTCCTGGGCTCAAGCAATCCTCCTTCGTTAGCCTCCCCAGTAGCTGGAACTACAGGCACATGCCACCATGCCCAGCCTTTTTTTTTTTTTTGAGACTGAGTTTCACTCTTATTGCCAAGGCTGGAGTGCAATGGCGCAATCTCAGCTCACCACAACCTCTGCCTCCAAGGTTCAAGTGATTCTACTGCTTCAGCCTACCGAGTGACTGGGATTATAGGTGTGTGCCACCATGCCCAGCTAATTTTGTATTTTTAGTAGAGACAGGGTTTCTCCATGTTGGTCAGGCTGGTCTTGAACTCCCGACCTCAGGTGATCCACCCATCTCAGCCTCCCAAAGTGCTGGGATTACAGGCATGAGCCACCGTGCCCGGCCCACCCAGCTACTTTTTAAAAAATTTTTAAAAAAATATTTAGTAGAGAAGAGGCCTTGCTATGTTCCCCAGGCTGATCTTGAACCCCTGGGTTCAAGGGCTCCTCTTGTTTTGGCCTCCCAAAGTATTGGGATTACAGGCAAGAGCCACTGTGCCCAACCAATAATATTCCTTTTTTTTTTTTTTACAGGCGTGAGCCACCACACCTGGCCCGATATTCTTAATAGATAAAATTTTATTGCCTTGACTTTGTTTCTCTGTTAATTACTTCAAAGGAAGATATGTAACACAACTTTTTCTTCATTAAAGCCTAAGAAGCCGGCCAGGTGTGGTGGTTTATGCCTATAATCCCAGCACTTTGGGAGGCTGAAGCAGGAGGATCGCCTAAGCTCAGGAGTTCAAGACCAGCTTGGGCAACATGGTGAGACCTCATCTCTTAAAAAAAAAAAAATTCTGAGAAGCAATAAGGAAGAGTTCTGGATAATAGCAGAGGAAAATTCTTTAAAGATGACTCCTGATATTAGGTGATAAGCCCATTCCCCCAACATTGAACCTCAGGTATCTGACTTTAGCCTATTGCCCTTTCTTTGGCCTACACTAGCTCTCTTTGAATGATTAAGGCTACTCTTCAGGCTGTATTATATGCATCTTGTGTGGATTAGCAGATGCATGGCTCCTACCCGGACCCAGACCCCTTTATCTTTTTTTTTTTTTTTTTTGACAGAGTCTCGCTCTGTTGCCCAGGCTGGAGTGAAGTGGCATGATCTCGGCTCACTGCAGACTCCACCTCCCAGGTTCAAGTGATTCCCTTGCCTCAGCCTCCAGAGTAGCTGGGACTACAGGCACACGCTGCCATGCCCGGCTAATTTTTTGTGTTTTAGTAGAGATGAGGTTTCATCATGTTGCCCAAGCTGGTCTTGAGCTCCTGACCTCTGGCCATCCGCCCACCTTGGCCTCCCAAAGTGCTGGAATTATAGGCATGAGCCACCGCACCCAGCCCCGGACCTTTATGTTTTATCCTTCAGAGTGGTATGTCTATTTGTCTAATACTAGATAGCTACCTTAATATAGTTCTACCCTGCAGGTAGTTCAAATTCAACATTTATAAAACAAAATATATTGTCTCTACTATTCTCCTGATGTCCCACCCCCACATTTTCACCAATTTCATTTTCCTTTTACTGTCCCTCTTCAATTTATGGTCTCATCATCCACCCAGAAACCTGAGAGGCATTCTAGACTTCTTGGTCTCCTTTACTGCCTGTATTTCATCATTTACAAAGCTCTCTTGATTTTACTTGGTAAATATTTCTCAAGTCTATCCCATCTGTACCATTTCTACCATAGTATTTTGAAACCCTCATGATGTTCTGCTTCTTTCAGTGGCCCCCTCTTAAATGATATCTCTATACTTAATTGTGACACCCCCCATTCTCCATATTGCTTTAAAAGTGCTCTAAAGTGCAGATGTGACCGTTGTCATTCCTATGCATAAATACCATCTTCATTTCCTGCAAGATCAAGTCCAAGGTCCTTAGCATGGCTCGTTAGCCACATTGTGATCCTCTGACTTCTGCTTATCTACTGGCATTCCCCGGCTATCAGCTCCAACAATGGTAGTTACTTCTGCACAGACTATTCTAATGAACCCCACTTGTGCTTGGAATACTGTCCTTCTGTTGTTCACTAGGCAGAACTGGCTCAAGATCCACTTTCTTTTTTTTTTTTTGAGACGGAGTCTTGCTCTGTCACCCAAGCTGGAGTTCAGTGGTGTGATCTCAGCTCACTGCAAGCTCCGCCTCCCGGGTTCACACCATTCTCCTGCCTCAGCCTCCCGAGTAGCTGGGACTACAGGCACCTGCCACCACACCTGGCTAATTTTTTTTTGTATTTTTAGTAGAGACGGGGTTTCACCATGTTAGCCAGGATGGTCTCAATCTTCTGGCCTCGTGATCTGCCTGCCTTGGCCTCCCACAGTGCTGGGATTACAGGCGTGAGTCACTGCGCCCAGCCTAGAGTCACTTTCTTTAGGACATCTTTCCTGTAACCATTTTTACCCTTCATACGCTGCCTCCCAAAACTGAAATGCTTGCCTTTCCCCTGTGTTCCCACTGTCCCACCTCTGGATACATCTATCTTAACAGATTACTGTAGTTCATTTTGCGTTGCTGTAACAGAATGCTTGAGGCTGGGTAATTTATAAAGAAAAGAGAAACCTCTTTATTTGATTTGGCCCATTGTTCTGAAGGCTGGGAAGTTCAAGGACATGGCGCTGGATTCTGACAAGAGTTTTCTTGCTGCATTATAACATGGTGGAAGGTCGAAGGGGAAGCAGACATGTGAAAAGGAGCCAAATATGAAGGATGTCCTTACTTTATAACAACCTGCTCTTGTGGGAAGTAATCCATTCCCAAGAGAATTAATCCAGTCTTGTGAGAGCAAGAACTCACTCAATACCACACAAATTTATTTATTTATTTATTTATTTATTTTTTGAGACAGAGTTTCACTCTTGTTACCCAGGCTGGAATGCAATGGCACAATCTCAGCTCACTGCAACCTCTGCCTCCTGGGTTCAAGCAATTCTCCTGCCTCAGCCTCTCAAGTAGCTGGAATTACAGGTGCCTGCCACCAGGCCCAGATAATTTTTTGTATTTTTAGTAAAGACGGGGTTTCACCATGTTGGCCAGGCTGGTCTTAAACTTCTGACCTCAGGTAATCTGCCTGCCTCAGCCTCCCAAAGTGCTGGGATTACAGGCATGAGCCACAGTACCCAGCCGACACTGGGTAATTTATAAAGGAAAGAGGTTTAATTGACTCACAGTTCAGCATGGCTGGGAGGCCTCAGGAACCTTACAATCATGGTGGAAGGGAAAGCAAACATGTCCTTCTTCACATGGCATCAGGGGAGAGAAGAATGAGAACTGAGTGAAGGGGGAAGCCCCTTATAAAACCATCAGATCTCATGAGAACTTATCTACTTACTTACTATCATGAGAACAGCATGTGGGAAACTGCCCCCATGATTCAATTACCTACCACTGGGTCCCTCCCACAACATGTGGGGATTATGGGAACTACAATTCAAGATGAGATTTGGGTGGGGACATGGCCAAACCATATCAGTTACACTGACAGTTAAATTTCCATATAAATTTTGGCAGGGACAAACCTCATAGAAACAATAGCACACATTTTTGTACCAGAATTATCTCTTCCAGATTTCATTCTCTGTACTTCTGTAGTCCATAAGGAAGTCTGCAACTCCCTAAGACACATTCAGCAGGCTTCAGCTCATCTCTAGAGGTGGGAGTCATAGTTGTCATTAAAATTACTTATTGATACAGAAACATTAACAAATTTAAAAAAGAATAAGAAAAATGTGATTTGGTTCTATGAAAATAATGTTAAGTTCCATCATTTTATATGGTTTCTTTCTCATTTGTACTTAAGCATCATTGACTTCCTTTACTATACCAGACACATTAATGTAGCTTGAGTCTCAGCAATTTTTATCCATTTCATTATATGTCAGCTTATAGTTTATGATTTTTTATTATAATATAGTGCAGTTCATGGAACATAGTAACACCTCAAATATATTTGTTGAGCTAATGAATACTAAGCTCTGTTCATGCAAACTCAGCCTTTGTGCTTGATTGCTCATCTTAGTATGGTCATCTGCTCACACCTTAAAAAGTAGGCTGAGGCCGGGCACAGTGGCTTACACCTGTAATCCCAGCACTTCGGGAGGCCGAGGTGGGTGGATCACCTGAGGTCAGGAGGTCAAGACCAGCCTGGCCAACATGGCGAAACCCTGTCTCTACTGAAAATATAAAAATTAGCCAGGTGTGGTGGTGCACGCCCGTAGTCCCAGCTACTCAGGAGGATGAGACGAAAGAATCACTCGAACCTGGGAGATGGAGGATGCGGTGAGCCGAGATTGCGCCACTGCACTCCAGCCTGGGCGGCAGGGTGAGACTCTGTCTCAAAAAAAAAAAAAAAAAAAAAAAAAGTAGGCTGAAGAACAATGGAGGAAAAAATTTCCCCCATTCCATCCTGCATACCAGAAGAGACTAATCTTCTTAAAGCCCTGTTTTAATTGCATGCCTACCTTTCTTAACCCACAATAGCTCTTTATTAGTTCAAGTCTAAACTCCTAACCTTGCCTTACTTGTTTAACTTAATTTTGGGTAGACTTTCTACAGAGTAAGTCTGGACAGTTTGATCAGTTTACTTAATAGGCAGAGTAGGCAGGGAGTACAAATTGGTTGCTCTTTCTTAGAGCAGATTTTGACTTTTCAAGTCTAAGCTTTAGTCTCAGAGTATAGACTTTAAAATTATATGTTGGGGCCAGGCACGGTGGCTCACGCCTGTAATTGCAACACTTTGGGAGGCCTAGGTGGGCGGATCATTTGAGGTCAGGAGTTTGAGACCAGCCTGACCAACATAGTGAAACCCTGTCTCTACCAAAAATACAAAAAGCTGCATGTGTTGGTGGGCATCTATAATCCCAGCTACTCGGGAGGCCTCTGAGGCATGAGAATTGCTTGAACCTGGGAGGTGGAGGTTGCAGTGAGCTGAGATCGCACCGCTGCACTCCAGCCTGGACGACAGAGCAAGACTCCATCTCAAAAAATAATAATAATAATAATTATATGTTGGTGGGGCTGGGTACAGTGGCTCATACCTGTAATCCCAGCAGTTTGGGAGACCGAAGCAGGCAGATTGCTTGAGCCTAGGAGTTTGAGACCAGCCTGGACAACATAGTGAGACCCTGTCTCTATTAAAAATTCAAAAAAATAAGAAAAAAAGAAAATTATATGTTGGTGCACTAAACAAAAGCTTTGTATTCACCAAATATTTATTGAGTGTCCCCCAAGGGATAGGCACAGTACCAGTAGATGGGGCTTTGGTAATAATCAAGATCAACATAGCCTCTGTCCTCAAGGAAGTTACGGTCTAATTGTACAGGTAAATAAACAATTATAATCTAAGGTAAAAGGTGCTAGGATGGGGGCAGTGCCCCAGGGCCCCTTAGCAAGGGCATCTGATCTAGCTTTGGGATCAGGTTTCTCAAACACAGTGACGTCTAGTTTGATGTCAGTCCTTGGGAAGTACATTACAAGTCAAAGGAACATCAAGTACAAAAGCCTAGTGGGAAAAGAGCCCCAGATGCTTAAAAAAGTGGGCAAAGTTTCTTAAGGCTGAATCTTAGGTACAAAGAGCTATCTGTATTACTGTAATAGATCATGAAATGAAAGAAAGGATATCTCTTTTTCATATCAGAGACTTGCTTGCTCTTTTCCTCAGGGCCTAAACTGTTCAAATCATTTTTTTTATGAAGGTTTAGGAGAAAAAAAATCAAAATGAATAAAATGAACTTCATTTGGTTCACTGAACACCTATCTTCATTTCTAGTCACATGTTATATATTTCTCCATTAATTTTTTGTCTGTTTGTTTTTTAGAGACAGGGTCTCACTCTGTTGCACAGGCTGGAGTGCAGTGGCATGGTCATGGCTCACTGTGCCCCAAACTCTTGGCCCCAAGGGATCCTCCCACCTCACCCTCCTGAATAGCTGGGACTACAGATGTATGCCACCATGTCTGGCTGATTTTGATATTTTTTGTAAAGATGAGGTCTCACTGTGTTGCCCAGGCTGATCTTGAATTCTTGGCTGTAAGTGACCCTCCCACCTCAGCCTCCCAAAGCACTGGAATTATGGGCATGAGCCACCATGCCTGGCTCTATATTTTTAATTTATGTAATTTTTATGCATATAAAATTAATAAGTCAGTCTTTATGAGATGATGTAGACATCACTGCAGTTTGCTGGCATACCACTGCCCCACATTTTTTGTATCTCCATTGCTGTTGGAGTAAGATCAGACTCAGCATATTGGTCAAGTCTATGACCTTTCATGGTTAGTCTCCAATCATGCCTTTCTGTCTCCATTTTCCACTCCTCTCCTTCATTCAGACTTGCCATTTTCTCTGCTATGCCTTTAGCGCACACTTTGTTTTCCTGCTTTTGAGCCTTTACTTACCTTCCTTTCACCTGTAACAGCCTTTTTCCCATTCACTGCCTGTCAGTCTGTAATTCTATTAAGTCTGTAATTTTCTTGCCATCCTCCCTGCCTCCACCAATTCTCTACTCCAGAAGTGTTTTATTTTTTCTTTTTAATAGAAGAGACCATAGTTTTTTGCAGTGTTTTTAAAACTGTGGGTTGCAACCCATTAGTGACTCATGAAGTCAATTTAGTGGGTTGTTAGCAGCATTTAAAAGCCTGGAATAAAAGAAACTTGAAAATATCAAAATGTATATAAAAAAGAGATAATATTGTTTCATGGCACTTTTGTTGCACTTCTGGCTCACCATGTAAAATGCTTCTGGCTTATAATGTAAAATGTATTTCATACTGTGGGTCTTGGTCAAATAATTTGAAAAGTACCAGTCCATATCCTATCTATGGATTAGCTCTGCAATTACGTTATATATTACTTAAGGACAGGGACTTCTCACTCAGGCTGTAAATATTCCACCCTCCCCACTTCATATAGTAACTAGGGTGCTCCTTTGTCCACTATGTTCATTGTTAAGTGCTAATGTTATTTTTGTTTTTGTTTGAGATGGAGTTTTGCTCTTTTTGCCCAGGCAATGGCGTGATCTCAGCTCACTGCAACTTCTGCCTCCCAGGTTCAAATGATTCTCCTGCCTCAGCCTGCTGAGTAGCTGGGATTACAGGCAAGTGCCACCATGCCCAGCTAATTTTTGTGTTTTTAGTAGATACAGGGTTTCACCCTATTGGCCAGGCTGGTCTCGAACTCCGGATCTCACTCACCTCGGCCTCCCAAAGTGCTGAGATTACAGGCGTGAGCTACCGCTCCGAGAGCTAATTTTTTTTGTACTTGTCTCTAATTCTTCCTAAGCCCTGTAGCAGCCTTGCCATACAATTTTCCACAGTCAAATCTAGCAGACTGGAATCTTTCAGCTCCATTTCCCTGCTGGAACCTTCCTCCAGGAGTCCTCTGTCCTTTTGTTCCAATCTGGGATGCTGCTGCACAGTTGTCATCCTGGAAATGCTCTTTGCCTCTTACCTGGGCTGGATCCTTTGCTGCTTCTTTTTTTGGCTTATTCTGTACTTGTGGTAGATCACATAGTCTAATAGCTTACTGAGACAGCGTGCATGGGAGGTAATTTTTTTAACCTTATACTATTTGAAAGTATCTGTAGTCTCCCTTCACAATTGACCGATAGTTTGGCTGGTTATAGAACTCTGGCTGAAAATTGTTTTCCTTTAGACTTTTAGAGGCATTGCTCCCTTGTCTTCTAGTTTCCACTGTTGCTGTTAAAAGGCCATGCCATTCTTATTCCTGAACTTTTGTATGTGACCTGTTGCTGCCTCTCTGGAAGCTTCTAATATCTTCTTTTTTATATATTTTATTTTTCTATTGTGCTGTGTACTCAATGGACCTTTTAAATCTGGAATTTCTTGGGAAATTTCTTATTATTTCTGTTATTTGGTGAAATTATCAAATATATATGCATATATGTGTGTGTGTGTATATATATATATATATATATATATATATATATATATTTTTTTTTTTTTTTTTTTTTTTTTTAGATGGAGTCTCACTCTGTTGCAAAGGCTGGAGCTCACTGCAACCTCTGCCTCCCGGGTTCAAGCAATTCTTCTGCCTCAGCCTCCCAAGCAGCTGGGATTATAGGCATGCCACTATGCCTGACTAATTTTTGTTATTTTAGTGGAGATGGGGTTTCACCATGTTGGCCAGGCTGGTCTTGTACCCCTGACCTTAAATGATCCACCCGCCTTGGCCTCGCAGTGTGCTGGGATTACAGGCATGAGCCACCATGCCTAGCCTTTTTTTTTTTTCTAGATTTTTGATTAGTTGTGTGTGGGACCTTTTGGATTGGTCCTTCAATTTTCTTAGTTTTTTTCCTCTTGCCAACCTTGGCATTTTTTGTCTGTTTTCTGTAAGTCTTTGTCAATTTTACTTGCCAACATTACTATTGAAGTTTTTGTTCTAACTGTAATTTTTAGTTTCTAAGAAGTCTTTCTTGTTCTCTGTGCTTTTTTAGTCTTTTATTTTTTTAAAGTTTCTTGTTCGTGTTTCATACATATACCTTCTATCTCTATGAAAATTGGTTTTTCTTTTAATAGACAAAACCCATTTGTCTATTCCTAGCATTCTATTTCCTGATTTTATTTATTCTAGTTTTTTTGTTTCATTGTTTTGTTTGTTTGTTTTCACTTTGATCCTTTATGTTAGAGGTTTTCCTCAAGTGCCTGATGATTATTTAGGAATGAGACATTAAAAGAATATGTTAGAAACTGAGTAAAAGTTGGCCAGGCACAGTGGCTCACACCTGTAATCCCAGCACTTTGGGAGGCTGAGGCAGGTGGATCACGAGGTCAGGAGATCGAGACCATCCTGGCTAACTTGGTGAAACCCCGTCTCTACTAAAAAATACAACAAAAATTAGCCAGGTGTGGTGGCGGGCGCCTGTAGTCCCAGCTACTCGGGAGGCTGAGGCAGCAGAATGGCATGAACCCGGGAGGAGGAGCTTGTAGTGAGCCGAGACCACGCCACTGCACTCCAGCCTGGGCAACAGAGAGAGACTGTCTCAAAAAACAAAAACAAAACAAAACAAAAAAACAACAAAAACTGAGTAAAAGTTTTGTGTATCTGGGTGGGACTTTGTCTTAGTCCATTTGTGCTGCTGCTATAGCAGAATGCCTGAGACTGGGTAATTTATAAGGAACAGAAATTTATTTCTCACAGTTCTGGAGGCTGGGAAGTCCAAGAACCATGTGCCAGCAGGTTTGGTGTCTGGTCTCTGCTTCCAAGATGCCACTCTGAATGCTGCATTCTCCAGAAGGGAAGAATACTGTGTCCTCATATGGCAAAAGAGTGAGTGGAGGACAGTAAACCCTCTCCTACAAGCCCTTTTTTTAGTGGCAGTAGTCCTAAACACCTCCCAAAAGAGCCCACCTCCCAACACCTGTGCTTAGGGGATTAAGTTTCAACTTGAGTTTGGAGGGGACAAAACGTTCAAGCCATAGCAGATTTATTAAAGCTGAGCCAGCTTTTTTGATAGGGACCACCATAGATTATAGCAGCAGCAGCTATTTTCTCCAGAACTATTCAGGTTTTCTAGAAAAGCAGCCTCTTATCTCTTGCCCATTGCATCAAATTCTGGGCCTTTTCTCCGATTCTGCAGATTAGGTTAGCTCATTCCTGTCTGGTGTTCTCTGCAGGCTCTTAGGTTTCGCCCTCCAACCTCTGCCTGTTCTCCACTCTTCCATTGGCTTTCTGTCTTCAGATAGTGTGGGCTTTCTCTTTTCTTTTGCATTTTCCCTCTTGTTTTGAGGGGAATTCTGAGAGAAAAGATGAAACATCTTTTTGCCAACATTTCAAAACAAGTCATTTCCTGAACCTTTCAACTGACCAGTTTCTCTGTCTACATCATTTAAAATGGAGAGAGCTGGGCATGGTAGCTCACACCTGTAGTCCCAGTTACTCAGGGAGGGGAGGTGGGTGGTGAAATGGGAGTTTTGCTTGAGGCCAGGAGTTTGAGAACAGCCTGGCAACAGAGCAAGATCCTGTCTCTACATTTTTTTTTTTAAAGGCAAAATCTCATTCTGTCACCCAGAGTGGAGTGCAGTAGCATAATCATAGTTCACTGCAGCTCTGAACTCTTGGGCTCAAGAGATCTTCCCACCTCAGCTTCCTGAGTGACTGGGACTATAGGCACACGCCATACTACACCTGGCTAATTTTTCTTAATTTTTTTTTTTAGAGACCAGGTCTCGCTATGTTGCCCAGGCTAGTTTTGAACTCCTGGCCTCAAGTGATCCTCCCACCTTTGTCTCGAAAGTTACTGGGATTACAGGTGTAAGCCATCATGTGGGCCTAAAAAATATATATTTTTTAAATGGAGAGACTATGCTAATGTTTCTTCTACTCAGGGCTGTTGACACCTAATTAGTCAACGTTAATGTATTTACAAAGATGAAATCCTGATGGAAGTATTCACTGGCATACTGTTTTCCAGAGGGTATAGAAATAAAATCTATTATATAGATTTTAAATTGCCTTTTAGAATTTCTCATTTCAAAAAAAAAAGGGTTTTTTTTCCCCATGGTAATTTTAGATTTTGACAGGCTAGTGTTTGTTCATCTTTCATGGCCAATTCAAATATCCAGAGTATGACATCAGGAGAAGATTCATAATTCAAAGCATGCTGAATGTAGCTTTCTGAAAGTTGTTCTCATGGTATTAAGGTGTGAGGTTTATTTTTAAAATAGACTTTTATTCCCTAACCTCATTTTAATGGTTTTGTTGTTGTTGTTGTTTTTGAGCATAGAACCATGGTTTTTCCATCTCAGAAACTTGTGTCAAATTTCTTACCAAGTAATTACTTAGAATAAAAGACTATCTTCAAGTAGTTTAAACAGCCACACAGTTTTCTGAATATATGGTACAGAATGCCTGTTTTAGAAAGTCCAGGGCTAGACTTGCAGGAGAACTAAAGGAGACCAAGATCTGGTATGGTGCCATATTATGAAAGAATGGTCCTATGTGTGATCATTTAGACTTCTTTGACTTTTCTTTTGCCATTTTTTTTTTGAGACAGGTTCTCACTTTGCCACTCAGGCGAGAGTGCAGTGATGTGATCTCAGCTCACTGCAGCCTTGACCTCCTGGGCTCAAGTGATCCTCCCATCCCAGCCTCCTGAGTAGCTGGGACTACAGGTGTGTGCCACCACGCCTGGCTAATTTTTAATTTTTTTGTAGAGACAAGGTCCCATTATGCTGCCGTTTTGTACCACTTTAATATAAAGCTAAAAATCTTCCTTATCTTTTAAACTTTTAGCCACTTAGTAATTTCATTTTTTAAAAGTCTATTTGATTTGTTAAGTCTCTATTAAAAATGATGCAATGTGCTTTGCTGTGTAGCACAGCAGACAGAACACAAGCGTTAGTGTTGGACAGGCCTGGGCTTGGATTCTCGCACTGTGGATCACTAACTGTGAATCTCAGTGAGTTACTTAATGTTTCACTTTCCACATCTGTCCAATGGAGAGTTCATAAGGTTTTCCTTATTGGGATTACATGAGGTAATGCTTGTAAAGGCCTCAGCACCAGGCTCAGCTCTTGTTATTGAGGTATGTGAAGCATCTAACACACTGCCTTTTCCTCCTACTCTGCCTCCTACTTACTCAGGATGTTCTGCTGAGTCAAAGCTAGCAGTAGAAAATTATATAATATAAATCCTTTCTTCTCATTCTTAGAAGATTTAATTTGGAGATCGTTTTGGTAAATTTAAAAAATACTGCCACTAAAGTAGTATTTATTTATGCTCGAAGGTTTCTAAAGAATTGATCCCTGACTGTGCTGAACTGGCAACCTATAAAAACAACAGTGAGTTGCTGGAGGGAACTCCACATTTTTGAAATAATTTGTTTGCTAAGCTACTCGAGTTTTGGGTATTACCTAGGGGAATTTATAAATATGTCAAGCCTTGATAGATTTTTCCTTCTTATGTTAATGCACTATTAATATGCTGGGCTCATCCTGCCTGTGGGCCATGTGTCATCCCTGCTGTTACCGACATCACCAGCATCTCGATCCTCCTGGACCTGACCTCGTGCTCATTTGCTGGCGAGGAACCCACAGGACCAGGCCAGCAGTGCCTTGGATTCACATTTCCTTCTAACACCACTGATTTAGAGATCAATAAACTCTCTACCCTGACAAGTAGAAGGAGTAGGCTCATCAATTTTAATTTTGAAAATTGCCTACATACTGTTGTCATCACTTTGAGTTACTTTTAAAAAGATGGTGGACTCATCAATTTGAAACTTGTCATGTCAGAGTTGGCCATTAGGGACTTCTGATTTTGATATTAAATTATTTCCTGTAAAATTCTCACTAGATTTTATTTATTTATTTATTTATTTATTTTAGACAAGGTCTCTCTCTGTTGCCCAGGCTGGAGTGCAGTGACACTATCTTGACCCACTGCAACCTCTGCCTCCCAGGCTCAAGCGATCCTCCCATCTCAGCCGCTTGAGTAGCTCTGGGACTACAGGCGTGCATCACCACGCCCGGCTAAATCTCTAGATATTCTAAATGAATGAATGCTTATGAGAGAAAATATGGTTAAGAAAATACGAGAGTGGAAGGGATGGACCCATATTGTATTATTCAGAAAGTTATTCAGTCAATATACGTCAAAATGGGCAAAATTGGACTTGTTTCATCTTATAGAAAAGTTATTTTTGGCTGGGTGCGGTGGCTCACACCTGTAATCCCAGCACTTTGGGAGGCCGAGGCGGGCGGATCACGAGGCCCGGAGTTCGAGACCAGCCTGGCCAAAATGGTGAAACTCCATCTCTACCCACTACACTCCAGTCTGAGCTACAGAGTGAGACCCTGTCTCAAAAAACAAAAACAAAAACGAAGAATAACAGTAAAAACCCAGCTATTCAGTTTCCTGTTCTCTTGATGGACACTTGGGTTGTTGCTAGTTTTTCGCTAGTACGAACATTGACTTCTGGCACACATCTATTGGTGAATGTGAGCAAGAATGGAATTGCTAGACCAGTTGCTTAATTTCTGAATTTCATATGAAACGTGATTTGCTTTTCTTTGAATTTAAGGAGGATTTGAGATTGAGATAATTTGGTTCAAATCAGTGGTTTGATAATGTTATATCAATTTTAGCAATTTTTCTAGGAAGAATAGTTTCCTTTTGAAATTAGAGACGATTGATTTATTCAGAAAGGCCAGCAAGTGAGGAATTTGAGATAATTTAGATATGTTTATATATAGATGCAGAAATATAAAGATATGAGACATGGTTTCAAGAGTTGGAATACAATAATAATAATGGCCAAATTATATTAAGTATGTAAAAAATAGAATGACTGCCTTGGTACATGGCAACTGAGTATCAGCCTCTGCCTGGAAATAGTTTCTAGGGTGTGTGTGTGTGTGTGTGTGTGTGTGTGTGTGTATGTGTGTAAATCTCTAAATATGAGAGGTGAAAAAATTACCTTCAGATTTCTTGGGTTTGGATAAATAAGGAATTCTTTTCTATACATTCAGCCTGCCTTGATTCCCAGTGCATCTTCTACTATATGGAAGTAACATGCTGAATCAGTTTTTACTGTGACATTTGAAATTCTTCAAATTCAAGGAAGAGATGAGTCAATAATGGCTATCATGATAGTCAACTTTGCGATTAGTGTTTATTGCCAATGCTGTCCTTTGTACATATCTGGAAATGTTTTACAAATAAAATGTATGTACATTTCTGATATAATGCCTTCCTTTCTGGAAAATTCTTATAACAATCTAACATCGCTCACTTTAAAAATGTCCTCCCTTCCTTCCTAGTTCTCTGCTTAAGACATTTATTTTGCCCCAGCCTGAGCCAGGCACCTATTTGTCTAGGTGCTAGAGATACTATCCAATCCTGCCCTCAAAGAATGTAGAGTTTAGTGGGATAGAAGAATATGTAAACAGGCAATTGCTAGGCATTATTCTTTGATGAGGATTGGTTCGTATTTAGTCTTAAGAAATGTGATAGCCAGGCATGGTGGCACGTGCCTGTAGTCCCAGCTACTCGGGAGGCTAAGGCAATGAGAATCACTTGAACCTGGGAGGCAGAGGTTGCAGTGAGTTGAGATCACGCCACTGCACTCCAGCCTGGGCAACAGAGTGAGATTCCATCTCAAAAAAAAAAGAAAGAAAGAAAAGAAATATGAGGTGCTGGGTGTGGTAGCTCACACCTGTAATCCCAGCACTTTGGGAGGCCGAGGCAGGTGGATTTCTTGAGCCCAGGAGTTTGAGACCAACCTGGACAACATGGCAAAACCCCATCTCTACCAAAAAATATAAAAATTAGCCAGGCATGGTGATGGTGCACCTATAGTCTCAACTGCTTGGGAGGCTGAGGTGGGAGGATTGCTTGAGCCCAGGAGGCAGAGGTTTCCGTGAGCCAAGATCGCGCCACTGCACTCCAGCCTGGGTGATACAGTGAGATCCTGTCTCAAAAAAAAAAAGGCCAGGCGCGGTGGCTTACGCCTGTAATCCCAGCACTTTGGGAGGCTGAGGTGGGCGGATCACGAGGTCAGGAGATCGAGACCATCCTAGCTAACACACGGTGAAACCCTGTCTCTACTAAAAATACAAAAAAATTAGCCGGGCGTGGTGGCGGGCGCCTGTAGTCCCAGCTACTCAGGAGGCTGAGGCAGGAGAATGGCGTGAAAAAAAGAAATGAGAGGAGTTGTGGGAAAGCGTCTGCTTTTCGGATATTAAGAAAATCTGTTCTTTGGCTTAAAAATGCTCATTAAATTTAAGTACTGGTTTACATATTCATTTTTATAGGGCATTTCTGTACATATATTTTCAGAGCTTAAATGAAAAAGAAAACTCATTTGTTATGAGCTTCTTAAAATACCATTCTATTTTCTTATTTGTACTTCATGAAAAAGGAGAACTCTTTTCTCATTGCCTTAAGTACTTTTTTAATATCATGAGTCATCACTTCTGGAAAGTTCTTATTCAGAAAATACTTAGCTGTCATTGAGCACATCTTATAATTATGTTAATGAATTATAAATATGGTATGACATTTTGAATTATTTTGAATTATTTAAAACAATACATGGATTTCTTGAATCTATCTACACTTAATAAATGTGGATATTGTAATACTATCTTGCTTCACTATAAGAAAGAATAGGTACACAATAGGAATAATCTCTGATTATTAAAAATCATTCATTTTATTTATTTATTTATTTATTTATTTATTTATTTATTTTGAGACAGAGCTTCACTCCTGTTGCCCAGGCTGGAGTGCAGTGGCGCGATCTCGGCTCACCGCAACCTCCGACTCCCGGGTTCAAGCAGTTCTCCTGCCTCAGCCTCCCGAGTAACTGGGATTGGAGGCATAAGCCACCACAGCCGGCTAATTTTGTATTTTTAGTAGAGATGGGGTTTCTCCATGTTGGTCAGGCTGGTCTCGAACTCTCGATCTCAGGTGATTCGCCCACCTCGGCCTCCCAAAGTGCTGGGATTACAGGCATGAGCCCCCAAGCCTGGCCTAAAAATCATTTATTGAAAGGTCAATCTTTGAAGGACTATAATGTGACCAATAGATTTTGGCCACAAGGAGAGCATTGTGCCATGTGCCAACAAAATGGGATGTCAGGGTGGAAGCTGATGACGTTTCGTTGAAGAGTGCGTAGTAGAGGGGGAAGACAAGACAGCAGGTGTGGACTCTGTTCATTCAGTAAAACTTACTGTATGTGTAGTATGGTGACCAACCACCCTTGACTGCGGTAGTTTCCTGGAATGCATGACTTGGCAATGTTAAAACCAAAAGTCTGGGGCAATCTGGGGCAATTGGTCACCTACAGGGCAGATATTATGCTAGGTTCTAAGGATGTAAAGGAAATAAACATGCAAAAAGAGAATTATTATGTAGGATGATAATTTAAGATAGCATTAAATTTAGGGGGCTATGGGAATACCCCCTATGTAGCAGAAGATGGTCAGAGAAGGCTTCAGGGAGAAGGTGATATAGTTGAAATGAATCCAGAGAAAGGAGTAGGAGTTACCCTGTGAAAAACTGGGGGGGTGGGGGAGACAGAGCATTTCAGGCAGAAAAGTGTGCTGCATGTGGTTTTTAGAGAAATGCAAGCTGTTTTTTTCCAGAAAGAGAAGAGGAAGTAGCTAAAGGGGGCCAGGTGCTTATCCACAGTGGTTTGAGGATGTAGGGGATGCTGAGGGAGATTAAGCCTGATGTTTTCGGCGAGACAAGGACATTGCTTGGGGAGAAGGGAGAGTAAAGGGAAGTGGGGAGTTTGAAGGGAGTGGGAAGTCACAGGTTTCTTTATTTTTTTAGAGACAGGGTCTCACTCTGTTGTCCAGACTGGAGTACAGTGGCATGATCATGGCTCACTATAACCTCAAACTCCTGGGCTCAAGCCTCAGCCTCCCACTTCAGCCTCCCAGAGTGTTGGGATTATAGGTGTGAGCCACCATGCCTGGCCAGAAGTTACAGATTTCTGAGGTAATCAAATGAGAGCATATTAGGTGAAAAAGCTCTGAATATTACAAACATTAAAATAAATAGCTAACACTTATTGGATGCTTGTTTCAGGTACAACAACATTATTATATTTAATTATCACAACAATCACGAGATAGGTACCATTATTATTTCCATTTTGCAGATGAGAAAAACTAGGCAAAAAAAGTTAAAACATGCCCAAGGTTACACAGTTCCTAAGAGGTGGCAGCCAGAATTCTGTAGCTTCCATGAAGCCTACAACCTCTGCATTTAATGCATTTCCATATGTGACCTTATGTGATACTCACAACCACCTCTTGTGCTAGTATTATTCCTAGATGAACCAAGGTAGAAGCTTGTCCCAAATCACATAGGTAGTCAAGATATACAGTTAGGCAAATGCATAGGAGAGGACTAGGGGAAGATACTCGTAAATTGCTGAGACTTTGCTTTTCTCTGTATTATATACTTTCCCAGCTTGCAAAAACTATTTTAAAAAAGAATATGGGCCAGGCACGGTGGCTCACACCTGTAATCCCAGCACTTTGGGAGGCCCAGGAGGGTTGATCACCTGAGGTCAGGAGTTTGAGACCAGCTTGACCAACATGGAGAAACCCCGTCTCTACTAAAAATACAAAATTAGCTGGGCGTGGTGGTGCCTGTATTCCCAGCTACTCAGGAGGCTGAGGCAGGAGAATCACTCGAACCTGGGAGCGGAGGTTGCAGTGAGCCAAGATCGTGCCATTGCACTCCAGCTTGGGCAGCAAGAGCGAAACTCCCTCTCAAAAAAAAGAAAAGAAAAGAAAAGAATATGATCTCCCCCTCTCCATACCTCCAAAATATTCTAGCCACTCATTTGAATTCCAATCCACGTTCTCCTAGAAGTCATGGATATCACTTCTTAACTCCTAACCAAATCACAAGATTGTTAATAGACTTTAAATGCCCTTATGACCTCTGAACTCCAATTGCCCTCTAGGCCCCTGAGTCTTTTGGCAGTGCTGGAGGCTCTTTGGAGCTTTGTTTGATTTGTAACCCCCTTTTGCAGCATGGGAGAAAACTTTAGAGGCCTGGAGGTGGGACTCACATAAGCTTCAGCAGAATTGGTTGTTAAAGGAAAGGTTGGGATTAACACTCCCATCAAAGGCACACAAGGGTCTTGGCAGCATGGGGTAGAGTTTGGGATATTCACAGATCAGGGCTTTTCTGTTTAAATTGTGACCAATGTTGGCTTTAGATAATTTCCTGCATTTGCAAATGAGGAATGAGAGATAATGCAAAAACTAAGGAACATTGCACCATTTTTACGTTGCTAATTAATGATTGAGACAGGACTGGACTTAAGACTCTACCCGCTTAATTCAGTACTGCAGTGGGATTAAAAGTCAGTGAGGCTTGACCACCAAGATTACTGATTTGCTGGGACAGGTTGAGTATCTTTTATCCAAAATGCTTGGAACAGGAAGTGTTTTGGATTTCGGGTATTTACAGATTTTGGAATATCTGCATATACATGATGAGATCTCTTGGGGATACGAATAAAGTCTAAAGACGAAATTCCCATTTATGTTTCATATACACCTTATGCACACAGTCTGAAGGTCATTTTATACAATATTTTAAGTAATTCTGTACATGGAACAAAATTTGTATGCATTGAACTATCAGAAAGCAAAGGTGTCACTATCTCATCGCCCACGTGGACAATCTCATCACCTATGTGGTCGATCTGTACTTGTTTGGCATCACCATCATTTCTGACTCTGAATTTATATGCTAGTGATAAGCAATCATTTTCTCCTGCTTATACACACATTAACACTTAACAGTTACCAATATGACACACCATTAATACAGTGAGAAAATAATGTGTTTAGGGTAACTAGGCAGCACAGTAGCATCCCCAGAATACCTGCATCAGCTGTTTAACAACAGCAACAAGGCCAGGCGTGGTGGGTCATGCCTGTAATCCCAGCACTTTGGGAGGCGGAAGCGGGTGGATCACCTGAGGTCAGGAGTTCAAGACCACCCTGACCAACATGGTGAAACCTCGTCTCTACTAAAAATACAAAAATTAGCTGGGTGTGGTGCAGCACTCCTATAATCCCAGCTGCTGGGCAGGCTGAGGCAGGAGAATCATCTGAACCCAGGAGGCGGAGGTTGCAGTGAGCCGAGATCACACCACTGCACTCCAGTCCGGGGGACAGAGTGAGACTCCATCTCAAAAAAAAAAAAAAACGAAAAACAGCAACAACAAATAACAACAGGCTGTCAGTCTCTGCCTGTGATGCTGTGTTTTGATTAAAAGATTGTTGTACAATAACCCCCTTGGGGATGTTAAGTAAAACTGATAAAACTGTGTTGTGCACCTGCGTTTTAACTGCAACCTGTCGCATGATGTCAGGTGTGGAATATTCCACTTGTGGCATCATGTAGACACTCAGAAAGTTTTGGATTTTGAAACATTTTAGATTTTTTGAGTTAGGGATGCTTAGCCTGTACACCTCTTCCAGATGGTTGCTGCTGGTCTCAGAATCCTTCCTGGTGGTCTTGCAGATCTTGTTTTCATCTCTGAAACTCCCCCATTTTGTAACACCATACAGCACTCCCGTACTCATTGAGTGACCCCAGTATGTCAGGCACTATTCTAAACCCTGTAGGCCCAGTGGTGAACATGACAGACGCAGTCCCTGCCCTCATGGCTCTTAGGGTTTGGTAGGTGAAACAGTTATAAAACAGTTAAATGACTATTTACTTTCATTTGTATGCTAAATGATATGTATTAACAGGGTAAGTGTAGGCTCCTATGTGAGTATAACAGGGACCTTCACTTAAGTCAGGGGTCAAGGAAAGCTTCCCTGAGAAAGTCCAATTTAGGCTGATTCACAGAGAGCGAGAAGGAGTTAGCCAAAGTGTGATAGCCTGAATTGTGTCCCCTCAAATTCATATGTTGATGTTCTAGCCCCCAGTATCTCAGACTGTGACTGTATTTGGAGACAGGATCTTTAAAGAGGTAATAAAGTTAACATGAGGTCCTATGGGTGGGCCCTAATTCAGTATGACCATTGTTCTTATAAGAAGAGGAAATTTGGACTTAGCTACGTACACAAGGAAGATGCTGTGAGGACACAGGGAGAAGGCAGCCGTCTACAAGCCAAGGAGAGGAGGCTCAGGAGAGACCAGCTCTGGTGGCACATTGATCTCAGACTTGTGCCTCCAGAATTGTGAGACAATGCATTTCTGTTGTTTAAACCACCCAGTCTGAGGTACTTGTTTATGACAGTCCAAGCAAACTATATACCAAACAAAAAATAGAGATGTGTGTTCCAGATGGAGTAAAAAAAAATGTATGAAGACTCAGAGGAGGGTTATGTGGGCTGGTTTAGTACTTACAAGGACTCACTCCATCTATGAGGAGCACAGGAATAAGGGGAGGAAAACCATGGTATCCACATTTACAAAACCCCAAATCCTTTTAAGTTATGGGCTTACAAAAGACAAACCAAGAATCTTGAAATTGAGGCATGCATCTACTTTTTTTTTTTTTTTTTTTTTTTTTTTTGAGACAGGGTCTCACATTGTCACTCATGCTGGAGTGCAGTGGTGCGAATATAGCTCACTGCAGCCTCAATCTCCTGGGCTCAAGTGATTCTCCTGTCTCAGCCCCCCAAGTAGCTGGGACTATAGGCACATGCCACACCATACCTGGCCAATTTTTGTATGTTTTAGTAGAGACGGGGTTTGGCAGGGTCTCCCTGTTGCCCAGGCTGGTCTTGAACTCCTAAGCTCAAGCAGTCTGCCTGCCTCGGCCTCCCAAAGTGCTGGGATTACAGGCGTGAGCCACTGTGCCAGGCCAGCATCAACTATTTTTAAAAAGATAATAATCTGGACATGTAAGATTTATGTATTTATTGATGACCCAGTCTCCCTTAACCTTATCACGTATAGATCTGCTTCTAAGTTTATTATATACTTCTGAGGTTCTTTGCCTAGAAGGATGTTTTTCTACCTTTCTGCCCCTGAAGATTCAATGCATAGTGCAAAAGGGCAGGAATCCTACCTACGTGATCCCTTTCCTAACTACTCAGGCCCTATTTTTTTTTTTTTTTTTTTTGAGACAGGGTCTCGCTCTGTTGCCCAGGCTGGAATGCAGTGGCATGATCATGGCTCACTGCAGCTTCAACCTCCTTGGCTCAAGTGATCCTCCTCCCTTAGCCTCCTGAGTAGCTGGGACTACAGGCATGTACCACCACACCTAGCTAATTTTTGTATTTTTTTTGTAGAGACTCAAAAAGTTCTCACCATGTTACCCAAGCTGGTCTCGAACTCCTGGGGTCAAGTGATTCTCCTGCCTAGGCCTCTCGAAGGGCTGGGATTACAGGCATGAGCCACTGTGCCTGGCCCTCAGTCCCCATTTGTCTTTCCTCTTTCAATGGTTGTATGGGCCAGTGTTTCTCAAACATTTTGGTCTCACAGAACTCCTTACACTCCTAAAAATTACTGAGTACCCCAAGGAGTTTGTATTTATATGGGCTATCTATTTGTACTAGAAGTTAAAACTGATAAATTTTAAAAAAAAAATTAAATAAAAAAATATGGCCAGGTGCAGTGGCTCACACCTGTAATCCCAGCACTTTGGGGGGCTGAGGTGGAGAGATCACTTGAGGTCAGGAGTTTGAGACCAGCCTGGCCAACATGGTGAAACCTCGTCTCTACTAAAACTACAAAAATTAGCTGGGCATGGTGGCGGGCACCTGTAATCCCAGCTATTTGGGAGGTTGAGGCAGGAGAATCGCTTGAGCCCAGAAGGTGGAGGTTGTAGTGAGCTGAGATCACGCCACTGCACTCCAGCCTGGGAAACAGAGTAAGACTCCAGCTTAAAAAAAAAAGTGTATATATATATATATACATATATATATATACACACACTATATATATACACACACACTATATGTATATATATACACACACACACTACACACACACACACACACACACACACCCTTTACATGTTAACATTAAAAACATATTTTTAAGGCCGGGCAAGGTGGCTCACACCTGTAATCCCAGCACTTTGGGAGGCCAAGGCGGGTGGATCACCTGAGGTCAGGAGTTCAAGACCAACCTGACCAACATGGCGAAACCCTGTCTCTACTAAAAATACAAAAATTAGCCAGGTGTGGTGGTGGGTGCCTGTGATCTCAGCTACTTGGGAGGCTGAGACATGAGAATAGCTTGAACCTGGGAGGCGGAGGTTGCAGTGAGCCGAGATCGCGCCATTGCACTGCAGCCTGGGCAACAGAGTGAGACTCTGTCTCAAAAACAAACAAAAAAGTATTTTTATAAAAAATAACCTTTTCCAAAGCTGAAAAAATTAGTAATTAGCATTATATTATTTGTTTGCAAATCTCTTTAATATCTGGCTTAGTAAGTGACCACTGAATCTTTAAACCTGTTTCTGCATTCAAACTGTTACAATATGTTGTTTTAAGTGAAATATCTCTCTATATCTATATATAGATATATAAATCAGGTCTTACAGAGATATGTAGTTGGAAAAAAACAGGGTATTTTTAAAGCCTTTTCAAAAATCTTGGCTAAGTAGTAGCTTCTTAGATATTAGATACAATGTGGATCCTGAATCCATATTAATGCACTTTTTTTGAGATGGAGTCTTGCTATATTGTCCAGGCTGGTCTCAAACTCCCGGGCTCAAGCAGTCCTCCTGCCTCAGCCTCCCAAGTAGCTGGAACTACCAGCATGCACCACCACTAAGGGCTCCATATCAATACATTTTTATGCTCAATTACATTAACATGCATTTGTCATTGTATTAGTTTCCTAGGACTGCTGTACAGACATAACAGATTTACACCAGCTTAAAGCAACAAAAATTTATTCTGTTACAGTTCTGGAGGCTGGAAATCAAAGGCTGCACTCCCTCCAAAGACTCTAGGAAACAATGGGTTCCTTATGTTTTCCTAGCATCAGTGGCCCTCTGCCTCTGTCTTAATAAGGCCTTCTTTTTTCTTTTTTCTTTTCTTCTTTTTTTTTTTTTTTGAGACAGAGTCTCACTCTGTCTCCCTGTCTCCCAGGCTGGAGTGCAGTAGCACGATCTCAGCTCACTGCAACCTCCGCCTCCTGGGTTCAAGTGATTCTCCTGCCTCAGCCTCCCAAGTAGCTGGGACTACAGGTGTGTGCCACCATACCCAGCTAATTTTTTATTTTTAGTAGAGATGGGGTTTCACTATGTTGGCCAGGCTGGTCTCGAACTCCTGACCTCACGCGATCCGCCCACCTCGCCCTCCCAAAGTGCTGGGATTACAGGCCAGGCGTGAGCCACTGTGCTGGGCCAATAAGGCATTCTCTTCCACGTGTCTCTGTGTCTTCTCTTCTGTCTCTCTTTTTTTTTTTGAGACAGAGTCTGGCTGTGTCACCCAGCCTGGAGTGCACTGGCATGATCTTGGCTCACTGCAACCTCTACCTCCCGGGTTCAAGCAATTCTCCTGCCTCAGCCTCCCAAGTAGCTGGGACTACAGGGGTGCACCACCACACCTAGCTAATTTTCGTATTTTTAGTAGAGACGTTGTTTCACCATTTTGGCCAGGATGGTTTTTGTTTGTTTGTTTGTTTGTTTGTTTGTTTGAGATGGAGTCTCGCTGTGTTGCCCAGGCTGGAGTGCAGTGGTGTGATCTCAGCTCACTGCAAGCTCCGCCTCCTGGGTTCACACCATTCTCCTGTCTCAGCCTCCCGAGTAACCAGGATGGTTTTAATCTCCTGACCTCGTGATCCACCCGCCTCGGCCTCCCAAAGTGCTGAGATTACAGGCATGAGCCACCACGCCCAGCCCCTCTTCTGTCTCTTAAAAGGACCCTTGTCATTGGGTTTAGGGTTTACCTGGATAATCTGGGAAGATCTCCTCTCAAGATCCTTTTTGTTGGCCACCATTCAATCTACTACAACCGCTTACATTTTGAGTGGATTTTTGATGCATGCAAGGCTTTGTAATTTCTTTAATTAGTCATTTGGAAAATATTGGTTCACTGATTTATGCAGACCTTCCAAATATTCACATTTCATGTAACAATATTATAAAAATCACATTTGTTAGTATCACTAAGTGAGTGCCTCAGAAAAATTTCTCAGTGGAGGAGAGCAGACGAGGTCATGGTGGCAGAAACTAATTTTCCAAAGCTCTACATTTGGCTTGAAAGCTTGAATTTTATCACTGCCAACAAATACATTGAGTTGTTTTCCTTGATGTGACAGGCTTACTTTGTTCATTTTCTTTTTTCTTTTTTTTTTTTTTTTTTTTTTGAGACGGAGTCTTGCCCTGTCACCCAGGCTGGAGTACAGTGGCACTATCTTGGCTCACTGCAAGCTCTGCCTCCCGGGTTCACACCATTCTCCTACCTCAGCCTCCTGAGTAGCTGGGACTACAGGTGCCCGCCACCACACCCGGCTAACTTTTTGTATTTTTAGTAGAGACAGGGTTTCACCATGTTAGCCAGGATGGTCTTGATCTTCTGACCTCATGATCCGTCCGCCTCGGCCTCCCAAAGTGCTGGGATTACAGGCGTGAGTCACTGTGCCCGGCCACTTTGTTCATTTTCAAGAAAGTGTCTGCCAAATACTTAAGTTTGGCAAATACCATCATTTGTCCGTCATCATTTCAAGTAAAAATGAGATTCTATGAAAAAGCAGCTAGTTTAGATTGCATCTCAAACAATCACACAAGGGCTTTTCTTCTAATCATAAGATTTTGATATATAGCAGAAGTGCTTTATGTATACTTTCTGTTTTGTCACACAGGACATTATAAAGAAATGTACTAAGCCGGGCGTAGTGGTGCATGCCTGTAATCCCAGCTACTTGGGAGGCTGAGGCAGGAGAATCGCTTGAACCAGGGAGGCAGAGGTTGCAGTGAGCCAAGATCTCACCATTGCACTCCATCCTGGGCAACAACAGTGAAACTCTGTCTCAAAAAAAAAAAAAAAGGAAATGTACTCAAAGGTCAAGATTGAATAAAATTAGTAATCTTTACTGCTTTATCAAGGACATTCCTTTTAAATTTTTATTTAATTTTTAGAGACAGGGTCTTACTCTGTTGCCCAGGCTGGAGTATAGTAGTACCATCATAGCTCACTATAACTTCAAACTCCTGGCCTCAAGCAATCCTCCTGCTTCAGGTTTCAGCCTCCTGAACAGCTGGGACTACAGGTGCATGCCACCATGCCCAGCTAGACATTCTTAAGTGAACCTGATTTTTGGGTTTTTTTGTTTTTTAACTACAAGTGATGGTGAAGAATACAATGACTACAAGAAATGTGGTTTCACTGCCTGGATTCCTGCCAAGTCACCAGTAGTTCTAGTCACTATTGTTTTTGTACCATCAGTGCAAATGTCAACACAGAGAAAAAGGCAAATAACATCTTTGTGTTATTATAAAAATAGTTTGGGCTGGGCATGGTGGCTCACGCCCCAGCACTTTGAGAGGCTGAGGCGGTCAGATCACAAGAGGCTAGGTGTTTGAGACCACCCTAGCCAAAATGGCAAAACCCCGTCTCTACTAAAAATACACAAGTTAGCTGAGTGTGGTGATGCATACTTGTAATCCCAGCTATTTGGGAGGCTGAGGCAGGAGAATCACTTGAACCCAGTTGGCGGAGGTAACAGTGAGCTGAGATTGCATCTCTGCACTTCAGCCTGGGTAACAGAGTGAGACTCTCTCTAAAAAAAAAATAAATAATAAATGTTTTAAAAGAAAAAAACCCACCTTTTTATTATATAAAATTTCAAACATAAAAAAGTCATCTGAATAGTATAATTAGCCTTCATAAGCCTACTGCCCCGTTTCAACAGTTAGCTAATTATGGCTAAATCTTATTGCACTCCCCTGCCCCTACACACACATAATTTTGAATCAAATCCCAAACATCAGATTGTTTCATCTCTAAATATTTAAGTATTAGCTCTATAACATAGACTTTTTAGACTCTTTTTTTTTGAGACGAAGTCTCGCTCTTGTCCCCCAGTGCAGTGGTGCAATCTCAGCTCACTGCAACCTCTGCCACAGGCGCCTGCTACCATGCCCGGCTAACTTTTGTATTTTTAGTAGAGACAGGGTTTCACCATGTTGGCCAGGCTGGTTGTGAACTCCTGACCTCACGTGATCCACCCACCTTGGCCTCCCCAAGTGTTGAGATTACAGACGTGAGCCACCGCGCCCGGCCTATAACAGACTTTTAAAAAACATAACATCAGCTGGACGTCAGGAGATCGAGACCATACAAACCAACATGGTGAAATCCCATCTCTACTAAAAATACAAATTAGCTGGGTGTGGTGGCATGTGCCTTTAATCCCAGGTACTCGGGAGGCTGAGGCAGGAGAATTGCTTGAACCAGGGAGTTGGAGGTTACAGTGAGCCAAGATCGCGCCACTGCACTCCAGCCTGGCGATGGAGTGAGACCGCGTCTCAAAAAACAAAACCAAAAACAAAAATATAACATCATCACACTTAAAAAAAACCCACTGATTTTTTTCTTTTTATTTTTATGATTTCTTATTATTGGCTATCTAGTCATGTTTGAATTCTCAAATTGCCTCATAATTTTTTTAGTTGTTTAGTCTAATCAAGATCTAAATAAGATCCATACAATTGGTAATTGATATCTCATTTTAAGTCTTTTATTCTGTATATCTGCTGCCTTTCTTTTTTCCCTTATAATTTATGTAATAAAGAAACCAGGTCATTTAGCCTGTAGGATCTCCCACTAAAGTTTACTGATTGCATCCCTATGATGTCATTTGACATGTACTTCTGACCCCTGCAGTCCCTATAAATTGGAAGTTAGAGCTAGAAACTTAATGAGATTTAGATTCAAGTATTTTGGCAAGAATACTGCATAGTGATGTGTTTTTCCATCAGGAGGCATAAAATGTTTGGTTAGTGCTCTTTTTATGAGATAAGCAGCCATTGATCATCATTGCCTACGTGCATTAATTCATTAATTAATTCATTGCAAAATGGCAGCATTCTGCCTTTATGCATTACCTGGAATTCTTCTGTAACAAGAAACTTCTCCTCATTGACTATTTGGTTACCTGGAGTGCAGTTTATATTGGAAGGCAGGATATAGGCTTGATTCTTATCTTTTATTTACCAGTTTTCAAAATAATGAGTTAGTTCCTTATGGTTATCGAAAGGTAAACCATGAGGTTTGTTTTCTATTTTTTAGTATCTTTGTAAATTCCTGGATTTACATGTTCGATATATTTCAATTCATAATGGTGATTCTTTTTTATGATCGATTTTGCCATCTTTGAATTAGTTTCTGAGGTTTTTCACATGACTCTGGTAGTCATTGATATCATACTGGAAAGTAAGGAAGTTAGGACATTCCAGGCTCATCTTGTACATTTTCTGCTGCAGGTCTGCAATCAGCCAGTTCTCCAAGGAGCCCTAGTTCATATTAGTGGGAAATATTTAGGGACCATAATCTTGGTACTAGGGGTGTTCATTTCCCTAGATTGGTCACTGATTTTAGCTTTTTCCATGCTAGAGCTAGGAAATACATACATATAAATATATATGTGTATTTATATGAATATACATATATTTATGTACACATAAAATATACATATGTATATTTTAAAGATAAAATACAACATATATTCATACTGATACTTCCAATTGAAATTCAGTACTACAGGTTTTTTTGGTTTTTTTAAACCCAAGTTCATCTGTATCTCCTTTCTCCTACATCAGAATTCCTGGTTCTTAAGGATAGGAACATAATTACTAATTTTCTTCCTTTTTAAAAAGTTATTATTACTGTTATTATTATTTGAGGCAGGGTCTTGCTCTGTTGCCCAGACTGGAGTGCAGTGGCACGATCTTAGCTCACTGCGGCCTCAACCATCAGGGCTCAAGTGATCCTCCTATCTCTCAGCCTCCCGAGTAGCTGGAACTACAGGCATGTGCCACCACACCCGGCTAATTTTTATAGAGACAGGATTTTACTGTGTTGCCTAGGCTGGTCTGGAACTCCTGGGCTCAAGCGATCTGCCCACCTTGGCCCCCCAGAGTGCTGGGATTACAGGCATGCACCACCACACCTGACCCATTTTCTTTATTTTACAACATGAACATGATCTCATATAATGATTACCTGAATAGAGTTTAAGATTTTTTTATAATTTTTTTTTTACAGTTCTTTTGTCCTTTGAGTTTATTCCACTAGGGAAAGATATCCTTTATTTTGAAGTTATTTGAAGGAATTCCCCTTATCAGTTAGGTCAATTTATTTAATTTTGGGAAGGAACCATGTTAAATGTTTCTGCTTTTAGTCCTTATTATATTTCCCTCCACATCTCTAAATAATAAAATTATATTGTACCTTTTCTGAATTTAATTTGTACATTATCTTTTGTTTTTGTTTTGTTTTTTGAGAAAGGGCCTCACTCCAGTTGCCCAGGCTGGAGTGTATTGGTCTGCTCTTGACTCACTACAGCCTCAACCTCCTGGGTTCAGGTGATCCTCCCACCTCAGCCTCCTGTAGCTGGGACTACAGGCATGCTCCACTACGCCTGGCTAATTTTTTTTTGTTAATTTTGTCAGTAGAGATGGGGTTTCACCATGTTGTCCAGGCTGGTCTCAGGCAATCCACAGCCCTTGGCAACTACCAATCTGTTTCCCGTTTCTATGGAGCTAAGTGTCTGTAACATTATGCTAAATGAAATAAACCAGACACCAGAGGTAAGAACTGTATGATTCCATTTATGTGGAATATAAATATAAATATAGCATAATGTTTTCAAGGTTCATTCATTTTGTAGCATGTATCAGTACTTCATTCCTTTTTATGGCCGGGTAATATTCCATTGAATGTATATACCACAGTTTATCCATTCATTGGCTGATGGACACATGGGTTATTTTCACCTCTTGAGTATTGTGAACAGTGCTGCTGTGAACAAACATGTGCAAGTAAGTATTTGTTTGAATACCTATTTTCAGTTTTTTGGGGGTATATATCTAGAAGTAGAATTGCTGGGTCATACAGAAATACTGTGTTAAACTTTTTGAGAAACCTCAAAATTGTTTTCCACAGCAGCCACACCATTTTACATTTTCACCACCAATGTACAAGGCTTCAACTTCTCCACATCCTCACCAACACTTAGTTTTCACTTTTTTGATTATTGCCATCCTAGTGAGTGTGAATTGGTATCTCATTGTGATTTTGATTTGCGTTTCCCTAATGACTAATGTTGTTGAGCAACTCTTCATGTGCCTGTGGCCATTTGTATATTTTCTTTGCAGAAATGTCTACTTAAGTCTTTTGACCACTTTAAATTGGATTCTTTGTCTTTTCTGTTGAGTCAAACAAGTTTTTTATGTATTCTGGATGCTAGACTCTTATGAGATAATGTGATTTGCAAATATTTTCTCTCAGTATTGTTCAATTTGCTCTTATTTTTGTTGTTGGTGAGTTGAAAGTTGAGGTCATTGATTTGAGATTTTTTTTCTTTTCCAATATGGGCAATACCTTCTAAGTCCTAGTTTAGTGCACTCCACAACGTTCGATATGTTATTTTCATTTTCATTCAGTGCAAAATATGTTCTAATTTTCCTTTCAATTTCTTCTTTGACCCATGGGTTATTAGGGCTGTATATTTGGATTCAAAATATTTGGATTTTGGCCAGGCATGGTGGCTCACGCCTGTAATCCTAGCACTTTGGGAGGCCGAGGTGGGTGGATCACCTGAGGTCAGGAGTTTGAGACCAGCCTGACTAACACGGTGAAACTCTGTCTCTACTAAAAATACAAAAAATTAGCCGGGCGCCATGGCGGGCACCTGTAATCCCAGCTACTCAGGAGGCTGAGGCAGGAGAATGGCATGAACCTGGGAGGCAGAGCTTTCAGTGAGCCGAGATGGTGTCACTGCACTCCATCCTGGGTGACACAGCAATACTCCGTCAAAAAAAAAAAAAAAATTGGATTTTTCCAAATGTCTTGCTGTTATTGATTCCTAATTTAATTTTATTATAGTTAGAGAACATACTTTGTGTGATTTGAATTGTTTTAAATTTATTGATTTTATGGCTCAGAATATGGTCTGCCTTGGTGAATATCTTGTGTACACATGGAAAGTATATATATTCTATTTTGGGGTGTTCTACAAATATCAATTAAGTTGGCCGGGTGTGGTGGCTCACACCTGTAATCCCAGCGCTTTGGAAGGCTGATGTGGGTGGATCACTTGAGGCCAGGAGTTTGAGACCAGCCTGGCTAACATGGCAAAACCCTGTCTCTACTAAAGATACAAAAATTAGCTGGGTCTGGTGGCGTGTGCCTGTAGTCTCAGCTACTCGAGAGGCTGAAGCTGGAGAATTGCTTGAACCTAGGAGGCAGAGAGGTTGCAGTGAGCCGAGATTGCAACTGCATTTCAGCCTGGGCGACAGAGCAAGACTGTCTCAAAATATAAATAAATAAATAAATAAATAAAATCTCAAGATGGTTAATAGTGTTGTTTAGGTCTTCTATATACTTGCTGATTTTCTCTCTACTTGTGTTATTATGAAAGGGGTTTTGAAACTTCTAACTATAATTGTGGGTGTGTCTATTTCTTCTTGAAATATTTTCAGTTTTTGTTCATATATTTTGAAGCTCTGTTATTAGGTACGTAAACATTTAGAATTGTTGTGTCCTCTTGATAAATTGGCCCCTTTACCATTATTAAATGACCTTCTCTTTCCACGGTAATATTATTTGCTTTGAAACGTTCTTGATATATTCATATAGCTGCTCTAGCTTTCTTTTTTTTGAGATGGAGTTTTGCTCTTGTTGCCTAGGCTGGAGTGCAGTGGCGCGATCTCCGCCCACCGCAATCTCTGCCTCCCGGGTTCAAGCAATTCTGCCTCACCCTCCTGAGCTGCTGGGATTACAAGCATGCACCACCACACCTGGCTATTGTATTTTTAGTAGAGACAGGATTTCTCCATGTTGGTCAGGCTGGTCTCAAACTCCCGACCTCAGGTGATCCGCCTGCCTCAGCCTCCCACAGTGCTGGGATTACAGGCATCAGCCACCACACCCGGTCAAGTTTGTCTTTCATATTGCTATTTGTTTTCTATTTATCTGTTCTTCATTTCATTTTTCTTCATTTTCTGCTTTATTTTGGATTAAGCATTATTATCCCATTTTATGTCCTTTGTTCCCTTATTAGTTATAACTCCTGTTTTTCCTTTTAATGGTTATTTTATTTTAGGATTTAAGTATATATCTTTTTTTCTGTTAAACAAATAATGCTTTATTAATAGAAATATACACAAACTCTAAAGCACTAAGAAATTTAAATATCTATGTCAGAGCAAACAGGTGGCAATTCAACATCCAGGGTCAACAGAATGCTTAAAGGAGACTGCAACAGATTGGATTTCCATGGTGGAGAGGGCATCTTCAAAGGTGAAGGGGGGCCCAGCTGAAACAGCTTTTCAAGCTCTCTCTCCTCATCAAGTATCATGAGAGGCACTTCACTCAAGGGGAGATGTGCAATCTGGTGCTCTTCAGGCAGGTCAAAACTCTCGAAGCCTAGAGGATTGAAGGGAAATAATTTTTCTATTTCTGGATAGCCATCATCTGAGGCAGGAACAGAGTTTTTTGCTTTAACAGTCTTCTCAGTCATCTTTTTGGCAGAAAAGCTTGGCTGTTTTTGTTTGAGGGGTCCATTGGTCTTTACTGACTTTTCTGTAGCTCTGTTGACAGTTCCCAAAGCCTTTCTGGTAGCTTTAGGTAAGGATGTGGGAGCATCGAATGTTTTGCCAAAACATGATATTGAAACTTGAGATCTCCCATCTAAGGCTTTGATTGAAGGTCCAGACCCCAGCTTCAGCCCATCCTTTGTAGCCACAAGGATGCCTGGTTCTTCGTTTTCCTTATCAACATAGATCAGAGTAGCCATTCTGGATTATTGCCGCTCTCAACCAGATTTAAGTATATATCTTTAATTTATTACAGTCTATCTTCATTTGAATTATACCACATCACTTATAGAATACTTACACTTATAGGATATATCTTACAATGGTATACTTCCATGTCTCTAATGCTAGCTTTTATAATACTGTTGTCATATATTTTACTGATACATTAGATATAAACCCACCATAAGTTATTACTATTCTTGTTTGTTAACTTTTAGAGATTTAAATTATTAAAAAATCAAAATATGTTTAGTTCTGTTGTTACTATTTCAAGTGCTCTTCATTTCTTAGTAGATCTTTATTTCCAGAAATCTGGAATAACTTTTCTATGTCTGAAGGGCTTCCTTGAATGTTTCTTGTTGTATGAGTCTACTGGTTATGAATTTTTCAGCTTTTTTTTTTTTCAGTCTGAAAAAATCTTTATATAGCTTTACATATCTTTGATTTTGAAGGATATTTTTGGTAGGTAAATAATTTTAGGTTGACAGATTTTTTTATTCAGTACATTATAGATGTTGCTCCACTTCTTGTACTATTTATTTATTTATTTATTTTGAGATGGAATCTTGCTCTGTCACCCAGTCTGGAGTGCAGTGGTGCCATCTCAGCTCACTGCAACCTCTGCCCCCCAGGTTCAAGTGATTCTCCTGCCTCAGCCTCCTGAGTAGCTGGAATTACTGGCGTGTGCCACCACACCCGGCTAATTTTTGTATTTTTAGTAGAGTCAGGGTTTCACCATATTTACCAGGCTCGTCTCGAACTCCTGACCTCAAGTGATCTGCCCGTTGCCCTCCTCAGCCTCCTACAAGTGTTGAGATTACAGACATGAGCCACTGTGCCCAGCCACTTGTACTATTTCTGATGAGAAATATGCTGACATTTTTACCTTTGTTCCTCCATATATAACATGTCTTTTCTTCTGGCTGCTGTTAAGACTTTATCACTGGTTTTTAGTACTTTTATTGTGATGTGCCTTGGTGTAATTTTCTTCATGTTTCTAGTGTTTCAATTCATTGCACTTGTCAGATCTGTGAGTTTATAGTTTTCATCTAATTTGGGAATATGTCAGCCATGATTTCTACAAATGTATTTTCCTATCCCATCCTCCAACACCATCTTTATCTTCTCCTTCAGGGAATCTAATTGCAAGTATATTAGGCTGCTTAAAGTTGTCCACAGCTCATCGATTCTCTTTACCTTTCTCTTTTTTTTTTGAAACAGAGTCTCACTCTGTTGCCCAAGCTAGAGTGCAGTGGCACAATCTCAGCTCACTGAAACCTCTACCTCCTGGGTTCAGGTGATTCTCATGCCTCAGACTCCCAAGTAGCTGGGACTACAGATGTGCGCCACCATGCCCAGCTAATTTTTGTATTTTTGGTAGAGACGGGATTTTGCCATGTTGGCCAGGCTGGTCTTGAACTCCAGACCTCAAATGATCCACTCGCCTCAGCCTCTCAAAATGCTGGGATTATAGGTGCGGGTCACCGCACCCGGCCTTAATTCTTTTTTCTGTCTATATTTTAGAAAGTTTCTACTGCAGTCTTCAAGTTTACTAATCTTTTCTTCTGTAATGTCTAATCTTCTGTTAATCCTATCTGGTGTATTTTCCACTTTAGAGATTATTGTTTTCATCTCTAAAAGTTGGATTTAGAAATTTTATGCTTTCTTTGTCTCTACTTAACTTTTTGAGTATATTACTATTGTTATTATTATTATTATTATTTTGTAGAGATGGGGTCTCCCTATGTTGCCCAAGCTGGTCTTGAACTCCTGAAATGAAGGAATCCTCTTACCTTGGCCTCTCAAAGTGGGATTACAGGCGTGAGCCACCAAGACCTGCCTACATTACCATTATAATAACTGTTTTAATGTCCTAGTCAGCTAATTCTAACATCTATGTCAGTTGCAGGTCAGTTTTAGTGATTACTTTTTTTGTTTGTTTTTGAGACGGAGCCTCGCTCTGTTGCCCAGGCTGGAGTGCAGTGGCGCAATCTCCGCTCACTGCAAGCTCCACCTCCCGGGTTCATGCCATTCTCCTGCCTCAGCCTCCCGAGTAGCTGGGACTACAGGCGTGCGCCACCACACCCGGCTAATTTTTTTGTATTTTTAGTAGAGATGGAGTTTCCCCGTGTTTGCCAGGATGGTCTTGATCTCGTGACCTCGTGATCCGCCTGCCTCGGCCTCCCAAAGTGCTGGGATTACAGGCGTGAGCCACCGTGCCCGGCCCCTAGTGATTACTTTTTATCTCATTATTGGTCATATTTTTCTGTTTCTTTGCATGCCTTGTAATACTGAATGCCACATATTCAATATTGAATGTCAGACATTGTGATTTTTTTCCTTGCTGAATGCTGGATATTTTTCTATTCTTACAATTATGCCTGGATTTTGATTTGAGATAGAGTTAAATTACTTGGAAATAGTTCAATCCTTTCAGATTTTACTTCCATGTGTTTTTTTCTGTTTTTTGTTTGTTTGTTTGGCAGGACCCAAGCAGTATTTATTCTAGGGCTAATTCCTCCCCAGTCTAAGTAAGGTAAGACTCTTCTTAGTATTCTACCTGCATTGAGTTGGGAACGTTTGTAGTCTACCTGATGGAACAGCCACTATTCCTGGCCCTCTGTGAGTTGCCAGTGCTATTCTGTCTAATGCTTTCATATGTTTTTTTCTTTGCTGTACTTTTTATAGTTTCTTCACATGCATGCACTGATCTGCGTTGTCAAATTCTCAGGGAGAACCTTCTGCAGGTCTCTAGGGTTCTCTGTGCACTTAACTTCCTCTTGTATACTGTCTTGTGAACTCTAACCATCTTGTTCTCCCTGGATTCATAGCCCCATCCTCTCAACTCAGGTAGTCTGCTGGGCTCTCCTTCATTCCACTCCCTGTATCATGGTGTGTAAGGTATCTGAAAGTAGTAAGCTGCGGGTAAATTTTGTGTGCTTAGGAATCATTTTCTTTCACAGCCTGATACCCAGTATCTTGAAAACAGATGTTTTATATATTTTTTCTGTCTCTTTTTCGTTTTTCCTTTTGGTTGGTTCAGGTGGGAGGGTCAATTTGGTCCTTGTTACTCCATGTTGGCTGGATTCAGAAGTCCCCTAAGGCCCCACTCTTAATAGTCACTTCACATTTTGAGGAGAGGTAGAGAAAAGTTTCAACAGTCTATTACCAATAGCCTCTGGTACAACCCACTCTATAAATGAAGTGTGATTGTTATTTAGTCTATTTAATGCTTCTTAAATCTCTAGAACATTATAAAGGTTTGCCGTGACTAGTGATTTATAGATTGTTTGGGACAGACTTCAGAACTCTGGGGCCTCCCTGAAATGTACTATTGACATTTTCAAAACACAAGGGGCCATTGATAGATTGCAAATCAGTTTTCACTCTTACTTGGTAGTCATTTTGCAAACTTGGTTCTGTTTGTATTGTGCCATCTGGTTAAGGTTGCAGTTAAGGAAAATTTACTCTCTAAAGACCTTAATAGGACATAGAGCTTGCTAACATAGGGAATTTACTGTGATTCAAGGGTTTATTTCTAGAACACTGAAAACCTTTCTAGTCCAACTCCAAGAAATGCTGTGTGATTCTTTTTCACTTATTCTTGAGGATTTCTTTGAAATTAAAAGAGGAAGCTCTCCCTATCTTATTTCCATGAAAAAGAAAAGACCAGTATTTTAGTATTTAGCGAAGGAGAGAGAGGGCTTAAGGAAAGTTGAAAATAATCATGGACTGATTAATATATTTTTAAGCATTTACTATGGGTATACCACTTGTTTGGGCAATGAGGTGAAGAAGAATAGGTAGATTACTTTTTATTTACCTCCATGAATCTCAAAGACTTAGTCTTCCAAAAAAGTCTTACTTAATAATAATTTACTTCTCCATTTTTATGAATCAGTCATATGTAACTGCCAGTCAAAGCATTTGGTTATCATGAAGTAACTGGTGTTACTTCAGTATCATAATATTTCAGATAAAAATAGAATCTTGCTGTTATAGGTAATCTGAACAGCCTAATTATGGATGAATCTATAATTTCTTTTAGCCTTCTTAAGATACTGAATTTTTTTTTTTTTTTTTTTGAGATGGGAGTCTCGCTCTGTCGCCCAGGCTGGAGTGCAGTGGTGCAATCATGACTCACTGTAGCCTTGACCACCTGGGCTCAAGTGATCCTCTCACTTAAACCTTCTAAGTAGCTGGGACTAATTAGCCAGGGACCATGTCTGGTTAATTTTTTTATAGAGACGGAGTCTCTCTGTATTGCTGCGGCTGCTCTCGAACACCAAGGCTCAAGAAATCCTCCTGTCTTAGCCTCCCAAAATGCTGGGATTATAGGCATGAGCCACTGTGCCCAGCAAGATAAATATTCTTTTTTTTTTTTTGAGGCAGGGTCTCTCTCTGTCACCCAGGCTGGAGTGCAGTGGCATAATCTTGGCTCATTGCAGCCTGTACCTTCCAGGCTCAAGTGATCCTCCTACCTCAGCCTCCCAAGTAGCTGGGACTACAGGCGCGCACCACTACACCTGGCTATTTTTTTTTTTTTTTTTTGAGACAGAGTCTCGCTCTGTCGCCCAGGTTGGAGTGCAGTGGTGCAATCTCGGCTCACTGCAAGCTCTGCCTCCCGGGTTCACGCCATTCTCCTGCCTCAGCCTCCTGAGTAGCTGGGACTACAGGTGCCTGCCACCACGCCTGGCTAATTCTTTTGTATTTTTAGTAGAGACAGGGTTCCACCATGTTCACCTGGCTAATTTTTTTAATTTTTTTGTAGAGATGGGGTTTCACCACATTGCCCAGGCTGGTCTCAAACTCCACTCTTGAGCTCAAGTGATCTGCCTGCCTCGGCCTCCCAAAGTGCTGGGATTACAGGTGTGAGCCACCATAACTGGCCTGAGATAAAGATTCTAAATAGCAGAAAACAAAACAAAGTAGCCCTGCTACATGGTAACGTGAGTGGTGCAGATCCTAAGTATTATAGCATTTTATTGCATACAGACATCCCTGAGCTGGGCTACTGTAGTCAAGACCGGTAGCTAGGACTGAGAAGAGGGTATTCCAGCTAGGAGGCAGTGGGTTTGCATGTACAGTGGGAGGGATGTTAGTTGTAAGTTGTGGATTCTGTACATTGAGGAGACAGTCTGTCCAACAGATGAGTACACAAGAGAGTGAGTTGGAGATTAGGTGGGAAATGTAGGTTAGGATCAGATCAAACACCCTGAGTTCTTTGAATCTGTTCTTTATACAGAGATGGCAGTGAAAATGGAAGAGTCATTGAAGACTCTAAAGGAGAAAGCCAAGGACCTGGTGACCAAACGTGAGGACTGAGAGGGAAGAGTCAAAGGTTTTGAGTTAGGGCAAGAATGATACAGTATTACCCCCTTATCCAAGGGGATACCTTCTAAAACTCCCAGTGGTTCCCTGAAACTGCAGATAGTACTGGACCCCATCTAAACTATGTTTTTTCCTATATATACATGCCTACAATAACATTTACTCTCTAAATTAGGCACAGTAAGAGATTAACTACCATAACTATTAATAAAATACAACAATTATAACAATATGTCAGCATCACGACTCTTGCACTTTGGGGCTATCATGAAGTAAAATAAGGGTTCCTTGAACACAAGCACTGTGACACCTCTACAGCTGACGTGATAATGGAGATGCCTACTAAGAGACTAGCGGGTGGGTAGCATCTGCAGCATGGACAAACTGGACAGAGGGAGGCTTCACATTGAGGGTAGATGGAGTGGGATAGCGTGAGATTTTATCACACTGCTCAGAACAGCACACCATTTAAAACTCGTTTATTTCTAGAATTTTCCATTTAATTTTTTCAGACTGTTGGTCAAAAAAAGAAAAGGGAAACTGTTGATAAGGGTATGTGTCGGGGACTGGTGTACTATTATTATTACAAACAGGAAAGTTGTAAGGGAGAGGTTGAATGAGTGATGCCGGAGATCCCTGAAGCTTTTTCTAAAAATTCCCAATTTCTCTGAGTGGCTCCTGACTAGACAATACTTCCCTGCATCCTTTCCCCTCTCCTATGAGTTGAGCCTGGCAGGACAAACTTTAGAGTATGAGAGGGCATTTAGAGCCCATGAGGTCACCAGGCTAAATCCCCTCGTTTTACTGATAAGCAAATTGAGGACTTCAGATATTGTGACTTCCCTTAAGGCTACAGAGCTAGGCTGGCCTCTTGGCATTATTTTCTGAAATTTTTGTAATAAAGGTTACCGTATGTCAATCCTGCTTGCTGGCAAAGTGAGCCCTTTGTTTCCCTGCCATATTCATTAGTTACATTATTTTTATTTTAGAAACAGGGTCTTGCTATGAGGTCCAGGCTGGCCTGGAACTCCTGGGCTCAAGTGATCTTCCTGACTCAGCCCATGGAGTAGCTGGGACTGTAGGAACTGCGCCCTACTCGGTTATTGGCTTGATGCTTCCAGCCGTTTTTCACTGTCCAGACTCAGATGCATTAATAGTTAAAACAAGTCGTTTCGAGGATTCTGGTTTTCCTTTATCTGTACACGCAGACGCAAACCTTAGAGTAGCACACTACGGACATTCATGCCAAACCCGGCCGCGTCTGCTCTCTCGTGATGCGCCTGAGCTGTTTGAAGGGAACGAGATTGATTAACAATTTAAGCTCGGGGTGAGGATTCTTACTGGGAGCCGACTCCCCAATTTTTGAAGTAAAGGATGTGTGGTGGAGACTAGTAAAGGAATTGCTTCGTTTCTTTGCTCCTCTGAATCCCATTCCTAATGACGTCTCACGCCTGGAGCCCTGAATTCGTGTGTGACTCCTACCCCGCCCGAGGAAAATGAGATTATGCCAGTGTCTTGAATGAGCGCGGTTGTTTTGAGATCTACACTTTAGCGGGAACCTGGGGAGAGTGCCTTCTCATTCCTTGCCCCCGCCCAAGGCTCTCTTCACCTTCCCCGCGGGGGTCCTCTCGTTTTCTGTCTCCCAAATGCTGGCTTCCCGCCTTTCCTCCCCCGCTTATTTACTTAATTAAGGCCCTGGGGCTGCACCCCACCGGCAGCTCCTTCGGGGGTGTGGCCGAAGAGCTCCGAGGGCGGGGCTGACCGAGCCATATTCGGGCGTGGCCGGTGGTGATTGGTGAGGGCGGGGCCTGCCGCAGGGGGCGGGGCCTGCAGGTTTGGCCCCCGCAGGGAGCGCAGCTGGCGCCGCTGGGAGCTGGTGGCGCGGCGCAGGTCCCGGCCGAGTGTGGCGCAGCAGTGGCGGCGCTTCCCATTCGCCATGCGCCGGGGGTGGGTGCCCGAAGGTAAGCGTGTGGCTCATCGAGCTTGCGCGAGGAACCCTTGGCGGAGAACAGCCCCGGCACTGCGCGGGCCAGGTGGAGGGACCCCGGGGGCGCGGGAGGCAGGTGTGGTGTGACGGGCCCCGGTGCCATTTCCGCGCCCATCACGAGCGCGGGGCGGGGCGCGCGGGCGGCCCCTCCTGTGAACCCCTGAGAGGAGAGGCGGGCTCCACACCCGGGCGTGCTGCGACTTCGCGGCACTCATTCACTGCACTTGGTCCGAGACAGAAAACGTTTGAGTTGTTCCACACACACCCCCTCTAAATGTCGAGAAGCCCCAGGTACTGTCAAGTTTGTATATCCTTTAAAATATAGTTTGTGGTTCAGGACAGGAGGAGAAACCCGATAGTGAGCTTGCGGTGGGGCTTTACTTTTACTTTGTGTTATTCAGTTTGTAAGAAAGGTGTAGTAGAAACGGGACTGTTACTTAAACATGGACAGCAGGGGTTACGTAGGGAGTGTATCTTGGAGATGAAGCACGCAGACTTCGGAGCTAAAATCATGGTTTTGAATCTACTTATTAACTGCGAAAACTTGGGCAATTTGCCTAACTTTTCTATGCCTTAGTTTTAGCGTATGTAAAATGGGGATAATGATAGTTCTAACCATACAGCAGTTTTTGAAGATTAAATGAGTTAATACCTGGCTCATAGTCCACAATAAACTTTGGCTGTTTTCTTTGTTATGCATTCAGATGGGCATTAATCTCAAGAATTGTCATCACCGGAAAACCTACGTATATTCTTTCCTCAGAGCTGTTGCTAGAAATGCTTGGGGATTCCTTTGGAACAGTTTTCTTAGACCGAGTTCCACAAGAAAAGGTCTCTTACTTTTCTTTCACTAGGGGTGTTACCTGATGTGATCATCCACCTTGTTCCAAATCCCATCCACAGAAACTTCAGTCTCGAAGGCTGTTCCAAAACAGGGATCAAAAAAGAGGCAGCGCCTTTAAGGTGAATGTAGCCTCATTTTAAGCACCAAGTTCAGGCGGGTTTGTTTAAAAGCAGTTTATATCGCTTTATACAGAACTTTTAAGTTGTGCTATTTTGGGTGGATGCTTATTTGTACTATTATTGCAAAACTAAGTAAACCAGAGCACCCCCAATACATAAATAAACATCATAGGAACCATAGCTTGCTGCAGGGAATCTCAGAATTGAAAGGAATCTGAAAAATCAGACCAGCTGGTCTTTACAGATAAGGATGAGGCCAAAGACTCAGAATCAATAAATGGCAGAGCTTAGGCTAGAATTCAGCTCTGCTGATCAACAAAGTATAAAATCAAATGATGATGTTATTTCTAGTTTTGATGATAGTTACTATCTTTATCTTTGACAGTTTTATGGTTCTGTGAATGGCTTTCCTTTCCAGCACTATCCTGCTTGGTAGCTTAATTGCATGATTCATAATCATTCTTCAGTAGTACCTTTGATTTAAATCACAAGTCTCAAAGTTGCTACATTAATTATTGCTTTGAGAACAAGATGATTGTCTTCTTAAGCTTTGTACAAACATGTTCTAATGTGCTTTGGTTTTGTCCTTTTAAAATGCAGCCCTCTTCTCCCAGGTAGGGAATGTAAACAGCCAGTATAAACAAATTGACCTACTAGGCAGTTTTTTTATCGCTGTTTTATTGGCGAAGTTTTCTTGATTGGGTAGGAGTCAGGAAGTGGAACCCTGAATGCTCACCCAAGGAAGTAGGACTGGGTCCCAAAGAGATAATGTCACAATGTGGCTGCTAAGTTCAAAAGCATTGTGGAGTGAAATTATTTTGAGCTACTGTTTTGTTAGTTGCTGACTCTTCCCCAACTTTTTGTATAGCTCACTCCTTCACCTCTGGGTGTTTGTTTAGATGTTACCTTCCTATTTAAAATTGCATACAACACCACACTTATATATTGACCTATTGATTGACTTATTCATTATCTGTTGTCTGACATGAGAGCGTAAGTTCCATGTGGGTAAAGTTGTTTGCCAGTTGTGTTCACTGTTGTATCCTAAGTGCTTGGAAATAGTGCCTGGCACACAGGAGGTACCGAATTCATGGATCTGATGCAGACATTTCCAACAAGACTAGTAATTATTTACGCCAATTCACTGTCATTTTGCCCTATTTTCCCCTCCCTCCATTTTATTTATTCCTAGTTACCCAGGAATAAAATCTTGAGGCAATGTTAATTCTTTCTTCTACCTTTGTACCCCACATGCAAATAGCTACCACGTTATTTCATCTGTCATTTTTGTTGCAAACCTGCCTCTCCTGTTGTTGCCAAGCCCATTTCTTCATTCCCTTCATTTTAATTTGACACTTACAGCCCTGCAGTTCCCTTTTCAAGTGACTTCACATCCTTACCTGCAGAATGAAATCCAGAGTGAAAAGCCTGACATTCAGAATTCCCTACAACATGATTTAAAGCCCACTTTTACAGTCTGTATCTCCTATAGATGAAGAGATGAGTTCCAGTTTAGGTTTGTAAATATGACAGTAGAATTAAGGCTTTAATGGTGATGTCCTATAAAATCCCAAAATGAGTGTTGCTTCATGACAGTTTCTCTTTCTGTTTTTATTGATGAGTTAATCTTTTTCTCCGATGTGGGCAGGGATTTAGACATAGTGGACTAGTGGCTGTTGCCTGTTTCTAGTGAGGACTTCTGCTGCCCTTTCTGTTTTGAGTTCCCATTCTGCAAACCCCCCCTCACATGCGGCCCCTGCCGTTCCCTACCAAATATCTAGGTAAGTTCAGTTGGAAGTGGTTTTTTCTTTCTCTGAATGCTGGTGACTATCATAGAGAATTTAGCACAGTCTACTTTGAATTTGAAAGCTTCGGGCATTGGTCTTTTCTTCAGTGCTTCATGTCCTGGAGAACAAGAAGCATGCACACACACATTTCAGTTTCTTTTAAAGGAAAAATAAGACCCACATCTGCTTATCTGCTTCTTTTTCTTTTTTTCTTTTGTTATGGAGTCTCGCTTTGTTGCCCAGGCTGGAGTGAAGTGGTGGCGCGATCTCGGCACTTGGCAAGCTCCGCCTCCCGGGTTCACGCCATTCTCCTGCCTCAGAATCCGGAGTAGCTGGGACTACAGGCGCCCGCCACCACGCTCGGCTAATTTTTTGTATTTTTAGTAGAGACGGGGTTTCACCGTGTTAGCCAGGATGGTCTCGATCTCCTGACCTCATGATCGCCCGCCTCGGCCTCCCCAAGTGCCAGGATTACAGGCGTGAGCCACCGTGCCCAGCCACTTAACTGTTTTTTAAACAAACATGAACTTAAAATTATATCAAACAGACCTTTAAATCGTTAAATATTGAGCTTCAACAATTATTTCTACAGTATAGACAAATGAAGAAGATGACAAGGAAAAAGTCAGTACCAAGTAAAAAGATACAAATGAAGACACTGAGGTCTGGATTTATAGAGGGGAGTGGGTGTAGGGAGAGCAGCATGTCCAATACGCATGTAGATGGATAGGCAGATGTTTTTAAAAGTACGCAGTAAATTCAGGAAACCATCAGGAGAAGACAACTTTATTGAGCAATATCTGCAGCTTAGGATTTTGTGGAGTATTATTCCTAAAATATATTTTGTTTTTGTATTTCTAGACACATGGAATACTGTTTCTTTGCTTTGTTTCTATACTGGATAGGACTGAAGATTCTCTTTCTCTCTGGTCTGCAGAAAGTAATTTACTTTCTTTCCTTTCATTGTTTAATCTTAAAAAAAACTTCATACCTTTTTCCTGATTGTCCTGGATGTGTGGAGAAAGGTATATATGCCAGAAGTTTTTAGTCCTTCAGAAAAAGGTGGTAGATATGAGATACTTGAATTTACTATTGTTGAAGTTTATAGTTTTACTAAGTTTGATATCAGCATTTAACACATTTTGCTGAATTTTATATTACAAGCATATCCTTTCACATATTCCAGTTGAGTCAATGATTTTATTTTACTTGTGACTCAGATTAAAACTTGACTCGAGCTTGTGTAAATGTTTCTGTCACTTAATTTTATCTTTTCTCCTGTGGCCTTCCAAACCTCAACTGAAGTTTTTCCATTCTAGGGCATACATTAACTTATTTTTGTTGTTTTTGATTTTAGGTGCTTATAGATGTAGGTCTAAATTTATTTTACCGTTCCTAGAATGAAGCAGCAGTTTCTATTGTTAGGTAGGGGGGAGATATATATATATGTATATGTATGTGTGTGAATATATATATATATATATATATATATATATATATATATATAAAACACATTTTTTATATATATACGTTTTATACATATACACATATATACATTTTATACATATATATGTATAAAATTAGGGCATATATATATATACCCTAATTTTTGAAATGTTAAAATATTAAGGTAAAATTCTGCATGTTGTCTTTACTAATAACATAGCCACTGTAAGGTCAGGATTTGAAATTAAGTAGTATAATTTAAATAAGTATTATAATTTAAATATGTAATTGGTTGTAATTTTTGTGCTTTGGGAAATTTTTACTAATGTGATAATAGTTTTAGTGTCAGGAGAATTTTGAAAGCAAATATTTACTTGAGAGTAAAGTTTCCTTTATCACACTGCATAAGCATCTGTGTTTATCCTGAGTTCTCCTTGATTTTATAAAGCCTTAGTTAAGTGTGTTATCAGATAGAATCATTCATAAAAATAATAAAAAATGAGGGTACACATGCTGATATACTCCCAGCACATGGTAAACACTACATAAGTATCATTAAATAAGTAAATCTATATTTTTAGGGAGGATTTTATTAAGATACCATAGCATATTAGTACATATAGTACTTGGAGTGATCCAGTGAAGAGGCAGAAATTGATGATTCAGGAGACTGATGAAGGAATAATGAGGCATTGGTCACTGAACATCTCACTAGCACACTTTGGCAAGTTGGAATTTCTAAACGTCTCTCTCCACCTGTTGAATAAGTCAATGAAAGGTTTTATTAGGGCCTTCTAAGTGCATGGCAGTCAATAAGTCACAGTTCCCACACCCTAGTCAGGGAGGCTCTCAATAAGCAAGCAACTGAAATCCTAGTTGCAATCCATAAATGCTGAAATGGAAATAAACAACATGATGAGGGAGGATTAAGTTGGGGAGGGAGCACATTAAGGTGGCCATGAAGTTTGTTGGAAGAAGTGACTTTTGAACAAGGCCTTGGTGTTAAGAGCTGATGAGAGTGTCCCAGACAGAGGGGCCACTGGTACAATAGACGAGATGGGAGAGGGCTTGGAAGGTGTGCGAAATAGGAAGGAGTTTGTTCTGGTATGAGTCTAGTGAACACAGAGGCGAGAGGCCCTGGTGGGTGCAGCTGGAGAGTTATGCAGAATAACATTAGGCCCTGTGGGGGACTGTAGACTGTCAGCAATAATCCACAGTTTGGATTTTATTCTAAGAGTGATGGGAAGCCGTGGAAAGGGGGTTAAGCAAGGAGTGAAATTATCAGATTTACAGTGATAAAAATAAATTGGTCTGGCTACTGGGGAAAAAATGGATTGGAGGGAGTTTAGAATGGAAGCAGAGAGCAGGTTGGAGGTTCTCCCAAGAGACTCTATGAGACATGATGGTGATTTTTGTCTTTGTGGGTTTTGTTTTGTTTTGTTTTGTTGGGCCTGGACAATCTGAATTCTGCCAACCTCTTCAGTTCAGAACCAGCTTGACCGCAGGCCCCATCCATCTGCCAGTCACCACAGCCCTCTAGGAATTGGCCTTGGGCGTGTTGTATGTTCACATCTGCCTGTAAGATATGCTTGGAGTGTGCCTACAAATGGAAAAGCTTGGGAGTTTTGGAATACAGCAGGCATTCTGGTGGTTGGGAACCCAAGATAGTGACCTTGGGAGGCTGAGAAGGCTAGGACAGCCTTGCTGCCACTGCTACCATCTCTACCAGTCGGTTCTGGACCAAGTGGAGGGACATGACATGGTTGAAGTAAATTTAGGGCCTTCCTCCTTATCCTAGTAGTATTTTGTTTTTTTGTTTTTAAAGAGACGGGGTCTAGCTCTGTCACTCAGGATGGGAGTACATTGGTGCAATCATAGCTCACTGCAGCCTCAAACTCCTGGCCTCAAGCTGTCCTCCGGCCTCAGCCTCCCGAGTAGTTGAGATTAGAAGCATGAGCCACCATGCCTGGTTTATTTTAGCAGTTTTATCCCAGTGTGGAGAAAACAAAGGGCTGTCAGTGGTTACTTCCACTTCCTCACCGAGGCCCTTCTCTAAATGTCTGTAATAAAATGGAGCTGGCTCATGTGACTTTAGTTGAGGTTCTTGGACACTCTTCTCAAGTTGTTGGTGCACAACACTCTTCTTCAATATTGTTTTAGTGCCAACATTGGCTATTTTGCCTGTACTTTATTTTTAATTCATATATCACTTTTATCAAGAATCGGATAAGTAAAAGGTGCTTAAATAGAGATGTAGTAAACCTAGGAAAAACTGGGACAGCTTTGTGATTACAGAATGATGGAAAAATCAAAGATGGGGGTGGAGTGGGAATTAGAGGAAGGATGTATCAGTAAGGAAGGAAAACAGGAAAAAGTTGTAACTGATTCATCATGTGATGTGTGAGGGGAGGGGAGAAGGCTACTATGTATCTTTCATTGGCAGAGCCTGTTTTGTTTTAAAATCTGTTCTGCAGTGAATTTAATTTACAGATGTGACAAAGATGTCCTTTGTTTCTGTTGAAACATTTGGGATGTATTTGGAGCTAGTATCCTGAGAGGCAGAAATAAACAGATACAGATTATATATACTCTTACAGTAGACTTTCAGTAAAGTAACCAGTTTGGGGTTAGAATTTGCTGGGAAGGTGCTTTTAATGTAACTTAAAACGAAACCTATTCATAGGGTCTATTCTCTTCTCAGAAATTGTCCCCATCCCAATTCCTTTTCTTATTTACTAGGTCATTTCCCCTTGCCACATATGTATGCCCAGGGTATGTGTATGGCTTTTTTTTTTTAGACTTTTTTTTTTCATAGCTAAATTAGGAAAGTACAGAGTTCCCCATATATCTGTGCTGCCACACATGTCCAGCACTCCCCATTGTCAATATCCCCCACCAGAGTGGTACATATGTTACAATCGGTGAACCTATGTTAACACATCGTAGTAACCCAAAATCCATAGATTCCATTAGGGTTCACTCCTGGTGTTGTACATTCTGTGGGTTTGGACAAATGTATAATGACATGTGTCCATCATTATAGTGTCACAGAGTATTTTCACTGCCTTAAAAATCCTCTGCCTAGTCATCGTTTCACCCTGTGCCCCAGCCCCTGGCAGCTGCTGATCTTTTTACTGTTTTCCTAGTTTTGCCTTTTCTAGAATGTCATATAATTGGAATCTTGCAGTATGTAGCCTTTTCAGATTGGCTTCTTTCACATAGTGATATGCATTTAAGGTTTCTCCATGTCTTGTTATGGCTGGATAGCTTATTTCTTTTTAGCACTGAAAAGTATTTCATTGTCTGGATGTACTACAGTGTATTAATCTATTCACCTATAGTAGGGCATCTTGGTTGTTTCCAAGTTTTGGCAATTATGAATAAAGTTGCTAGAGACATCCATTTACAGGTTTTTGTGTGCACGTAGTTTTTAGCTTCTTTGGGTAAATACCAAGGAGTGCAACTTCTGGATTGTATAGTAAGAATATGTTTAGTTTTGTAAGAAACTGCCAAACTGCCAGAGTGGCTGTACCATTTTGCATTCCTACCAACAGAGAATGAGAGTTCCTGCTATTCCCTATCCTCACCAGCATTTGGTGTTGTCAGTGTTCTGGATTCTGACCATTTCTGAAAAGTATGTAATGGTATCTCATTTTAATTTGCATTTCCTGGTGACATGATGTGGAATATGCTTCTTTGCATTTGCCATCTGTATGTCTTCTTTGGTGAGGTGTCTGTTAAGGTATTTGGTTCATGTTTTAATCAGATTGTTTTCTTGTTGTTTAAAGAGTTTTTTGTGTATTTTAGATAACAGTCCTTTATTGGCTGTATCTTCTGCAAATGTTTTCTTCCAGTCTGTGGTTTGTCTTCTCATTCTCTTCATGTTCTTTCATGGATTATGCCTTTGGTGTAGCATTTGCAAAATCATTGCCATGCTTGTGGTCATCTAATTTTTGTGTGTGTGTGTGGTTTATTTTTATTTTTATTTTTGTTTTTTAAGATAGGGTGCTCTGGCACCCGGCCTGGAGTACAGTGATGCGATCTTGGCTCACTGCAACCTTCACCTCCTGGGCTCAAGCTATTCTCCCGCCTCAGCCTCCCGAGTAGCTGAGATTACAGGTGCATACCATCATGCTTTGCTAATTTTTTATTTCTTTATTTTTTTGGTAGAGATGAGGTCTCGCATATTGCCCAGGCTGGTCTTGAACTCTTGGACTCAAGCAGTCCTCCCATCTCAGACACCCCAAGTGAGGGGATTAAAGGCCGAAGCATAGTGCCTGGCCATTTTCTAGATTTTCTGGTACATTATATTCTAGGAATTTTATAGTTTTGTTTTTTGTTGTCGTTGTTTGTTTGTTTGTTTTTTGAGACACAGTCTTGCTCTGTTGCCCAGGCTGGAGTGCAGTGGTGCAATCTCAAGGCTAGCTGTAATCTCCACCTCTGCCTCTTGGGCTCAAGTGATCCTCTGGTCTCAGCCTCTCAAGTAGCCAGGACTACAGGTACGTGCCACCATGCCCGGCTAATTTTTAAACTTTTTTTTGTGGAGACAGGCTCTCACTATATTTCCCAGGCTGATACCGAACTCCTGGGCTCAAGGGATCCTTCCGCCTTAGCCTCTCAAAGTGCTGGGATTACAGGTGTCAACCATCACCCGGCCTACTTTTGCAATTTATGTGCATGGATTTTCTTTTGTATCTTCCTTGACCAGCCCTGTTAGTGCCCTCCTTTAGGTGCCATTGTTTCTGAACACCCAGTACCCTGTTCCCCTGCTGAGGAAAACTTGTAGCTCTTCACAAGCCAAATTCCTTCCTTTTGGGACACGTTTGTTTTTATTTCCCTTTATGCCTTGGTGTGAATCACCAACTCACCCTCCCTGCTGTATTGGGTAAGAATGGGAAGTGATACTTATGAGTGTATCTACCTTCTAATCTGAGTAGGGTCCTCTAGTCAATATCAAACAATCTTTATGATGGGTTAAGGAAGTAGGGTTCAGAAATTCTGTTTATTTTTTAGAGGTAAAAGCAGAAGAATCTTTTGACTTTTTTTATATAAAAAAATTTTTTTTGACTGCCCTGAAACAAAGACAGGCAATACCCAAGGACAGTAAGTAGCATATAATAGACAAAAAAAATGGATACAATGATGAAGGAAAAAATCCTTTTTAGGAAAAGCTTTAATGTTCATCTATTTTAAGCAATATTTGGATCAGTAACATTTTAACATAACAAGAATTTGGGCAATTTTTTATCATAGCGTTTCACCCATATTGCTATTTTTTTACAGACCCCAAACAAAAAAATTTTAAGTCTATGGATGCTTTTTTAAAAAAAGATGAACTTTCCCCCACCTTTTTAAAAAAACTGTATCCTTGATAGTGTCTTTTCTTGTGTCCTCCTTATTTCATAATTAGCCCTTGGTTGTCATCGTGATGGGGCCAACACTCAGAGCCTGCTGTGTACCAAGCTCTCAGTTAGATGTTTACATGTGATGTTTTTCAAGAAAGGGAAGCCAGGCTCCTGACCAAGTGCTGTCCAGACTTTGACCCTTCCTGGTGGCAGAATCAGAAATCTGCTTTTCCTGTGCGTGACTTTCTTTCTGTAACGCAGTTGCCTGGTGGATCCCTGGTGCTCTCTTCTCTTCAACTCTGTATCTGCAAAGATGATTTAGAAAAGGATGCATGTAACAACATAAGAAGTTGAGGGCTACGGTATGTGAGCTGGGCTCACATGAGAGTGCTTTCACCCACAGCCACGTGACCATGTGGAACTACTCTTCGTAGCTGAGGTTTCTTCTTCATCTGTAAAATGAGGATAATGATATTTACCTCAGAGGTTGCTATGAGGACTCATTGATGTGTTAGATGTGAGCGCTTAAAACAGCCCTGGCATTAGTGCTCAGTAAATATTTATTTCTCAACCTTCAGCCCTGTTGACGTTTTGGGTCAAATCATTTTTTGTTGTCGGGCAGTCCTGTGCATATTGTAGATGCTTAACATCATCCCTGACGACCACCGCCCGCCACTCCCCCACCCCACAAGTTGTGACAACCAAAAATGTCTCCCGACATTGCCAAATATCCTCTAGGCAAAATTGGCCCCCGATGAGAACCACTGTATAATCTTTACTAGCTGTTATATTACCCTTGCAGATTCACCGTTCCTCCTAAGATTTGGCTGGCCTTGAAAAGTGTTGCCGTCATCTGACCCATTTCTTTCTGTCTTGTTGGACTTGTCTGAGTTGATTCATGAGTTGAAGAGTAAGTCTAGTTCTTCCATTCTAACGAACTTAAGCCTCTTTGGAAGAGCTGTCACCTACCCCTGGCAAGCCAGCTGCCCCTGAGCACCAGACTACAAAATTATCTTCTGACTGTCTAGCAGAGTGAAGGCAGATCCTTTTCCTGTTCCTCTTTTGAAAAGCTCTACATATATATGAATCTCCCAAAAAGTCCCAGTTTTAATCCCCATGAATGACATAGCTTTTTGTTCTATTCTTTCTTAGTTGTGGGTTTTTATGTCAATCCCCTTCTTACTCTGTTTTATTTAGCTGCCTGGCCAGAAGATGATTTTGCAGAATTTTAATTGCTTCAGTTTTATAGAATAAATATGTACTACATGTATAGTAATAGCAGGGTTGCTTTTTCATTTTACTTTTAATCACTTAAAAAAATTTATGAACTTTCTTCCCAAATTGGTTGCCAGAGGACTCTGTAAAGCATGTACATGTGGTGGAGGCAGGGTAGTATAATGGATAGAAGCCCTGAAGTCAGACCACCTGGGTTCAAATCCTGCTTCTGCCATCTGGGGCAGGGTCCTTCATCCTTTCATGCTTCAGTTTCTCCTCAATTTCTTCTAGTTAGGGCTATTGTGAGGAGCAACCAGATTGGCACATGTAAAGCACAGTCTGGCTTATAATAAGCTTAGCCACTAAGTATTATTAGGTTGCCAGTTCAATTTAGCTTGAAGGAGAGGAAAATCTTACTTAAGGAGAGTTGATGTGGTACAGCAAACATGCACATAGAGATTTTGGAGTTGGACAAATTTGCGTTTGAATTCTAGCTCTATTGCCTGTTAGTTGCATATTAACTTGGGCAAGTGATTTAACCGCTTTATGTTTTTCTTCAGAGCAACATCTTTATTCCCAATATATAATTTTGGCTTCTCTTTCCAGATACAATTGAGGCAAGTGGGTGGAATCTCTTTCAAACATCTGCTTCCATACCTGCCTGGCTTTATTTTTAGCTAAGCTGTACAGTCTGCGGCTGTGTCCCTTCTCTGTACCCTCTCAGTATACCATGTGTACACATAACATCATACTTAACAAATTTTTATGTTGCTTGTCAGTCTTCCCTGTTAGGTAAGTTCTGTGAGGGTAGGATTTTCTCTGTCTTTTTTTTTTTTTTTTTTTTTTTTTTTTTTGAGATGGAGTGTCACTCTGTAACCCAGGCTGGAGTGCAGTAGCACCATCTTGGCTCACTGCAACCTTCACCTCTTGTGTCCCAGTTCAAGCAATTCTCCTCCCTCAGCCCTCCGAGTAGCTGGGATTACAGGCATGTGCCACCATGCCCAGCTAATTTTTGTATTTTTAGTAGAGACGGGGTTTCACCATGTTAGCCAGGCTGGTCTTGAACTCCTGACCTCATGACCTGCCCTCCTCAGCCTCCGAAAGTGCTGGGATTACAGGCGTGAACCACTGTGCCCAGCCTTCACTTTGTCTTTTTATTGCCTAGTGCATGATGAGCACTCAATAAGTGTTCATTGAATTAAGGAATAAAAATAAATTCAAAACAAATTGTTATACTTTAGATCTGATTTATTGGTTACTTTTACAGTGCTAGGTCTTTTACGCTATCTCAAATCCTTAAAGCAACCATATGAAGTCAGTCTTGCTTCTGTGAAGACAGATCCTTCCCTAAGGGCTGTCTAATCCCCCCTGTGGGATGGTGGGATAGTGGGCCTTAGTGTTGGTCTTTTCTGTTGGGGTTGGGCTGTCAGCACTGGCAACACTAAATCAGTCTTGGTGAGGGGAAGGCCAAATTGTTGAGTCTCTATATAGCCTCCACACCTACTGCTTTGGCCACTTTGTCATCGGTCCATTGAGCAAGCAATGGGACGATTGGGAAAGAGGCTGACTGACATCCGTAAGACAAGTCATCTTGACCACATGATTATTGAGAGCCTGTCTGTAGTGGGCATTTATGTGAGACACAAATATGTTCACATTCTGTGCTGTAGTGAAAGGTTCATATACATATTTCTGCACACCTCCCTTTAAAAAATATATAATTTTCCAATCTTGTTCTTTCCAAGTCACTGACCAGCAGGCCATCCATTAGCCACTGCCCAAGGATCATCATAGATACGTCCCTTTGGCACTCCTCCTTACAGGTAAACCACCACGTGTACTGCTCAGAGTTCTGCCCACTGGGAAGATTTCCCTTCACCCCTCTCTTTCAGGCCATCCCTGAGTGGGGCTGCCTTTTCTCACTTCTGGCCGGTGCCAGCACACTGTGCATGTCCATCCATAAACAAGCGTGCCTTTTTCCTGTCCTGCTAACTGGCCTTAGGATCCTCCCTATGAGGCCTTAAATGTGGGTCTAGAAAACTTACAAGAAGGAGGAACAAGCAGTAGGGGAGTCTGGGCTGTTAATCCCTGCAGTTTACTTGTGCCGTCCAGACCTGCTTAAGCCCAGTCTTGCTTTTACTGTACCAAGTGGATTACTGCTGTACATGTCCAGTTTTATGATTCAGTGAACCAGACAATACTCTGTTCACGATGGGCTGTTGTTTTTACATAGTCTCTTGGTTTTCCATAGGCGGTCATTGCATCTCTTCCTGGGCCTAGTAACAAGCCAGGAACCACAGACAGTGATTGCTGGCAAACCCTAAGGGTCTGAAACTCTTACCCTTTTCTTGGTGCTTGTTAGAGAGAGGGGTCCTTAATTCATTCCTGTTTGCCATGTCATTTCCAGTACTACTGGGTGTGCTGAGGCATAGGCTCAAGGGTTAGGGCAGCTTTCATTGCTCTAGAACCTTCTCTTGGAATGGGCTTCAGTAAAAACTGGCAGGCTCATAGGTTACCCAGTAAATGGGTCAGAACAGCATATCCAAGTATTGAAACTCACTATTTGTTTTACCTCTTTCTCAGTGGAAGTGGTGCAAGGTGTAGTTATTTCTCTCACTTGAGGTGGGATATCCTGGGTCAGACCAGGGAAATCCTAGAAGCCATCAGTGTAGTGAATCCCTGAACTTTCATGAGTTTTTTTCCATCCTCTGGCTTGTGTATGTGTCTTACACAGGTGTCCAAGGTGCTTGCTAGTTTTTGTTCACCAGGTCCAGTTAAGATAATGGTATCCATGTGATGGACCAGTGTGGTGATCTGTGGGCTGTCAAGATGATCAAGGACTCTCCAGACTATATTATGGCAATTCAGACATAGCCCTCAGGTGAGACAATGAAGGTATACTGCCTTTCTGCCACTTCATGCAATTTGCATCTCATTGTCCTTACTGATGGTGATAGAAAAGAAGGCATTTGCCAGGTCAGTAGTCATACCAGATGTCCGGGATTATGCTAATTTTATTCAGAAAAAAAAAAAAAACACTACATTTAGAATCTCAGAATCTCATTTGTAATTGGTATCACCATCTGATTAAATTTATGGTAATCCATAGTCATGTTCCAAGTTCTTTCCAGCTTTGATCTAGGTAAATGGCCAAGTTAAATGGGGATATAAAAAGTTTTAACACCCCTGCATCCTTTCTGTTTTTGATAGTGGTACTGATTTCTGAGCTTCTCCCATGGAAGTGGTATAGTTTTTGGTTACTTTCTTAGTAGGAAAAGGGGAGACAGTTCCAGAGTCTTCTTCATGGCCTTTTCTCCCATTATAGCTTTTATGACATGGGACAGGGAACCAATATGGGAATTTAGCCAGTTACTAAGTATATCTGTTTCCACTATAATTCTATTACTAGGGAAATAAGCACAGGATGGGCCTATGGTCCTATTGGACCCACTGTGAGATAGACTTATTCCCTGACATTACCTCTGGAAGTCCCACTTTGACTTGTAGACCATGTTTTGGGTCTCTAGGAGATTAGTGGTATTTCAGAGCTAGTATCCAGTAACGCTTGGGAGGATTATATATTCCTATTTCTGTAGTGGACAATCATCCTGGAAAATTGCTGCAGGTCCTTCTCAGGAAAGGCCTGGAGAAAGATCAACAGTATATGCCTGTGGCCGTTTAAAGGGTCACAATATGCTGGGTGTGGTGGCTTATGCCTACAATCCCAGCACTTTGGGAGACTGATATGGGCAGTTTGCTTGAGCTCAGAAGTTCGAGACCAGCCTGGTCATCATGACGAAACCCCATCTCTACCAAAAATAGAAAAATTAGCCAGGCATGGTAGCACATGCCTGTGGTCCCAGCTACTTGGGAGGCTGAGGTGAGAGGATTGCTTGAACCCTGGAGGTGGAGGTTACAGTGAGCCAAGATTGCGCCACTGCACTGCAGCCTAGGCAACAGAGTGAGACCCCATCTCAAAAAAAAGAAAAAAAATAGGTCACAATAATCTTATTAGTCTTCCTTGATCTAAGATCCTTTGAATATATTCCTATATGTGCTCTCCACACTCCCACTGGTAAATAAATTGTTGAGATCCTAAAATATTTTGTCATAAAGGCAGTTTTCTCCCAGAGTAGACTTGGAACTTCTTTCTGGGGTCTTTTGGGTTATGAGACAATGAAAGATGGTGGGAGTAGATAGTGAAGAGAATTAGCATCCCTTGTGAAACAACTTGAAAAGAGTTTTATTGAGGAGGAGGCGTTGGGATGCAGGGTCTTCTGAGAGATACAGGCAGCTGCTTTCAGCAAGGAAGTTCAGCTGAATTTGGGGTTCAGCATTCTTAGCCTCATCTATGCCTACCCAAGTACCTACATGTAGGATTCAAGTCATTGTCCTTTCCAGCCAGTGCCGTATGTTAACACATGAGACTTTGCAGGATTATATATTGAATTGGCTCTGCAACCCTAGACATCAAACCCTGGGCTTGATCTTTAGTCTTCTCAGCTTGGCAACTGTAAGAGATGAAGGGCTCGAATAAAACAGCCATGGATTTTCTACCCATCTCTTTGGGAATTCACAGCTTTAACTTTGTCATTTGCTTTGTGCACATTCTCAAGAACAGCCGGAAGCAGCCCCAGCCCACATTGCAGTCTCTGAAGTCAGTGTTTTTATCAGCTGCTTGGACTATGAGCACTCTCCACCTGCACTCCATCCTGTGACACCATGCACAGGTAGTTGAGCAATCATAATGTCACTGTGTGCCATCCCCACCCTCCACAGGAAGGTTTTCAGGACACTTGTCAAATACACATTCCATTTTTGAGGCTGTGTTTCCTGGGGTCATTCTTGGTACCAGTTAACTGCATCAGTTACATGACATGCTCAAAAGTAGTTGAAGGGAGTTTAACAAAGGGACTGTTAACTAAGATGTTGTGGGCAGGATTAGAGGAACCAGCATGGCATGTTGAAGCACCTCTTTACTAGCAAAGTCAGGAAGCTGTTATTATTCCCAGGCCCTTCAACTGTAGCTGTGGAAGAGGGGCTGCCTGCTAGGAACTGTGGGCTTAGGTAGATAAACCACTGATGTCAGAAAGGGACCAGGGGAACAAATACCTTAGCGCCTTGCTCCTCTTACCCTCTAATTTGTTAGTGACTCTCATGGCTGAACCCAGCCAGAGGACAAAAGCAAAGTGTGCTACTTTAGTGTGCAGTCCATAGAGCTCAGACTTCTGGACATGTGGCTGGGTGGAGAAAGAGTGGCGTTTGGGTCTGGAAGGGCAGATGGAGACTGTCAAGTGCAATTGCCAAACTGGAACCTTTGGCTCAGGTTTGAGTGTGCTTCTTGAGTGTAGACTTCTACACTTAACTCCCAGCTGTACCTGTTCTCTTAGATGTCCCCGGGGTACCTTACAGGAGACAAGTTGTCCTGCCTACCATCTCTTTCCTTCTCCTTTATTCCTGATGCCATTTAATGTGCTATCTTACTGTCCCTTCCAAAAGGAGGACCTGAGGAATTCTGCTTCTGTGGGCTATAGCACAGCAAGGCACAAACAGATAAAGTACCAGCAGGACCTGCCACCCTGAGCCCCACGTTCTCAAGGGAGAGGTGTGGAAAGTGTAGCTCATAACCTTCACCTTCTGAATGTCTCTGCTGTAGGAGGAGAAGCATGGGTTAATGTGGCTTCTGAGGTTCCAGGACAGGGCCAGTCTGCCTTAGAAGTACAATAGGTTCCACCTGCTCTCATGCTTAGACAGTAGATTGCTGTGACAGGTGGGCCAGGCTCTGGTCAGGTGCTTCCCTGGTCTTACTGGGGCAAAGCAGCTACTATTATGGGGCTTTAGAATGCTATAATTTACAGACAGATGTTGTACTCTTTGTTGAGGAGAGACCAATTACATGTCTGTATGTTCTAACAACTAATTCAGCTACGTAGAAATCTTTCTGACTGCTGGGCGCAGTGGTTCACGCCTGTAATCCCAGCACTTTGGAAGGCCGAGGCAGGTGGATCACCTAAGGTCAGGAGTTTGAGACCAGCCTGACCAACATGGAGAAACCCCATCTCTACTAAAAATACAAAATTAGTTGGGCGTGGTGGCACGTGCCCGTAATTCCAGCTACTTGGGAGGCTGAGGCAGGAGAATTGCTTGAACCCAAGAGGCGGAGGTTGTGGTGAGCTGAGATTGTGCCATTGCACTCCAGCCTGGGTGACAAGAGCAAAACTCCATCTCAAAAAAAAAAAAAAAAAAAGAAATCTTTTTGACTGCATTTCCAGCAGCAAATCCAACAAGGGAAGCTTTGAATCATCTCAAAGGAAGCATTCTTATAATCAGTTAAAACTCATTATACCTGAATATTCAATGCCTGCTGATATATATTTTAAATCATTACCTGAATATAATTTATTTATAGTGATCAGATCTGTTACAGTGACTTCCTGAAACTAAACATCCAGGGCAATTATCCAAGCAAACTGACACTTTAAAAAGTATTATTTAGTCTGGGTGCGGTGGCTCATGCCTGTAATCCTAGCACTTTGGGAGATCAAGTTGGGAGGAATGCTTGAGCCCAGGAGTTCAAGACCAGCCTGGGCAATGTAATGAGACCCTGTCTCTTAAGAAAAAAACAAAAAAAAAGTATTGTTTGAGCCAGGTGTGATGGTCTGTGCCTATAGTCGCAGCTACTTGGAAGGCTCAAGCAGGAACATTTTTTGGTGTGCTCTTGAGCCTAGGAGTTTGAGGCTGCAGTGCAGCATGATTGCACCTGTGAATAGCCACTGCATTCTAGCCTGGGCAACATAGCAACACCCTGTCTCTAAAAGAAAGGTATTATTTGGTGTCATGTGGTGTCAGAGTATGGGCTGCTGTGTGTAGCAAAGGTGACATCAGTGTGACATCTCTAGCCCTTTGTTCATGGGGTGGGATGATATTAACATACTACATTTATTTTGTAGGAAGATCTACTGTAGTGTCTCTGACCAGAGGTTCAGTACAAAAGAATCATCCACAGTTATAATGCAGCATAGTACAGTGGTTAAGAGTTGGAACTCTGGAGTCAGATGGCCTGGGTTCAAATCCGGGATGTACGAATTATTTCACCTCTCTGTGTTTCAGTTGCCTCATTTGTAAAATGAGTAAATAGTTATGTACTATACAGGATTGTAATCTGAATTGTTCAGCACACTTGACCAGTTCATCCTGATACAAGAAGTCTGAAAACCACACTTTGGTTACCTCCAACTAGATCTTTTCTAGGTGAGAGTTAGTCCCTAGCCTACGTGAACTGAGGTGTGTAAGTTCCTAGAATTTCCTAATAGTAAGAAAGGTAGATGGGCTGCAGATATTTGTGGCTTGTAGTAGGAACATAACAAACTAAATCTCTAACCTGGGCTGAGACTGATGAGCAAAAGTAGGTTCCTATCAGAATAAACGAAAATTAGTCCCATGCTTAAAGAATGACAGTCATAGTATTTTAAAGTTGTTTTGCTAATCACTTTTTTTTTTTTCTGTTGGTTAAGGTTGCATGATGGAATTTGAACATTACTTCAAGAGGTTTTGTATTTTGGATTAGTTAATTGGGTTTGTCCTCTGCTGACTGTTTCTTCGGATGCATTTTTTGGTGTGCTCTTGAGGGATTAAATGCAAAGAGATCACACCATGGACTACAAGGAAAGCTGCCCAAGTGTAAGCATTCCCAGCTCCGATGAACACAGAGAGAAAAAGAAGAGGTTTACTGTAAGTATTTAACATAAAGCATGTGGGAAAAAAGTTGAATGTAGAGAATATTTTCATTTCTGCTTTTCTTCTCCAACCTAGAACACCCCCTTCCCCATCTCCACATACCTAGATTTTACTTCTTTCACATGATCTGTTCTCCACAAAGTCTTCTGTGGCTACCGTAATGGAATAAATTTTCCTTTTTTAGTGTCTCTTTACTTATCTTCTTGGAGAATTGTATGAAACTATCTAATTAATCTTCTTAACAGAAAATGTGCATGTGCATACACATGGATCTATGCACACACTTATAATTTTGTGTGCACTGTCAGGAATTAATGGACTCCTGAAGTCATCGATTCCATATTAAGAACTACTGTCCTGAAATGTTTATAGTATCTCTCAGTTTTAAAATATTTAATTCAGTATTTTATTTTTTTCACCTTAAAGGCTAAGCCATTTCTAATTTTATCGTTTATCACTGTAGTATCTACTATAGGGCTTTATAAAGAGTAAGCACAATGAATATTTGCTCAATCTGTGTATCAGTTTTTATTATTGGAGAATAGTCACTTTTCTAATTAGTGTGCTGAAACATACAATATTGTATTTAGTTTCAGTAGTCCTATTAGTATATACAGAGGTCTTGTGCCCTCCTCCCCCTGAAAAAAAAAAAGCCACTTATTGTGTCTATTACTGATCTGCTCTTCCTTGTAACTCCCCACCCCCCTCACCTACTGAGTAATATGAAGAAATTCATTTAGCCCAATTCTGTTTAATACTTAGTCTATCTAATAATTTAACCAGGTCTCAGGATAAAATGCTTAGCCTCTCTTACTTCTACTTTCTTTCTCTTACTTGAACACGCATCCTCCTCAGGTTGGCATCATGGTTTATGGGAGGAGAGGTGTCCCCTTTCACAGTATTGTTGAGTTGGTGAATGACCTCATGGTAGCCTGGTGAAGCCTCTTGAGTTCTTGTCGTCCCTCTAGATCTTTGCCATTTGAGCTATAAAGTGGCTGGTCTGGCAAATAGCCTGCTATGACTGACCTGGTAACCTGGGCATTTTGCTGGCATCCATTGCTGACACCTGCAGTTGATGAACTAACCTGTGATCTCTTTGTTGGCTTGACCAGGGTCTTGCGGCAACTCACCACTGACTCAGTACCTTGGCCCTTGATAGCTGTAGAGCCCCCTGAGGCTCTGACATGTCCTTCACCTGCTCCTGGCTCAGTGATCCACCCCAGCCTCTAAAAAGGGGGTTACCTGGTCACTGCCAGTTGAGTCCCATGACAGGTGACTTTCAATTCAGAATCCCTGTCACAGGGCAGTTGAGGAAATCTCTCTGCCTTCTTAACTAGGTGGGGCTGAGTGCCGGAAAATGATGGTTTTCTCTCAAGGTCCCAGACAAGAAGCAGGGAAAGCAGTCCCTCTGTCCTCTCTTCCTTAACAGACACACCTGCCACACTTGGTACCACATCCCAGAGCAGAGAAATTGCAATGTGCGTCTGACCATTGACCCCTTCTCAGCCTCTATATTGCAGGAATATCTTCAACAGTAGGCATTTGTTGCACATTTGTATAAGCAAATTTTTAGCAGTATCACATTGAAGGTAAACAAAGGTTGATATACCTTGAATAAAATGGTAGAGTGTGTGAAAGTTTTTCTTCCTTCCTTCCCTCTCCTTATTTTTGCCTTTGGGCCATTCTTTTCTCGAGGGGATACCTCCTGCCAAGTTTGATGGAAGTTCACACATAGCAAATGTCAGCAGCAGTTATCTCGTGTCCTTTGATTTTCCAGGCTGGAGGTTATTTCCATGTCTTCTGTGGGATGGTCGAGGAGACCTGTAGCATTTCTCTTACCCAGCTGTTCTTAGGCTGTGCACTGAGTTCTCAAAGGCCCTATCTAAATCACCTTATTCGTTTACTTCCTTCAAATTCTCAAATATTGCCTTATTAGAGAGGCATATTTTGACCACCCTATAAAAAATAGCACCTTCACACCCCACCCTACCCCTCTCACTCTCTATCCTGCTTTCCCTCCTGCCACATTTTATGTTTGTTTATATGTGCCTTCTTTGAGTAGAATGCAAGGTTCTTTGAAGCAAGAACTTCTTCACTATTGTTTCACCAGCCCTAGAACAAAGATAGTAGGAATTCAAATAAGTATTTGTTGAATTGTTCATCTGTTATTTGCTGGTCACTACAGTGCAGTCCTCAATCCTCAAGAAATTTGATTCTGTCAGTGCAGATAGACCCCATCCCACCCAACACAGATGCTGTGTTCAGCCTGGGTACTCATGTTATCGATAATATTTTTATTTATTTTATTTATTTTTTTGAGACAGAATCTCGCTCTGTCGCCAGGCTGGAGTGCAGTGGTGCAGTCTTGGCTCACTGCAACCTCCACCTCCTGGGTTCAGGCTATTGTCCTGCCTCAGCCTCCCAAGTAGCTGGGACTACAGATGCATGCCACCACGCCCAGCTAATTTTTTGTATTTTTTGTATTTTTTTTTTTTTTTTTTTTTTTTTTTTTTTAGAAGGGACTGGGTTTCACCATGTTGGCAAAGTCTATCTCTTGACCTCGTGATCCGCCCACCTCGGCCTCCCAAAGTGCTGGGATTATAGGCATGAGCCACCACACCCAGCCTGAATTTAAATTTAATAGAAACAGGGTCTTGGTATGTTGAGTAGGTTGGTCTCGAACTCCTGGGCTCAAGTGATTCTCCTGCCTCAGCCTCCCGAAGTGCTGGGATTACAGGAATGAGCCACCACACCCAGCCTTGATAATATTTTTATACTCTAGTTTTCATAGGTAGTTTATGTAGTTCTATACCATGAAGCTTCTAACAGGGAAATGTGTTGCATTCTAGGTGTCTTGACTTAAACCAAGTCTAAATTATATTTTTATTTATCCACTTGACAAATTGTGAGTTTCTATGTTATGTTCTAGGCACTGCAGATACAGTGGAACAAGAGTGACGTTAACCCTAGCTCTCAAGGAACTTTCATTATACAGGGACAAGACAGACAATAAGGAAATATGCAAATAAGATAATGTCATATTGTATTAAGTATTGTACTGTTTCCTGTGAAATCTAAGGATTTCACAGGAAATCTAATCTTGTTTTTTTTTTTTTTACCAATGGAAATATTTTTAAGGATTTGAATAGTTTTTTGTTTTTGTCTACTGTTTTATTAGTACATATTTAATAAGCACTTGTTTATAAATCATGCTGTTAATTCATAATTTTACAAGGCTTTATTTGTCTTCTGTAAATATATTTGCTGCAGAGCTTCTCCAGCTTGTAACGTAGACTTGCTCCTGGTCTTGGCTGTATTTGGGTAGCCAGGGGAGGCCACCTGAACTTTCTAAGATCCATTCTTCTCACCGAGTCAGCACAGATAATTCAAGAAACTCACAATCATATAAACCTAAGTGTTTTATTCTCTTACAGCAGTTCTGCTTCTAGGCTTGTCTGATCCCAGTGCCGTGTGAGATAATCTCTTGTCTAGTCTTATTCAGCGTCGCTGGCACCTTGGCTAGGTTTTTTGCCCTCTACTTCTGCATGCTGTCCATGTGGGAGGTATCAAATTAATTCTAACATCTTACACATAATAGCTTCCTCTGAGACAACCAGATTCCTTCTCGGTTAAGACCAAAAGGGCCAGATTACCATCCTGCAGCTCATGTAGGGTGTCTCATGTATAGTGGGGGGTTGTAATATTTGTTCTGCTTACTTCATAGGGTTGTTGATTATGATTATATGAGGTTATGTATATTTGAAAATATTGAACATGGAAGATAATACTAGGAAATCTGAGGATAAATTCTTATTAATAGTTTGAAAACTACTATGTGAAAGATGACCTAGAAGGAAGAGAACTAACAATTGAAGGTTTTTTATGTAGCAAGTATCACTTTTGAAAATACTTTGTAAGTTCCAGGTAGTAATTACTGCTAGGGAAGAAGAGAGGAAAGTGGCAACAGTTGAATCTATCGTATTTTATTCTTTGGCAAAAAAAATCTGAAGCAAGAATGGCAACATGTTAGAATTCAATAGATCCAAATAATGAGCACATGAGTGTTGACTATGTTATTCCCTGAAAATTACAGAAATATTTTGTAACATTTGAAAAATAAAATATCACCTATTTTTTTCTGACCTCATTTTCTTCCCATCACAAGAAACCACTTTTTTTTTTTTTCCAAGTCATGATCTCGCTTTGACACTCAGGCTGGAGTACAGTGGTGTGATCTCAGCTCACTACAGCGTCGACTTACCTGGGCTCAAGCAATCCTCTTACTTCAGCCTCCTGAGTAGCTGGGACTACAGGCGTGTACACCATGCCCAGCTAATTTTTAAATTTTTTGTAGAGACGGGGTCTCCCTATGTTGCCCAGGCTGGTCTCCAGCTCCTATGCTCAAGTAATCCTCCCACCTCAGCCCCAGAAAGTGCTGAGATTACAGGCATGACCCACTGAACCCAGCCAAGAATACCATTTGACAAGATTCAATAAGTGCTTTAATTGGTATGTTTATGTATCTTAGAGAATCATATAAAAATGTTAATATCAGTTTCGGAATATGAAAACATCAGCCTTGGTGAAAGAGCCAGACTGTCTCAAAAAAAAAAAAAAATTAAAACAGGTTTCATGTATTTAAGTAGCTAATGGGTTTTTTGCAATTAAATTGTGTTATATTATGTAATTTTTTATTTCCACAGGTTTATAAAGTTCTGGTTTCAGTGGGAAGAAGTGAATGGTTTGTCTTCAGGAGATATGCAGAGTTTGATAAACTTTATAACACTGTAAGTAATCGTCTACAAGATTTCTAATTAAAAGAAAGCACCCGAGAAAACCCAAAATAAGAGAGATGTATTTGAATGATTAAATTGATACTCATATGTTAATATGTCAGACAGGCAGACAAAGGTAAGAGATTCTTCAAAAACATCCTAACTTTGGAATGCTTTCAAAGAAAGGGTAGAGAGAGGACTGCTGAACAATTCCAAATAAACCATTAAAAATATGAGAACTAGATAAAATACCTTTTAATGTCATAGAAAATTATAAGTCAGTTCTTTCTACCTACCTCTCTGATAATTGTTAATCATCATGGTATTTCTGGTTAAATTGCCTACTGTAAGCTTTATGTTTGAAAGTCTGTCATGAACCTATCTCCCTTCCATACTTTGTTTCCATTCTTAGAGATATGTCTTAGGTTCCAGATTTTAAGTAGCTAACACAATTGAAATGAGTGTTGACTTTTAGAGTTCTGACAGCTACCTAGGTGGTAAGATCTAAGAGACCATTAGCTATTTAAATTACTACAACCTGTTTTTATATTTTCATAACTCAGATATTAAATAGAATTCATAATCTACTGATGGCAGTACATACAGTACATACTTGCTAAAGTAGGCAGCAAAGAGCCAGGCACGATGGTTCACATCTGTAATTCCAGCACTTTGAGAGGCTGAGGCAGAAGGAACATTTGAGCCTAGGAGTTGAGAGGGTACCAGTGAGCATGATTGCCCCACTGCACTGCCATCTGGGCAATATAGCAAGACACCATCTAAAAAAATAAAGGCAGCAAGACCACCACAGTCACTATAATACCATATCTTCCACAGGTAGCAGTGTTTGTGGATAGTGTTGCCTTGAAGATCATACGTAGAAGCTAAAGCATGCCTCTTGAGTTACTAATAGCTATTATGGAACTCCAGGTCATTAAGACAGTCCTGGATTTAAAGCTTTGCTTCAGTTAAGAACAAAAGCAATTGTGCCTCAAATCCCCAATGTATTTATTTATTTATTTATTTGAGAGAGGGTCTTGCGCTGTCACCCAGGCTGGAGTGCAGTGGCACGATCTTGGCTCACTGCAACCTCTGCCTCCCATGTTCAAGTGATTCTCGTGCCTCAGTCTCTCAAGTAGCTGGGATTACAGGCGTGAGCTACCACGCCTGGCTAGTGTTTTTGTAGTTTTAGTAGAGACGGGGTTTTGCCATGTTGGCGAGGCTGGTCTCAAACTCCTGGCCTCATGTGATCCGCCCACCTCGGCCTCCTAATGTGCTAAGATTACAGGCATGAGCCACTGCCCTTGGCCTCAAATCCCAAATTGAAATTCCTCTGCTCTCATGTAATAGTAAATAGGGATCTCCCAGTGTCATTGTTTAATGAATGGTAGATTACTAGGCATCCTCTGGAAAAACTCTTGTTATATATTTAAGAAGGGAATTTTGGGCCAGGCACGGTGGCTCACACCTGTAATCCCAGCACTTTGGGAGGCTGAGGCGAGTGGATCAGAAGGTCAGGAGATCGAGACCATCCTGGCTAACATGGTGAAACCCCGTCTCTACTAAAAATACAAAAAATTAGCCAGGCGTGGTGGTGGGCGCCTGTAGTCCCAGCTACTTGGGAGGCTGAGGCAGGAGAATGGCGTGAACCCGGGAGGCAGAGGTTGCAGTGAGCCGAGATTGTGCCACTGCACTCCAGCCTGGGTGACGGAGCGAGACTCTCTCTCAAAAAAAAAAAAGTGGCGGGGGGGGAGTTTTTTCATTTCTTTTTTTTTTTTTTTTTTTATTATACTTTAAGTTTTAGGGTACATGTGCACAACGTGCAGGTTTGTTACATATGTATACATGTGCCATGTTTGTCTCTTGATTTTAAACATAGGAATAAATATATGCCTGTGGGTTATTATTTGTAAGATATTTTTGAATATGAGGAAAGTTACACATATATATCAATTAAGAGATAAATTCCTAAATGGGTCAGAATAAATCAAACAATGTCTAGCTGTACCACTTCCTGTGTTTTGTTAAGTCATGAAAATTAGATTTCTGATTCATCTTTATTTAGCATTTCACTATGTATGTATTTGTTCCTAATATTCAAATCACTTGCTACTTGAAATTGAATTTCTGAAGATAATACTACAATTTAAAAATATTTATTTTTGCCTATGTAAAATTAATAGGGAGACTCCATCTCTACAAAAAAAATAAAAATAAAAAGTTAGCTGGGTGTAGTGGCACATGCCTTATAGTTCTGGCTACTTTGGAGGCTGTGGTAGGAGGATCACTTGAGCCTGGGCGGTTGAGGCTGCAATGAGCCATGACCATGCCACTACACCCTTGAGACCCTGTCTCAAAACAAAAACAAGAACAAAACACCTATAATGTTGCTACTCAGAAATAACTGTTAACATTTTACTGTTTTCTTCTGTTCTTTAGCTTTTCTTTAATGCACACGCAACTGCACTTACTAAATACAGGTTGAGTATCCCTTATCTGAAATACTTGGAACCAGAAGTGATTTGGATTTCAAATTTTTTCAAATTTTGGAATATTTGAGTTATACTTATCAGTTAACCATCCCAAATCTGAAAATCTGAAATCTGAAACGCCCCAGTGAGCATTTCCTTTGAGCACTCAAAAAGTTATTGGTTTTGGAGCATTTCAGATTTTCAGATTTGTGATATTCAACCTGTATAGTTTTAGATATTTGCTTAATCAAAGGATATTGAGATAGGTTTTTTTTCTGTAATTAAGGTTACACTGTTGAAACAACAGCCAATGAGAGTTTGTACATGGAAATATCTTTCATAAGTTTTTAGTGATTTTTTAAAAAATGGCTTATTTTGGAGGCTGAGTTTGGGTTGCAATGTTAGCTCATTTTGAAACTCTTGAATACCCATTATTTGCATGTTCAGCATGTCTTTGAGGAGTGTGTAAATCCAACTGTACCCACCAGGATGCCTGGGTTATGCTCGGGTAAAAATGACATGACTGTAGTGTCTGTCTGTCTCTGTCTCTGTGTCTTTCTTTCCCTCTCTCTTTCTCTCTCTCTCTCACACACACACACACCCCACATACACCACATACATTTGAGACTTCTTTCTGTCTTTTGCTTAAAATATTTCATAGGCTAGATTTACCTTCTAAAGACGTCTTTTGTGAAACTCTTCATAGAGGAAGGGGTGTAGGGAATGTCATCTAAAAACTCAGCACTGTGGAGATCCACACCGGTAGTGTGTGTTCATGATGTTTTCATGATTTTAATAGCTGGTGATTAATTAAATTGTTAATATTTGAGTATCTGTAAGCATAAAAATAAAATAGGAAAACTTGTTTGGGGTACCTCCATCCATGATTACTTTCATTCTCTCTTCTGTGAAACATTCCATCTTTGGATTTTTTGTAGAAGAGTTTCCTTAACTTGTAGTTCAGTTTTTATCATTCATCTCCCTAATTTCTTTTGTATTTCTTTTCACCCTTTTTTCATTGTTCTTATTTCATCACTTTCTATGTCTCTCTCTTTTTATGTACCTCCTTCTAATTCTGCCTCCTGTGGTGAGGGGCAAAGAAAAAAATAGGAAAATAGTTATTGGTTGGATTCTTTGAAACTACAGAAATCAGGTTGAACCTGGTCTGGATTTCCCTAAGTTCAAAAACACAAATTATTTTTCTGTCCTTTTAGAATAAAAGAAAAGAAAAAAATCTCTAGGCATTTTAATTGTCAACTTCAATGTGTCCTTTATGACTAGTTTATATTTTAAACTTTTTATTATAGAAATTGTCAAACACAGGCCAGGAACAGTGGCTCACAACTAGTATCCCAGCACTTTGCAAGACTGAGGCAGGAGGATTGCTTGAGCTCAGGAGTTCAAGACCAGCCCGGGCAATGACATAATGAGACTGTCTCTACAAAAAATAAGACAACTTGCTAGGTGTGGTGGTGTGTGCCTGTGGTCCCAGCTACTCAGGGGGCTGAGGGGAGGATCACTTGAGCCCAGGAGGTCAGCACTGCATTCCAGCCTGGGTGATAGAGCAAGACACTATCTTAAGGGAAAAAAGAAAGAAAGAGAGAGGGAGAAGGGGATGGGGAGGGAAGGGGAGGGGGCGAAGGAAGGAAGGAAGGCAGGTAGGAAGGAAGAAGGAGGAAGGAAGGAAGGAAGGTTAATTATCAAACACATACAGAAGTGACATACTAGTACCAATTCAGAAAATAACATTATGTTACCATCCAGCTTCAATAATTACTGATACGTGGCCATTCCTGGTTCATCTCTATCCCTAGCCAGCCCACCAGCCCACCATAATTTTGACACAAATTTCAGACATCATATCGTTTCATCTGTAAATATTTTAGTATACATCTTTAAAAGATAAAGATTCTTAAAAACAAAACATATACACAATATCATTACCACATCTAAAAATAAATGAACAGCAGTGCCTTAATATTGGATATCCAATTAAGGTTTATGTGACTGATTGATAAGTCTGTTAAGTGTCATTTAATCACTAGGTTCCCCCTCTGCCTTTCTTTTCTTTCCTTTACACATTTTTTGTGTGTGTGTATGAAAAACAACAAGGTCATTTGTTTACGTATTTTTCAGTCTGCATTTTACTGACAGCGTGCCCCATGCTGTAAAGTGATTAGTACATTCCTCTGTTCTTTGTATTTCCTATCAGTTGGCAGTTAGAGGTGTTGTTTTTGGGTGTTTTTGTTTGTTTGTTTTTGGTGAGACAGGTTGTTGCTCTGTCACCCAGGCTGGAGTGCAGTGGCGTAATCACGGCACACTGCAACCTTGACCTCCCTGGCTCAAGTGATCCTCCCACCTCAGCCTCCCAAAGTGCTGGGATTACAGGCCTCAGTGAGCTACTGTGCTCAGCTAAGATACAGTTTTTACATGTGTGTGTGTATTTTTGACATCAAACTTATAATGAAAATATAACTCATTTTTATGACTTAACTGCCCCAAATTTAATTTCTTCAGGGCCGAGTTTTCCTTCTCTGAAGACAAGCATATCTGATAAACAAATGTATTAGAATATATATATAATTATTTTTTTTGAGACATGGTGTCTGTTGCCCAGGCTGGAGTGCAGTGGCATAATCATGGCTCCCTGCAGCCCCAACCTTCCAGGCTCAAGCAATCCTCCCACCTCAGCCTTAGGAGTAGCTGGGACCACAGGCATATGCCACCATGCCTGGCTTTTTTTTTTATTTTATTTTTTAGAGACGAAGTTTCACTTATTAGAATATCAATAAGGGGAAGGTTAGAGCAGATAGGGTATTGAAAGCAAAATTCATCTGCTTTCTTAGAAATTTATTGTCAATCTATTCATGTAGAGAAAACACCAAGATCATATCTTCTCCTAAGATAATAAATGAGTAATATGTATTTGGAACTGTAACAGCACGTTCTAGCCTTAGCACTTGCCATACATGATCTCCTTTAAAACTCACAGCAAATCTGTAAGGTCATTGTTAAAATTATCCTCATTTTATAGGCAGGAAAATGAGACGCAGATGTTGAGTATTTTATCCTAGGTCACACGATACTAGGTATTTTATTGGGACTAAAAAAGACGATTAGTTTGTGACATTTTATTGGTATAATTTATGTTATACTTTGGATGATCATAAATTCAAAAGTATGTCTTATGATGGATTTTCTTTAAAATAAGATTGTATTTGGCTTTGATGTGTGCATAACTAGAAGACTTATAAAATTAGTTCATATAATGTTATTTTTAAAAATTTTAGTTAAAAAAACAGTTTCCTGCTATGGCCCTGAAGATTCCTGCCAAGAGAATATTTGGTGATAATTTTGATCCAGGTAAGAAACAACTTCATAGGCCAGCTATGAAGTGATTGTTGAAGTTTGAAGAAGTAAATTAATGTATTCATTGCACTGTATAGCAGTGCAGGACTTTAAAAGATCTTATGCTCTGTGAAAATAATGCCGCAGGAAGGTGCTTACTGTCTACTAGGCATTGTTTTAAGTACTTCATGTGTTTTAATTCATTCGATCCTGACAACTTCGTGAGGTGGGTATTGTTGTTATCACTATTTTTATAGATAAGGAAATAAAACACAGGTTCATTAATTTGCCCAGGACCACATACAGATAGTAAAGGGCAGATGTGGAAGTTAAATTCAAGCAGTCTGACTTCTATATAAATTTATCTGTCAATGGGCTGGGCACAGTGGCTCACACCTGTAATCGAAACACTTTGGGAGGCCAAGGCAGGAGGATCACTTCAGGCCAGGAGTTTTGAGACCAGCCTGGGCAACCTCATCTCTACAAAAATTTAAAGATTAGCTGGGCATGGTGGCGTGCACCTGTAGTCCCAGCTACTCAGGAGGCTGAGGCGAGAGGATAGCTTGAGGTCAGTAGTTCAAGGCTGCAGTGAGCTGTCATCATGCCATTGCACTCCAGGCTGGGTGACAGAGCGAGACCCTATTAAAAAATTTTTTAATTGATCCTTCAGGTTAATTTGGGAAACTTTACAGACTTTAAATCAGTATCATGAAGAATATTCACTTTTGTATTCAGAAACATTAAATATATACTGTGTACATAGTAACTTGTAGGCCTCTGAATGGGATACCAAAAAGATATCCTAAGCCGGGCACGGTGGCTCACGCCTGTAATCCTAGCACTTTGGGAGGCTGAGGCAGGTGGATCACAAGGTCAGGAGATCGAGACCATCCTGGCTAAAACGGTGAAACCCCGTCTCTACTAAAACTACAAAAAATTAGCCGGGCATGATGGTGGGCGCCTGTAGTCCCAGCTACTCGGGAGGCTGAGGCAGGAGAATTGCTTGAACCCGGGAGGCAGAGGTTGCAGTGAGCTGAGATCAGCAGCACTGCACTCCAGCCTGGGCGACAGAGCGAGACTTCATCTCAAAAAAAAAAAAAAAAAAGAGAGAGGGACATCCTATTGCTTACCCTTGGGGAACCCATGGACACAGAGGGTCTCAGCATCTAGCACCTCTATGACTAAAGCTGCAGGCATGGAATTTTCCCCTAGAACCCAAGAGATTAATCCAGGTCACAGATGGCTACTTACAGGGAAACAAAAGTCTTCTTATCCACCAGAAATTCTATCAGAAAAGTCATCTATCTCTGCCACAGATGAATCCTGAATGGATTGCCCTCCTTCCCCAACTAATTTGCTTGTAACCTTGTAACTGGTTAAACTGATAATACCTCACATGTCTGTGTAAGAAAAGAAAGAGAGAGATCTTGGTCACTACTCAAGATAAAAGCTCTAAGGTCCCTTATATTGAGTGTGCTTTCTCTCTCCATCCTAACTTTATACCATTCGTTTTCCTCCCAGACCATATCACTGTGTCCTATATAATTCTGCCCACCATTAACGGACTGCTCTTTATCCTGCACCTTTTTCATATTTCTTCTACATTCTTCCTTTAATTAAAACATTTTTTCCCCAGAGGCTGCTTTGCCTATAGCCCTCTCAACTGGAGGCTTATTATTCTTTACACTTTATGAACCTCTGGTTTGGAGAATGTTCTTACTTCCCTGGTTACATACAGAGTTTTTTTTTTCTCTCTTTCTTTCTTTTTTTTCCCCCCTTGGGAGTATATAGCACATTTCATTGTAATTGCTAATCTGTCTTACAGTAGGCTGTAGATTTTCTGAAGGTGCAGACTTATGTCTTTTTTTATTGGCGAACAGTGGCAATATACTGGTTTTAAGGTATTATTTTATTACTTTAAAACTGGCAAATACTAGGTTTTAAAGTATTACTAAATATATGAACCCATTAATAAAGAGAAGCAAGAGAAAATTGAGTTGGCACAACAAAGCCAGATTATATTCTGTAGACCTGTGGCTTTTGTACTCCTGCTTTGTTTTCGCAGCGGAACACTTTTTTCCCAATTGAAATCTTACAGAGAGCAGATATGGTAGCTACGCCTGTAATCCCAGCACTTTGGGAGGCTGAGGTGGGCGGATCACTTGAGGCCAGGAGTTCAAGACCAGCCTGGCCAAAATGGTGAAACCCCGTCTTTACTAAAAATAGAAAAATTAGCCAGGCATAATGGTGCATGCCTGTAGTCCCAGCTACTCGGGAGGCTGGAGCAAGAGAATCACTTGAATCCAGGAGTCGGAGGTTGCAGGTGAGCCAAGATCGCACCATTGCACTCCAGCCTGGGCAACAGAGCAAGACTCTGTCTCGAAAAAAAAAAAAAAAAAGAAAACACAAAAGAAATCTTATGGAAATGTAATATGTGAAAAAAATTTAAATGGAGCTGCTTTATTGGTATAACAGTGAAGTATCTCCTTGGAGCACAGGTTGAAAAGCATCTTCATGGGTAGCGTGTGGGCCTTAGTGGCATTTGAGCAAGATGTGAAACTGACAGTGTGTAATTTATGGTGGGCACAGCAGAGGAGAGACTGGGAGACTTGTTAAGGGAATAGTCCAATAGCCCTGGCATTAGATAATGAGTATGGGGACTAGGGTAGAAATAGGGTTTAAAAATGAGCAATGTACAAGAACTCCTTTAATGAAAAATCTGGAATACATCTTGATGATTGCTTAGGTAACACATATAGAGAAGAGGAGAGATAATTGGAGGGTCTGCCCTGGGTGACTGAGACAATTAACTAATTAGAAGTGGCAGAAAAATATTAAGAAATCAAACTACTAGTGATAATATGAGACTTGAACTTGGGTTGGAGTTCTGTAGAGCCCTTAACTGAATCCTTAAGACAATCATTTCATCAAGGAAAGAAAGCAAAGAAGTAAAAGACTGGCAACATTGCTGCTTCATTGTTAAAGGCAAGATACCAGGCTGAATGCTCTTTGGTACTTTGTTTTGATGAATTAATTGACACTAAAAACTGATTTTTTTGAAGAGCTGTTTGTCTATCCTGCGTATATTTAATATGACTTGGCAACAGTGAAAAGGATCATATGTCACAGAGATATTAGAAAGTCCTGCATTGGGGAAATCAGATCTAAGTCAAATTCAGAAAAACAGAGATGGATAAGATGCTCATTTGGTTATACTTTGGGGATACAGGCATTCCCATATTTTTCTGGTGGAATAAAAAGTGTTACAATCCATGTTGAGGGGAGTTTGGTAGTGTTTAGAAAAACTGTGAATGCATTTTCCACTTTGGCCAAGAAATCACATTTCTAGGAATCTGTCCCTAAAATAAGCTGCATATGATATAATGTACACACAAGACTGTGTATTGTGACACAATTTTTAACAGAAAAACTGGAAACAATGAAAATATTTTTCCAGTGGAGCTAGATATAACATACTTGTAAAAAGGAACAAAAAAGCTCTTTATGTATTTTGCTATGGTGTGATCTCCAGAATATACCATTAAATGGAAAAAAAAATCACAGTGCAGCAAATGAGTTTGTATGGTGTGTATTTTTTCTGTAGGAAAAGGTATGGGGATTCAAAAGGAAATAATGGAAGAATAAATAAAAAACTAATAAAACTAGTGACTTTAAGGATGAGGGAGAGATTGGGAAAGGCAAAAGGGGTGGAAGTTAGATGCCCTTGAATGAATTTTGTTCATACCTTTGACTTTGGAACCATGTACTATTTTAAACAATTTAAAAACAAAAATAAAAATGCAATAACAAAGCAGCCTCTAACAACTGAAAATAAACTGAAGGAAAAAACCTAACTTAATTTAAGTAACTTTAAAACATGGGATTTTGACTGTATATTCTTCATGGGATATATTGCTAAGGATAAAAACAAAAACCCATGGACAAATTTTACACTGCATTCATTAGTGTTATATGGCGTTGTTATTCTGTGATTAATGTTACTGTCATGGGAACCAAGATTTTAAGCAGAAGAGGAAAGTGATACAAACAAAATCAAAGATTTTAAGTAAAAATCCTGTAATTTTTTTTTTTTTTTTTGAGATGGAGTTTCGCTCTCATTGCCCAGGCTGGAGTGCAGTGGCATGATCTTGGCTCACCACAGCCTCCACCTCCTGAGTTCAGGCGATTCTCCTGCCTCAACCTCATGAGTAGCTGGGATTATAGGATGCGCCACCACACCTGGTTAATTTTGTATTTTTAGTAGAGATGAGGTTTCTCCATGTTGGTCAGGCTGGTCTCGAACTCCTGACCTCAGGTGATCCACCCACCTTAGCCTCCCAAAGTGCTGTGATTACAGGCGTGAGCCACTGCACTCAGCAAAATCCTGTAATTTGTAACTTAATTTGGAAATATAGTTTGAAATAATTATTTATTTATTTATTTATTTATTTTTTGAGACAGAGGCTCTCCCTTGTTGCTCAGGCTGGAGTGCAGTGGCGTGATCTCGGCCCACCACAACCTCCACCTCCCCAGTTCAAGCGATTCTCCTGTCTCAGCCTCCTGAGTAGCTGGGATTACAGGCGTGTGCCACCATGCCCGGCTAATTTTGTATTTTTAGTAGAGACAGGGTTTCTCCATGTTGGTCAGGCTGGTTTTGAACTCCAACCTCAGGTGATCCACTGGCCTCAGCCTCCCAAAGTGCTGGGATTACACCACCACCACTCCTGGCTCATAATTTATTTTTTTACCTTAGTAAAAATATTTTCTAGCACTCTCTCCTGGAAATGCCTAAAAGCAATAACAAGTAGTAACCAACACCCCTAGCATTCAGATTGTGATCTCTAAATACCATTTCCCTCTCAAAGGAACCAGAGTTTGCTGAAGAAATGGTGATCCCAGATCTGGGGCAGGAAATGTACAAGATGATCTCAGGGCAGCTTGCCTGAAAGCAGGGAAGCTATTTAGGATGACTGAAGTTTGATCAAAAGAACACAGGAGCCCAGTTGTCGGGGCTTTCACTGAGCAAAGATTAGACAGAATGGTGAAAGTAATTATCATAGCAGGTTAGAGCACATCAGTATAAAGACTTTCCAATTTACTTTGCTTGTTTGGGGAAAAAAAAAACCTTATGAAATGCTGTAGAGGTTACGAGAGTAAATTTATTCGCCAAATCAATAAATTAAAAAATCAAGGATTTATCTTGCCTTTGTTGTATGAAATGTAATTTATTTGTACCAAAGAGATAATGTTGGAAAATACTTCATAGCAGAATCACAGTTCATAAATAGAAGAATCACAGAATGATAGAACTGGAAAATCCTCGTACAACTTCTGATGAATTAATAGTTCTAGGCAAAGATCATCAGTGATTTCAAGACTTTACTAGGGCAGAAGGATCTGCTTCTAAGATGGCTCACTCATATGGTTTTTGGTAGAAAGCCTCAGCTCCTTGTGAGTGGGCCTCTTCTTAAGGGGCTTTGCGTGTCCTTACACCAAGGCAGCTGGCTTCCCCAGAGTGAGGGATCCAAGAGCGCTAGCAAGGAGGAAGCCTCGGTGCCTTCTATGACTTAGTCTTGGAAGCCACATGCCATTACATCCACCATATTCCGCTCATTAGAAGGTAGTCATTAAGTCCAACCCCCGTTCAAGAGAGAAGAAGAACTAAGTTCTACCTGTTGATTGGAGGGAAATAAAAGAATTTATAGACATTATGAGATAGTGATTTCATGGCTTTACTGTTTTTTTAAAGATACTGCCATTTAGAAATACACACTGATTTATTCCCCCCACACCAAAAAAAACAAAACAAAAATCTGCCTGAGAATTGCTTTAAAATATTCCAGAAAAAAAAAAAATAAAAGGTGAGGAATGAGGATAAATGAAATTGGAATAGCAGAATGTTGATAAATTTTAAAGTAGGCGAATAAGGTTCTCACCTTTTGTGTACTTGTGAAGTTTTTCATAATAAAAAGTTAAAAATAAAGTCAGCTGGGAGCGGTGGCTCACGCCTGTAATCCCAACACTTTGGGAGGCCGAGGTGGGTGGATCGCCTGAGGTCAGGAGTTCTAGACCAGCCTGGCCAACATGCTGAAACCTCGTCTCTACTAAAAATACAAAAATTAGCCAGGCGTGGTGGCATACACCTGTAATCCCGGCTACTCTGGAGGCTGAGTCAGGAGAATCGCTTGAACCTGGGAGGTGGAGGTTGCAGTGAGCTGGAATCATGCCATTGCACTCCAGCCTAGGCAACAAGAATGAAACTCCGTCTCAACGAAAATAAATAAATAAATAAAATCATACCTGAGAAAAACATTCTGAAATTCCCTTTTTAACTTATCTCATGGTTGGTAGCCATTCTATGGGGTTTTTGCTTATCTTTTTGAGTTCTTATACTGCAGTTTAAGCCTATGTCTTCTTTTTCTTTTGTCTACTTTATTCTAGTGTTTGCCAATCTCTATAAGATACATCTTACATACTTGAAGGCTGATTTTAAGAATGATCTCTGCCTGTACTTTTTGTTAACATTTTATTATGAATTTAACGACTTTTTAATAGGATGCACCCAGAGGAAACCATACTTTTAACTTTATTTATATATATGTTTTTGAGTCAGTGTCTCTGTTGCCCAGGCTGGAGTACAGTGGTGCGATCTCAGCTCACTGCAACCTCTGCCTCCCAACTCAGGTGATCCTCCCACCTCAGCCTGCTGAGTAGCTAGGACTACAGATGTATGTCGCCACAGCTAGCTAATTTTTAAAATTTTTTTGTAGAGACATGCTCTCACTATGTTGTCCAGGCTAGTCTCAAACTCCTGGCCTCAAGTGATTCTTTTACCTAGGCCTCCCAAAACTGTGGGATTACAGACGTGAGCCACTGCACCCAGCCTTTTTAAAATTTCTAATTGAAATTTCCTTTGAATTCCAGCAGATACATTCATGTAACTTCTTCATTGGAGAGATTTTTAAAAATACATATTTCTAACTATAGTTCTTAATATATAGGCCTTATATAAATTCTTGGCACTTATCCTATACATTATAGTCTTACCTGGAATTTTTTCAGATATTTGCAAACTTAGTGTTGATCTAAAAAAGTAAGTTTGGAATTGCCCCTGAATTCTGACTGCTACTGGACTTCTTCTTATATAGGGCTTTACATAGTGATTTTGAAACTGTTTAGTCAGTAATGAAATGGCAAGCCTAGAAACACTTAGAGCAGCATGGGCTATAGCTCACTGAAGAAAGGAAATTCCTCTCTTCACACTGGCCTTCAAAAGTAAAATATATCTTCAGTAAGCATCCACAGAACAATTTAAAGCTGTTTCCATGTAGTTATTAGGTTTTCTTTGAATATCCTAAATGTAGTCATTCATTTTAGTTCTTCATATGTTACTAAATTCAGTTCTCGAGAAATAACTGTGTTTCAATTACAGTTTTTAATGTAAACTTCACATGTGCTTTGCTACCTAGTGACATTATAAATGTCCTTGGAAGAGTTTAATGAGATACCTACCTGAAATTCTTCAAGGAATTCTTAGACGAACAAGAAAAAAGTACCAAGTACATGCTTCTGGCTCCAAAAGACCAGACCTGATTTTATATTTGTTTATATTTGTATGAAGCCATACCTTACATTTAAGAAATGGAAATAAACCTGGAAATAACCCATAATTTTGGTGACAAACACTATACATTATACCTTTATTCAGTAGAAATAAGTTTACTAAACCAAAACTCATTGTCAAGTGGAATATTTTTTATGGGTTTTTATCCAGACATTTGCCGTTAGGAGACAGTTTCTCAAATCAAATGTGTTAAGTTTTTAGAGTATATTTCTTAAGAATTGGCTGGGTGCGGTGGGTCACGCCTGTAATCCCAGCACTTTGGGAGGCCGAGGCAGGCAGATCACAAGGTCAGGAGTTCAAGACCAGCCTGGCTAACATGATGAAACCCCGTCTCTACTAAAAATACAAAAATTAGCCAGGTGTGGTGGTGCGTGCCTGTAATCCCAGCTACTCGGGAGGCTGAGGCAGGAGAATCGCTTGAAACTCAGGAGGTGAAGTTTGCAGTGAGCTGAGATCGCGCCACTGCACTCCAGCCTGGGTGACAGAGCAAGACTTTGTCTCAAAGAAAAAAAAAAAAGAGGGTTTAGGATAATGGCTTTTAGACCGCCCCAACCACTAATAATAACAACAACAACAAAAGTAATAGTATCTAATGATTATTAGCTATAAATAATACTCTTAACATCTGCCAAACATGCTACTATAAACTTAGATGCATTATCTCATTTAATCCTATAACAGCATTATGAGGTATAAATATTGTTACTATCCACATTTTACAAGTAAAAATATGAGTCTTGGAAAAGTTCAAGGTTAGGAAGTAGGAAAGACAAAGATATTTGAATAAAGTTTTCTAATTCCAAGAAAAGTGTGTATTTCAAAGAAAAGAAAGGTTTGTGCTTAATATTTATTCCTAAATTGCTATTGCATGAGCTTCAATTATCAACAAACAAAACACTTCAAAAATACTGGACAGGCTGGGCACAATGGCTCATGCCTGTAATCCCAGCACTTTGGGAGGCCGAGGAGGGTGGATTGCTTGAGCCCAGGAGTTCAAGATGAGCCTGGGCAACATAGTGAGACCCTGTCTCTACAAAAAATACAAAAATTAGCCAGGCATGGTGGTGTATGCTTATAGTCCTGGCTACTTGGCAGGCTGAGGCAGGAGGGTTGCTTGAGCCCAGGATGCAGCGGTTGCAGTGAGCCTAGATCACACCACTGCACTCCAGCCTGGGCAACAGAACAAGACTCAATCTCAGACGAAAAAAGAAAAATTTTTAAAAAGAAAATACTGTACAATTACTTGTTAGGAAAGTATGCCTGTGCATTTTTTTAAGGTTTTTTGTTTGTTTGTTTTTCACAGTGGAAGTTAAACTAGAGTTTTGGCGATATTCAGTTAACCAATTAATCATTATTGCCCAGTTGCAAAGGATTTCCAGAAATCCTTATTTTTTTAAATTACCGTGATTTTCAGTCATCAGTGTCATAGTGTTAATTTTTATTCATTGTTTGGTAGTACGTGAGGAGTTGGACAAAGCAATGTGCTTCTCCAATTTTTGTAATTAGTCTATTTAGAGTCCATAATAGGCAGTTTTGAGAACTTTCTTTTTGGAGATAAATTGTCTGCTTAATTTTAATATATAACTACATATATGTAATATATAATTATATATTATAAATACAATGATTCATATATATAATTTCTAAGTATGTATTCCTTGTGTGACAAGTAGCATGAATTTAAAAATAGCTTCTTAATCAAAATTCACTATCTTGTGCTTGTCTATTATATAACTGTTGATGATAATTGCATAGTCTGACATAAATAATCCTAATAGTTTATATCTCTCTTCCAGATTTTATTAAACAAAGACGAGCAGGACTAAACGAATTCATTCAGAACCTAGTTAGGTATCCAGAACTTTATAACCAGTAAGTAATTTTTGTTGCGTTCTAAAGGGACATTAAAACTAAACCTAAGAATACTGAATAATCCTTATATAAATTTTGTTTGTTCTATGAAATGTTACTGTGCTATATATGTTTGTAAAATCTTCTTTGAGCATTTTCTCCCTGATACTCTTTCTCCCCTTTTCTCTTCATCTTAGTTATTTTCTTTTTTCCTTTTGTACTTGCATTAGTTTTATAGATTATACTTGAAATGAATTTGCATAATAAATTAAAGCATCTTGCTAATTATTTGATATTATATTTTATCTATACCTTCAAAAAGCATTTAAGTACCTGCTACTTGCATTGGGAATATAAAGCTAAGTGTCGTCCCTACCGTCCAGAGGCACAGGCTCCCAGTGTAGTGGGCAAAACAGGCATATATTAATAAACAAGTAATTGAAGCTGGATAATTTTTATGATAGAGGTGCTAGAAGATAGCAGAGAAAGGTGTAGGCATATCTTCTTGAGGAGGTAAGGAAGGCTTCCTGCAACTTAAAGGGTGTGTAATCATTCGAGAAAAAAAGAAGGCTTTCCAGGCGTAACAGGATACAGAAAGCCTGAACCGTCAGGACACTTAACATTTCATGGTGACTGGAGCTGAGTAGATTTTTGGAAAGAAGACGAGATTGAAGGAGTTGTCTGGGGTTGGGTGCACATGCCACCATTTCTGCTTCACTTGGGACAGTGTTCTGTTGACCCACATGAGGCCTCCAGTCTTTCTCAACACAATAGTCCAGCAGCCATTAAGATAAAGGCGCTTTCCCAGCCCTGTGGGTGTCTCATGCGGACAGGTTTAAACTTCTTTCTGTAGGCCAGTAGCTCCCAGCTAGGAAGATAGAGGGTTGTATCAGAAATACCTACAAAAACATTGGTAGATATATGGTTTGGCTTGTGTTTTCATTTTTGAGTCTGGTAGTTGGTTTATGAGTATTCATTACATTTATTGTGGTTTGTAATTTATGTTATAGTACTTGTATGTATAAAGTATTCTAAGAGGAAATGAAGAGGATAAAATATTTGGAGAGCTTTTCTGCAGCTCACCTATCTCTGTAAACTAAAGGTTGCCTATGGGCAATGGTGTAAATATGACACACTTTAACAGTCTTTTCGGAACCACAACATTGAAGAACTGTATTTTTGAGTAATTGTTCTAAAAATGATGATTACCATTTATATGGTTCTTTATAGCTCACAGAGGCCTTCTACTATTCTGAACAGGCCCTCTGATCTGCTTTTTAAATTTACTTAATTGAATTTACTAAATTACTAAAATGCTAAAACTGGATCTCCTCTGACAAGGTCTTCTGGTCAGAGATATGGATTTCCCCTGATGCTCCCAGGTAAGGCAAGGGTCAGGCAGGTCTCACAGCTGTGGTCACACCAGCATTAGACAGTGCAGTAAGAACAGGTATCCTCTGCCACCTCTGGCAGGTGGCAGAAGGGCATGAAATTTGGTAGGATACTTGAACTCACAGTTCCCTTGTCTAGTCTCTTCCTCAGTAAAAAGTCTTACTATTTGGCTCTTTGTTTTTATTTTCTTAAACATTATGCCTTTTCCTGGGGATATACGCTATGCTATCTTCACCTTAGACCCACCCTTCTATCTCTAATTGTTGCTGTATACATTGGAGATTACTTTGAATTGGCATATTACTGGCTTGTGTGAAATGTAATTCATGCATTCAAAGCTTGAATTTGTCTCTTCCTTTGACGAGCGGGCATGGAATAAGTATGCAATAAATGGTAGTGGTTGTTACTTCTCCTAGTATTTTAAGTTACTCAGAACCCCTAACACTATATAATATATAAAGTATTCATTCTGGATCTTGATGTGCAGTATTATAAAGATGTTATATTTGGCATTAAAATTAAACTAAAAGCAATTGGATTATTTTAAATTGCCAGTTTCCAAAATCTTATACTGTGAAATACACAGTTCTTGAGTGTACAATTCAATGGATTTTTAAATATATATACACCCTGTAACCATCACCATTCCATTCATGATAGAAGATATTTCCAGCACCCCAAAAATAGTCAAGAGTTTTTTAAACTTAATTTTTTTTTTGAGACGGAGTCTCACTGTGTCGCCCAGGCTGGAATGCAGTGGTGTGATCTCAGCTCACTGCAAGCTCTGCCTCCTGGGTTCATGCCAGTCTCCTGCCTCAGCCTCCCCAGTAGCTGGGACTACAGGGGCGCACCACCACGCCCACCTAATTTTTTTTTGTATTTTTAGTAGAGACGGGGTTTCACCATGTTAGCCAGGATGGTCTTCATCTACTGACCTCATGATCTGCCCGCCTTGGCCTCCCAAAGTGCTGAGACTACAGGCGTGATAAACTTAATTTTTTAACTGGCATTTTCTTTTTAGCAAAATGTGACATTTCCTTTTTTTTTTTTTTTTTTTTGTGTGTGAGACGGAGTCTTGCTCTGTAGCCCAGGCTGGAGTGCAGTGGCGCAATCTCAGCTCACTGCAACCTCTGCCTCCCAGGTTCAAGTGATTCTCCTACCTCAGCCTCCCAAGTGGATGGGATTACAGGTGCGCGCCACCACGCCTGGCTAATTTTTGTATTTTTAGTAGAGACGGGATTTCACCATGTTGGTCAGGTTGGTCTCAATCTCCTGACTTCGTAATCTGCCTGCCTCGGCCTCCCAAAGTGCTGGGATTACAGGCGTGAGCCATCGCACCCGGCCAACATTTCCTATTTTCTAGATCTTTTCTGCTGTTGACAGAATTTTAATTTTCACGCTCTTCATTTGAACATCAAGCTGTTCTTAAGACAGTAGAAATTTAAGAGGGCAAGAAGAGAAGCCAGTCAGCAAGTGTATCTTGAGCACCTCCTATATACCTGTTATTACTGTTAAGGAAACGTACTTTATTTTTATTTTTTATGTTTTTGAGACAGACTCTCGCTCTATCGCCTAGGCTGGAGTGCAGTGGCGTGATCTCGGCTCACTGCAACCTCCGCTCCCTGGGCTCAAGCAGTTCTCTCACTTCAGCCTCCTGAGTAGCTGGGATTACAGGTGTGAGCCACTACACCCAGCTAATTTTTGTATTTTTAGTAGAGGCGGGGTTTCATCAATGGGCCAGGCTGGGTTGGAACTCCTGACCTCAGATGATCTGCCTCCCAAAGTGCTGGGATTACAGGCATGAGCCACCGTGCCCAGCAGGAAATGTGCTTTTAAAATAGCTTTTCTTCTGGCCAGGCACAGTGGCTCACGCCTGTAATCTCAACACTTTGGGAGGCCGAGGCAGGCGGATCATGAGGTCAAGAGATGGAGACCATCCTGGCCAATATGGTGAAACTCCATCTCTACTAAAAATACAAAAATTAACCAGGCATGGTGGCCTGTGCCTGTGGTCCCAGCTACTTGGGAGGCTGAGGTAGGAGAATCGCCTGAACCTGGGAGGCAGAGGTTGCAGTGAGCCAAGATCGTGCCACTGCACTCCAGCCTGGCGACAGAGTGAGACTCCATCTCAAAAAAAAAACAAAAAAACAAACGGAGTTTCACCTGCCTCAGCCTCCCGGGTAGCTGGGACCACAGGTGTGTGCCACCACACCTGGCTAATTTTTGTATTTTTAATGAAGACAGGGTTTCCTCATGTTAGCCAGGCTGGTTTCAAACTCCTGACCTCAAGTTATCTCCCCCCTCGGCCTCCTGAAGTGCTGGGATTGTAGGTGTGAGCCACCACGCCCAGCCAAAAAAGCTAATTTTTAAGATTACTTTATTAAAAACAAATTTTAAAATCATTTTCAAACTATAATAAAATGTTAGTATTTCTCTCATCTCTGGATGAAAAAGGGTTTTCTGAGCATATTGTCAGTGAATGACATTATCACAAAGTAAAACAATGAAAAATTTGACTAATAAAAACTTTGTGCACGGTGGCTCATGCCTTTACTCCCAGCACTTTGGGAGGCTAAGGCAGGCAGATCACTTGAGCCCAGGAGTTCAAGACCAGCCTGTGCAGCATGGCAAAACCCCCTCTCCAGAAAAAAAAGGCAAAAAATCAGCCTGTCATGGTGGCATGTGCCGGTAGTCCCAACTGCTCAGGAGGCTGAGGTAGTGAGGTAGGAGAATCACCCGAGCCCAGGAGATCCAGGCTACAGTGAGCTGTGATTATCCCACTGCAGTCCAACCTGGGTGGCAGAGTGAGACCCATCTCTAAAACAGCAAAAGCAAAAAAACAAAGCAAAACTTTTGAACCCCCAAATCATAAGTAAGTAAAATTGAAAACCAAAAATATAGAAAAAGCTTTCCATGATAAAGGACGATAGATAAATACATTTAACATAGAAGGAACCCATGCAAACACTTGACACACCAAAACAAAACAAAACAGAACAAAACACATTGAATGGTTCACAAAGAAGGACACAGAAATGGCTTACTGTCAGAGAAACTAAACATTTCCTTGTGTATTTAAGAAATGAAATGGAAGCAGAAATACCTTATTTTAATTTTATTGCATCATAACAAAGAGAAAAGTGCCCAGATCAGGACTGTACAGCTCAATAAATTATGAGAAATAAATGTAACTGAATTATATCATCCCCTTAGGCCAAAAAAGAAAATATTATGAACACCCCTGAGATCTCTTACACATCCTCTTTCAATCTCTGTTTCTTTCTTCCTTCCCAAAGGTAACTACCAGCCTGACTTTTAACAAAACAGATTAGTGTGTGCCCTGTTTTTGAACTTTATATAAATGGAATCATACAATATGTGTTATCTGTCTGGCTTATTTCCCAGCAATGTGAGAGTCATCCATGTTGTCTCATTAACTATAGTTTGCTCATTTCCATTGCTGTATAATGTTCCATTGTATGAGTATACCACAGTTGATGCATTCTACTGTTGATGGGCATTTCAGATACTAATATTTCTATTTTCTGACTATTATAAATAATATTGCCATTAGCATACCTTTTGGTGCACATGTGCCAACATTTCTGATATATCTTGGAGTAGAACTTGTGGGTTGTAGAGTATATGTATGTGTTTAACTTTAGTGGATAATGCAAAATAGTTGTGCAAAGTGATTTACCAGTTGTACACTTTCCATCAGCATGTGAAATCACGTTGCTTACCTCATTAACACTTAGTATTGTTAGTCTTCCATTTTAGCCATTCTGGTGAGTGGGTAATGGTATCTTACTGTTGCTTTAATTTTGCATTTCACTTATTACTGTAAGCAATACTGAGTACTTCCTCTTTAAAATACAGTTTTTCACATCAAATTATCCAAGATGTTAATATAAAATGTAACATTTAATGCTAACCAAGCCTGAGAGTCTTCAGGATGTTCATATACTGCTAGAAGAGTATAAATTGGTACAGCTGCTCTGGAAATCAGTCTTACAAACTGTATTTGTTTAATACTGTAAAATGGTTTATAATTCAGACGAGTAATTTTATTTTTAAAAATCTGTTCTGAAAGTTGTAGAGTTCTAATACTATGCACAAAGATTGTCAACTGCAGCATTGTTTATGGTAATGAAAAGTTGGAAGTCATACCCTCAAGTGGAAGAATCATTGAGTAATTTTTAGTACATTCATGTTATATATCATGTATCTATCAAAAGTGATTGTTTACAAAGTTTTTAACAAGATGGGGAAATGTTTATTATGTAATTTTAAAGTGAAAATTTAAATATATTGTGATCTTAAATGTGCAGAGAAAAAGACTGAAATAAAATATGCCAAAATGTTAACAGTGGTTGCTTCCATGTGGTAAGATTGAAAATCCCCACCCCTACATTTTATAAACCTTTTTTATTAAGTTAAAAATTCACCATTTTAATTATTCTAAAGCATACAATTCAGTAGTTTTTGTTTTTTTTGTTTTTGTTTTTGTTTTTTGTTTTTTGGTTTTTTTTTTTGGAGACAGAGTTTTGCTCTGTCACCCAGGCTGGAGTGCAATGGCACCATCTTGGCTCACAGCAGACTCCGCCTCCTGGGTTCAAGAGATTCTCCTGCCTCAGCCTCCTGAGTAGCTGGGACTACAGGTGCGTGCCACCACATCCGGCTAACTTTTGTATTTTTAGTAGAGACAAGATTTCACTATGTTGGCCAGGCTGGTCTTGAACTCCTTACCTCATGATCCACCCGCCTCAGCTTCCCAAAGTGCTGGCATTACAGGTGTGAGCCACTGCACCCAGCCCAGTAGTTTTTAGTGTATTCACGATGCTTTACAACCATCATCACTAATTCTATCACCCCAAAGCTAATCTAACATTTTCATCACCTTAAAAAGAAACTTTACCTCCAAATTATCTCCTCCCCCAGCCCTTGGCAACCACTATTCTACTTTCTGTCTGTACAGATTTGCCTATTAAAATGAAATTATATACTAGGTGACTTTTTTTTTGCCTTTGTTCATTTAGCATAATATTTATGAGCTTCATTCACGTTATAGCATGTGTTAGTGCTCTTCGTTCCTTTTTATGGCTAATATCACATTGTATGGATAACACCACATTTTGTTTATCCATTCATCTATTGGTGGACATTTGGGATATTTCCACTTTTTGGCTATTATGAATAATGCTGCTATGAGAAATCATGAATGAGTTTTTATGTGAACATATGTTTTTATTTCTCTTGGGTCTTTGCCTAGGTTTGGAATTGCAGGGTCATAAGGTAACTCTGTGTTTAACTTTTCAAGGAACTGCCAAACTGTTTTCCACAGTGGCTGTACCATTTTACATTTACACCAGTCCAATTCTTTTTATTTTTATTTTTTTCCTATTTTGTTTATTTATTTTTAGAGACAAGTTGTTGCTTTGTCACCCATGCTAGAATGCAGGGGTGCAATCTTGGTTCACTGCAGCCTCAGCCTCCTGGGCTCTAGTGATTCCCCTGCCTCAGCGTTCTGAGTAGCTAGGATGACAGGTGCACACCATCATGCCTGGGGTTTTTTATTTTATTTTTTGTGGAGACAGAGTCTTGCTATGTTGCCCAGGCTGGTATCTAACTCCTGGCCTCAAATTATCCTTCCGCTTCAGCCTCACAGAGCATTGGGATTACAGGCATGAGCCACCACTCCTGGCTAAGGCCTCCTCTTTTTAAAAATAATTTTTCATCTTTTGAGTTTCCTGGAAATAATCAAATATTATTTGATTAAATAATTAAGGACAGATTGGGGAGAGGGTGCCGGGTATGGAGATTTAATTATTCCCCACAGTCGTCATGAGTCCATCTGTGGGCCATCTCTAATTTTAGTCCGTTTTTTTCTCTTCATCCTTCTTCTTCATAGCCATTTCCTCATCCCCCTTGTTGATACCCACTTTAATGTGTTTGATATATGTCCTTATATGTCTGTGTATCTTTGGTAAACAGACTGATGCTTTATGTCTATGAGTATTTTATATATATATATAAAAATGATACTGTGTTATAGTTTCTTGCTTCTCGCTGTTGACTGGTATTCCCTATAGGCAGTTACCATAGTTGACTTACTCATTTCCCTGGTGGTAAATGTCTATTTTGCTTCTAACTTACTGTTACAGAAAATGCTGCAATGAACATTATAATTACATGCCTTTCACTGGACCTGCACATAATTTTTTTTTTTTTGAGACAGAGTCTCGCTCTGTCACCCAGGCTGGAGTGCAGTGGCACAATCTCGGCTCACTGCAAGCTCCGCCTCCCGGGCTCACACCATTCTCCTGCCTCAGCCTCCCCAGTAGCTGGGACTACAGGTGTCCGCCACCACGCCCGGCTATTTTTTTTTTTTTTTTTTTTGTATTTTTACTGGAGACGGGGTTTCACCATGTTAGCCAGGATGGTCTCGATCTCCTGACCTCGTGATCCGCCCGCCTCTGCTTCCCAAAGTGCTGGGATTACAGGCGTGAGCCACTGTGCCTGGCCAGCAGCACATAATTTTTTCTATGGTTTACCCCAAAAATTAGAATTTCTGGGCCCAGGGAAAATACATACACAGTTTTACCAAGTATTGCCAGATTGCTTTTCAGAAAAGTTGCTTCATTCTGAATTGTCACCAACAATATTTGAACATTTCTCTTTCCCTATTTTTTTTTTTTTTACCAACTTTTGGTATTATCTGTCTTTCTAACTTTTGCCAGGTAACGGACATAACGTGATATCTCATTATCATTTTAACTTATATTTCTCTGATTATTAGTGAAGTTAGCCATCTTCACAAATTTGCTGCCATTTGGGTTTTCTTTTCCATGAACTGCCTGTTTATATGTTTGCCCATTTGTCTATTGGTTTCTCTATTAAAAAAAAAATTAATTTGCGTATTACATTTATAATAATGAATATTAATGGATTCTGTTTTACTTTCTTACTGTAAATACTAATATAGTTATTTCTATTTTGATTTTCATTTTAAAAGGGAGAAAGGCTGTAGAAATGCTTTTGAAGTTATAATAAAGTTAATTTTTGTTTTTAGTCCAGATGTCAGAGCATTCCTTCAAATGGACAGTCCAAAACACCAGTCAGATCCATCTGAAGATGAGGATGAAAGAAGTTCTCAGAAGGTAGTAAGAGGAATTGCCTTTCTTAATAGAAAAAATACTATTCCAAAGGTGAAATTAGTGGCTTTAGGACACTTACTTCAAATGAAGTAATTTCATCCATAGTAGAGTTTCTACTATGTAGAACACATAAAAACAAATGCATATACCTCTTACAGATCACTATTTCTTTTTTCTTTTGAGATGGAGTCTCACTCTGTCACCCAGGCTGGAGTGCAGTGGCATGATCTCAGCTCACTGCAACCTCCACCTCCCAGGTTCAAGCGATTCTCCTGCCTCAGCCTCCCCAGTAGCTGGGATTACAGGCGCCTGCCACCATGCCTGGCTAATTTTTGCATTTTTTCAGTAGAGATGGGATTTCACCATGTTGGTCAGGCTGGTTTCAAACTCCTGACCTCAAATGATCCACCTGCCTCAGCCTCTCAGAATGCTGGGATTACAGGCATGAACCACTGTGCCCAGGCCACAGATCACTATTTCTTATAAAACCTATAGAATGAGTACTTTTTTACTAAAAAGTAATATAGGTTAATCAGACAAATTTGAAAATAGGTAAAAAGAAAAGTATTATCCATATTATTGCACCCACACCTAAAAATTTTTAACATCCTGGTGATTTTCTTTCCAATCTTCTCTAATGTATAGGGTTTTAAAATTACTTAATTTTAATTATGCAGTGTATACAGTTTTATATTCTGCTTTCTTCACTTCACATCTTATTTTATCATTATTGCCACCCTTGAAACTATGTTGAATTTTGGCCAACAGAAGAGGCCTTCTTGACCACATTACATCCCACTTACTCTGCATTGTCAGGATTTTATATACAGAACAGTCAATACATACATGCCAGTTGGCATCAACTAACTTTTATTTCTGTGATATATGTACATAATTAATGTGTGTTCCTAACAGAGAATAGGGTAGCCTTGTTTTTTTTTTTTTTTGTTAATTTTTTTTGAGATGGAGTCTCGCACTGTTGCCTAGGCCAGAGTCAGTGGCGTGATCTTGGCTCACTGCAAGCTGTGCCTCCCAGGTTCAAGTGATTCTCCTGCCTCAGCCTCCCTAGTAGCTGGGGCTACAGGTGCCTGCCACCACGCCCGGCTAATTTTTGTATTTTTAGTAGAGATGGAGTTTCACCATATTTGCCAGGCTGCTCTCAAACTCCTAACCTTGTGATCCTCCTGCCTCGGCCTCCCAAAGTGCTGGGATTACAAGCATGAGCTGCTGTGCCTGACCAGTGTTGTTTTTTAAACTAGATGTGATAGCAATAAGTAAAATAAGCTTGTGTCTTATTATGAAGATGTTTTCAACATTTACCATTCGAAGGTTATGTGGGAGAAGTAAATTGTAATAATTTAACTGTAAGTATTATTATGTAGCAATTAAATTATTATAAATGTTATATAACTATATCTACATAATTTAAACTTTTAAACAACTATTATTAAATATATGCATGAAAATCAGAGATGATGGGTTGAAATACAGTTTTTCTTTATAATGCCTTTTAATTTTGTTATGGTTCTGTTTTTGTGATTTAAAAGATAATATGGTGCATTGGAATATTACTGTCCTAGAGCTAAAACCTTCATTTTGAAAAAAGACATATTCCTTTTTTGTGACTACTGGAAAGTAGTAATTTTCCTTCTCCAATACCCCAAGAAGATTCTCAGTTAAGAGAACAAATGTTACTTTTACATCTGTGACATGGTTGCTCCTAGGACAATGTAAAAAGCTTTAAAAAAAATCTCTGTAGCTGGTCAAAAGAGAAACAACAAACTGGGAAAAGATTTGTAACAAATAAGGCATAAGAAGAAATAACGTCTGTGTGAAAAGCCCATACAAATGGGTTTTTGAAAAGAATGATACTTAACACCATAGTAGATAAAAGGAAATGGGGCATGAAGGAATACTCTTAGTAAAAAAACATAGAGGAAAATGTTGAACGTTGATGCTATTAGCAAATGAAAATCTTAGAGATTTTTATTGCTCTACCAAATTAAAAAAAAATGTACAGTAAAATATTGCAGAACTGATAACAGTAAGGTAAAACAAGCACCCTTGGTCATCATTGGTGTCATAATTTTATGCAACTCTTTTGGAAAGCAATTCAGCAGTACATATCAAATATAAAAATATTCACATCAGGAATTGATGCAAATGGAATAATCCACACAGAAAAAAGCAAAAGATGTTCATTTCAGTATGATCTGTTAAAAACAATATTAGACTCAACCTAAATATTGACCAGTCACTTAGTGTTTGTCCATATATGTTATACATTTTAAATTATTTTTCAAGATCAGATGTTAAGCTTTGACACATCAAATGAAATCAGTATTTAAAACATATGCATATTCACACAGTATGATTTACAGTCAGTTTTTTAAAAAGATATGCAAATACTATATGAAAGTAGTGTAAATATTTGCAAAATTATATATTGGTAAGGTTATGGATTTTAAAAAACCTTTTTCCTAATACTTTTGACATTTTCCAACTATTAGTATTTTTAATTGAAAAATGAATGATTTCAAGTAATGTTTTTAAAATCTATGTAACCATGATTTTCCATGTTTTGCTTGCTACTCATGTGAGACTAGGTAGGTTTAGGTTATTTGAAGCCTATCTTGCCTTGCAGTGGAAGACAGCTGCAGACAACTCGAAGATAGAACCAAGCTGAGAGATTTCTGGGTTCTGCCGCTGTTGGCTTTAAATCTGAGTTTTGTTCCTTTTTTTCTTTTTTCATCCATAGTGTCTGAAACTTCCACTAGAATCCCTTGAGGTTTTAAAATACAGATAAAAAGAATCTCTTTTAAAAAAGGAAAAAGCCATACTTTGTTGTATAATTGTAACTACTTATTAAGGACTTTTTTTTTTTTTTTTTTTGAGACAGTCTCGCTCCGTCGCCCAGGCTGGAGTGCAGTGGCATGATCTTGGCTCACTGCAAGCTCCGCCTCCCAGGTTCATTCCATTCTCCTGCCTCAGCCTCCCGAGGAGCTGGGACTACAGACACCCACTACCATGCCCGGCTAATTTTTTGTATTTTTTAGTAGAGACGGGGTTTCACTGTATTAACCAGGATGGTCTCCATCTCCTGACCTCCTAGAGTGCTGGGATTACCGGCATGAGCCACCTCGTCTGGCCTATTAAGGACTTTTAAGTGAATAACTAAGTGAAGTTCCTAGCTGGAATATTTTAGAGGGCATCTGGACCTACTCCCTTATTTACACAGAGAAAAATAGAGGCCAAGGGAAGTCAAGAAACTTAAATGATCTCAATTAGTATTCATTCTGTTAATAAATTATACCTCACCCTCAATTTAGTGACTAGATGTTGTCTTCAAAAATAGTAAGTACAATTGTCTAATTCGATATCCTAATACTTTTCATCATTTCAGAAATGTGCTCCATTAGGGGAATCCTTGCCTAAATAATAAAATCTAATTACATATTAACATACTTCAGGGGACAAGTTGTTCATGTTGTTTAATCTGCACTATATTTAATCCTCTTCCTTCATCTTTTTTTTTTGAGATGGAATCTCTCTGTTGCCCATGCTGGAATGCAATGGCTCAATCTCGGCTCACTGCAACCTCCCCCTCCTGGTTTCAAGTGATTCTCCTGCCTCAGCCTCCCAAGTAGCTGGGACTACAGGCGCACGCCACCACGCCAAGCTAATTTTTGTATTTTTAGTAGAGACGGGGTTTCACCATATTGGCCAGGCTGGTCTCGAACTCTTGACCTCGTGATCCACCCGCCTCGGCCTCCCAAAGTGCTGGGATTACAGGTGTGAGCCACCACGCCTGGCCTTCCTTCATCTTTATAAGAAAAATTTATTGAATGGAAAATTAAACCAGTTATCTGCACATTCATTAACAGAAGAAGTGTATTGAAATTACAACTCAGTTTGAATTACATTGTAAGAGTCTAAGGAACACTGAAATATTTTTTTCTTCCGTTTTTATTATGATTTGTTTTGATTATTTTGTAGCAGTTACTTAGTAGAAAGGAACACTGTAATATTTAAACATTAAAGGCAACTCTTAGTTAAAACTATGCCGCAACAGGACTAATCTCATTTAATGAATTTTTTATGTATAGGTATAACAACAGGAAATAAATTTGAATTGTAACTACAACACTGGTGCCAATGTTGTTTTTTCATGAGAAACTTCTTTATTTTATTTTATTTTATTTTATTTTGAGACAGTCTCATTTTGTCACCCACGGTGGAATGCAGTGCCGCTATCTCAGCTCACTGCAACCTCTGCCTCATGAGTTCAAGGGATTTTCCTGCCTCGGCCTTTCGAGTAGCTGGGATTACAGGTGCCCATCACCACACCCAGCTAATTTTTGTATTTTTGGTAGAGATGGGGTTTCACCATGTTGGCCAGGCTGATCTCGAACTCCTGACCTCAGATGATCCACTCGCCTTGGCCTCCCAAAGTGCTGGGATTACAGCCGTGAGCCACCACTCCCGTTCAGAAACTTCTTAAGAACTTTTGAAGGATGAGATGATTTGCCCTTTATTTTAAAAAATAGTTTATATTCTAGATATTACAAATTTGAAATGAATTTAAGTAAAAATAAATACTACATATGTCTATAATAAGAAGTTTGATAAGATAAAATTTTCTTGGCCTGGTGCGGTGGCTCACGCCTGTAATCCCGCCACTTTGGGAGGCTAAGGTGGGTGGATCATCTGAGGTCAGGAGTTCAAGACCAGCCTGGTCAACATGGCGAAACCCTATATCTACTAAAAATACAAAAATTAACCGGGCATGGTGGCGTATGCCTGTAATCCCAGCTACTCGGGAGGCTGAGGCAGGAGAATCGTTTGAACCAAGGAGGTGGAGGTTGCAGTGAGCCAAGATCATGCCACTGCACTCCATCCAGCCTGGGCAACAAGAGTGAAACTCTATCTCAAAAAAAAAAAAAAAAAAAAAAGTATTGGTTCTGATTAGAGAAGTTTTTAAAAGCTTTTTTATATTTATAGCTTATATGAAGTATAATTATATATTATATAGAACACTAGTAAAAGTATACATATTTGAAACATTTATAACTGATTTAATTATCTGAATGTATAAAGAGGTTTAAAGTTCATTTATGTGAAGCAGAATTTACTGACACGTGGCTTTTATAAAAAATGATCACTGATAGGATTACTAGATTAATCTGGGATTTTTGAGTTAAAATTAGAGCTAATTATTAATGAACTAGAATCTTTTATTACTTAAATTTCTTCATAGCATACTAGGTAAATAAAGATTTGCTTCTAAATTAATACCAGGGCTTAAGCTTACTGTGTTAACTGTTGCAAAGAGAAAAGCCTGTATAAAATGTTGGCACTACCACAGTGCTAGAATTAGAAAGAAAAGGCTGAGCACGGTGGCTCACAACTGTAATCCCAGCACTTTGGGAGGCTAAGGCAGGCAGATCACGAAGTCAGGAGATCGAGACCATCCTGGCTAACACTGTGAAACCCCGTCTCTACTAAAAATACAAAAAAATTAGCCGGGTGTGGTGGTGGGCACCTGTAGTTCCAGCTATTCGGGAGGCTGAGACAGGAGAATGACGTGAAGCGGGGAGGCGGAGCTTGCAGTGAGCCGAGATCACGCCACAGCACTCCAGCCTGGGCGACAGAGGGAGACTCCGTCTCAGAAAAAAAAAAAAGAAAGAAAGAAAAGAAAAACACTGCTGTCTATGTTTGCTTTGTCTGTATTTACCTACCATCAAATTAAAATTGAAAACCCAGCATTTGCAATCATCATTGTCATCATCCTATCATTTCTGTCTTTGATAAACTGTTTGAAAACTTGAAAAACAAAAAGCCATTTTTAACCAGTTTTTTAGAAAGTGATCCCTCTTAAATTGCAGTTGCAATACCCACCTCCTCAAAGGAGCTTTCCTCAGTTTATTTCATTTATTTGCCAACTTAGAGCTTGATTTCTGGCTTACCTTTTTTCTTACAACAGTTCTTGAAAACTACCATGAGAAAAATGATTATGTTTTTGTCTATGTGTATTTCCAAGTAAGTCTATACCCTTACTGAGAATCAGGACTTTGGGTTTCTTTAACATGGCAACAAACCAAATATTTGTGGTACAGTTATAAATACTTTATTTCAAAACATTAATTAATTTTTGAAGCTCCAATAAGAATGTTGTTTTTCTTTCCCCACCTTCACAGCTACACTCTACCTCACAGAACATCAACCTGGGACCGTCTGGAAATCCTCAGTATGTTTAATTTGCTTCAAACAATTTTTTAACTGAATTTTAGGAAGATCTTTTTTGAGCGTATGCAGATATGTATAATTACACTAATTTAACTGTAGGCCTTTGAAATATAACCATAGTTACAGTGAATACAGTGCTGTCATATGCTTGTATGCTCCAGCTTTTCACTGCTTTAGGATAGCCCTGAGGAATTTTTAATCCACAGATTGTTAATTGGGTTCTGCTATTTTGTCATTGTCACTTTTCTGGGTGGGTGGGTGGGGGGTGTGTGTGTGTGTGTGTGTGTGTGTGTGTGTCTAAAATCAGTAGACCATATTTCCCAAGGGACCACAAGTCCTATGAGGTCCTCTGAAAAAAAGCACCCTTGCAGGCCTAATTGACATTCTGCTGGTGTTTGGTGTGATTGGTGCACCCCTGTTGTTAGCCAGCTTCTTCCAGAGGAGTCATAATGGACATTAGCATATTAAAGGCTATTAAACTTTGTTTACCGAGTTTCTCCCCATATTCCCAGGCTAATTGATTAGTAATGTCTGCCATGGATTGGAGGAGGAATGTGGTCTTGCTGCCCTTACTTGTAATTATCCTTACAGGCGTATTACATTTACTCTGAAGTGTTTTTTTATTCTAGGCTTTCCCTACCCTTTCCCTACCCTTTTGCTCTACTTGGAGAATGATTATAGGCAGATGGGAGAAGTGGTCCAAGGACTGCGTCCTGGTACACTTCAACATTATGAGATCAGGAAAGAACTGCTAACAGAGACTGAGAAAGAGACAGTAAGATAAGAGAAAAACCAGGAATATGGTTTCCTGAAGTCAGGGGAAGAGTGCCTAAAAGAGGAGGGAGTAATTATCTCTGTTAATGTTGCTGATAGGGCAAGTAAGATGAAGATTGAAAATTGACCACTGGATTTCATGAAGTCATTGGTGACTTTTAATGAGCAGTTTCAATGGTGTGGTGGTTGATATAAGACCCTGATCAGAAAGGGTTCACAAGAGAACTAGAGGAGAGGACAGCGGGTAGAGACAACGAGTTTACAAAACTTACTTGAAGAGTTTTTGCTTCAAAGGAAAGCAAATAAATACGATGCTAACTGGAAGTTTGGTTTTAAGCATTCTTTTCTGTTGTTCATAGCATTGAACAAAAATGGCAGCACAAAAAATGGATTTTTTTTTTTTTTTTTTTTATTGAGACAGAGTCTCGCTCTGTCGCCTAGGCGGGAGTCCAGTGGTGCAATCTCCACTCACCGCAGCCTCTGCCTCCCAGGTTCTCCCTCCTGAGCCTTCTGAGTACCTGGGATTACAGGCAGCCACCATCATGCCCAGCTAATTTTTGTAGAGACAGGGTTTCACCATGTTGGGCAGGCTGGTCTTGGAACTCCTGATCTCAGGTGATCTGCTTGCCTCAGTCTCCCAAAGTGCTGGGATTACAGGCATGAGCCACTGTGCCTGGCCAAAAATGGAAATTTGCCTGAAGTTAAGGTTCATCTCCAGCAGTTAACAGTGAGGCTTGGAGTATGGCCTCAGCTCGCCTATTTACTGTTTGAGGGACCTGCATGCTTTTCACTGTTAGATTTGTTTACAAAGTTATTTCAGTACCTCTGCATATCTTTAAAGAAGAAAATAGTTCAAAGAGCAGGTTTTTGAAGAAGAAAAACATCTAAATATAGTTAAGTGTTTATCTCACTAGTCTTTACCTGTCATTATTTAACCTAGTTCTGGTTTTACTCTCATGTTTGAATTAACGATTTTTTGATGATTAAGCAAATTTCAAATCTAAATGGATTTATTCCCCTCTTCCCATACAACTTATGAATTCAGACCATGTTGGAGGAAACGGCTCTTTTGGCTGCTTAAGCTCCCCTTTCTGCTGCCGTGTGTTTTTGTCTACATAACAGCCAATGCTGTTTTTACCTGATAGGTTAAGTTAACATAAATAAAAGGGCAGTCTTGCTTTTCTCTTCCTGGTTTTCCTATATTACCGTTCATGAGAATAAGCTGAGAAGTATTTTATCTTTAATGTACAATAAGTGGTTTATATGAAACACTGTAATGACTTTTTTCTCCATCAGAAATTATTCTTAGCGTCTTTACTAGGTGATCCAACTAGCAGCTTCATTTTCAGAAGAATTACCACGTTATATAGTCCTTAGAATGTATCACTTATTTATATAGTTATTTAATTTCCTCAACAACATTGGACCATGATTAATAAAATTGGTTTAGATAGAAGCTATTTCAAGTTCAAAACTCTACATATAGGATATGCATATATCCTTTTCTCCCAAAGAGAGTATTATTGAAGTTCCTCTTAAGCAGAACTTAATGAGGCTTAAAGTTATGAAATGTTTTATCTGATCAGAAAGTAGATATTACTATACATATTACCTACTGTGCATGAAAGATGAAGTACTCAGCAGGAAAGCTAGAGTTAATAGGCTGAAGTGTTTTGTGCCTAACATTTATTTTTTAAAGAGGGAGGTGCTAAGAAATGTTTAAAAGTTAATATTTCCAATTTCTAGGAGGCTAATTCTTATTGTTAATTTATTTCAGTGCCAAACCAACTGACTTTGATTTCTTAAAAGTTATTGGAAAAGGCAGCTTTGGCAAGGTAAGAGTGTTTTGTGAGGTTTTTATTTGGTTTTGGTTTTGGTTTTTTTTTTGGAGACAGGGTCTCACTCTGTTGTCCAGGCTGGAGTGTAGTGGTGCAGTCATAGCACACTTGAACTCCTGGGCTCAAGCCATCCTCCCACCTCAGCCTCCCGAGTAGCTGGGACTATAGGCACACACCAGCATGCCTGGCTAATTTTTTCACTCTTTTGTAGACAGGGCCTTGCTCTCTTGCCCAGGCTGGTCTCAAATTTCTTTCCTCAAGTGATCCTCCCACCTTGGCCTCCCAAAGTGCTGGGATTACAGATGTGAGTCACCATCCCCAGCCTAAAGTGTTTTTATTTTCTCATTCAGTAAATAAGTACTTAAGGAATTTATGCTTTATGTGTGTGAGCCACAGGACTTTTTGGTTTCAGGATATGGAATTAAGATACTTTCCCCACCCTCAAAATACTAACAATAATTAGGGAGAAAAGGCATCTACTCAAATTCTATAATAAAGTTCACTTATTCAGAAGGTGTTTGTTGAACACCTACTGTGTGCCAGATACCCTTCTGGGCCCTGGTTAGAAAAATTATGGAAATTGACATGGTTACTACCTTTGTGGTGCTTACAATCTCGGTGGGGGGATAGTCAATTTAAAATATTCAGTCAAGTAAATAAGTACAAATAATAACAGCAGTGCAGGAAATGAAGAATAGGGTGAAATGACAAAGGACAATAGGCAGCTGAGGGAAGATTCCCACTTACATAGCTTCTCAGAAGACATGCTGTTTAAGCCAAAGCTGGAAAGACAAAAATGAGCAGCTGTGTAAATAACAGTTTGAGAAGGAAACGAATGTGTAAAGACCCTGCTTATTTTCTTATGGTGTCAGATGAATCATGTAACTTGACAGTATAGCCATACCAAGGAAGGAGAATCACTTAAGGCCAGGGTTAACAGGAAAGTATCATAGATGAAGTTATCAGAATCATCGAATATATTTAAGTGCTTTTTTTACAGTGTACTTCAGTCTTTAGTAAAAATGGAATATGTATGTGTTTAATCATATTTTGCTATATTTGTAGCTTTTGGTAACTCTAGTTTGTTTTCTGGGTTTCCTTGAGACTAGAAACTGTGGCTATGCAATTAAACCCATGTATGTTTATTCACTCAGCAAATATATATTATCCACCTGCTACATGCTGAGTATTGTGCTAGTATAAGCAATAGAAAGTTAGAAATTAATCCTGCTCTCAAAATCCCCAAAATTCTATTGGAATGCTTGACATAGTTGTCATTAAGAACAAAAGCATTATCTGTCATTAAAAACAAAAGCATTGTGGCACATACCTGTAATCCCAGCTACTTGGGAGCCTGAGGCAGGAAGATCACTTGAGTTCAGGAGTCCAAGACCAGCCTGGGCAACATAGCAAGACCCCATCTCAAAAAAAAAAAAAGTCATTATCTTTTGGAAACTTCATGTTTAGATCTAGAGTCTTATCAGGATTTGGTTCTTGCATATAATGTGAGGCATAGCGTCACAATTCATTTTTTTCCATGTGGATAACCAGCTGATCTTATACAGTTTATGAAAACTGGTTTTTTTGTTTGTTTTGTTTTTTTTTTTGCCATCTGATGGGCCACCTGATCTGCAGGGCCACCTTTATCATGTATTCACTATTTACACCTTCACAGATCTGTTTTTAGAATTTTTTTTTTTTTGAAGACAGAGCCTCACTCTGTTCCCAGCCTGGAGTGCAGAGTGCAATGGTGGGATCTCCGCTCACTGCAACCTCTGCATCCCAGCTTCAAGCAATTCTCCTGCCTCAGCCTTCCGAGTAGCTGGGATTTCAGGCACACGCCACCGTGTCTGGCTAATTTTTGTATTTTTAGTGGGGACGGGGTTTTACCATGTTGGCCAGGCTGGTCTTGAACTCCTGACCTCAAGTGATCTGCCTGCCTCGGCCTCCCAAAGTGCTGGGATTACAGGCATGAGCCACTGTGCCCACCCTCTTTTTAGATTTTAAGTTTTGTGTTTCTGTTTCTACATTGCATTTCTGTTCATTTTCTGTTCATTGGCCTATCTGTTTATCCTGACACCAGTACCACATTGTTGTGACACCTGTAGCTTGATATCTAACAGAATTAAGTCCTCCCTTCTTCTTCAAGAGACTATTCTTAGCCCTTTGCATATCAATATAAATAAATTTCAGAATCAACATATCAATTTCTGCAGAAATTCTATTTGAATTTGATTGGGATGGCATTGACTCTGTAGATCAATTTGGGAAGAATTATCATCTTTACAATATTGTGTTGTCAAATCCGTGACCATGGTATATTACTTTGTTAATGTAGCTCATCTTTAATTTTTCCCAATACTATTTTGTGGTATTCTGTTTAGAATTTTTTTTGAGATGGAGTTTCACTTTTGTTGCCCAGGCTGGAGTGCGGTGGCGCAATCTCGGCTCACTGCAACCTCTGCCTCCTGGGTTCAAGCGATTCTACTGCCTCAGCCTCCCCAGTAGTTGGGATTACAGGCGTGTGCCACCACGCCCTGCTAATTTTGTATTATTAGTAGAGACAGGGTTTTTCCATGTTGGTCAGGCTGGTCTCGAACTCCCGACGTCAGATGATCCACCCACCTCAGCCTCCCAAAGTGCTGGGATTACAGGCGTGAGCCACCACACCCAGCCAGGTGTTTGGTTTTTTATGCTGTTGAAAATTGGTGTTAATTCTTGAAGCTGAATATATGCGTTACCTATGACACATTGGTTCTACTCCCTAGTTTACATATCCAACAGAAATGAATATCCACTAGGAAAGGTATATACAGGAATGTTTATAGCATCATTATTCATAAATAATCTAATCTATCAGCAAGAGAGTAGATACATTGTAGTGTGTCATATAATGGAATATTCTGCATAACAAAATATGAGAACTATGCTATATGCCACAATGTTAATGAATATTTCATATAATTTAGAGTGAAAGAATTGAGACAGACAGCTTTATCCATGTGATTCTAATTACGTGAAATTCAAAACAGGGCAAAAGTTATCTGTGTTATTTGAAGTTGACATTGTGGTAGTTAGTTACCTTTGAGAAGGAGAAGGGTGAGTCATGACTGGGATTTAGCAAAAGAGAGGCTTTAGGCTACTGGCAGGGTTTTGTTTTGTTTTGTTTTGTTTTGTTTTGTTTTTTTGAACTGCATACTGGTTACATAGGTGTATTCACTTTGTAGCAATTTATTGAGCTGTAGTGATGAGTTTTTCTGTATGTATGCTATGTTTAATAAAAAAATTTAAATCTTGCAAAATGATTAGAAACCAACAAAGTGCACTCCTGTAATCTTAGAAACCAACAAAGTGCACGCCTGTAATCTCAGCACTTTGGGAGGCCCAGACGGGTGGATCACAAGGCCAGGAAATCGAGACCGTCCTGGCTAACACAGTGAAACCCCGTCTCTACTAAAAATACAAAAAAAAATAAATTAGCCCCGTGTGGTGGTGGGCGCCTGTAGTCCCAGCTACTCGGGAGGCTGAGGCAGGAGAATGGTGTGAACCCGGGAGGCGGAGCTTGCAGTGAGCCGAGATCGCGCCACTGCACTCCAGCCTGGGCGACAGAGCAAGACTCTGTCTCAAAAAAAAAAAAAAAAAGAAACCAACAAAGTGCAGTAAAACAAAAGAAGGCTGGGTGCGGTGGCTTACGCCTGTTATCCCAGCACTTGGTGAGGTCGAGGCAGGTGGATCACTTGAGCCCAGGAGTTTGAGACCAGCCTGGATAACATGACAAAACCCCATCTCTACAAAAAATTCAAAAATTAGCCAGGTATGGTGGCACACGCCTGTAGTCCCAGCTATTTGGAAGACTGAGACAGGATGATCACCTGAGCCTTGGAGAGGTCAAGGCTGCAAGTGAGTGAACATTGCACCACTGCAAGATACTCTAGATTTCTTCAGATTCTTTAAAGCGTCTGCATGGGACCCAGCCCACTATAGAAATCCATGGCACTTTTTCTTCTGAACTCTTCTGAATTTAAAACCTGTTAAGAAAAATCTCAGTATGAAACAGTACATTTTGATTACCTAAAAAACATTTCCTTATCCTTGTTAATGTAGCCATGAAGTTTATAACAATATTTTCTACAGGCAATATTTTCTCCTGGAAGTACAGGAGACTTCCAGGATTCAGGGCTGGAGCACATGCATGCATACACACACAAACTTCTCAAGCAGTGTAGATTTGGGCACTTAAATTTAGTTTAAAAAATCTCAAATATCAACACATTAAGTGACAAAGAAAAGGTGCCTGATTACTTGATTTTTAAAACAAAAACATGATCTAGGTCCCTTATGGACTTTCTTTTTACAGAATTTAAGAAGTATTGATGTGTTGACAAGTGAATTATTTCTATCAAAATTTGAAATTTCTAATAGTATACACTAATGTTTAACTATAACAGGTTCTTCTTGCAAAACGGAAACTGGATGGAAAATTTTATGCTGTCAAAGTGTTACAGAAAAAAATAGTTCTCAACAGAAAAGAGGTAAAATAAAATAGTTGTTTCTCTCAAGCCCATTTTCTCAATTAAGAGAGCTGTTTTCTAGTGTATAATACAATTGATCTTTTGCCTTTTTTCCAGCAAAAACATATTATGGCTGAACGTAATGTGCTCTTGAAAAATGTGAAACATCCGTTTTTGGTTGGATTGCATTATTCCTTCCAAACAACTGAAAAGCTTTATTTTGTTCTGGATTTTGTTAATGGAGGGGAGGTGAGTTTTATAATGAGTTTTCTAATGTTAATAGTTTAGAAAAATAGCATAAAGTCAAAGTTTTTCTTGTAAGTTTTAGAAGGACAGTATAAAATCAGTAGCTTTTTATAGCAATAATATTCAAGGTACTGGCTGAGTACAGGATGTGGAGAATTGTAACACAGAGCTTTTAAGCATATGGTATAGTTGAGAAGGTTCATAAAAGAACCTTGATATGAAGCTGCTGGCTTCATGGACAGGTTTGTCACTAAACTGTATAGCAAGAATAACATATTGAAATATTAGAATAAAATGTGATTTGTAATTTAGGCAATTATCTCAACAGTTGCATACAAATATTACTCCAGCTTCTCAGTTTCCAAGATGTGCAAATTATTAATCAGATGAGATAATCCTCTAATAAGGGGCTCTGTGGTGGTAGCTTGGCTCAGTGACTCGCACCTTTAATCTCAGCTACTCAGGAGGCTGAGGCAGAAGGATCACTTGAGTCCAGGAGTTTGAGGCTACAGTAAGCTATGATTGCACTGCAGCCTGGGTAACAGAACGAGACCCCATCTCTTTAAAAAAAAAAAAAAGGCTTTATGATAAAGTCTGTTTTGGAAATGTTTCATGTTATATCCATTTCTTGGTGATTCACAATATGCCTCAGCATGTTAAAGACTTCGAGAAATTCTGCCTTAAACAAAGTCAGGATATCTTTTTTTTTTTTTTTTTTTTTTTGAGACAGCGTCTCACTCTGTCACCCAGGCTGGAGTGCAGTGGTCACAGCTCGCTACAGCCTCAACCTCCTCAAATTGGATATCTTAAGAGAATTTTTTAAAACCGTGCAGTCCCCTTTTTTGTTTCAACCAATCTCTTAAGTATTACACAAAACTCTGATTCAGATGGATATTGAAATACACTTTGGGAAATGCTGCTATTACAATAATTACAATAATAACTAACTTCCATTGAGTATTACTTAGTATCCATCACTCTGGCTCTTTGTACATATAATTTTACCTTCACAACAATCTATAGTAAGACTGACTGAGGCACAGAGAAGCTAGGTAGCTTGTAGAAGTAATGTGGTTAGTATCAGAGGCAGGGATTGAACTGAGGCAGCCTGATTCCAGGATCTAGGCAGCTGACCTCTCAACCCTCACACCTTTCTAATTTGTTTGGTCTTTGAACTGTGAATGTCTAAAAAATTTTTTTAACTAATAGGTATTGTCATATCTTTACAAAGGGATCTTTCATTCCCCAATCTCTGAGCAGAAAATGACTATTTCAGCATTTAACTGTAGAAGAAAGGAACTGTAAGGAAAATTAGTTAATATTCTGCAAAACCGAAAGATGGTCAGACACACCTAGATCATTTTGGGGGAAGATTGTAAAAAGAATGATTATTCACCTTTCTACATCTGTCACAAAAGTCCCTTAAGGCCAGGTGTGGTGGCTCAACACCTATGATCCCAGCAATTTGGGAGGCCGATGTGGGTGGATCACTGGAGCCCAGGAGTTCAAGACTAGCCTGGGCAACATGGCGAAACCCCATCTCTACAAAAAAAATAACAAAAATTAGCTGGGCATGGTGACATGCCTCCGTAGTCCCAGCTACTCAGGAGGCTGAGGTGGGAGGATTGTTTGAGCCCAGGAGGTTGCGGCTGCAATGAGCCATGATCACACAACTGTACTCCAGCCTGGGTGACAGAACAAGACCCTGTGTCAAAAAAAAAAATTCCCTTAAGACTCTTCAGTGTAGAGGCAAGATTATCCATCTCTCAGGCATCCTGATTCATTGATGCAGGTGACCCCACATTGTTTTCACCTTGAAGGTTGTCGTTTAATTTTGTGTGTGCCCAAGTGCTGACAGATAAAGAGAATTTATTGAGGCTTGGCACTTTGCAATTATTTTACATGCATTATGTCAGTAAATCACAACTCTTTCAGAAAACACTATTATGCCCATTTAATTTGCCATGGCATTTATATTAAATGCCATGAAATTTTCTTTCTTATTTATTTATTGAGACGGAGTCTCTCTCTGTCACCAGGCTGGAGTGCAGTGGTGCGATCTCAGCTCACTGCAACCTCCAACTCCCTGGTTCAAGCGATTCTCCTGCCTCAACCTCCCGAGTAGCTGGGATTACAGGCACGTGCCATGACGCCCAGCTAATTTTTGTATTTTTAGTAGAGACGGGGTTTCGCCATGTTGGCCAGGGTGGTCTCAAACTCCTGACCTCATGATCCACCCGCCTCAGCCTCCCAAAGTGCTGGAATTAAAGGCGTGAGCGACCGCACCTGGCTGAAATTTTCTTATTTATAAATAAGAAAATTGAGGTTCGGAGAGGTTAAATAACTGTCTCAATGTTACGGTGTTCTAGTAAGTGTCAGACCCTGCATTTAACCTAGATATCTCGACTGCAGAGCCCATTCTTAAGTGCCACCTTGTGTCTTTGAAATGTTCATGTGAAGCATCTAAGTGCAGGTGAGATACCACTGCGAGCTCCCTGCTTTATGTGTGGTTTCTTCGTGCTCTTTTAGGGCTTTGCTTCTGAGACCTTTTTGTACAGTGACTGCTCACTGGCAAAGAATGGAAGAGGAAGGCTTGTCATCTGAAAGATGCAAGATAATGAAAAAAGGAGAATAAAATACAATAGAATGCCAGGGTGGGTGGAGGAGAAGTTGAGTGGGTAATAGGTAGACAAGGGTTAAAGATGAGGAGAAAGGATAGGAGTGTGGTTTCCATACATTATTACTCTTATTTTCCCCCAGTGTTCATACTTAAAAATTTTAACTTTGACATACGAATACTTAGCTTTGTATACTACTTCATATCTTTTTTAGAGCAAAGTAGAATAAAAACAAATAAGTTTTATGACACTTGGCAGATGAGCAAGCCTCTCTGAGCCTCAGCTTCCGATTTCCTGAGTCAAAATTGTTGGCTAATGTCCACATAGGAGATATCAACATTGAGGTGGTGGTTAAAACCAACAGAATGGATAAAGTTACCTGGGAAGGGTATTTGGAGAAAAAATAACACGTGGACCAAGGGCAGAAACCCTGTCATCCCTGCATTTTCCGAGGCCAGAAAGGAGCAGAGATGGAATTCACCAAGACTCAAGGAGAGATTTTTGTCTTAGAAGCCAAGGGACCCAGTGGAAACTTCCCCCAGGCAGTAACCTTAGTTAAAGGCCAGGTTATAAGAAATAAATTAAAAATTAGGAAGTATAAGAAATGAACTAGAAAGTCCAACTGCTGTTTAGCTGCAGCCGGTTGCTGCTGCTGTGAAGTGTAGGCCTAATGGTCCAGAGCTTATCTTTTTAAAAAAAAAAACTAAAACCATGAATTTTTACCCCCAAATTCCCAGTTTTTAATGTTATCAACTAATTCAGATTTTTTGAAAAACAGTATTTGGCTCAAGTAAATTATATGTATGGAGATATATATATATATATATATATATATATATATATATATATATATATATATATATATATATTTTCATATGGGTTATATTTGTTCTGCTGGGCTCTAGTTTTTAATCTCTGAATAGTGTTTGTTTTTTTCAAATGGAAAACATAGTCCAGAAAGGCCCTGTAAGATAATTACATGGCAGTATCAAGATCGTTGATCTTCATCGATAATCTTTTCCAGAACAGTTGCCTGGAAGGGTGAGGACATTTTTGCATTAAGTAGTAAATGGGAGATGAGTGACATTAGCAAGGGTAAACAAAGACACGTGGTTGAAGAGAGAGAATGATTGTTAGGTGGGGACATGGATGAAGGGGAGTCACATTTCTGTGCCTTGTTAACATTTTTAGCTCACATTCAAAGTAACAAAGAACAATTCCTACCTTTGTATTTACCGAATATATTTGTTTAATGCTATGTGTGAATGATCCTAACATTCTCTCTCCCCCCACCCCCACAACCAATTTGACAGCTTTTTTTCCACTTACAAAGAGAACGGTCCTTTCCTGAGCACAGAGCTAGGTTTTACGCTGCTGAAATTGCTAGTGCATTGGGTTACTTACATTCCATCAAAATAGTATACAGGTACAATTTTAAAATATACTTGTAAAAATTGTATATAACAATATTTTATTTCGGTTTGTATTCAGTTTTGCGTTTCTTTCCTTTTAATTTGATAGAGACTTGAAACCAGAAAATATTCTTTTGGATTCAGTAGTAAGTATTCTCTTTTAAAAATCTACTAGTTCTCAATTTTTGTTGTTGCTTTTATGCTTAGTGCAAAAAAAGTCTCAGAGATTCTGTACTGCGTTATTTTATTTATATAACATTCTCAAAATGACAAAACGGTAGGGATGGAGAACAGATTAGTGGTTGACAGGGTCCAAGGGGATAGAGAGTGCAAAGATAAAGGGGTAGCATTAGGGAAGTTCCTTTGGTGGTGGTTACACAAATCTATACATCTGTATTGCGTAGAGCTACACACACACACAAAGCATGCATGTAAAAAGTGAAAACTGAACAAGGTTGACAGTCTGGTTAATAGTATTGTACCAATGACAATTTCCTCTGTATACTATTTTGCAATTTCATATGGATCTATAATTATGTCAAAATAAAAGGAGTTTGAAAATTGTTAATTTATTGGCCGGGTGTGGTGGCTCACGCCTGTAGTCCCAGCACTTTGGGAGGCCAAGATGGGTGGATCACTTGAGGTGGCACGCCTGGGCAACATGGCGAAACACCATCTCTACTAAAAATGCAAAAATTAGCCAGGTGGCACGCGCCTGTGGTCCCAGCTACTCAGGAGACTGAAGCATGAGAATCGCTTGAACCCAGGAGGCAGAGGTTGCAGTGAGCCGAGATCACACCACTGCACTCCAGCCTGGGCAACAGAGTAAGACTCTGTTTCAAAAAAAAAAAAAAAAATTAACTGAAAAATTGTCAATTCATATTTATGCATTGTTTTATCTTACTGCCCCTGTATTTGTCAGGGACATGTTGTCTTAACAGATTTTGGGCTTTGTAAAGAAGGAATTGCTATTTCTGACACCACTACCACATTTTGTGGGACACCAGAGGTAAGAAATATATCTCATTGTCATTTATATAATCATGTATAAAATGCAAATATGAATTACAGATTGCATATATAAATTTAAAATAAGAAAAGTAGAATAAAAACTGTCATTTCAGCTTCCAGCCAGCTGGAAATACCTGATAATCATGCCTTGATAGTTGGGTATTTTTAACTGTGATTGTTAGATACTGCAAGACCCTTTTGAATAATCCAACAAATATAAATTATGTTTATTTGTTTTTAGTGTTAGAAGTTTACCTTAGGCTTCTTTATGCATTTAATTATATTTCTTTTTTTGTTTTTGTTTTCTTCTAAGGTAAATATTGTAGAAAATTATATTTCTAATCCTTTAAAAATCACAAATCAGTGATGAAAGTGTTCTTTCTGTGACTATGTTAACAACATTGAATCACACACTTTAAATGGGTGAATTGTGTGATATGTGACTATTTTAATAAAGCTGTTTTTCTTTTAAAAAATGAGCTAAAGCAAATATGGCAAAATATTAACACTTGACTATATCTCAGTTGCAGTTTATTGGTTTCTCTTGTTTTTTATATGCTTGAAATATTTTGTAACAAAATTAAGTGTTTACTTACTAGAAGAAAATAAAGCAGTGGATATGGAAAAACAAATCACAAATCAGAATTTATTTATCAGAACATCCCATTTTCTAATCATGTTAGCTAGCAAAAAAAGTATCTATTTGTGACAATAGTAATGATCCTTACAAATCATGTAAAAGCTTTATTATTCATACTTCACACACATAAACAAGTTTAGTTTATTTTGAACTGTCCAAATTCCAAGGTATTTATAATGATTTTAGGTACCACATAATATTTCATCTTTATCGTGGAGTACTTGCAAATACAATGTTGAAAACGTGTGAGAGAATGGCTTCTAACTGAGTTCAGAAACTTAACTAAAAGTATCTCTAAGTAATAAATATTTACCTTGAAATGGGTTTTTCCTTCTTTTTTCTGTCTAACCCTAGTGCTTGTATATATTTATAACCATTGTGTTTTGGTTTCTGGATGAAGAAACATTCTTTGTTATTGTATATTAATTTCATAGTTAAAATATTTTGCCATTTCTTTTCTTTTTCTTTTCCTTTTTTTTTTTTTTTGAGATGGAGTCTCGCTTTGTCATCCAGGCTGGAGTGCAGTGGCGCAATCTCAGCTCACTGCAAGCTCCGCCTCCCAGGTTCACGCCATTCTCCTGCCTCAGCCCCCCGAGTAGCTGGGACTACAGGCGCCCGCCACCACGCCTGGCTAATTTTTTGTATTTTTGGTAGAGACGGGGTTTCACCGTGTTAGCCAGGATGGTCTCGATCTCCTGACCTTGTGATCCACCCGCCTCAGCCTCCCAATATTTTGCCATTTCTTTAGATCACATAAAAAAGCTTAAGAGGAAATTATTTTCTTACATGTATTTCATATGGGAAGAGGTAATATATTTTGGAATGTAAAATTCAAGTTCACTGTCTTAGATGTGTTAAGTTGTGATCAGTCTAAATTTCCTACAAATTAAAATGTAAATAGACATCTACAACTTATACAAGTTTTCTAAATAATATGTTAGAGAATTGCTGTTATAATTCTCAGATGAGAATGCAATTCTTTCTTTTTTACTGAAAAGAAAAAAAAGGATTATAATTGCTACATTAAGTATTCTTGCCGGGTGCCGTGGCTCATGCCAGTAATCCCAGCACTTTGGGAGACCAAAGTGGGCAGATTGCTTGAGCCCAGAAGTTCCAGACCAGCCTGGGCAACATGGCTAAACCCCCGTCTCTATGAAAAATACGAAAAACTATCCAGGTGTGGTGGCGCATGCCTCTAGTCCCAGCTCCTCAGGAGGCTGAGGTGGGAGTATCACCTGAGCCCAGGAAGTCAAGGCTGCAGTGAGCTGTGATTGTGCCACTGCATTCCAGCTTGGGCGACAGAGAAAGATCCTGTCTCAAAAAAACAAAAAAATTATTTAAGGGGAAAACATGAATAATGACCAAATGAACTTCTAAAATAATCTTTGAAAGACTTTCCCCACAAATACCTACATCACCTATTGGGAATTATAGATTCTACCTTCGCGATACTCTTATTTATTTTAACTGTATCACAGTTTCCAAGGAGAAATGCAGAATACATGTATTGTGAAGTGTTCTAGTTGACATTAGCTAAGAACCACTGGTGTAGAATGAGAATATCCAACCCACTGGAAATCTAGATAATTTGGTTTCAGTATGATAGCAACAACTAAAATTTGTTAAATTTCTCAATTATTTATAAATTTTGTCTTGATTTGTTTACTGACTTGCTCTAATATTTTATTGTTTTCTATAGTATCTTGCACCTGAAGTAATTAGAAAACAGCCCTATGACAATACTGTAGATTGGTGGTGCCTTGGGGCTGTTCTGTATGAAATGCTGTATGGATTGGTATGTATTTCTATACCTCATTATTCCAATGTATTATCATTGATTTGATTGTCTGTCTGTCTCTCCCACCTTAAGAATCTCATGGACACTTAGATAACACTAACAGAGCAGTAATAGTCTGGTTAAATGAACCCAAACCCACATTAGGAATAAGGACAAAAAGAGGCTGGGCATGGTGGCTCACGCCAGTAATCCCAGCACTTTGGGAGGCCAAGGCAGGCAGATCACTTGAGGCCAGGAGTTCGAGACCAGCCTATGCAACGTGGCGAAATCCCATCTCTACTAAAAATACAAAAAATTATCTGGGTGTGGTAGTGCATACTGTAGTCCCAGCTGCTTAGGAGGCGGAGGCCCAAGAATCGCTTGAACCCAGGAGGCAGAGTTTGCAGTGAGCCAAGATTGCACCACTGTACTCCAGCCTGGGTGACAGAGGGAGACTCTGTCTCAAAAAAAAAAAAAAAAAAAAAAAAAACCCTTTTTATTTGTTACTAGTTTTTTTAAATTAATATAATTGTTTCTCTGCTATTCTAATAACTACTTCAGATGTTCTTACCCCCTTGGCATTTTTAGAAATAGACAACTGGTTGTAATATTAAAATTATCTGCTTCCATTCAGTTTACTCAAATATCACTCTAATTTTAAGATAATGGACAAAAAATGATTTTGCATTTATCAATAAATTACTGTATTTCAGAAGATCTTTTGGTTTTTGCCTTTTATTTTGTTTAATAGATTTAATTAATACACAGGTGCTCAGCTTTTCCCATGATTGGAGATCACTCTGTTCCCATCCCTGAAAACACCATGTCTTAAAAATTTTCTTGAAAAAAGTGATGTTTATGCAGTCAGTTTGCCCAGTTCTTATTTAGTTAAAGACACATAGGCTGGCCAGAGCTTCTGATTAATGAGAATAAAGTTTTTTCACTACATTGAGTTAATATTATTCCAACCCAAAGCAAACAGTGTAGGCATTTTAGTTAGCTCAGATAGCTTTATAAGAGTACATGTATGTTTTTCTGTAGGCTTTTTGACATGTTTAGAAATAGTTCCTAGACTCCCTTTGTGGTCCCCTAAGTGTCCAGCAGCCTCATGCTGGGAACCATGTGCGAATCCCTGAGGCTGCTGCTACCGCTGATGTTAAATGCCACTGTCAGCCAAGACCTGAGCTGAGTGTCTATTTGCTTTTTATTGAAAACTGTGGCGCTTACAGTGAAATTCAGCACATGAAGTACATTTCAGAGCGTTTGTTTTATCTTGCTAGTTTCGAATGATAGATTCCTGTGAAAGCCAACACCATCTCTTCTTTGCCCTTGACTGTGACCTGCATGTTAAAAGATCTAGTTTTCTGGTTATGCTACTGACTTAGAACATTGGAAAACCACTTTATACCTGATTTCCCTTTAAGCACTATTTATTTGCCATCTTGATATTTCAGAATCCTTCAAATTTATTTAGAGGACTTTGAAAATATATCATTGCACATAAAATGCAGTTGATTCAAAAGAGAACATTTAAAACATACATTTTATTAATCAAACTTTTATTGTTTTAAAATGAAGTTTTATTTTGGCCAGCCACAGTGGCTCACGCCTGTAATCCCAGCACTTTGGGAGGCCAAGGCAGGCAGATCACCTTAGGTCAGGAGTTCAAGACCAGCCTGTCCAACATGGCAAAACCTCGTCTCTACTAAAAATACAAAAACTAGCCTGGCACAGTGGCATGCCCCTGTAATCCCAGATACTTGGGAGGCTGAGTCAGGAGAATCACTTGAACCTGGGAGGCGGAGGTTACAGTGAGTGGAGATCATGCCACTGCACTCCAGCATAGGCAACAAAGCGAGACTCCGTCTCAAAAAAAAACAAAAAACAAAAAAAGTCATATTTTAAAAGATAAGCTTTTTCTTTCCTACACAAAGGAAAGGAAAAGTGGCAAGCCTATAAAACTCCCTTAACTTTAAAAATTATGTATACTTTAATTTTTATTTTTACTTTTTTTGAGACAGAGTCTCACTGTGTTGCTCAGGCTGGAGTGTAGTAGAATGATCACGACTCACTGCAACCTTGACTTCCCAGGCTCTGATGCTTCTCCCACCTCAGCCTGCTGAGTAGCTTGGACTACAGGCATGCACCACCCCACCTAGCTTGCTTATTTATTTATTTATTTATTTATTTATTTATTTATTTATTTATAGTAGAGACAGGGTGTCGCCATGTTGCCTAGGCTGGTCTCAAACTCCTGAGCTCTAGTGATCTGCCCACCTCAGCCTCCCGAAGTGCTGGGATTTCCAGTGTGAGCCACTGTGCCTGGCGTCACTTTTTATTTTGTAAACTTCTGTATTGTTTGGATTTGTTACAACAAGCATATATTACTTTTGTAATTTTCACAAAAAGAGACTGAAAAGAAAAAAATGTCATTTTAATGTTTTAAGTCAGATTCATCTTATTTTATAAAAATACTGGTAACTAATATTTAAAAGGTAAAAACAAACCCACAAGGGTAAAATATTAGAGACCAGTCCTCTGGTGAATAAATTGGGTTTTTTTTTGTTTTTGTTTTTGTTTTTTAAAAAAGAACAGTAACATTTTACATGGTAATTCCCTCTTTGGAAAAATGTTTCTGGTGCTCTGGACACATTAATTCAAAAGGAAGTAGTTTTGTAGGTTACATATTACAACCTTGCAGATAGAACCTGAGTAGCATGATAATCTTCTTTCCTCTTATTCCCAGAGTACAGAAACCTGTACAGCTCATTTTTTTTCTCAAAAGTTGTTACTTTATTTATTTGAGATGGGGTCTCACTCTGTTGCCCAGGCTGGAGTGCAGTGGCGCAATCTCAGCTCACTGCATCCTCCGCCTCCCAGGTTTAACCGATTCTCATGCCTCAGTCTCCTGAGTAGATGAGACTACTGGCGTACACCACCATGCCCAGCTGGTTTTTTATTTTTTCAGTAGAGACGGTTTCACCATGTTGCCCAGGCTGGTCTTGAACTCCTGGCCTCAAGCAATCTGCCCACCTCAGCCCCCCAAAGTGCTGGGATTACAGGCGTGAGCCACCACGCCTGGTCTTTATTTTTACTTTAAACCTTTATAATTAGATGATTAACTAGCTAATGCTTGTGTTGAAGCTATACCCCAAGTCTTTTGGCTGTTGCGGTGGCATTTTTAATTCTGCAAAGTACAGTCATAATATTATCTCTGTCATAAGTACCTAAGAAACATTATCTTCAGGCCTCCATCTCTACTAGAAATCCCTTTGTTTCAGTGAGTTTATTCCCAAGTCTGAAATTAATGTTTGATCTGTCTTGAACTTCTATTTCCAATGATTCTGTCATTATGCCTATGATAAGGTTGGTGGTTTTCTCTAAAACAGGTACTACTACAAGTTGTATATAATTTAACAGCTGTCTACAAGGTGCTATTGAACAAACTGGCCCTAATTCATTCAGTGAACACTTATTAAGCTCTGTGATGTGTTCGGTTTTAGAATCTCTTTGCTTCAGGAAGCCACACTGCAGGTGTCTACACGTCCCAAGAGGTCCATACATTTTTTCAACTGACTGCTCCCTCAAGATTAAAGCCATTTTAACCCCATTTGCGCATAATTTGTTTACCACTAAGTTTATTTTGCTTTTTTTTTTTTCCAGCCTCCTTTTTATTGCCGAGATGTTGCTGAAATGTATGACAATATCCTTCACAAACCCCTAAGTTTGAGGCCAGGAGTGAGTCTTACAGCCTGGTCCATTCTGGAAGAACTCCTAGAAAAAGACAGGCAAAATCGACTTGGTGCCAAGGAAGACTTTGTATGTAACAGCTTTTCTAGCTCCAGCTTTATTTAAGCTTATTTAAAATTTGGAAATAAAGCTTTATTTTATATGGTATTTAATGGAATGAATACAATATGCGGAGAATAGCAACATGGAAAAAAAGCATACTTGTCTCCACAGTTTTCACCTGTATTTATATAAAACTATGTAGTATTTAAAGCACTTTCTGTTGCATACACTTTTGCCCTATCCACCACATACACTTTCGCACCCTATTATTTACTTGATTTTCATTTATTACAAATTCCCCTCCCCTTCTTTTTAAAAAGTGTTGTGTGGCATATTTTCACTACCTAAACTTTCTTTTGCTGTTTTTATTGCTAAATAATACTAACATTTTCATGAACTAATAACACAGAGACTAACCAACTAGTAAGCTTTTTGTTGAGGGTTTGGGACTATCTAAAGTCTAAATCATTTCCTTTAGCAGGAATTTGTTAAGTGCCTCCTGTCTGCATGAGGTAATGTCTTTTGCCTTGAACACTAAGTCACTTTTTTTTTTTTTTTTTTTTTTAAGAATTTGGTGAGACCTCCTTGAGATAATTAGGGAATCTGCATGTTTGTTTCAAATAAGGGTAATTAAATTTGTAGTGTAGTTACCGGCATTATGTTAGTGTGTCAGTAAATGCACAAAAATATTGAGGAATATGAACTTTTGAACTGCTTTCTCAGATATTCTTGGAGGCTGCTTATCAATTTTGAACTTGAGCTGTGAATAAAAGACTTTGCTGCTACTGCTTTACCCCTGCTCCCCAGTTCAGCTGGTAGCTCTGCCAACAACTTCCTTTCCGTTGTTCCAGACAGTCTTGCTAATATTTCACACCTCCTTGTCCCTTGGTCCATTTATTGAATTCATTGACAGAGATTGCAGCTCTAGATGAATCCAACTATCATCTCATGGGCTGCTGAACAGTGCTAAAGAAGGTAACAAACTGGGCATATTGGAAGCACTGTGAACCTCGTCTGTGCTTCCCCACTGTCTGGTAATACTCTTTGTTTCTCTGTGTAGCTTACTCTCTTCCTCTCTGTATTAACTATTTCACACCTTCTCTCCAGACTTCCCAGATTCCTTTTCTTCTTCTTCACTTTTAACAGATGATCTTGCCTTCTATTTTGTAAGGAAAATAGAACCATTAGAGTGGAGCTAACTTAGCTTCCTGCTATCAAATCCACAGACCTATATACACTTGCAGGATCCTGTCATTTTCTTCTTCGTATTGTAGTGGAAAAGGTCTGTTTCCACCTGTGCACTGTATCCTGTCCATTTGTAAGGAACCCTGTCCATGTTTGTTTGTTTTGCACAAATAACTGCTCCCCTTTTTTTCTGGTTCCTTCCAGTCAGTAATTAAATGTTATCAAATCTGTTGCTTCTTAAGCCAAAAAAACCCTCAGTCTTACTCTCCTGAGAGGTACTACTCTATCTCCTTCCCTTCTTAGCCAAACTTGTTGGAAGTTTTCTTTGTTCAGTCTCCCTTTCCCAAGCTCTTTCATTTCTCAATCTACCACAAAATAGCCAGTAGAATTGCTGGATACTACTTTTCCTCAACTTATGCCGCCCTCAGCAGCATTTAAACTTGCAACACTCTCCTGTTCCCTAGCCTTCTGCAAGAGCACACGTGCGTCTCATCTCAGGCTTTTCTTTCTGTATTTCTGGACCGTTCTCCATTATTTCCTGTGTAAGCTCCTTTTCAAACTTCAAGTGTTGCAGTGCCCTGTCGTCCTAAACCCTCTTTTCTTCCGTGCTGTCTTCCTGGGCAATCTCAATTGGTCCCATGGCTTTAGTTATCTATATGTTTTCATCTCACACATTTATATCTTCTGTACTCTTCAGCCCTCTCTTCTAAACTCTAGACTTACATAGTATCTGCCTGCTCAACATCACCACTTGGAGTTCCTGAGAGTACCTCAGATGCCGCTATTGTCCCCCTGTGCTCCCTTTTGTATTAAAGGACATCACTGTCCATGTGGCTATTCTGGCCAGAAATCTGAGAGGCATTCTTGATTCTTCTCTCTTCCTTACTTCCATATTCAACAAACAGCCAGTTCCTTTTTGCTGCCTGAATCTTTCCCATATCCAGACATTTCTAGCCCCACTGCTACTACTCTTGTCCTACTCTTTGTCATCTTTAGTCTGGTTACAGTGGTTGCTATTTTTCCCTTATCTGGTCTTGACTCTTCAATCTAATTCTCCCTGTAGCCAGGGTGATGTTTTGGGGGAATATTTTTTTTTTTTTTTTTTTTGAGACAGGGTTTTGCTCTGTCACCGATGCTGGAGTGCAGTGGTGTGATCACGGCTCACTGCAGCCTCAACTTCCCAGGTTCAAGTGATCCTCCCACCTCAGCCCCCAAATAGCTGGATTACAGGCATGTGCCACCACACTGTTTTGTAGAGATGGGAGTCTCATCATATTGCCCAGGTTGGGTTTGAACTCCTGGGTTCAAGTGATCCTCCCACTTCGGACTCCCAAAGTGCTGGGATTATAGGTGTAAGCCACTGCGCCTGGCCCAGGGTGGTGGTTTAAAAAACATTTCTCACCAACCTGATGCTTTAAAAAACAAACAAATAGAAAAACCAGTTGTGACATTCTCATAACTAAATCCCCTTGATGGCTTCTTATGACCCTAGAGCAAAATCCAAAATGTTTCATGTAGACCTGATATGATACAGCCAGTTTAGCTCTTGAGCTTCACCTTATGTGACAGTCCCATCCCTCCCTACACTGCAGCCATATTGGACTCTCATTTTCTTGACCATACTAACCTCTTTGCCACCTCAGAGCCTTTCTGGAACATGCTCTCCCCATTCTTTTGTCTGGCTTAATTCTTACTCATTTTTCAGACCTCTGGTGAGATACCACTTTCTCTAAGAAGTCTTTTTTAACCCACCAAATTAGGTTGGATCCTACTTTATACACTCCTGTGGCACCTTGAAGGAAAAATAGCTAGAGTCAATACTGTGCCATTGTTTGGTAATACCAACCCTGAGTGGGATATTTTTTTATTAGTAGAACTCATGACTGATTTTATTTCTACTCCACTGTATAAAGCTCTCTGCCCAACTTCTTTACCCACCTACTCCAGTAATAACACTAATTCTTTGTAACTCTGTAGTGCTTTATTCTTTTCATAGCACTTTACATCCATACTTTACACTGATCCTTAAAACATACTTCCCCTGAAGTATTAAGGGCAGAAAGGTTATCCCCATTTTACCACTGAGGAAACTGACTGTGAAGAGAATACAACTTAAGTTTAAGTAGGTCATTCTAAGTAACTTTCTTTCAGTCTTTCTATTGCTTACATGAATAACATCATTTTGCCACACAAATAACATACACATGTTCCTAAAAAGAGTTATTGAGGGGCAAAATAGTAATAGTTTGGCTTCATAAAATTATGCAGTTAGTACTTAATATATTCTTCGGCATTAGTAAAACAAATTTTTTTTAATATTCCAGCTTGAAATTCAGAATCATCCTTTTTTTGAATCACTCAGCTGGGCTGACCTTGTACAAAAGAAGATTCCACCACCATTTAATCCTAATGTGGTAAGTATATATCCAAATCTTTCTTTCTAGAATCGTGAAACTTAATAGCAGTTCATTGTAAGTTTGAAACTAGATCTCAGAATCACCTGAATTAAATGGAGTCATTACCTAAATATTTGTGAAATATGTCACTCAGGGTTGTCTAGTATAACTAATAACTTCAGGGAGACCAGTAAGATTATAGTTAGATTAGGTTGATAAAAATGTCTTCCAGCACAGTAATTGTAAAGTGTTTCTTTGGAGCATGTATAAGAAAAGAATGAACTCAACAAGTCAGCCAGGCATGGTGGCTCACACCTGTAATCCCAGCACTTTAGGAGGCTGAGGTGGGCAGATCACTCCCAGCACTTTGGGAGGCCGAGGTGGGTGGATCACTTGAGGCCAGGAGTTCAAAACCAGCCTGGCCAACATGGCGAAACCCTGTCTCTACTAAAAATACAAAAAAAAATTATCCGGGTGTGGTGATGCATGCCTTTACACTCCCAAACTACTAGGGAGGCTGAAGCATGAGAAACACTTGAACTCAGGAGGTGGAGATTGCAGTGAGTCGAAATTGCACCACTGCACTCCAGCCTGGGTGATAGAGCGAGACCCTGTCTCAAAATAAAATTAAAAAAAAAAAAACAGGTATAGACAAACATTATTAATAAAATCATATTAATGTAAATTGTTACTTTCTTGGGAAAACAATAGGATAGTATTATAAAAATGTTCATGTTAGCTAGACTTGTTAAATCTACTTGATGGAAACATTTCACCTAAAGATAATTTGTTTAAAGCAAAAAGCCATATTAAAGATGAGCTTTATACTATTAACAGTGTTAGAAAATTTTGGAAAATACAGTAAATACATAACAACAGGGAAATTGTTAATAATCATCAGTAGGCCAGTAATGATGTTAGTCACTAATGATAGCTTCCTTTGTATAGGGATATACACTTTGTATGTGTTATAATATATAATTTACTCTTAAGCTACCAGCTTACTACTATTACTGTTTTTCTTATTACACATTTTATAAATGAGGAAATAGAAGCTCAGAGATGTCTCATAGCTGGATAGTAGAGCCAGGATTCCAATATATGCGTGATTCCAGAGTCATTATTCTGTTTCCTTATGCTCTGTTGTCTTTTCTTGTTAAATTATATAAAAATGAGCAAGCACTTAGAAAATCCTTATAAAGTTACATGAAAACATGGTAATTACAATTTTTGTGACTTATAATTATAGCAGTAAAAATAAGGATAAGGACTAGAATAGAATATAAGCCAAGACTGATTTGGAGTTTTAAGATCATAGGTGAATTTATTTTCTTTTTTTAAGTTTTTTGATGTTGCTGCAAAACTTAAGGAATCCTTTTTTTTTTTTTTTTTTTTTTTGAGACAGAGTCTTGCTCTGTCGCCAGTCTGGAGTGCAGTGGCGCGATCTTGGCTCACTACAACCTCCGCCTCCCTGGTTCAGGAGATTCTCCTACCTCAGCCTCCCAAGTAGCTGGGACTACAGGCATGCGCCACCACGCCCAGCTAATTTTTGTATTTTTAGTAGAGATGGGGTTTCACCATGTTGGCCAGATGGTGTCGATCTTTTGACCTCATGATCCACCCGCCTCAGCCTCCCAGAGTGCTGGGATTACACGCATGAGCTACTGTGCCCGGCCAGGAATACTTTTTTAATAAATTAGAGCAGATAAGGAGATCAGGAAAGTATTATTTAATAGTCTATCAGGCTTTGTTCCAGGTTAATTTCTATACATAGCTCATAGCTGGTATTAATTAATAGGTGTAATATTTTACACCTACATACATAATATTTGTAGACTGACTGACTTCATGTAGTGCATCCAGGAATGACTCCATTAGGAATAATTTCGGTCCCAAATTTCTAGAGTTTGTGGTAGGAAACTAAGACTCTTAAGAATTATTTTATTTTTCTCTTTAGACTAAGTATCTTAGCAGAATTTAATTACATTCAAATAAATATATCATCAAGCATGTTGAAGAATGTTGAAGGGACTCCTAAGCAACACTGGAAATGGAAACAGTATTGACTTCAGACTCAGATAGCTCCAGCATTGGATCCCTGCTCTTCTATGATTAACTAGAAGTTAAGCTTCTCTATACTTTTTTTTCTTTCACAACATGAGCTTTGAGGTTTAATTTAGGTAACATTTGTAAAGCACCTCAGTGCATTGCACACAGTAGATATTTAATTAATAATACCTTTTTTTAATTCTTTTCCCTCTGGGAATGTTTTCATTAAATATTTATTGGTAACTTAGAAAACACAAGTAGAACATGGGCTCTGTCTTCAAGAAAATTACAGTTAAGGGGATAAAATATATAAAGAGAAGAGTTAAATAATTCTATGTTTAGTGCATATTAGGCATTCAGTGTTGTGGAATTAAAATATGTAATGTGAGGCAAAAAAGCAGATGCCTCATAATAACTTATGATTGCATCTGTGGGAAAAACAGTTGACAGAAATAGTCTTTGATGCTTACTCTTTCAGTGAATAAAATGAATTAGTTGATTTTCCAATCGGTTAGTGTTTTATATTTTAATAGGGTAGTTACTAGGGAAAGGGAGAGTGGGGTTATTGACCATGCTAAGCTTCAGTATTTCTATGATGAATGTTTCTAGCAGTTACTGAGAATTATTTCAAAATCTAACAGGTTGCATAAAGTATTTACTTCAATTATATGTGTCCAACTAGTCTACATTAAAAAAGGACTGGAAGCAGTTTATTTCTCTGTTTACAATGGGTAAAATGCATTCTGGATTCTCTTTTTTTAGCCCACAGAATTGAGGTTATACTGCTAAATATTTAATTTATCCTAATAAGAATTGGTTGCTTAATTTTATTCTCTCAGCAGCTGATAGAGAAAGGATAATAGCAGTGACCTAAAATGGGCTAATACAAACCATGAATGGGTACATTATTATATTTTAATCTTTTTTTGCTATAAAACTTATCAACAAGTAGTTTTTGATACTTTAAAAGATTTCTCATTATACCATTTCGGAACAACCAACACAAAACAAGTGCCTCCAAAATAAGCCGTATTTAGGTAGGATTTCATTGAAGCTCCATCTGAAATCCTGTAAGTTACTATGAAGCATATCCTAACATTCCATTCTATGTTGGGTACACCCAGGTTTTGATCCTTGCCTCCACTTTAATCCTCAGAAAAACTTACTTTGTTGCTGCTTTCATTTTGGCATCTCTTAGAATACAACTTGCTAAGGGTTTTGACTCCCTTTTTGAAATATTGACTATTCTGCATAGCTAATAGTTTACAGTTCTGTGGCCTCAGTCCCTACTTTAGGAATTTCTGTTTATTACATATAAAATTTTGGAAAAGTATGAAAACAAAAATTGACTGCTTGGTGGGAGAGGGCTCACCAACATTTCAAATTAGAGGTTCCCCCCAAATAATCCTTAAAGTAAAAGTATAGCATAGAAAATAATCCCTAAATTAAAAGTATGGCATAGTCCTGCCCTGAAGGGGGTAGATGTGGTATTGAGCTGTGATAGGAGTGGCTTGGCCATGCTCCAAGTGGGTCATTCAGAAGCCACATCTGAGAGGTGGGTCTGGACCTGGGGGGAGGCTGGCATCATTCTAACAATTCTGTAAGCTGAAAGAAAATATTCATTTCTGGGTCAATGAATCACTCTTATTAATGGTTGTTAAAATTAGTTAAGTGTTAAGGGATTGGGTGTGGTAGGAAGGGATTACTATGAAAATACAGGGGTCCAGAAAGGACAGATTGGAGTGAGGGTGCATATTAGTACCAGGACATATTTATGTTATACATTTCCAAGTGGAGGGGAGAAAAAAGGAATTAACTTCTAGTGCGTGCCCACTGTGTACCCAGCATTGTGTTAGGTCCTTGATATGCATTGCCTTGGTTCCCAAACCCTCTGAAGAATTAAAACCTAGGTATGGGCTGAACACAGTGGCTCATACCTGTAATCCCAGTACTTTGGGAGGCTGAGGCAGGTGGATTTTTTGAGCCCAGGAGTTCAAGACCAGCCTGGGCAACATGGCAAGACCCTGTCTCTAACAACAACAACAACAACAAAAAGTGAAAATTAGCTGGGTGTGGTGGCACGCACCTGTGGTCACACCTATTCCAGGAACCTAAAAGTAACCCTTGCAAGACCTAAGATAATGTTTTTGTGTATAATCTTTAAGTGAAGAATGCTTTTTAAAGCATGACCCAGAAGCCATAAGAGAAAAAAGTTGGTAGATTTGACTACATAAAATTTCATTTCATTTCATTTATTGATTGATTGATTGAGACAGAGTCTTGTTCTGTCGCCAAGGCTGGAGTATAGTGGTGCAATCTCGGCTCACTGAAACCTCCGCCTCCCGGGTTCAAGCTGTTCTCCTGCCTCAGCCTCCCAAGTAGCTGGGACTACAGGTGTGCACCACCATGCCCAGCTAATTTTTGTATTTTTAGTAGAGATGGGGTTTCACCATGTTGGCCAGGCTGATCTTGAACTCCTGACCTTAGGCAATCCGCCTATCTGGGCCTCCCAAAGTGCTGGGATTACAGGCATGAGCCACCGCACCCAACCGACTACATAAGATTTTAGTATATGTGCTGCCGAAGTGAGCACTGACCACATAAAATTTAGAAATATCTGCATAAAAATTACTATAAGCAAATAACAAACTGGGAAAATTTTCCTTAACACCTAAAGCATTCTTACTAGTCAATGGGAAGAAACACCAACAACCAATAGAAACATAGACAAAAGACAGAAAACATGAAGTTACAGAAAAAGAAATACAAATAGCTTTCAATTATATGAAAAGAAGTTCATACTGACGGTTGAAGAAGTGCAATATTAAACCATAACAGGTTACCATTTTTCACCTGGCAGATTAACAAAGATCAAACAGTTAGCTATTCTAGGGTTTGATGAAGTAGGTGTTCTCATACAGTGTTCTCAGTACTTTACATGTATCCTTTTACTAAATCCTGACAACAATCCTATGAGATAGTACTGTAATTTTCCATATATATGGATGAGTTAACTGAGGCACAAAGAAAGTTAAATAACTTTTCTCAAAATTAAAGTTCCAGAACTAGAATTTGAACTCTAACTCTCAGATACTCTGAAGGCAGAGCCCTCAACTGTTCTTTTTTTTTTTTTTGAGATGGAATCTTGCTCTGTCACCCAGGCTGGAGTGCAGTGGCACGATATTGGCTCACTGCAACCTCCGCCTACCGGGTTCAAGTGATTCTCCTGCCTTAGCCTCCCAAGTAGCTGAGACTACAATAGCTGGCCACCATGCTGGGCTAATTTTTTGTATTTTTAGTAGAGATGGGGTTCCATCGTGTTAACCAGGATGGTCTCGACCTCCTGACCTTGTGATCCGCCTGCCTCATCCTCCCAAAGTGCTGGGATTACAGGCATGAGCCACCGTGCCTGGCCCGCTCTCACTCTTAATAAACCACATAGTACAGGTTGAGTATCCTTTATCTGAAATGTTTGGGACCAGAAGTGTTTTGGATTTGGGATTGTTTTTTGGATTTTTGGATTTACTTACTGATTGAGCATCCCATATCTGAAAATCTGAAATTCAAAATGCTCCAGTGACTGTCATGTAGATGCTCAAAATTTTTGGCTTTTGGAGCATTTTGGATTTTGGATTTTCAGATTTGGGATGCTCAGCCTGTATTATTCCTGTCAGTACCAGCCATGAGCCATGAGGGCATTATAAAGGCAAGTCAGAGAACATTGCCATCATTTGAGTGCCTTCTACATGTTAGATTCTGGAAATTTTATTAACGCATCAGATCCTTGCAATAACCTCAGGAGGTAGGTGATAGTATTCTTACTTTATGGAAGAAGAAACAAGCTCATAGAGATAGAGTAGTTTATATAACGAATTACACAACTGTAATCCAAGCACTTTGAGAGGCCGAGACGGGCATATCACTTGAGGTCAGAAGTTCGAGACCAGCCTGGCCAACATGGTGAAACCCTGTCTCTACTAGAAATACAAAAATTAGCTGGGCATGGTGGCACATATCTGTAGTCCCAGCTACTCAGAAGTCTGAGGCACAAGAATTGCTTGAACCCAGGAAGTGGAGGTTTGAGTGAGCCAAGATCACGCCACTGCACTCTAGCCTGGGCAACAGAATGAGATTCTGTCTCAAAAAAAAAGGACAGCTAGCAAATTTTGTAGCCAGAATCCAAGAGCCCATGCTTCAAGGATTGTATATAAGAATTTGATGAGGAAAAAACCATACATACGTACATACATACATACATATAAAACTTCTAGCATTCTTTGTCTCTATGGGGGATTTTCTCATATGGGAGGATCTAGCATTCTGGGTTTTTGTGGTCTCTGCTCAGTTTGTAGATGTACCAGGCTGTTATCCTTTGCTTATAATATCCACTCTGAATTTCTATCAGCACACCCTCAGTTAGACTTAATGACTTGAACATTTTAAGGGTTCCCTTCCCTGTAGAGCAGAAATAACCTAGAAATTCAGGGATGGACTTTAAGAATGAATCACCTGAATTTGTATCCCAGTTTTTATCTATAAATATATTGGGGCTGGGCATGGCGGCTCATGGCTGTAATCTCAACACTTTGGGAGGCTGAGGTGGGAGGATTGCTTGAGCCTAGGAGTTCAAGACCAGCCTGGACAACATGGTGAGAACTTGACTCTACTAAAAATAAAAAATAAGCCAGGTATAGTGACACATGCCTGTGGTCCCAGCTACTTGGAGAAGGCTAAGGCAGGATGATCCCTTGAGCCCAGGAGGTCGAAGCTGCAGTGAGCTGTGATTGTGCCACTGCATTCCAGCCTGGACTACAGGATGAGACCCTGTCTCAAAAAAGTGTGTGTGTATGTGTGTGTGTGTGTGTGTGTGTGTGTGTGTGTGTGTGTGTGTAGGAAAGGTAGAGTCTATTAGCTTGTATCAGATTTGTAAAGGAAAGTTAACCACTGCCTTTGAGCCTAAGCAGCCATCATGCTTAATTTTCATATCAGGACTCGGAAGCCCTCCAGAGCTAAGGGTGCCCTAGTCAAATGCTTCATTGACAGTCTCTGTAGCACAGTAAGAGTCATCTTTCACAATTTTACTTATAACCAAGAACCTAATTAAATAAGTGATAACAAAAAATTATTATTTTACTTATAACCGCTTCATTTATTCATCAGAAGGCTTTACCCACCCATAATTGAGAAACCAGATGGACAGGCGTTTTATGGAAGCTCAAATACAAAATGCTAGGACGGGTGCGGTGGCTCACGCCTGTAATTCCAGCACTTTGGGAGGCTGAGGCAGGTGGATCACGAGGTCAGGAGATCAAGACCAAGACTGGCTAACTCGGTGAAACCCCGTCTCTACTAAAAATAGAAAAAATTAGCCGGGCATGGTGGTGGGCGCCTGTAGTCCCAGCTACTCGGGAGGCTGAGGCAGGAGAATGGCGTGAACCCGGGAGGCGGAGCTTGCAGTGAGCCAAGATGGCGCCACTGCAGTCCAGCCTGGGTGACAGAGCGAGACTCTGTCTCAAAAAAAAAAAAAAAATACAAAATGCTATCCTGAAAACCTACCTGAGACCTTTTTCTAAACTTGGGTGTAGTGTGAGGCAGTGATGGGTAGAGAGAAAGGGGATCAGTGACAAGCCTTGAGATTTAAATTAACAATGAATCTCTGTTTGTGAGCCTTCCTTACTTTTCTGTCTCCTCCCCCAACTCAAAAAGAACCTTAACTGTTAGAATAAGCTTGTTCAGTGCACAGTCTGTGGGCTACATGAGGCACAGGATGGTTTTGAATGCGGCCCAACACAAATTCTTAAACTTTCTGTAAAACATTATGAGACCTTTTTTGCATTTTTTTGTTTGTTTTTTAGCTCATCAGCTATTGTTAATGTTGGTGAGTGTGGTCCAAGACCATTCTTCTTCTTCCAATGTGGCCCAGGGGACCAAAAGATTGGACACCCCTGTTTTAGGAGGACAGATAACTTGACCTAAATAATAAAGGTCAGGAAAGGAAAAGCAGAAAAGCGTTTCAAGGGAATGAATTAGGAAGACATCTAACCTTGCCAGGAATAAACACACAAATTCATAAAGGAGTTGTAATAAAGGACTAAATTGGGCCAGGCGCGGTGGCTCACACCTGTAATCCCAGCACTTTGGGAGGCTGAGGCAGGTGAATCACAAGGTCAGGAGTTCGAGACCAGCCTGGCCAACATGATGAAACCCTGTCTGTACTAAAAATACAAAAAGTTAGCTGGGCGTGGTAGGTGGGCGCCTGTAATCCCAGCTACTCGGGAGGGTGAGGCAGGAGAATTGCTTGAACCCAGGAGGCGGAGGTTGCAGTGAGCCAAGATCGCGCCACTGGCATGCCAGCCCAGGTGGCAGTGTGAGACTCTGTCTCAAATAAATAAATAAATAAAGGATTAAATTAATGAAAGAAAAGCTAAGGTGAATAATACTGTGCTTTTGATGTTTTAGGCTGGACCAGATGATATCAGAAACTTTGACACAGCATTTACAGAAGAAACAGTTCCATATTCTGTGTGTGTATCTTCTGACTATTCTATAGTGAATGCCAGTGTATTGGAGGCAGATGATGCATTCGTTGGTTTCTCTTATGCACCTCCTTCAGAAGACTTATTTTTGTGAGCAGTTTGCCATTCAGAAACCATTGAGCAAAATAAGTCTATAGATGGGACTGAAACTTCTATTTGTGTGAATATATTCAAATATGTATAACTAGTGCCTCATTTTTATATGTAATGATGAAAACTATGAAAAAATGTATTTTCTTCTATGTGCAAGAAAAATAGGGCATTTCAAAGAGCTGTTTTGATTAAAATTTATATTCTTGTTTAATAAGCTTATTTTTAAACAATTTAAAAGCTATTATTCTTAGCATTAACCTATTTTTAAAGAAACCTTTTTTGCTATTGACTGTTTTTTCCCTCTAAGTTTACACTAACATCTACCCAAGATAGACTGTTTTTTAACAGTCAATTTCAGTTCAGCTAACATATATTAATACCTTTGTAACTCTTTGCTATGGCTTTTGTTATCACACCAAAACTATGCAATTGGTACATGGTTGTTTAAGAAGAAACCGTATTTTTCCATGATAAATCACTGTTTGAAATATTTGGTTCATGGTATGATCGAAATGTAAAAGCATAATTAACACATTGGCTGCTAGTTAACAATTGGAATAACTTTATTCTGCAGATCATTTAAGAAGTAACAGGCCGGGCGCGGTGGCTCACGCCTGTAATCCCAGCACTTTGGGAGGCTGAGGCGGGCAGATCACCTGAGGTCAGGAGTTGGAGACCAGCCTGACCAACATGGACAAACCCCGTCTCTACTAAAAATACAAAATTGGCAGGGTGTGGTGGCACATGCCTATAATCCCAGCTACTTGGGAGGCTAAGGCAGGAGAATCGCTTGAACCCGGGAGGCGGAGGTTGCAGTGAGCCGAGATCGCACCATTGCACTCCTGCCTGGGCAACAAGAGTGAAACTCCATCTCCAAAAAAAAAAAGAAAAAGTAACAAAAGGAAATTATTTGTTTTTGAAATACCAGTTCAACTTTGTGGATTATTTTTCCTCTGAAGGAAAAGAAAAGGCTTAATGGTTAGGATTTTTAAGTATTCCCAAAGATCTGAAGGGTAATAAAATGTACTGGATTTTTTAAGGTGGTACCAAAAATGAATGTCTGTCATATATTTATATTACAAATACATTATATTTATGTTCTATTCATCTTTTGAATGTTTAGTATGCTATTAAGTCATTCTGAATCTTTGTATTTGCTTTTGCAAATAGGTATTTCAAAGCTCTTTTCCTAACTGGTTAAGTAAAATAAAAAATTGAGCTTTCTAGAATATTTGCCTAATTGGGAATTAAAAAGTAAAATAATAGGCCAGGCATGGTGGCTCATGCCTATAAGCACCCTGGGAGGCCGAGGCAGGCAGATTATTTGAGCTCAGGAGTTTGAGACCATCCTGGGCAACATGGCGAAACCCTATCTCTACAAAAAATACAAAAATTAGCCAGACATGGTGGCACATGCCTTTAGTCCCAGCTACTCTGGAGGCTGAAGTTGGAGGATGGCTTGAGCCCACGAGATGGAAGTTGCAGTGAACTGAAATTGTGCCACTGCACTTTTCAGCCTGGGTGCCACAGCGAGACCCTAGTTAAGAGAAAAAAAAAGTAAAAACAAATTGTGGGTCAAAGTAAATGTATACAGTTTTATTACAATGTAACAAAAGTTGAAAATCAGGCAGATGTGTATTCAGTATCCAATTCAATATATCTTAGAAAAAGCACAGGAAACAGACCTTAAAATTGTAACCTACCAACTAACTTACATGCTTATAAAAGTAAAGGAGAATAACTGGCCGGGCACGGTGGCTCATGCCTATAAAATTCCAGCACTTTGGGAGGCCAAGGCAGGAGGATCACTTGAGCCTATGAGTTCAAGACCAGCCTAGGCAATGTAGTGACACCTCATTTCTATTTATTTTAAAAAAAAGAGAGAGTAACTACAGAAGAACTTTAAAAAATAAAAAATAAGCTTACCTTGGATTCTTGGCTTAGAGTAGAGGTTTTTTTTAAGTTATGGAGGAAACATTTTTGTAAAAGTTTAATGACCCACTTTAGATGCTCCAAGAACAAGCATCCCTTCCATGTATGTCTTGAGAAAGAAATCACAGAAGCATTTCTCACCAATACTCTTTGGCTTAAAATGTTCAGCAGAATTGGGCAGTGGGGGTGACTTTTCTTATATTAATAATATTTACATCCAATACACTGAATCTTCCTTTAGAGGTAAGACTTTAATATCTATACTGTAAATATTTGGTTTATTTGGCACTACTGTAAGTTTTGTTTTTCACAAAGCTCTTATTATGAAGCAAAATAAAAATTCTAGTTTCTTGTATGATTTTTTGTACTCATTCATTCCTGTTAAGCTGCCAAAAATTAAAGTGCAATATTGTATATTTTTAAGAACAAATTTAAAATAGAATTTTGATGTTTCTCAGATCACAAGAAATACAAATCTATATAGTATAATAAAATCAGCAAAAAGATCAACTAATGTCTGTCATTATTTGAAATTGGTAATGGTTGCAATGGTCATTATAAAATGAATTATTTATATGTGTGTGGGGGAAAAATAAAATGTGAACAGAAATTATTTGGACACATGAATTACTAGATTATCATAGGCTTATGTGTATAATATTCAGAGAGCAAAATGTTTTCTAAGTTTCAAGTTTACCTTTTCTCTCATAGCATAAGTCTTTTAGGAAAATGTATGCCCTTTGAATAACCATTTCATGGTTATTATCAAAATATACCAAAGGTCTAAATGAAGACTATAATATTTTTAATGTTACCCATACCTCCCATTTTATTGCATATGGTACAAAATAGGGCTTCCCAACCATTGTCACATCATAATACACACTGAAAATTACCAAATTTGTCACACTTGGGGAATAGGTGTCCAACGATGCAGACAGTGGTAGCAGATCCTCTGTATGAAGTTTTCATATGCAATTTACAAAGAAAGCCAGCAAACTGTTCAGATATCATTTCAGCAGGAGTAAACATTTGAATGAGAGTTTAAATATTCTGAATTTTTATCACTGAAAAATTTATCATTACCAATATCTTTAGCATGTTTGTAACAAATATATTGATTTTCCACAGCCAAATGATACTACAGAACTGTACACAAACATTTTGTAAGTCATTCTTTTGTGTATAATGTACTCTATGAAAAGTAGGGATAGGCATGAGCATTTTTGGTAATGCTGTAATGACCTTTTCAATACAGTGTTAAAATTGATAACTTCATCCCTCATACAAGCAGTTTGGAAATTAGGTCTGTTTTTTAAAGTGGGATTTCCCATTCATTCATTCATTCATTTATTGAGACTGAGTCTCACCCTGTTGCCCAGGCTGGAGTGCAGTGGTGCAATCTCGGCTCACTGCAACCACCACCTCCCAGGTTCAAGCGATTCCCGTTCTTCAGCCTCCTGAGTAGTTGGGATTACAGGCATGAACCACCACACCCAACTAATTTTTGTATTTTTTAGTAGAGACAGGGTTTCACCATGTTGGCCAGGCTGGTTTGGAACTCCTGGCCTCAAGTGATCTGCCTGCCTCGGCCTCCCAGAGTGCTGAGATTACAGGCATGAGCCACCATGCTAGGCCTAGAGGAGGATATAACAATTCTAAATATATGTGCACCCAACACTGGAGCACCCAGATTAAAAACAAAGCAAATATTACTAGGTCTAAAGAGAGATATAGACAGCAATACAATAATGGGGAATTTCAATATCCCCCTCTCAGTATTAGATCACCTAGACAGAAAATCAAGAAACACTGAATTTAAACTGGACTTTAGACAAATAGACCTATCAGATATTTACACAACGTTGTATCTAACAACTGCAGAATATACACCCATTTCTTCAGCACATAGAACATTCTCTAGAATAGACCATATGTTAAGCTACAAAAGAAGCCTCAACAAATTTTTAAAAATCAATGTATCAAGTATCTTCTCAGACCACAATGGAATAAAACCAGGAATCCATACCAAGAGTAACTCTGGAGACTGTAAATATGTGGAAATTAAACAACATGCTCCTGGACGACTGACCGACCATTGGGTCAACAAAGAAATTAGGATGGAAGTGGAAAAAAAATTTTTGAAACAGATGAAAATGGAAACATGACATACCAAAACCTGTGGGATGCAGCAAAAGCAGCACTAAGAGAAGCCTATGGTAATAAATGCCCACATCCAAAAAGTAGCAAGGTTACAAATTAACAATCTAACAATGTACTTCAAGGAACTAGAAAAAGCAAGAACAAACAAAACCCAAGATGAGCGAAGAAATAATAAAGATCAGGGCAGAACTAAATGAAATAGACTAACCAATATAAAGGATCAATGAAGTAAGTTGGTTCTTGGAAAAGATAAAATTAATAAACTGCTAGCGAGACTAGCCAAGAAAATAAGAGAAGACCATCCAAATAATCAGAAATGAAAAAGGAGACATTACAATTGATACCACACAAGTAGAAAAGATTATCAGAAATTATTATGAACAACTATACATAGGAAAACTTAGAAATGGATAAATTCCTGGAAACATAAAACCTACCAAGATTGAATCAGGAAGAAATAGAATACCTGAGCAGACCAGTAATGAGTAGCAAGATTGAATCAGTAACAAAAAGTCTCCCAACAAAGAAAAGCCTATGACTGAATGGAATCACAGCCAAATCAAAATGATAATACACCACAATCAACTGGGATTTATACTTGATCCTATGTCAAGTATATGTAACAGATGCAAGGATGGTTCAACATATGCGAATCAATACACATGATACATCACATCAACAGAATGAAGGAGAAAATACATAATCATCTCAATAGATGGAGAAAAAGCATTTCATAAAGTTCAACATCTCTTTATTATAAAAACCCTCAACAAAACAAGGCATAGAAGGAATATACCTAAAAATAATAAAGGCCATATATGATAAACCCAGAGGTAATATAATGAATGGAAAAAGTTGAAAGCCTTGCCTCTAAGAACTGGAACAATACAAGGACGCCCATTTTCACTACTTCTATTCGACATAGTTCTGGAAGTCATAGCCAGAGCCATCAGGCAAGAGAAAGAAAAAGCATCCACGTTGGAAAAGAGGAAGTTAGGCCAGGCACAGTGGCTCACATCTGTACTCCCAGCACTTTGGGGGACCGAGGCAGGTGGATTGCTTGAGGTCAGGAGTTTGAGACCAGCCTGGCCAACATGGGGAAACCCCGTCTCTACTAAAATACAAAAATTAGCTAGGCGTAGTGGTGGGTGCCTGTAATACCAGCTACTAGGGAGGCTGAGGCAGGAGAATCGCTTGAACCCAGAAGGGAGGCAGAGGTTGCAGCGAGCTGAGATGGTGCCACTACACTGCAGCCTGGGTGACAGAGCGAGACTGTCTCAAAAAAAAAAAAAAGGAAGTTAAATTGACCCTCTCCACTGATGATGTTTTTTTTCTTTTTAGACATGTTCTTGCCCTGGTGCCCAGGCTGGAGTGCAGTACTGCAATCATGGTTCACTGTAGCTCAATCTCAGGCTCAAGTGATCCTCCCACCTCAGCCTCTAAAGTAGCTGGGACTACAGGCACACACCTGTAGTTTATCATATGTGATAAACTAGCCAGTCATGCCTGGCTAACTGCATTTTTAGTAGAGATGAGGTATTGCTGTGTTGCCCAGGCTGGTCTCGAACTCCTGACCTCAAGCATTCCTCCCTCCTCAGCCTCCCAAAGTGTTGGGATTACAGGCATGAACCACCACGCCTAGCCTGATCCTATATCTAGAAAAACCTGGCCAAGCACAGTGGCTCATGTCTGTAATCCCAACACTTTAGGAGGCCAAGGCAGGCAGATCTCTTGAGTCCAGGAGTTGAAGTCCAGCCTGGCTAACATGGTGAAACCCTGTCTCTACAAAAAAATAAAAAATTATCCAGGCATGTTGGTACACGTCTACAGCTACCTACTTGCTCCCCAAGTCACAGCTACTTGGGGAGCAAAGGTGGGAGGATCGCTTGAGCCCAGAAGATCAAGGCTGCAGTGAGCTGTGATTGCACCACTAATGCACTCCAACCTGGGCTGCAGAATAAGACCCTGTCTCAAAAAAAAAAAAAAAAAAAAGAAAGAAAGTAAAAGACTCCACCCCAAAACTCTTAGGTTTGAAAAATGAATTCCGTAAAATTGCAGGATACAAAATCAACACACTAAAATCAGTAGCTTTCTTTTTTTTGCTGGAGTCTCACTCTGTTGCCCAGGCTGAAGTGCAGTGGCGCGATCTCGGCTCACTGCAACCTCCACCTCCTGGGTTTAAGCGATTCTCCTGCCTCAGCCTCCCAAATAGCTGGGATTACAGATGCCCGCCACCACGCCCGGCTAACTTTTTGTATTTTTAGTAGAGACACGGTTTCACCATGTTGGCCAGGCTTGTCTCGAACTCCTGACCTCAGGTGATCCGCCTGCCTTGGCCTCCCAAAGTGCGGGATTACAGGCGTGAGCCACTGCACCCAGCTAGTAGCATTTTTATACACCAATAATGATCTAGCTGAGAAAGCAAGTAAGAAGGCAGTTCCATTTACAATAGCAACAAAGCAGCAGCAACAACCAAAAAACACCTAGGAATAAATGTAAATAAGGGGGTGAAAGATCTCTGCAAGGAAAACTACAAAACAGAGAGAAATTGAAGATGACACAAATGGAAAAACATCTCGTGGATCATGGATCAGAAGAATTAATATCATTAAAATGACCATGATGCCCAAAGCAACCTATAGATTGTATGCAATTCTTATCAGAATTAGAAAAGCTATCCTAAAATTCATATGGAACCAAAAAAGAGCCTGAATTGCTAAACAAAGCCTGAGCAAAAAGAGCAAAGCTTGGCTGGGTGGCTCACGCCTATAACCCCAGCACTTTGGGAGGCCAAGACAGGAAGATGACTTGAGCCCATGGCCACAAAGAGAGACCCCATCTCTACAAAAAAATTTCAAAATTAGCCAGGCATGGTGGCATGTGCCAGTAGTCCCAGCTTCTCGGGAGGCTGAGGCAGGAGGATCACTTGAGCCTGGGAGTTCAAGGCTGCAGTGAGTTGTGATCACTCCACTGCACTCCAGCCTGGGTGACGGAGAAAGACCCCATCTCAAAAAAACAAACAAAAAGAAAAAAAAAAAGAACAAAGCTGGAGGCATCATTACCTGACTTTAATATATATTACAAGGCTGGCTGGGCATGATGGCTCACACCTGCAATCCTAGCACTTTGGGAGGCTGAGATGGGCAGGTTGCTTGAGCCCAGGAGTTTGAGACCAGCCAAGGCAACATGGTGAGACCCTGTCTACAAAAAATACAAAAAAAATTAGCTGGGTGTGGTGGTGCACACCTGTAGTCCCAGCTACTAGGGAGGCTGAGGCAGAAGGATCTTCTAATAGATTTTTCTGTATTTAATACATCCTTTAAAATACCTGTTAAGTCAGGTGTGGTGGCATGCACTTATAGTTCCAGCTATTGCAGAGGCTGAAGCGGGAGGATCCCTTGAGCCCACGAGATGGAGGTTGCAGTCAGCTGAGATGGCACCACTGCATTCCAGCTTGGGTGACAGAGTGAGACCGTGTCTAAAAAAATTTTTTTTAATTATCTGATGAAAATATGTCATGGCAAAAATAAACAGAATTTAAAAATTAAAATTAAAAGAAAGCTTTGAAAAAAATTTTAAAAATAAAAAATTGGCCAGGTGCAGTGGCTCACACCTGTAACCCCAGCACTTTGACAGGCCAAGGCAGGTGGATCACCTGAGGTCAGCAGTTCGAGACCAGCCTGGCCAACATGGGGAAACTCTGTCTTCACTAAAAATACAAAAATCAGCCAGGTATGGTGGCAGGTGTCTGTAATCTCAGCTACTCAGGAGGGTGAGGCAGGAGAATCACTTGAACCTGGGAGGCGGAGGTTGCAGTGAGCCAAGATCAAGCCATTGCACTCTAGCCTAGGAGACAAGAGCAAAACTCCATCTCAAAATAATAATAATAATAATAATAATAATAATAATAATATAAAAACAAAAAATAAAAAATAAAAGCTTTGTGTTTCTCAAAACTCAAAAACTCATAAGACAATATGTAAGAGCCGTTCATTTTGCTACATATGAATTATACCTCAATGAAAAATATTAAAAGGCAAAAAAGCTATATGAAAGGCAAAAATAAAAATAATTCATAATTCTACCACCTTAATATTTGAGCCATTTTACCAGATTGCATGTAATTTCTTTCTGCTGTTTAGTGATGTTTTGTAAAAATAAAGTATTGTAAGTATGTAGCAATAAGCAGCAATGGCATTTTGACTCTAGATATCGCTATCATTTTCAGAGAGTTTGCAATGTATAAAATGTGCTGAATTCTTAAGGTTTTAAATTCCAATTTTAGGTCTAACAGATTTTTTTTTTCTAAGAGTCTCACTTTTTACCTAGGCCAGAGTCCAGTGGTGCAACCATAATGCACTGCAACCTCCCACTTCAGCCTCCCTAGTAGCTGGGACTACAGGTGCATGCCACCATGCCTGACTGTGCAGATATTTTATAGGATGTATTAAATACATAAAAATCTATTAGAAGATTTTGCTGGACTTGGTTGATATAAAACTATTACTCTGGTGCAGAAACGAACGATGTTATGCTATGAACTGATTAATCAAAACTTTAAAATAGCCAGACGCGGTGGCTCATGCCTATAACAATCCCACCACTTTGGGAGGCCAAGGCAGGAGGTTCACCTGAGGTCAGGAGTTCAAGACCAGCCTGGCCAACATGGTGAAACCCCAACTCTACGAGAAACTCAAAAATTAGCCAGGCGTGGTGGCATGTGCCTGTAATCCCAGCTACTCGGGAGGCTGAGGCATGAGAATTGCTTGAACCCAGGAGGCAGAGATCATGCCACTGCACTCCAACCTGGGCAACACAGTGTGACTCCATCTCAAAAAAAACTTTAAAATATATGGATACCCTCTAGAAGAATTTATTCTACTTTAAAATACAATGGCCATCACCAGACCATAGCCTATTCCCATCTAAAACTGTAGTTATTACCACAGAATTGTAGTACAAGACAATTTGAACATCCTCATTGTTGTTGTAAATTGATTTCTACTCTGAAAAAGTATTTTATCTCACAACTAAAATAGATTATATTCTCCCAGAGAAACAAACTCTGAGGTGTTTTGCCACTCCTATTATATATGAAAAGGGATGACCTCAATTACTTTTTCATGGAAAATGATCCAACCCAATGCAATGGAGCAGAGTTGATAACTGTATCAAGAACACTAAAGGTTGAGGCCAGGCACGGTGGCTCATGCCTGTAATCCCAGCACTTCGGGAGGCTGAGGTGGATGATTGCTTGAGCCCGGGAGTATGAGACCAGCATGGGAAACAAAATGAGACCCCTGTCTCTACGAAAAAAAATTTACAAGTTTGCCAGGCATAGTTGAAGTCTTAGCTACTTGGGAGCCTGAGGTGAGAGGATCACTTGAGCCAGGAGATTGAGACTGCAATGAGCCCTGATTGGGCCACTGTGTCCTGGGACACAGGTAGACCTTGTCTTAAAAAAAAAAAAAAGGAAATACTAATGGTGGAGAAGCAGGTACAATTTAAGGGTTTGGGGTTTTTTGGTAACAGTTTCTTTTTTTTTTTTTTTGGAGACAGGGTCTCGCTCTATCGCCCAGGTTGGAGTGCAATGGTGCGATATCTGCTCACTGCAACTTCTGCCTCCTGGGTTCAAGTGATTATCCTGTCTGCTAATAGTATTAATCCAGAGTAGCTGGAATTACAGGCGCGCGCCACCACACCTGGCTAATTTTTGTATTTTTAGTAGAGATGGGGTTTCACCATGTTGTCCAGGCTGGTGTCCACTCCCGACTTCAAGTGACCCACCCGCCTTGGCCTCCCAAAGTGCTGGGATTATAGGCGTGAACCACCGCACCCGGCCAACCTCAATAAGATTTAATTCAAGTACTGTACAATTCAACTATTTAAAATGTACAATCAACTGGCTTTCAGTAGATTCAGAGTTGTGTGACTATCACCACAATCAATTTTAGATCATTTCCATCACTTCTAAAAGAAAACCTGTGTGAATTCATGAACAACAAAAAATATGGTACACACACAGTGGAATATTATTCAGCCTTAAAAAGGAAGGAAACTCTAACATGTTACAACATGGATGAAACTGGAAGATGTTTGGCAAAGTGAAATAAGCCCATCACAAATGGACAAATACTGTTTGATTCTATTTACATGAGGTACCTGGAGTAGTCGAATTCAAGGAAGCAAAGACTGATGGTTGCCAGGGGATGAGGAAGAGAAGAATGGGGAGTTGTTTAATGTGTATGGAGTTTCAGTTTGGGAAAATGAAAACAGTTCTACAGATAGTGGTGATGAGTGCACAGTGTGAACGTAGGTAGTGTAACTACACTTTAGGATGGTTAAAATTGTATATTTTATGTATATTTTACCACAATTTAAAAAGAACAAGAAATCCCATACGCATTAGCAATCATTCTGCATTCTCAACCAACCTCTGGGCAACCACAAATCTGCTTTCTTTCCTTATGGATTCGCCTATTCTGGACATTTCATATAAACAAAATTACACAACATATGGCCTTTTGTGTCTGGCTTCTTACATAGTGTTTGCCAGGTTCATCCATGTTGTAGCATGTATTAGTGCCTCATCACGTTTTATGGCCAAAACCATTCCATTGTATGGCTTACACCACAGTTATCCATTAATCGGTGATGGGCATTCATATTGTTTCCACTTTGGGGCTACTATGAATAATACTATGAACATTCGTGTAGAAGTCTCTGTGTGAACATATGTTTTCAATTCTCTTGGGTGTATTTATAAATACCTAAGAGTGGAATTACTGGATCATAGGGTAACTTTATGTTGAGTCCTTCGAGGGAATACTGGAATGTCTTCTAAAGTGACTAGACATTTTGCATTCCCTGAAGCAGCGTTTTGAATTTTTTAAACATAACATCATTTGCCTGAGATAACAACAAAAACCAAACGTAGACCTATTTTTTCTCTGCTTCGCTGGGAGGGAGCAAGAGTGAAGCTATTAAAACGTAAGGGAACAAGCCCGGCTAGTTCCCCTGCTGACCCGAGGGCGCGGGCGGTCCCGGCAGGCCCCGCGACGCAGCCAACGGCCGGGACGTGCGCGCATGCGCGCTAGGACTCCGCTCCGCCTACGCTGCAGGCGGAGAGCAACCGCCAAGCTTGGTGGGAGTCAAGGTGAGTGCAAAGCACTACAGCGCTGGGGTCCCACTAACTCGAGGTCACCGCTGTCAGTGGGAGGGGTCCTCATGAGTCTGGACTCGCTTTCATCCGCTTTGGTTGTGAAGTGTTTTCCTGCAGTCTTCCCCTCACCAGTTCATCCCCGGTGCTGACAGGGCACGGAGAGAAGACAGAATCCGCGCCTGTTCCACGTGCAGCAACACTCGGCGTTCGTTAGACTAAGGGAAGACAGGGAGTTAGAATTTTATCCCTGTTCCCTCACTTAACGCTTTTCCACAGGCTTCTATGTCTTTTCCCGACTTAATATGCCTCCGTGAAAACGCGTCCACTCCCCAGGGCCTCCGCTTTACGCAGTGACACCCAGACTTAGCTCTAACTCTTTTGATGCCACCGAACTCCAGGCCCTGATTTATGGCCCCCTCCTGCTTACATCTATCAGGGAATCCCAAGAGTCCTCAAAGTCAGGATATCTCAAGGGAACTTTTCCTCATGTCCTTAACACTTCTCCTTGGGCTCTGTATTTCCATTAGAGCAGCAGCATCCACCCATACCCATATTAAAACCCCACTTAGCTTTCGATTACTCTTCTGCGTATTGTAGACTGATCACCAGGTCCAGTGTGCAATCTTTAAAATTCTAGAATCGATCTCCTCCATTCCATTTCGTTCCTAATGCCCTGGATCAGGCCATCCAACTTGTAGGAATATCCCAATAGGTAGAAACTGATTATCAGCTCTCCCGCTATTCCAACCTACTTTCCACATTGGCAGCAGGCACAGGTTTCCAAAATAAAAATCTGACTATGGGCTAGGCGTAGTGGCTCATACCTGTAATCCCAGCACTTTGGGAGGATGAGACAGCTACCCAAGAGTTGGAGACCAGCCTGGGCAACACAGTAAAACTCCGTCTCTACAAAAAAATTAAAAATTATCTGGATGTGGTGGCACGTGCCTATAGTCCCAGGCTGAGAAGGGAGGATAGCTTGAGCCCGGGAGGTAGAGGCTGCAGCAAGCCGAGATCACGCCACTGCAACTCCAACCTGGGCAACATAGTGAGACCCTGTCTCAAAAAAAAAAAAAATCTGACTATAATACTAACCCCCTTAAAAAAACTTTGATGGCTTCCCTTTGCCTATATAATCTTCAAAAGCGTACATAATCTGGCCTCACCCAACCATTTAATTACCAATAGTCGCCCTTCATTCCACCCCAGAAACCTAATGTTCTAGTGCAGCAAAGATGTGATGTTCTGAACACAACACACATTTTGAGATCATTGTCCTTATGGCCACGGAGAAATAAACGCTAAAGTTTCACTTTTATGTTGTAGCAAAAAGGACAGTCTTAATTGGTTTTCTTTGGAAAGTAGCCTGAACTCCACGTAGTGGGTGTGTGGATCCAGTAGTGTAAAACTGATAATGAGGGTGGAAGGTGACCTCCATCTCTGGAACACTTTCTCTTTCTCTTCACCTCTCCTCCAATTAGTGAAATAGTCGTCTATCAAATGTCACCTTAAAGTAGAATTCATACCTTCTTCCCTATGACCCCACCATCTTCAATGAAAATGTCTTAAAATAATGGAAAATGTTATGACCCATATACAAGGATGACCCCAAATTTTGTGAAATATTTCATATATGTTGTTCCTTTCATGCTACCTGGTATATTCATATTTCTATTACAGCACTTAAATTGCCATGTAACTGTTTACATATATGTCTTCTCTCACTGCACTCTTTCTGAAGGATAGGGACAATATTTTACTCATCTTAGTATCCTTAAGTGCCTAGGACAATCTAGTATCCAACCTATAGTAGGTGCCAAATAAATATTTGGTAATGAGGCCGGGTGCGGTGGCTCACGCCTGTAATCCCAGCACTTTGGGAGGCCAAGGCGGGCAGATCACTTGAGGTCAGGAGTTCGAGACCAACCTGGCCAACATGGTGAAACTCCGTCTCTACTAAAAATACAAAAATTAGCTGGGCCGGGTGACACATGCCTATAATCCCAGCTACTTGGGAGACTGAAGCAGGAGAATCGTTTGAACCCAGGGGTGGAGACTGGAGTGAGCCAAGATAGTGCCACTGTACTCCAGCCTGGGCGACAGAGTTGGGACTCCATCTCAAAAAAAAAAAAAAAAAAAAAACAACCTGGTAATGAATGAATAACGTGTTAGTCATTATTTCTGACTTCTCTGTCTCTGCCTAGCAACTTCTTGAAAGGCAGGATCCAATCTTAATCATTTTATTTTAGCACCTATTAATCATTTTATTTCTAGCACCTGTTACAACTACTGACATATATTGTTTCCAATTAGTATTTGCTGTCTTTCAATGAATTTCACATATTCCATTCTTTACTCATTACTGTGGTTTAATGTTTTATGTTGGTCACTGACACAATATTTAAAATTGGAAGGGGCTTTAATCATCTGATACAACACTTTCCTTTCCTACAGATAGATACTGAGCCAAGAGAGGTCAGATGATTTCCCCATAGCAACCAGGAAATGCTGGGTCTAGAACCAAGTTCTCAGGTTTCCCAGTTTAATACTAATTCTACTATATTTTGTTACTTAGATTGAATTTATGAAACAACTTTTACCAGTTTCATTTTTTAAACAACACCTGGAAAGGACCCTCATCATCAGATATTGTTTATTTCAACAAACATTTTTGGGAGTACCTCTGTTAAGAGACATTTGAGGTTCCTGTTTTTAAGTTTTCGATCTTGTGGAGGATCTCATAACAGTCTTGATAAAAATGTTATTTGGGCTGGGCGCGATGGCTCACACCTGTAATCCCAGTACTTTGGGAGGCTGAAGCTGGCGGATCACGAGGTCAGGAGATCAAGACCATCCTGGCTAACACAATGAAACCCCATCTCTACTAAAAATACAAAAAATTAGCCGGGCATGGTGGCACACACCTGTAGTCCCAGCTACTTGGGAGGCTGAGGCAGGAGAATCGCTTGAACCTGGGAGGTGGAGGTTGCAGTGAGCTGAGATTGCGCCACTGCACTCCAGCCTGGGCAACAGAGCGAGACTCCATCTCAAAAAAAAAAAGAAGTTATTTGGCAAAAGAAAACAAAAGTTTTGTTTTCATTGGGTAGGAATGTTTTTAAGTTGGAAATTTTGCCTAGTTTTAGTTCACTGTCAACTTTAATAATTTGTAAAGTCTTATTAGAGATTTTCAAAAATAAAATTAATTTTATTTCTAGGTTTTCACATCCTTTCTATGAGTTTCGCCATCTATAGCTTTTATCAACAATTGTGGTTTAATCAATTAGAAATATTAACCAGGAGAAAATGTCAAATCTAAAAATGAAAGAGGCGGCCCTCATCTATCTTGACAGAAGTGGAGGCCTCCAAAAGTTTATAGATGATTGCAAGTACTACAATGGTACGTTCAGCAAAGGTGAGTTATTTTTAAAACTTTCAAATAAACTCCTACACATAGCTATCCTGACTTTTACATTTGTATATTTTCATAGATTCAAAACAAAGCTATGCTGTCTATCGATTCAAAATTTTAATAAATCCCTCTGATGTTGTTGAATTAGATGCTGAGCTTGGAAATCACATTTTACACCAACCTTTAAAAGCTGCTGAAGTCTTTCAATCAGTAAGTCAAAAAAAGAAATAATTTTATGCCACATGGAATTTTTGGTAACTTTTTTTGTTTGAAATCACAGGTCTGTTTTATTGCTGTTAAGACTCTCTCATTAATTGGACAATTGCAGACTGAAACGCAAGTAAGTTTTAGTTACATTTAAGCAAACTCAGGTACAGATTTACATGATGACTTGTAAAAAAATATTTTTATATTCATAGACTTTTTATTTAAAAGGATACTACTTTTTTTCAAAATTCAATAGAATATCTTACATAGGCATCTTTATTTCTTGTATTATCCTTTATAACATTAAACACTTCTTTTTTTTTTGAGATGGAGTCTCGCTCTGTCGCCAGGCTGGAGTGCAGTGGCACAATCTCAGCTCACTGCAACCTCTGCCTCCCGGGTTCAAACAATCCTGCCTCAGCCTCCCAAGTAGCTGGGATTACAGGTGCCCACCACCACGCTCAGCTAATTTTTGTATTTTTAGTAGAGACAGGGTTTCACCATGCTGGCCAGGCTGATCTCGAACTCCTGACCTCATGATCCGCCCACATTGGCACCCTGAAGTGCTGGGATTACAGGCGTGAGCCACCGCGCCTGGCCAACATTAAACACTTTTATAATAAAACTTTTCAAACATACCCAGAAGTAAAGGGAATAATACAGTGAACCTTCATATATCTACCACTCAACTCAGATTCAATGTTATAATATTTTTTCATACCTGCATCATCAATTTTTTTCTAAATTATTTTAAAGCAAATCCCAGATATTCTATTATTTTATCCCTACATACTTTAGTATCAACCTGTAAAAATTATGGACATTTTTCTTCTTTCTTTTTTTGAGAAGGAGCTTTGCTCTTGTTGCCCAGGCTGGAGTGCAATGGCGTGATCTTGACTCACCACAACCTCCACCTCCTGGATTCAAGCAATTCTCCTGCCTCAGCCTCCCAAGTAGCTGGGATTACAGGCATGTGCCACCACACCTGGCTAATTTTGTATTTTTAGTAAAGACGAGGTTTCTCCATGTTGGTCAGGCTGGTCTTGAACTCCCGACCTCAGGTGATCCACCCGCCTCGGCCTCCCAAAGTGCTGGGATTACAGGTGTGAGCTACTGTGCCCGGCCATGGACATTTTTGTTATGTTACCAGAATGTTATCACCCTTACAAAAGTAACAATAATTCCCTTGGTATTATGTAATATCCAGTTTACATTTAAATTTGCCCAATTGTTTCAAGAATATCTTACAATAGGTTTGTTCCAAATCAGGACCAAAACAAGGTTCACACATTATAATTGGTTCTTACATCTCACTAAGTCTCTTTCAATCTAGAGCCATTTCCTCTCCCTCCCTTTTTAGACCATTACCTTTTTGAAGAAACTAATTGGTCCTACGTTATATAATCTTGATTTGTCTAATTGCTTCCTTGTAGGGCTATTTATCTTATTTCCCAACCTCATATTTCTAAAATAGAAGATGACTGTAAAGGCTTTTTAGATTCAGATTCAAATCACTTGACAAGAATACATAATAGTATAATGTATTACATATTGTGCTATATCAGGAGGATATAGTATCTATTGTTGCACTTTTAACAGTGTCACAATTGATTAGTGGGTTCCTGTGATGTCATTCTCATCTCTCCATTATACAATTTCCCATCAACTTTCACCTAATGGTTTTAGCAGCCATTGATGTTCATTGCCTAGAATTCGTTATTTCATTAGGAGATGCAAAACTGTAATTTTTCTAATTTTAGCATTCTTTCTGAATTAGCTGAAATTCTTCTGTAAGAGTAATTTTCTCTCATCAGCTATTTAGTTACTCTGAAATACAATTTGTACAGGAAAGGCAGGGTAAATGTTTGATTCTTTGCCTTTATAAAGAGTAATGAGTTGAAATCTAGCAGCTTCCAATAATGGCCAATATTTTTTGAGGGGGAGGGTTTCCATTTTTAAATATAAGGAACTCATGAACTTTTAAATATATATGGTATGTTTCAGTGAATCTTTGTCATTCCTTTTGATGCTCATATTAGCCTACCTTTTGTCACTGGGGGTCCCTTCAAGGTTGCTCCTATGTCCTTTTGACACAGGCCATTTGTTAGACCATACCCCAAGTCCATCTGCTATATTTTCTATCCCAGGCCTGAAATCAGCCATTTCCCCCAAGGAATCCTGATTCCTTTTAGTAAGAAATGATACTTAACAAGAGATCACAATCTGGGCACTAGGCGTGCTTCTTTGCTACCTGGTTGACATTGTTTTATTTTATTTATTTATTTATTTTATTTTATTTTGAGATGGAGTCTCACTCTGTCACCCAGGCTGGAGTCTCACTCTGTTGCCCAGGCTGGAGTGCAGTGGCGCGACCTCGGCTCACTGCAAGCTCCGCCTCCCGTGTTCATGCCATTCTCCTGCCTTAGCCTCCCGAGTAGCTGGGACTACAGGCGCCTGCCATCACACCCGGCTAATTTTTTGTATTTTTAGTAGAGAAGGGGTTTCACCATGTTAGCCAGGATGGTCTCGATCTCCTGACCTCGTGATCTGCCCGCCTTGGCCTCCCAAAGTGCTGGGATTACAGGGTGAGCCACCGTGCCCGGCCCTGGTTGACATTGTTTTTTAAGTCTTTTCAGTGGATATGGTCAGAAATTGTGTATATTTAAGGAAAAATTTAAAGTTCATAATGCTATTTTCAATTAAAATATTAGATTACAGGATTTTTACTTCTTTAATTTTATACTTGAATGTTGTTTCTCTAATGCTTAAAATTTTGGTTCCTAAGAACAATAACATATCATTACTTGACTTTCTTTATAATATACTTACTATATTGTAATACAAGTCAAATTGGATTTGCAATTTTCATTAATACCATTTTTATGTTCTTATTAGATTAATATAGTGCTGAAATTAACACATTTACCTCCCCTGCCAAGTTATGGTCTTGATCTTTGTGAGTTTCCACTTGATTATACATCTCAGAGATTTTATATGATGCAAGGAATTGTGATTGCAATGACAACTATAACCAAGTATACACAAGGGGCAAGATTTCTTTGTTCAGATGAAGCATGCCCTCTTTCAAAAGGTAAATGTTAAATAGGAAAATCAAAGCATTAAGCAATTGGCTAGGCATGGTGGCTCACACCTGTAATCCCTGCACTTTGGGAAGCTGAGGAGGGAGGATCACCTGAGCTCAGGAGTTTGAGACCAGCCTGGGCAACATGGAGAAACCTCGTCTCTACAAAAAATACAAAAATTAGCCCAGCATGGTGGCACATGCCTGTAGTCTCAGCTATTCAAGACACTGAGTTGGGAGGATTGCTTGGGCCAGGGAGGTCGGGGCTGCAGTGAGCTGTGTTCATGCCACTATACTCCAGCCTGGATGACAAAGAGTGACCCTGTCTAAAAAAAAAAAAAAAAAAAAATTGAACAATTTATTGTTTAATCCTAAATCATATTTACAATTAGTTATAAAACACAAAATAGAAAAAAATTGAATAAAAATTTTATGTCTCCTAATGTTTATATATTTACTTTGCATAATCTTGAAATGCATTTTTTCTCCTTTTCTCCCCCGCCCCCATCTTAACAAGTGCACCTATATTGCTGAAGTACTTGCTCTTCTCACACATTATTTCATGACGTTGTGAGTGAAACGTTTAATGTCCTCTCTCAACCCTTTGGCTTAACTTCAGTTTAGTCCTTCTGCAGGACTTCAAAATTATCCCCACCACCTCTAATTGGGTTGATTGACCCTCCTCTCTTCTCTCTGAACACGCTGCAAATGAATACCACAGGTGGAAATTATCTGTTTCTCACTGCCACATATAGAAATTGTGTGCTTAAGCATCCATATTGCCAGTGCCTTAGCACAGTGCCTTGCAAAAAACAGCTGTTAACTGTTAATTGAACTACCCTGAACCCAAGTGCAAAACTGAATTAATTCCGTTTTGAATTAGACTAATTTTAAAGGACTGTAATAGCTACAATCTGTGTCAGTAATAAAAGAAAAAAGAAAATATAAAATTAAAAATTAAAAAATGACAACAACAAAAGAAACAAAATAGATAGCTAAATCTGAAAGCAAATGTATGTTACCACTGTTTTCTTTCAGGATTTCAGTATATAAGAGTGCATGTGCCTGGTGCTACAGAATCTGCAACGATAAGAAATGACTTTTTGTGTAATCTATGTGCATCTTCACTTCAAGAAGACAGAAAATTTAGAGTACTTGGTGGTAATATGCATTTATATTTTGTAATTATAATTTTTAAAATAGTGTCTGATATTTCAATATGGAAATTAAATTGAATATATATTCTAATATCTAATTATTTTTTGCTCTTTGCTTTAAGATAAACAAATAGTTGAAATAATTGCCACAAAGGCACTTCGTGCTTTTCAAGGATATTCTAACAACCAGCCATTTAGGTTTCAATCACTTACAATTTTCCTAAGAGGTAAGTGAATTCTGTTTGAACTAAAAAAAAATTGCTATAAATATGTAATTGGCTGGGCACAGTGGCTGGCTCATGCCTGTAATCCCAACACTTTTGGAGGCTGAGGTGGGAGGATCACTTGAGGCCAGGAGTTTGAGACTAGCTTAAGCAATATAGTGAGACCCCATCTCTACAAAAAATTAAAAAATAAAAAATTAGCTAGATGTGGTGGCATGTGTCTGTAGTCCTAGCTACCTGGGAAGCTAAGGTGGGAGGGTGGGAGGATCGCCTAAGCCCAGGAGTTGGAGGCTGCAGTGAGCCATGATGGTGCCACTGCACTCCAGTCTGGGCAACAGAGAGACACCCTGTCTCAAAAAAATAATAATAACAACAAAATAATAAATGAAAAGCTGGCCAGGCGCGGTGGCTCACACCTGTAATCCCAACATTTTGAGAGGCCTAGGATGGTAAATCACCTAAGGTCAGGAGTTCAAGACCAGCCTGGCCAACATGGTGAAATCCCATCTCTACTAAAAATACAAAAATTAGCCAGGTGTGGTGACGGATGCCTGTAATCCCAGCTACTCGGGAGGCTGAGGCAGGAGAATCACTTGAACCCGGGAGGCAGAGGCTGCAGTGAGCCAATATCGTGCCACTGCACACAAGCCTGGGTGACAGAATGGGACTCTGTCTCAAAAAAGAAAAAAAAGCAATTGACTTGTTTATGCTTATAAATTATAAATGGCACTTCTATAGCTTAAGAATCACAAGTCTTCTAATTCTTGAGTGTTTTAAAAGAGTCATATTTAGTTAATATTATCAATTATTCATTCAGTCATACAACACTCACTTAAAATGATATTAGGACCTAATGTGTCCCAAGCACTGAGCTAAGTCCCAGGGTCACAGTTATTTTAAGACAATGGGATCTCCTATTATTCTGTGTGTGTGTCTTACATAAATATTGGAGTTATTGTTCAGCTCTCTGGGGCTAGAGAGAAAAGAGAAAAAAAGGAAGACCACTCTGATCTTCACAGAGATAAGTTAACCCTTGCTCCTCCCTGTAAACCTTTCTTTCATAGCTTTACAACCAACCAACTTCTAACTGTGGAATGGAGGATCAAAATTTTTAGTATGTTTTTTAAAATAAATTTTGAACTCATCCAAAGTGTTGCCCAAGCTCTAGGTATGAGAGAGGAACCTAGTATAATGCAAGAGGGTAGACTTTGAGGGTAGGCAAACCTAAATGTGAATTTCAGTTCTGCTTCTTACTAGTTATTTAGCCTTGTGCAAGCCATGTAACCTCTCAGTTTCTTAATATATAAAGTACAGATAAGAATATCTTACATGCTGGGCATGGTGGTTTACACCTGTAATCCCAACACTTTAGGAGGCTGAGGCAAGAGGATTGCTTGAACACTAGAATTTGAGGTTACAGTGAACTGATTGTGCCACTGCACTACAGCCTGGGCAACAGAGCGAGACTTTGTCTCAAAAACAAACAAAAAGCCATATTTTATAGGTTAAATAATGTTTTTACAAGTACTTACATGTATTGTAGACAGGAAAATTATTTTCCTCTCAAATAAAATTATCACTTATAAGGTCATTTTTATTAACATTCCTTTTCATTGAATAGAAAAATGTTTCATCTTATATGGAATAATTTTATTTTCTTTTGACCATATTATAGAAGAGTGTCTAGTTGCTATATCACATGCTTCTTGAAGTTAATTCATCATAGCACATAAGAATAAAAATTTATCAGCAATAAAATTGCATCAGATTATATTATTAGTGTCACTCTATATGGATATTATCCTAAACAAAAGTAAATACTCCTAACTCAACTACTGAATTGTTTTACTAGTTCTGGATCTTTGAACCATATGTTCATGTACAAAGTTCATTTAGTGAATATGTATTTTCTTCTGTCTTTAATAATTTTAGATGAATCAGTGAATAAAATGAATATAGGAAATGAATATAAAATTATTGGAATTCCAACCTGTGTAAAAACCTCACAAACTGCTGTCTGTATAGAAGCAAATAGCATAACTTTTTGTAATTCAAAAGGTAAGGAAAATTTTAGTATTATATATTAACAAATATTTAAATTTAAATCTATTTGTTCAGCAGATAAGTATTGTTTGCCTATGTGCTAGGCATTCCTCTAAGCACTAAGAATACAGTTGTAAACAGGACAGTCAAGGTTTCTGTTCTTAAGTCACATGGCAGACAGTCAATATACATATAAAGTAAGCAAAAGACAATTTCAGATAATAAGTACATGAAGGAAATAAAACAGGATAATGTTGTGGAAACTTTCTAGCATATAGGACTTATTTCTTTGGGCTAAGCCTTATTTTAATTTTTTAAATAATTAATAATGAGAAAAATGTTTCAAGGTTAGAGATTAGTCAAAGGATTTTTCTATACCACTAGCCAAGGCAATTCTGGGTTAACTTTTGTGGTCTGAGAAGGAGAGCTCAATAAAGTAGCATCCTTGGCTGGGCGCTGTGGCTCACGCCTGTAATCCCAGCACTGTGGGAGGCCGAGGCAGGCAGATCACGAGGTCAGGAGTTCAAGACCAGCCTGGCCAAGATGGTGAAACCCCATCTCTACTAAAAATACAAAAGTAGCTGGGCATGGTGGCAGGTGCCTGTAATCCCAGCTACTTGGGAGGCTGAGGCAGGAGAATCGGTTGAACCTGGGAGGCAGAGGTTGCAGTGAGGCAATATTGTACCACTGTATTCCAGCCTGAGTGATAGAGACTCCGTCTCAAAAAAAAGAAAAAAAAATAAAAAGCGTCCTTTTCCTCAACTGAATTCTGAACCAAATCAAGAAATAAGATAAAGGCAGATGAGGACCAAAATATCACCTTTATTACTGATAATTTCCTTTAACAACTCCAACATGCGTTAGCATTATGTAAACAAAAGTGGAGAGCAGACCTATTCTTTTAACTTGGCTCACAAGTATCTAAATATAGAAAAGGCTGATTAAATCTTGAATAGAGTTGGATTTTTTTGTAATCCGTATGTTCCCTGAATGGGCTATATATATTCAAAGTGATCCCCAAATGCAGAAGAACCTGAGAAAACAAAGGAGGCAGACAAGTCCAGTTTGTCATTATAGGGTGGTTTTACTGGTGAACTTAAGGACAGAAGCATGATCTTGGGCAGCCACAAGACAGGTAGATCTCCATGCTATTACCCCCAGACCCAGGAATTAGATAGGGAAAGAGTACACATGCTTTAGAGGGATTGGATAGGAATTGATATAAGGACAGGATTTACAGTAGGTATTAATTTATCAAGGTTGATTGATCTAAGGGCAGGATTTATGGTAAGTATGTGCTCTTGCATGAGGAACAATAGATCAACTGGAAATCTCCGAGCTTTCGCAGATTATCAGAAGTCAACATAGCAGATTAGCTTCCAAGATGAAGTTTCTTTTCTTTTTTTTTCTTTTTTTGTTTTTTTGAGACACAGTCTTGCTCTGTCACCTAGGCTGGGGTGCAGTGACGCAATCTCAGCTCACTGCAACCTCCACCTCCCGAGTTCAAGGGATTCTCCTGCCTCAGCCTCTCAAGTGGCTGGGATTACAGGTGCTCACCACCACGCCCAGCTAATTTTTGTATTTTTAATAGAGATGGGGTTTCACCATGTTGACCAGGCTGGTCTCAAACTCCTGACCTCATGATCCGCCCACCTTGGCCTTCCAAAGTGCTGGAATTACAGGCATTAGCCACCACACCTGGCCCAAGATGAAGTTTCTTTAGCCTCCATACTGTGGATAATCATCAGTAGTAATAGAGACCCAAGTTGAATTTAAATGCAAGTAGATTCTAAATACTTCTACTTACTTGAAGAGAAAAGCTTCTTAAAAAAACAAAAATGTTAAAGAAAGAAAGCACTGATGAATTATAGAGGGTTTAGTGATCTTTTAAATATTTTCTGCTAAGTGTTTAAAAATTTATTGATTTGGTAGCAGAACATGACTTTTCTGTAGGTGGAGAGTGTGCTTTCTTATGCTGAACTCCAGAATGAGATGTATTTAACTACCCAAATGTGGCAAGAGCTGGACTAAAGTAGGCCTCTCTTAGTCCATGGGCATGGATGAGTTAGAGGAAATCACTGCTTTTTGATGGCAGCCCAGAAAGAAGGAGAATGGGACTAGGTTATACATGCACAGCTGTTCCACCCAAATTACCAATTGGATAAATCACTCATTCCTTTCAGGAGGTGGAGAGTGAGAGGATGGAGAAGATCTAGAATTTTACAGTATACTACAGTACAGCACTTTCAAAGTAGTGGAATATAAATCTTTCCATTTAACAGCAACATTCAAATATTTCCCATTCTGCTTATTATTCCTCTCTGAAGGTGATACATAGAAATATAGGAGCAAACACAGCAATGCAGGCGCTCTATGATCTGGTTTGCTCACATAGATCTTAAAAGGAGAAGAATGAGGGATTTGCCTACAACCCACAGCCAATCTATGTGGACACAAAGGGTGACTTCTTCCTTCTATTACGTTCCTTGAGGTAGAAATGGTAAACTAGCATGACCTCGAATCATAATTTAATATCATTCTAAGAATTTAAAGGCCAAGCACGGTGGCTCAGGCCTGTAATCATAGCACTTTGGGAGGTCAAGGCAGGGGAATCAATTGAGGCCAGGGGTTCAAGACCAGCCTGGGAAACATAACAAGATCCTGTCTCAAAAAAAAAAAGAATATGGTATTATTGGAACTATAATTTGATAACATTTTAGATAAAGGGAGTCAAATATCTATAATGTTGTCTTGTTTTAAAACCCTTTCTAATATATATGTTAATATTTACTTTCAGTTCCTTCAGGAATTAGTGACAACTTCAGGTGTCTCCTCTCCTTAACTTCCAGCTCATGCTGGAAGTTTACAGCAATACTTGCCAATATCTTTGCATCACAAATTACCCCTCCTGGGACTTACAATTTGCTCAAGCTCTGTTTGTTGATGAGTCTAGTACAGACAACTGACCGTAACAAGGAACTGGAAGATTGCCTGGATATTTTAATTATAACAAGTGATACTCTACTCATAGACAGGTATATATGTGACATGAATTTTTACAAATATTAATTGGTCACAGATTTGCATACATCCTTTCCATGAGCATTATTACAAGAAGAATATTTAGAATTTTTCTGAGCCAGTATAAGTATTTAAATCAATCTTTATCAATAAAATTCAAAACCTTTGAAAGATAAATTGATAAGTGATAAGTTGAATTACTCCAATTTTCAACCTATTTCCCCACTCAGACCTTTGTAAATAAATACATCCTTCCCAGCCTTCCTTTCCCCCTATTCCCTAGCTCTGTATTCTCTTTCTGTACTTTGTTTTGAATAGTCTTCCCCCTAAGGAACAAACTAACCATTTTCTTATTTTTCTTCAATATTCCATCAATAATATTGACTCACTGCATCCAGATAAGGCTGTCAGAAGTGCCATAATTACTATCTGGGGGGAACATCATCCTAACTTTGGAGTAAGCCTCTATTTAGCATTTTGTGGCTCCCCACTAGCAAGTACCCTTTCCTTAAAACTTGCTTAAATATTCACAAAGTTAGAAATAAGCTCCCTATTTAGTATCTTGTATGCAAATCCAAAGCAAAAAATAAATTTACAAAATGAATTTAAAATAGAAAAAAATAAAATTGAAATTAACAATAATTTAATTGAACAGATTATGTTTTGCTAAAATTAAATTGCCACTGGTGATGTAAATATGGTACCAAATGCCGAGATTGTACCACTTTATTCTTCTACTGACAGAATTTTTTTCCTCACAGCCTCACCAGCTCTGGGTATTATCAAACTTATATTTTTGTTATCATTATTTTTTGAGACAGGGTCTCACTCTGTCACCCAGGCTGGAATGCAGTAGCATGTTCATGGCTCACAACAGCCTCAACCTCCTGGGCTCAAGTGATCCTCCAGCCTCAGCCTCCTGAGTAGCTGTGACTAGAGGCGCACGCCACTACACTGGGCTAATTTTTTAATTTTTTATATAAACAAAGTCTCCCTATGTTGCTAAGGCTGAACTCCTGGGCTCAAGCGATCCTCTCACCTCATTATCCAACTTTAAAATTTTGCAATCTGGGCTGGGCGTGGTGGCTCAAGCCTGTAATCCCAGCACTTTGGGAGGCTGAGGTGGGTGGATCATGAGGTCAGGAGATCGAGACCATCCTGGCTAACACCGTGAAACCCCGTCTCTACTAAAAATACAAAAAATTAGCCAGGTGTGGTGGCACGCGCCTGTAGTCCCAGCTACTCAGGAGGCTGAGGCAGGAGAATTGCTAGAACCTGGGAGGTGGAGGTTGCAATGAGCCGAGATCGCACCACTGCACTCCAGCCTGGGCGACAGAGCGAGACTCTGTCTCAAAAAAAAAAAAAAAATTGCAATCTGATAGGTGGAAAATTGTATTTTATTTTAATTTGCATTTATTTAATTGGAAATAATTTTTGCATCATATAAAACTTATTAAACATGTATTATTTTTCTATGAACCTCCCATTCTTGATCATTGTTGTTTTTATTATGTTGTTTATCTATTTATTATTGATTTGTGATGCATGTAAATTAAGGCCTTTCTTTTTCTGTTTGCCATTAACCTTTAGACTTTTTAAATGATATTTGGGGCTGTGTGAGAGATTGGTTTGTTTTTTTCTTTTTAGGTAAAATTTACATACAGTGAAATAATCAGATCTTATCATCATCACTAAAAACATTGAGTTTTGACAAATTTAACATACACTCCTTTAATCACCACCACAATGAGATATAGAACATTTCTATCACCCCAGAAATTTCCCTCCTTCCCTCTTCCAATCAGTTCCTATCTTCACTGGTGATTTCTGTCACCATAGATTAATTTTCCTGTTCTTGAACTTCAGATAATGAAATCATACAGTGCATCCTCTTTTGGGTCTAGTCTCTCTTACTCAACAAAATATTTTTGAATTGATCCAATTGTGTACATCAGTAGTTCATTGTTTCTGTTGATGAGTAGCATTTCATTATACGAATGTACCAAAATTCATTTATCTATTCTCGTAGTGGAAGACATTTGGTTTTGCATGTTTTGACTATTATGAATAAAGCTGCTGTAAACATTCTTGCACAAGTCTTTTTGTGGACATGTATTTTCATTATCTTGGGTAAATACCTAGGAGAAGAATTGCTGGGTCATAAGGTATATGTATAACTTTTTTTTTTTTTTTTTTTTTTTAAGACGGAGTTTCACTCTTGTTGCCCGGGCTGGAGTGCAATGGCACCATCTTGGCTCACTGCAACCTCCGCCTCCTGTGTTCAAGCAATTCCCCTGTTTCAGCCTCCCGAGTAGCTGGGATTACAGGCACATGCCACCACACCTGGCTAATTTTTGTATTTTTAGTAGAAATAGGGTTTTATCATATTGGCCCGGCTAGTCTCGAACTCCTGACCTCAGGTAATCCACCCGCCTTGGCCTCCCATAGTGCTGGGATTACAGGCATGAGCCACTGTGCCTGGCCTATAACTTTATAAGAAACTGCCAGTTAGCTGAGCGCAGTGGCTCATGACTGTAATCTCAGCACTTTGGGAGGCTGAGGCAGGCAGATCACCTGAGGTCAGGAATTTGAGACCAACCTAGCCAATGTGGGGAAACCCCATCTCTAATAAAAATACAAAAATTATTTGGGCATGGTGGCATGCGCCTGTAGACCCAGCTACACTTGGGAAGCTGAGGCACGAGAACTGCTTGAACCCAGGAGGTGGAGGTTGCAGTGAGTCGAGATAGTGCCACTGCACTCCAGCCTGGGCAACAGAGCAAGACTCAGTCTCAAAAAAAAAAAAAAAGAAAGAAAGAAACTGCCAGTTTTCCGAAGTGGTTGTACCATTTTACATTCCTACCAACAATGTAAAGAGTTCCTCTTGTTTCCATCCTCATCAACATTTGGTGTTGTGAGCCCTTTGCATTTTAGCCATACTAGTGGGAATGAAATGATATGTCATTGTTCTAATTTGCATTTCCGAGGTGACTATTGATTTGAACTCTTTTTCATGTGCTTATTGGCCACTCATATATCTCTTTTTATGAAGTGTCTGTTTTTATAAAGTGTTTGTTCATTTGTTAGTTTAGTTGTTCTGGATGCATGTCCTTTGCCAAATATATGTATTATAAAATTTTTCTCCAGATATAAAGCTTTTTAAAAATTGTCTAAAGGTATCTTTGATGAGCAGGCTTTTTAAGTTTTGATGAAATTCAATTTATTATTTACTTTTATGCTTAGCGTTTTCTGACTTCTGTTTAAGAAATCCTTGTCTGGCTGGGCGCGGTGGCTCATGTTTATAACCCCAGCACTTTGGGAGACTGAGGTGGGCGGATCACCTGAAGTCAGGAGTTCGAGGCCGGCTGGCCAACATGGTGAAACCCCGTCTCCACTAAAAATACAAAAAAAAAAAAAAAAAATTAGCCGGGCATAGTGGTGCGTGCCTGTAATCCCATCTACTGGGGAGGCTGAGGCAGGAGAATCATTTGAACCTGGGAGGCGGAGGTTGCAGTGAGCAGAGACTGCCACTGCACTCTGGCCTGGGTGACACAGCAAGACCCTGTCTCAAAAAAGAAAAAAGAAGAAGAAATCTTTGTCTATCCCAAGGTCATGAAGAGTTTTTAAATGTTTTCTTCTAGAAGCATTATAGTTTTAGTTTACTATTTATTTATTTATGTAGAGATAAGTCTTGCTAGGCTGGTCTCAAACTTCCAGGCTCAAGCAATCCTCCTGCCTTAATCTCCCAGAGATTGGTAGGAGGTATGAGTTAAAGTTAATGTTTTTCCTATGCATTTATCCAATTTTTCCACACTAATTGTTGAAAAGATTTTCCTTTCCCCATTAAATTGTTTTGATACCATTGTTCAAATTCAATTGAACTAGGCAGAATCAGGGTATAAAATTGAACTGGATGTAAATCTATTTGAACTCTCTTTTCTAATACTTTGATCTATTGTTCTATACTTATACCAATACTACACTCCCTTGATTATTGTAGCTTTATGTTCAGTCTTGAAATCAGGTAATGCAACTTTATCTTTCATTTTAAAGATTAAAAAAATTTTAGATCCTTTGCATTTTTAAATAAATTTTAGAATCAGTTTATTTTTATTTTTGAGACAGGGTCACGGTCTGTTGCCCAAATTGGAGTGCAGTGGCACAATCATGACTCACTGCAGCCTCAAACTCTTGGGTTCAAGTGATCCACCCACCTCAGCCTGCTGAGTAGCTGGGAACAGAGGCGTGAACCACCACATCTGGTTAATTTTTTTAGTTTTTTGTAGAGATGAGGTCTTGCCATATTGCCTAGACTGGTCTTGCACTCTCAGGCTCAAGTGATCTTCCCGCCTCGGCCTCTCAAAGTGCTGGGATTGCAGATGTGGGTTACTGAGCCCAGCCAAATCAGTATGTTAATACCAACCAAAAAGAAGCCTTTGAGTATTTTGATTGGAACTGTATTTAACGTGTAAATCAATTTTGGGCAGAATTAACATCTTAATAATATTGAGTCTTCCAATCCATGAATGTGGCATATCTCTCCATTTATTTAGGTCTTCTTTAATTTCTCTCAGTGATGTTTTTATAAAGGTCATGCAAATATTTTGTTAAATTGGTTCTAAAAATATTTGATATTTTTGATGCTACTAAAATGGTAGTGTTTTCTTAATTTCATTTTCAATTGTTTGCTATGAATATATAGAAATACAATTGATTTTTATATTTTGACTTTGTATTCTGTGACCTTCTGTGTATCAGTAGTTTTAAAAGTTCCTTAGCCAGTTCCAATGTGTAGCCAAATTTGAGGCTCATTGTTCCATATCACTAAGTGCTCAGCCTAGCTGCCTATTAGAATCACCTGGGAGAATTTTTAAAAAATATTTATCACTGTGTCTCACCCCCAGAGTTTCTAATTTAAGTGGTTTGGGGTGGCACTTGGCATTGGAATTTGTTAAATCTCCCCAGGTAAGGTTAGTGCAGGCTGTGGTTGAGAACCACTCCTTATAGGCTTGCAAAGGTTTCTTTCTAAATATCGCTCTCTCTCTCTCATTTTATATATCTTCAAACATCCAAATTCCTTAGAATAGAACATGCGCTAGATATATTTTATACCATCTACCTATCCACATCTCACTCTTTTGCACTGCATGTCTATGCCTACTTTTGTATCACCCCCTTTTGTGTCACATGTCTATGTCTACTCATCATAGGTGATTGCACTAGGAAGCTGTAATTTCTGTGGCAAGGATTTGAAAGCTAAGCTAAGGTAATCATATTCCTTTTTCAGAATTTAAATTTGGGATATGAAGAGACTGAGGCAATTAGCAAAGAGGTTAGAAACCAAAATGACATATCAGCAAATGCCATGAGACAGGCAGGTGCCTCATGCCTGTAGTTCCAGCTACTTGGGAGACTGAGCAGGCAGGATTGCATGAGTCCAGGAGTTTGAGGCTGTGTGTGCTATGACTGCATCATTGCATTCCAGCTTGTACGACAGAGCGAGACTCTGTCTCTTAAGAGAAAAAAAAATTTTGGCTGGACACAGTGGCTCAAGCCTGTAATCCCAGCGCTTTTTGGGAGGCCAAGGCAGGAGGATAATTTGAGCTCAGGAGTTCAAGGCCAGCCTGGGCAACATGGTGAAACCCGTCTCTCCAAAAAAAACAAAAAATTGAGCCAGGCACGGTGGCTTGTGTCTGTGGTCCCAGCTACTTGGGAGGCTGAGGAAGGAGAATCGTTTGAGCCTGGGAGGTGGAGGTTGGAAGCTGAGATTGCTCCATTGCACTCCAGCCTAGTGACAGGCAGAGGTTGCGGTGAGCTGAGATCACGCCACTGCACTAGAGCCTTGGCGACTGAGAGAGACTCAAACAGAACAAAAGAAAACAAAGACAAACAAAAAACCCCATAATTGCCATGACAGAAACAGCAGAGTGATAGTTTTGATGGGACACTAGCAAGCCTAATGCAAAAATTCTGAATAGGCAAAAGAAAGCAATCCATAAAAAGAAGAAGGCCTAATTCAAATGTCATCTCTGTGTAACTTTCTCTGACTCCCTTCCAGGAAGAAATAATACACCCATGGATGTTCTTTTGTTGTTGTTGTTTTTGAGACAGAGTCTTGCTCCGTCACCCAGGCCAGAGTGCAGTGAAGTGATCTCGGCTCACTGGAATGTCCGCCTCCCGGGTTGAGGCAGTTCTCCTGCCTCAGCCTCCCAGTAGCTGGGGTTACAGGCATGTAATTACAGGCCCACCTAATTTTTGTGTTTTTAGTAGAGATGGGATTTTGCCATGTTGGCCAGGCTGGTCTTGAACTCTTGACTTCAAGTGATCTGCCTGCCTCGGCCTCCCAAAGTGTTGGGATTACAGTTGTAAGCCATTACGCCTGGCCACCATGGATGTTCTAAAGACTTTTTTTTTTTTTACACGGAGTCTTGCTCTGTCACCAGGATGAAGACATTTTTTAGTACTTATCACATTGTGTTTTAGTTTTTTATGTCTCTCTTTTTAGACTGTGAGCTTTCCAAGTTAAGGTCCAAGTCTCGTATACATTTTTTTGTTTTGTTTTTTGAGACAGAATCTCACTCTGTTGCCCGGGCTGGAGTGCACAATCTTTGCTCATTGCAACCTCTGCCTTCCAGGTTCAAATGATTCTTGTGTCTCAGCCTCCTGAGTAGCTGGGACTACAGGCATGCACTAGCATGTCTGGCTAATTTTCGTATTTTCAGTAGAGACGGGATTTTACCATGTTAGTCATATATATTTTTATCCCTAGCACAATAGCTGGTGTATCACAGGTGCTCAGTAAACACAGAATAAAATTAAATTTAATACATTGTGACTTTTGAAAATTAAATAATAGTAATGAAAAGTTTATTTTTTTTCCCTAGGCTTCTGAATTTTAGCATAAACCTTGTCCCCCGTGGTATACGTCATCTAGTCTCTACTGAAATTTTTCCCACTCTATCCAGGAATAAGTATGGAACTGGAGCAGTTAGCATTCAGGCTGGCAGTGCTTTGCTAGCTAAAGGTGGTATCTGCTTTATAGGAGACTTGGCTTCACACAAAAAAGATAAACTTGAACAGCTTCAAACAGGTAAACAATATTTTTTAAATTAATTTTCACCCGTTTAACCTATACTCTCATCCATGTTGAGATACTTAACAGTTAAGATAGTATTGCAGTTGTTTGAGGGTTTAAGAAATTATGTTAGATGGCATTTCTTATTTTGGTTTTATAAGCTAAACAGAAATTTAATGTGCAAATGCCCAGTTTTAGCCTTTGCTCTCAGTGTGCTAACACATGAGCTTGTAATGGTCCAGATTTATTTCCTCTTCTTGTCTAGTGATAGCATTAGCTACCACTTCCAGTATAAAGTTGAAAAGTAGTGTTGAGAGAGGACATCCTCGCCTTGTTCCTGATCTGAGTGGGAAAGCTTCAAGTTTCTCACCATTAAGTATGATGTTAGCTGTACATTTTTTGTAGACATTCTTTATCCGTGGAAGTTCTTCTCTATTCCTAATTTTCCGAGAGGGTTTTTTTTAATCATAAATGGATATTGGATTTTGTCAAATGCTTTGTCTGCCTCTGTTAATATGATCATGTCACAGGATCCTTCGGGTGTTGCTTCTCAAGCCAGAAACCTCTATGTCCAGCAGCACCTCTGCTTGAGTTTCACTCCTGCCTGCTGGGCTTGTTCTGCTCACTCAGCCTGGCAGGCTGCACTTGGCTCACACTACCAGTCCAGATCCCATGCCTGCTGAGGATAAGCCAGGAGCGGAGCAGCGAGGGGTGTGTGAGTGAGTAAGCACAGGGTCTGGCCACTGCACATAGCCAGGCACACCAGCCGCTGTGGCAGGGCAGGCAGCTCCAGGGGCTGGCACAGGTGCTGGCTTCATGCAAGGCTGTAGCTGGAACAGGCATACTGCAAGTGGCTTCTACTGAGGGCCCTGGTGTCTGGATGAGGGGAACAGGATGGCACCTGAAAACTTGGAGATACCAGCAACGGTGGAGCCCCAAGGGGCTGCAGGGAAGCATGCCACAGCTCTCTCGTTCCTGCTGCCCACAGCTCAGCAGATGGTGGGGCACATGTTAACAGCTCTTTCAGTCCACTGCTTCACTCCAGCCTGTGGCTCCTGGGCTGGCCCAGCCCATCGCCACTTTCTGTTGTGGGGCAGCCACCCAAGGCTGGCAGAAGGCAAGAGGATTATAGTGTTACAGCTCTGACTCAGGAAATCCTGAGGTCTGGGCCTCCAGAAGGGTCATTGCTCTTCACTCCTGCAGTCCAGCAAACAAGAGTGTGTCACCACTCACAGCTCAGTGAGCTGGCTAGGAAAGTGTTACAGCCCTTTTTGCTCCCACTTGCAGCTCAGCAAGCCTGCCAGGAGAATGTCATGGCCCTTTTCACACCTGCCATTCAACAGGTCCCAAGTTCTTGTTCCACGTCCAGGAAGAATTAGCTTATGTGGACAACTGGAGGGTGAGCAAGGTGGAGAAGAGTTTTATTGCATGGCAGAACAGCTTTCAGTGGACAGGAGACCTGAAGTGGGTAGCTCGTACCCCCAGGCGGGTAGTCCCAACCTGTGTTTGAGTCTGGCTGAGTCTGGGGTTTTTATGGGCTAAGAATGGAGGAAGTACATGCTGATTGGTCCATGGGTGGGCCCAGAAAAAGCACCATCTGATTGGCTGAAAGGCATCAAGGAAGTTCTCACTCCAGGTGGTGGACTCCACCCAGAACTGGCAGCCTGGTTTTCAGGCTTCAGGCTGTCTCCTGCCTGAAGGTTGGGTTCCACCAGGGACCTGCCCCTATCTGCCCAGGAACCTGTCTGCCTCCTGCCATCATCAGTCATATGATTTTTCTCATTTAGCCTGTTGATATGATGGATTACATTAATTGATTTTTGAATATTGAACCAGCCTTGCATACCTGGGATAAAGCTTACTTGGTCATGGTGTATAATTCTTTTTCTACATTGTTGGATTTGATATGCTATTATTTTTGTTGAGGATTTTTTAAATCTATGTTCATGAGAGATATTGGTCTGTAGGGTTTTTTCCTTATAATGTCGTTGTCTGGTTCTGTATTAGAGTAATACTGGTTGGGCAAGATTTATAACTAGCAAGGATATGGACAGCCATGGACTGGGCAAAGAGTAGTCAGAACCTTGCCTTCTTGGCATACCAGCATGAATGTATAAGTGTGCTCAGGGCACATAGCATATTGCTTCACTTTATAAGAGAATGCAGAAATTAGCTGGGCCCAGTGGCTCACACCTGGAATCCCAGCACTTTGGGAGGCTGAGGCAAGAGGATTGCTGGAGGCCAGGAGTTCTAGACCATCCTGGGCAACACACTGAGACCCCATCTCTACAAAAAAAAGCAATAAAAGCAAAATGAGGGTGTATTAGTCTGTTTTCATGTTGCTGATAAAGACATACCTGAGATTGGACAATTTACAAAAGAAAGAGGTTTATTAGACTTACAGTTCCACATGGCTGAGGAGGCCTTACAATCATGGTAGAGTGTGAAAGGCACATCTCAAGTGGTGGCAGACAAGAGAAGAGGGCTTGTGCAGGGAAACTCCCCGTTTTAAAACTATTAGATCTTGTGAGACTTATTCATTATCATGAGAACAGTGCAGGAAAGACCTGCCCCCATGATTCAGTTACCTCCCACCAGGCCCCTCCCACAACACGTGGGAGTTCACGATGAGATTTGGGTGGGGACAGAGCCAACCCATATCAGAGAGTGTAGAACTAGACCCACATTTTATGGTCAGTTGATTTTTGACTACAGCACCAAAGCTAGTCAGTGGGAAAAGGAGTTTTTTTCATCAAAGGATGGTGGAACATCTGGCTGCTACAGAGGAGGGCCTCGGTACAACTGCACTTGGTTCCACACTCGTGAAGTTGGCCCTGCTAGTATGTCCTCTCCCCACAAGAACTTGGCATTTGGTTTAAAACTCTGCTGTCATCATATTCAATTTTTAATAATTTTATCTTTGTATTGTAAGGAAGTCCAACGAGATAATGGCACTTGACTGTGAGTAGAGGAGACACATGGATGCCTGTTTTTACTGTGCCTTACTGCCCTATTTCATACAGCATTTGTGATCACTATGCAGCATTCATAACACACTTAATTTGTACTTTCTCTGATTGTTGCTGGACTCCCATGTGTCATGGGTGCACTATAAGCCAGTGCTTATATTTCCATATCAACACATTTTCAACTGAGTAAGAGGGAATGCTAATAACCCCAAGTGGCCATGCTTTTCATTTGAACTAGGTGTACTTCTAATACAGAAAGAAGGCAAAGGCCTTTCAAGAAACACAAATGACCAAGTAGCCATATCATACTCTTTCTTACTTGGTTGCTTCCCTGTATTTGCCAACCACTTACACTGAAAATGACACAGGAGGAAAGGGAAAGATAGGGCAAATCCATAGTTCCTTGTCTTTTCAGTCCTTCCTCACTTATCAGTAAGCTGAAGGTAGAGAGTGTTGGTGAAATGTATGCATATCAAGAAGTAAAATAAAAATTGTTTTGTGCAGCATTTCCACTGTCCTGGTAAAAACAAAATACATATGCATATGCAAAATACTATTGGTTCCACTTATGAGGTAAATGCCCATATATTTGCATTATACAATATAAAGATAAAAGTATTGTACAATATAAAGATAAAAGGTAAAATTTATGTCAATATAAAATTTTAATTTTTCTTTATTTAGAATGGCAATACTACTATTACATTTTTTGTAACAGTTTTATTGAGATTTCACACATCATACAATTCCCCACTGAAAGTGTACAGTTAAGTGCTTTTTAGAATATTCACAGAGTTGTGCTACTATTACCACTAACTTCAGAATATTTTCATCACCCCAAAAGGAAGCCCCATACCCATTAGCAGTCAACCCCCAGTCCCTGCCTCCCGTCACCTACTCCCTCACAGTCCCTGGCAAACACTATTTGCTTTCTGTTTCTGTGTATTTGCCTATTCTGAACATTGCATAGGCAGTCTTCCCTCAGTATTCTCCAGGGGTTGGTTCCAGGGCCTCTGCAGATACCAAAATCCACAGATGCTCAAGTCCCTTATATAAAATGGCAGAGTATTTGCATATAATCTATGCACATCCTCCCATATACTTTAAATCATCCTTGGATTACTTATAATAGTCAATACAATGTAAATGCTTTGCAAATTGTTATACTGTGTTGTTTTTTATTGTTGTTATTGTTTTATTTATTTATTGAATATTTTTCATCAGTGGTTGGTTGAATCTACAGATGCAGACAGACCCTTTGGATATAGATGGCTGACTATAAATGGAATCAAATGATATGTGGTCCTCCGCAATGGCCCTGGCCTCTTTCTTCTTCTTCTCCTTCTTCCTTCTTCCTTCTTCTTCTTCTTTCTTTCTTTTTTTTTTTTTTTTGAAACAGGGTCTTACTCTGTTGCCCTGTTGCCCAGGGTGGAGTTCAATGGTGTCATCATACCTCACTGCACCCTCCAACTCCTGGGCTCAAGCAATTCTCTCACCTCAGCCTCCCAAGTAGCTGGGACCACGGTAACATCCCACAATGCTTGGCTAATTTTTTGTAGTAACAGGGTCTTGCCACGTTGCCCAGGCTGGTCTCAAACTCCTGGGCTCAAGCAATCCCCCCGTGTCAGCCTCCCAAAGTGCTCCATATTTTTTGTTTGGGTTTTAAGTGGGAGGTGAGGGGACAATGAATTTGGCTTTGAACATGTTGAATTTGAGATATATTTCCCCCCAGTCATTGTAGTTCATATTATCTCTGTCTTTTCCTCTCTCACTCCCACATGGATGGCCTGCTTTCTATCATTTTCCCCACATAAAAGAACAGGATTTAATTTTAGCCTCTCTTGTAAGTCTGTATTATATGACCAATCTCTTAGCCCCCTGCCTAGTCCACTCAGGTGCCCAGCCACAATTCCAGCTACGTGCTTTGGACTCCTGGTTCTCATCAAGTCATGGGACACATAAGGCTTCAAATACATATTTTTTATGGCAGAACTTAGAGCATTGTCTTGCAAAACAGTCAAATTTACTTTCTTTCACTATCCAAAGTCTACACAGTATAATTATATATAATAATGTGTTAGCAATTTGTAGACATTTAGACCAAAATGAACTTAAATAACAAATGGATAATGTCTTCTGACTTAGTTCTGGAGAGCAGAAGCATCACAGTGTACATCCCAGGAAAGAAGTTTGGGGAGGATATTGATCAACAGATGACTTTTCCAGTTCAGTGCAGTTTTTGGTCTTTTGTTGATGTGGATTCATCTTCAAGGAGAAATGCACAGAAAATCAACACTCTAATTGGTCAGATGGTAAGGTATATGTATATTTTATTGTTAGAATGTTGTTCAAGGAATAAAGTCATAAATTTTAATACATCTTAATATTTTTGTTATTAACCTGTTTCTATACTTTATTGAGTACCAGAACTACATGATGACCCAGTTGTTTAAAAATTGTAATGTTTTTTAACCATGTAGATCAGATATCTGCTCACTGGAAATTACTATTTGAATAGGTAACTAGAGAGTCTTTAATGAATAATGTATAAGAAAATACTCACTAAAGAGGCTTTAAAAAAATCAATCACTAAAAAGTTCCCAGATTATTAAAAAATTACCTTAAATTATAATTAATATGATAAATAATAACTTTAATAATAACAACATATAATAATTACTTTGTAATTAATTATTTCCAAATTGTGAAAATTACAAAGTTTAATGTTTGCCTGTTACCTTTTGGTTTGATGTAGGATTGCAGTTTGATTCCAGCTAACCTTGTGGAGGCATTTGGTTTATTGATTAACTGCAACGAGTCATCTCCCTGCCACCCATTTCTTCCTACTGTGCAACACACTTTGAACAAAGCCATTAATCCTGAAGGGCTGTTTTATGCGGCTTCTAGACAGTTCACAACTGAAGATTTTGAAAAGGTAAAGGTGGATAAAACGGTTACCCAGAATGCCTGTGCTAATGTTTCTCAAATTATATAGAAGTCCTTTTGAGTGCTGGATTTTCTTTATTTAGGATTCTTTTATTCCATCTTGGTTCCAGCTTTTAAACATTTTAAGGACATTGCATAGAAGTTATTTAGGGTTAGGCTGGTGTGGTGGCTCATGCCTATAATCCCAGCACTTTGAGAGGCCCAGGCGGGTGGCTCACTTGAGGCCAGGAGTTCGAGACCAGCCTGGCCAACACAGTGAAACCCCGTCTCTACCAAAAAATACAAAAATTAGCTGGGCGTGGTGGTGGCACCTGTAATCCCAGCTACTCGGGAGGCTGAGGCAGGAGAATCAGTTGAACCCAGGAGTTGGAGGTTGCAGTGAGCCGAGATCGCACCACTGCACTCCTGCCTGGGTGATAGAGTAAGACCCTGTCTCAAAAAAAAAAAAAAGAAAAAAAGAAAAAAGAAAGAAATTATTTAGAATTATTTAGGGCTATAATTAAAGAAACAACTGTGTTAGGTAATGAATATTAAAATTTTCAGTTTTATTTTTGTACCATTGTCCAAATCAGCACAGCTGAAAGAATCTCAACGAAAGAAAACCAACATAGAATTTTTCTATAGAAAATTATAATAGGCTATATACAGTTATCTGCATTTTACTGTCTATTCAAAGGGATTGTCCTTAGATGAATACCTTCGAGTCCTGACTTTAGGGGATATATAGCATGATTCACTAACCCATTTTAATTAATTACCCTGACATTATCAAAACATATGTGACATGTTCAGAGAACCTGAGAGTAAGTGATGTAAATTTAGTAATAATTCTCATAGCTATTAAAGGTACTCACATATTTACAACTGAAACCTTTTTAACTACTCAAAAATCTGTCCAAGTAGAGTTCACCTGTCTGGGTATGATAGATAAAAGGCAGGGAATATCAGAAAGTGGAGGTCTGAGTCATTAAAATTTTTTTTCATATCTATCTTCCTTGTGAGCATACTGCATGAGTAAAAGGTTGAAAGGCGAAATCGTCTTAAAAATGAATTATGAATATTGTTTATTCACATAGATTAGAATAGAAAAAAGAATAATATTTATAATATAATAAGGTTTTGGTTTTGGTTTTATTATATAGGAAAAAAGTAGTCTGTAGGAGTTAGGGTACTAAATATGGACAGGCTAATGGCCCTGACAAATGTTGCCCATTTTTTTACCTGAGAAGCCAAAACAATCTAGATTTATTAATTATTCAGGTATTTACTGAATACTTCACAAATATGAGCCTATTTCCATTCTTTTATATTCTCATAGATATATAAACTTTCTCTTTAGTTTATCATTTAATTGAGATTAAAAACAAGATATAGGCCAGGCAAGGTGGCTCACGCCTGTAATCCCAGCACTTTGGGAGGCCGAGGAGGGCAGAAACCTGAGGTAGGGAGTTGGAGACCAGCCTGACCAACATGGAGTAACCCCGTCTCTACTAAAAATACAAAATGAGCCAGGCATGGTGGCGCATGCCTGTAATCCCAGCTACTCGGGAGGATGAGGCAGGAGAATCGCTTGAACCCGGAAGGCGGAGGTTGAGGTGAGCCGAGATTGCGCCACTGCACTCCAGCCTGGGCGACAAGAGCAAAACTCCGTCTCAAAAAAAAAAAAAAAAAAAGATACATAAAATAGTTAAGGAACAATTTAAGTGCTAAGCTAAGTGGTGCTGACTCAGGTATTTTAGGAATTCAGAAAGGAAGATACCCATGTAGAATGCAGAAGCTGGGAAAACTTCATGGAGGAGGCTGGACATTAGTTGGGCTGTAAGAAAGGGTAAAATTTAGATGCACAAAGGATGGGTGTTCCAAGTAGAATTAACAGTAGGAGTAAAGACTTAAAAGTAGAAATTAGTGTACATGGAAAACGATAAGACCAGCTTGACTGGAGCAAAAATTGTATTTTGGAGTCATAGGATTTTGGCATATTTACAATAAGTCTTGCACAGGCAAAAGATTTTATAGTTGGTTTGTCAGACTATAGAGAACAGTTGTAGAGTGAACTGTAAAATAGTAAAAAGTGAAATAGTAAAAATGGTTTCTCTGGAAGATAAATCTGTCTATTACACAAATCAAAGTGGATGGAATTTGTTGCAGCCTGAGCTCTCCAGAACACAGACTGAGATGGAGTTTAGTGTGCCAATGTGTATTTGAGAGGGCTTTTCTGTCAATACCTACGGACTTTATAATGTCCTCCCCGACTTCTGCCTCAATTACTCATGTGATGTGGACTGTCCTGAGGCAATCCCTGAAGGGGCTGACAGCACTCTCAGTAGCTGGGGCAACAAGTCCTTTCCTGAAGGAGGATATTGGTGGCTCATCATCATGCCATCTTAGAGAGAACTTAGAGAGGGTTATTGATGCTATTAATAGTATATCCAGTTCTGAAAGCCTGGAGAGAGTTGTGGAGAATAAAGAAAACAAAGAAGCCAGGATATACATCCAATCCAGGACATGTCCAATCTAGGACATGTCTCTATGCTTTTCTTTTCTTTTTTCTTCTCTCGCTCTGTTACCAGGTTGGAGTGCAGAGGCGCCATCTTGGCTCATTGCAACCTCCGCCTGCTGGGTTCAAGTGATTCTCCTGCCTCAGCCTCCCGAGCAGCTGGGACTACAGGTGCCCGCCACCACACCCGGCTAATTTTTTTGTATTTTTAGTAGAGACAGGGTTTCACCATGTTGGCCAGGATGGTCTCAATCTCTTGACCTCGTGATCTACCCACCTCGGCCTCCCAAAGTGCTGGGATTACAGGTGTGAGCCACCGTGCCCAGCTGTCTCTATGCTTTTTTAAAAGTTAAATTTAAAATATAAATTTTAGGCCGGGCCTAGTGGCTCACGCCTGTAATCCCAGCACTCTGGGAGGCTGAGGCGGGCAGATCACCTGAGGTCAAGAGTTCGAGACCAGCCTGGCCAATATGGTGAAACTGTCTCTACTAAAAATACAAAAAAAAACAAAAGAAAAAATTAGCTGGGCATGGTGGCACACACCTGTAGTCCCAGCTACTCAGGAGGCTGAGGCAGGAGAATCACTTGAACCAGGAGGCAGAGTTTGCAGTGAGCTGAGATCGTGCCACGGCACTCCAGCCTGGGCGATAGAGCAAGCCTCCATCTCAAAAATAAATAAATAAAATAGGCTAGGCGCGGTGGCTCATGCCTGTAATCCCAGCACTTTGGGAGGCCGAGGTGGGCGGATCACCTGAGGTCAGGAGTTTGAGACCAGCCTGGCCAACATAGTGAAACCCCATCTCTACCAAAAATACAAAAAATTAGCTAGGCGTGGTGGTACGCGCCTATAATCCCAGCTACTCGGGAGGCTGAGACAGGAGAATCGCTTGAACCCCAGAGGCTGAGGTTGCAGTGAGCCGAGTTTGCGCTATTGCACTCCAGTTTGGGCAACAAGAGCGAAACTCCTTCTCAAAATAAATAAAAAAAAAACATATAAATTTTATAGTTAATAGCAACCTTTCTCCAGGTGTAGGTAGTGTCAGAAAAAAAACAGTAACCTTATTATAGTTAATTTTTCCTGCAGTTATCTGAATTGAAAAAACTAGAAAATAACTAGGATAGTAAAAAATTTGGAAATTACGTCACAGAGAAGAACTTTGGGAACTAGGAATCACTGACTGTGAAAGAAAAGAAAAGCACAAAACTCAAAAAAAACAGTGATAATCATGTGTTGCAGAATTATTCTCTACCCAAATCTTACTAAATCACCAAAGCCCACCTTCAAAGCAGTTAACACAATGTTTCCCCTCATACCAAACGTTGTGTTCTTTAAAAGGAAGGAAGGGAAGTAAGGAGGGCAAGTAGCTCTAGGCCAATGAGAGAAACTTACGAGGAAAAAACTGTCAGAGAATTAAAGCTATTCAAAGGAAAGTTAGCTTCTGAGGGAGGTGAGCCTTTAACTGGGAGCAAAGACGTTGTAAAGTCATTCAAATATATTGCACAGAACATTTCTGCACTGAGAGGGAGGAGATTATTCTGGGTAAACTTTAATATCGTTTACAAGTATAACACTGTGATTTAAAGTGTTCAGTGACTTCAAGATGGCCCCAGACATTTACTCTTTTTTATGTAATAAAATATGCAAACTTGTAAAAATAAAGTGCCAGTATACTTTTGATTTCTGTTATATTGATTCCATAATAAAGCTTGATTATCTTGGATTTTTCACACTTTTTAGCTATTGGCTTTTGCAAAGAATTTGAATGTAGAATTCAGCTTGGAAGCAGAAAGAATGACCCATGGCTATTATCTAGCAAGTCGCAGAATCAGAACAGGCTCTGTATGTGGATCAAAGCTGTCAGCATCTGCATTAAAATATCTGTAGGTATTCAATTCAAGATTTTAAAATCAGCATTGAGTTTCAAATGATATGTTTAATTAAATTGCTAATTTACCTATTTCACTTGTTTCTCTGCTTGATTGCTAGTTGGTTGGTTTGTAAATGGCCTTGTTCCAAAAGGACTAAAGGCTTCACAATTCCTTTTGTTATATCATGTTACATCATTTTAATCTCTAATAATTTTTTTACTAAACTGATTTTTATTGGATGCCATATGAGATATGTCTGGGAAAAGTGCACTGATTTCAAATGCAAATCCTTGTTTTTAAAAATGTGGCTGTTGGGCGGGCACGGTGGCTCACACCTGTAATCCCAGCACTTTGGGAGTCCGAGAGGGCAGATTGCCTGAGGTCAGGAGTTCAAGACCAGCCTGGGCAACACAGTAAAACCCTGTCTCTAATAAAATACAGAAAATTAGCTAGGCGTGGTGGTGCGTTCATGTAGTCCCAGCTACTTGGGAGGCTGAGGCAGGAGAATTGCTTGAACCCGGGAGGCAGAGGTTGCAGTGAGCTGAGATCATGCCACTGCACTCCAGCCTGGGCGACACAGTGAGACTCCGTCTCAAAAAAGAAAAAAAATATGGGTGTTGGTCAGGCGCGGTGGCTCATGCCTGTAATCCCAGCACTTTAGGAGGCTGAGGCAGGTGGGTGGCTTGAGCTCAGTTCAAGACCAGCCTCAGGGCTGGGTGCAGTGGGTCACACCTGTAATCCTAGCACTTTGGGAGGCTGAGGTGGGAGGATCACTTGAGCTCAAGAATTCAAGAACAGCCTGGGCAACATAGTGAGACCTCATCTGTATTTAAAACAAACAAACAAACAAACAGAGCAGCCTGGGCAACATGGTGAAATCCTGTCTCTACCAAAAATACAAAAAACTAGCTGGGCCTGGTGGCAGGTGCCTGTAGTCCCAGCTACTCAGGAAGCTGAGGTGGGAGGATTGCTTGAGCCCATCAAGCGGAAGTTGCAGAGCACCTAGATATGCCACTTTACTCCAGCCTGCGTGACAGAGTGAAACCCCCTTCTCAATTTAAAAAAAAAAAAGCCTGGCCTAGTGGCTCATGCCTATAATCCCAGCACTTTGGGAGGCCAAGGTGGGGCGATCACCTGAGGTCAGGAGTTTGAGCCCAGCCTGGCCAACATGGTGAAACCCTGTCTTTACCAAAAAAATACAAAAAAAATTAGCTTGGCGTTGTGGCACATGCCTGTAGTCCCAGCTACTCATGAGGCTGAGGCAGGAGAATCACTTGAACCCCAGAGGCGGAGGTTGCAGTGGGCCGAGATTGTGCCACTGCACTCCAGCCTGGCGACAGAGCAAGATTCTGTCTCAAAAAAAAAAAAAAAAAAAATATATATATATATATATATATATATATATACATATATCTTTTCATATGTAAACTGAGACTATGTGAGTTCAAATACAAAACATATTTTTACTATAGAGAAAAGAACATTATGAGAAAATAGAACTCTTAAAGCACGGTAGTGCACACCTGTAATCCCAGTACTTTGGGAGGCCAAGTTGGGTGGATCACCAGAGGTCAGGAGTTCACAACCAGCCTGACTAACGTGATGAAACCCTGTCTCTACTAAATACAAAATAATGAGCCAGGCATGGTGGCACATGCCTGTAATCTGAGCTACTTGGGAGGCTGTGACACAGGAGAATCACTTGTACCTGGGAGGCGGAGGTTGCAGTGAGCTGCAATTGGGCCATTGCACTCCAACCTGGGCAACAAGAGTGAAACTGTCTCAAAAAAAAAAAAAAGCAAACAGTGTAATTTGATCTGAGTATTTTAAATGTTACTTCAGGAAACAGAAAGCATTATGTAATTCTGTTTTCCATTTTGAAACATTTATCAAAGAGTTGACTTCTACTTGGCTTATCTTTAGCATTTTTTCAGCTCTATGAAGATAAATATACAGTTGGGGAAATTAACTAAACATGTCTAAATCTTACAGATTTATACTTGACATTTTCTGCCAGTTCTTCATCTGTCTTATTTTATATTGCAGTTGTAACAATATATTTATTTATTTATTTAATGAATTATTTTACTCCTGGTTCTACTTAACAATTATTTTGAGATTACACTTTAATACTATATCAAATAAAGAAATGGTCTATCAGTAGGGGACTGTTTAAACTATGGTACTGCTACATCACAACACAGTGAAGCTGTGATGCAGCTATTATTTCAAAAATAAAGTAGTTAATTTTAATATGATAACTCTACTTTTTCGCATTGTAGAAATAAATACTAAGGGTGGTTTGTGAAACAGCAGAGTAAATAAACCCCTAGCTAGAAGAGTCATAAACCTTGAATTTTTTTGCCATTTCTACAGACAGGTACCTAATCACAAGCATCTTTGCTTTTCTAGAGAAGTGGAGCTGAACAATACTTTCTAAAGGCTCTATACATATTCTGTCCCGGTCAACATTTTTAGAAGGATCTTGGATGAGGATATCAGAGACATGATAATTACATTTATAAATGAGCAATATTGGAGAGAACTTCACAAGCTTGAACTGTGATCTTAATCTAAAAGAAGAAAGTTAATAGGATAAATGTAAAGCCCTCTGTTAGATGCCCAGACTCCCTAGTATAAGTGTGAATTGATGAGAAAATGGTAATGTGGCTTAATATGAAAAGATATGAAAAGGATTTGATATTTCATTCTTTTTATGTTTAATAAGAGTAAATAATGTAATATGGCTATTAATAATACTGAGAGTTGGGGTCATATTAATAGAATATATATCAAGAGCAACAAAATGCTAGTTATGCCTTATCTCTAATGTGATGGTCAAAACTGCTGTCGTACTGCACTGAAAAGGAGTATTAACCAAATTAGGTCATGAGGAGAGTAGCCATCATGGTAAGGAGCTGAAAATTATGTCTCATAGCATAGTAAAGGAACTAGAAATATTTAACTTGGAGGAGAGAAAACACGGAGCAATCAAAAAGTTATCTTTGCATATCTGAAGAGCATCATATTAAGAGGTCTCAGAAGACAGAACAAGAGACCTGTGGGTAGAAATTGCAGTGAAACTAATTTTAGCTTAGATTGATAGAATCTTGGTTATAGTTAGTTATGGTTATAGTTAGTTGCAAAACTTTCAAATGCCTTTACTTATCTGCCTTTTACAGCTGAGTTTCAAAAAATCTCATACATTAAATGATTTATACAAAGTAATACAGCTAGTAAATTCTAGAGACTCAGCCTAGGTTTTCTGATTCCCAAGTTCAGCAGTCATTCAGATACATCACTTTTGCTTGAAGGAGATCTTTCAAGTAATGGAAGCTGGTTAAAAAATTAAAAATAAAGGAACGGATTGCCTCATGAAGCCATGAATGCTAGGAGAGGTCCAAAAGAGACTGGAAAATGAATAGCCCAGGATGTTGTAGAGGAAATTTAGTTTTCTGATGAAAGTTTGAACTTTGAATTCCAAGATCTCTTCCAATGCTGAAATTGCAAACAAAAATCTTGCAAATCTATGAGGATTTTAGATAAATGAAGGACTAAAAGAAAAAGTCAAGGATTTGTCTGTAAAAGATATTTAGTTAGATTAATTTTCCCAACTGTGTATTTATCTGAACAAAACTTCGGGAGGGGAGTGTGGAATGATAAATAAAAGCCAGGATGGAAACCAAAAGGATACTGGCTTGTTCTGGAACAGTCTATTTAAGTCGGTGGGGAAAAAAAATCCTTTGAAAAGAAACTAAAAATTTTTTTAAAGTAAGAATATGCTTTAGGTGTGGCTAAGGTTCATATATATCTCGATTTGTTCCTGCCAAAATATATATTATTTTTATAATATCAACATATTTTCTTTGGCAACTATTTTCTTTTTTAGCGTTTTCCTATCTGAAGCCCATGCACGACTGAACTTAAGGAACAAAGTGCTTAAAGAAGATGTGCTGATTGCAGCCTTACTATTTGAAACATCCCTCACATTGAAATATGGTAATGAATTAAATTATTAATGATCACTACAAATAACTTTTATTTAACCTTAAATATTCTTAGTTGGTTAAATTAAAATGTTACATATATTTTTAAAATATTATTTTAAAGAATAACAAATCTCTACCAGGTAAGGCCTGTTTTAATTTGGGCATTTATTAACTGTTTCTGGGTAGTATCATCATCTGATATTAAATTCCTTATTATGCATGATTGTTTTCATATTTGAACATTTGCATTGCTTAAAGAATTCTGGGGGAAAAAGTACTTACTACAACACATAAAATGATTTTAATTTATCTTCCTTTTAAAATAACTTGCAACATTTAGGTATCAAACAATCCCCCACAGTGGAGTTAGGCAACATAGCAAAAGAAAATCTGATCATCAGCTGGGTGTGGTGGCTCACACCTGTAATCCCAGCACCTTGGGAGGCCGAGACAGATGGATCACAAGGTCAGGAGATCAAGACCAGCCTGCCTAATATGGTGAAAACCCGTCTCTACTAAAAGTACAAAAATTAGCTAGGTGTGGTGGCAGGTGCCTGTAGTCCCAGCTACTCAGGAGGCTGAGGCAAGAGAATCGTTTGAAACTGGGAGGTGGAGGTTGCAGTGAGCTGAGATTGCACCACTGCACTCCAGTCTGGGTGACAGAGTGAGACTCCATCTCAAAAAAAAAAAAAAAGAAAGAAAGAAAAGAAAATCTGATTATCTTGTATCACCACCTTTGCTGAATTACTAGTTTTAATACTATGTCTATAGCATTTAATTTTTTGAAATGAATGGCACTTATTATGCTTTTGCTAATAAACACGCAAAAGAGGTTTTTAAGGTAAGGGTAAAGGAGAGTTATTCTCCCAAAGTTCTTGGTTGAATTAGATGAGACATTAATTTTGATTAGCGATACCATTCTTCAAACCAAACCTTGGTTCCAGCCCTGGGACTTAAAGAATGTATTAACACTAGCTTTCCTGTGTGTATGTGCTGGTGATTACATTTGCTTTAAATTACATTTATATTGTAATACCTGTTTGCAGAGATCCATTCGAATATTAGAACTTTGTTCTATTATTGTCTAAAGTTCTATAAATTGTTCTATAATTGTCTTTGTTCTATAAATGTCAAGCATTCTTAATCTAGGATCCATAGATGCTTGGTATAGGGGCTTGCAAATCCCTAAATAATATACAAATGTACACATGTGTGTGCCTTATACATTTTTTTCCGAGGAACATAGAGCATTAATTTTTATGAAATAGAGATTTATGGCCCCTAAAAGAGGTTAAATATCATCCTGAATTAGTTTTATTTACCAAAAGAGAATAACGCTGGTTCCCAACCAATACTAAATAATAGTTAGGGAGGATATATATATGTTTTTCATTTCAATTTGCTTTATCTTTTTTTAATTAGCATTTCTTTTTTAAATTATTATTTATTATTATTATTATTTTTTTTTGAGATGGAGTTTCACTCTTGTTGCCCAGGCTGGAGTGCAATGGCATGATCTCGGCTCACTGCAACCTCTGCCTCCCAGGTTCAAGCAACCTCAGCCTCTTGAGTAGCTAGGATTACAGGCATGCGCCACCACGCCCAGCTAATTTTGTATTTTTAATAGAGATGGGGTTTCTCCATGTTGGTCAGGCTGGTCTGGAATTCCCGACCTCAGGTGATCTGCCTGACTTGGCCTCCCAAAGTGCTGAGATTACAGGCGTGAGCCACCGTGTCCCACCTATTTTTTTTTTCTCTTTAAGTTCTGGGTTAAGTGTGCAGAACATGCAGGTTTGTTACATAAGTATACATGTGCCATGGCGGTTTGCTGCACCTATCAACCTGTCATCTAGGTTTTAAGCCCCGCATGGTATTTGTCCTAATGCTCTCCTTCCCCTTGCCCCCGCCAACCCCCAACAGGCCTCAGTGTGTGATGTTCCCCTCCCTGTGTCCGTGTGTTCTAATTGTTCAGCTCCCACTTATGAATGAGAATATGTGGTGTTTGGTTTTATGTTCCTGTGTTAGTTGGCTGAGAATGATGGTTTCCAGCTTCATCCATGTCCCTGCAAAGGACATGCACTCATTTTTTATGGCTGCATAGTATTCCATGGTGTATATGTGCCACATTTTCTTTATCCAGTCTATCATTGATGGGCATTTGGGTTGGTTCCAAGTCTTTGCTATTGTAAATAGTGCTGCAATAAACATACGTGTGCATGTGTCTTTATAGTAGAATGATTTAAAATCCTTTGGGTATATACCCAGTAATGGGATTGCTGGGTCAAATGGTATTTCTGGTTCTAGATCCTTGAGGAATCGCCACACTGTCTTTCACAATGTTTGAACTAATTTACAGTCCCACCGACGGTGTAAAAGCGTTCCTGTTTCTCCACGGCCTCACCAGCATCTGTTGTTTCCTGGCTTTTTAATGATCACCATTCTAACTGTTGTGAGATGATATCTCATTGTGGTTTTGATTTGCATTTCTCTAATGACTAGTGATGATGAGCTTTTTTTCATATGTTTGTTGGCTGCATAAATGTCTTTTTTTTGAGAAGGGTCTGTTCATATCTTTTGTCCACTTTTTGATGGGGTTTTTTTTCTTGTAAATGTGTTTAAGTTCCTTGTAGATTCTGGATATTAGACCTTTGTCAGATGGAGAGATTGCAAAAATTTTCTCCGGTTCTGTAGGTTGCCTGTTCACTCTGATGATAGTTTCTTTTGCTGTGCAGAAGCTCTTTAGCTTAATTAGATCCCATTTGTCAATTTTGGCTTTTGTTGCAATTGCTTTTGGTGTTTTAGTCATGAAGTCTTTGCCCATGCCTGTGTCCTAAATGGTGTTGCCTAGGTTTTCTTCTAGGGTTTTTATGCTTTTAGGTTTTACATTTAAGCCTTTAATGCATCTTGAGTTAATTTTTGTATAAGGTGTAAGGAAGGGGTCCAGTTTCTGTTTTCTGTGTATGGCTAGCCAGTTTTCCCACTACCATTTGCTAAATAGGGAATCCTTTCCCCATTGCTTGTTTTTTGTCAGGTTTATTGAAGATTATCAATTTGCTTTATCTTTACATGCTTCTCCTAGTCTATGTTTAAGACCACATTTCATTAAGTCTAAGACACATTATTTTATGTGCTGTAAAGAAAAAATTCTGCCAATTTTACCATGCCATGCCATCAATTGTTAAGATACAACTGGAGTACGGTAATAAGATGAAAATATATGTCTTTGAATTGAAGAATTATAGTATTATTATATTAAGGACTCCTGTGATAGAATATGGTTGAGTTTTTTGTTTTGTTTTGTTTTTGAGACAGTCTCACTCCATCACCCAGGCTGGAGTGCAGTGGCACAATCTTGGCTCACTGCAACCTCCATCTCCTGGGTTCAAGTGATTCTCCTGCTTCAGCCTCCTGAGTAGCTGGAATTACAAGCATGCACCACCACACCCAGTTAATTTTTGTATTTTTAGTAGAGATGGGGTGTTGCCATGTTAGCCAGGCTGGTCTCAAACTGTCAAGACCTCAAGTGATCCACCTTCCTTGGCCTCCCAAAGTGCTGAGATTGCAGGTGTGAGCTACCACGCCCAGCCATATGGCTGAATATATTTACTTAGTGACTGACACAGTTAGGCTTTTTGTCCCCACCCAAATCTCATCTTGAATTGAAATCCCCATAATCCCCAAATGTCAAAGGAGAGACCAGGTGGAGGTAACTGAATCATGGGGGCAGTTTCCCCTATGCTATTCTCATGATAGTGAGTGAGTTCTCACAAATCTGATGGTTTTATAAGGGCTCTTCCCCCTTCGCTTGGCAGTTCTCCTTCCTGCTGCCTTGAAAGAAGGTGCCTTGCTTCCCCTTTACCTTCTGCCATGATTGTAAGTTTCCTGAGGCCTCCCCAGCCACGCTGAACTGTGAGTCAATTAAACCTCTTTCCTTTATAAATTACTCAGTCTCAGGCAGTTCTTTATAGCAGTATGAAAATAGATTAATACAGTAAATTGGTACTGCAGAGAGTGCGGTGCTGCTATAAAGATACCCAAAAATGTGGACTTGACTTTGTAACTTGACAACAGGCAGAGGGTGGAACAGTTTGGAGGGCTCAGAAGAAGATAGGAAGATGTGGGAGAGTTGGAACTTCCTAGAGACTTGTTGAATGTCTTTGACCAAAATGCTGATAGTGATATGGACAATGAAGTCCAGGCTGAGGTGGTCTCAGGTGGAGATGAGGAAGTTGTTTGGAACTGGAATAAAGGTGACTCTTGCTGTGCTTTACAAAGAGAAAGACTGGCGCCGTTTTGCTTCTGCCCTAGAGATCTGTGGAACTTTGAACTTGAGAGACATAATCAGAAATTGGAACTTACATTTAAAAGGGAAGCAGAACATTGAAGTTTGGAAATTTTGCAGCCTGATTATGCAGTAAAAAGGAGAAAACTCATTTTCTGGAGATAAATTCAAGCAGGGCAGAAATTTGCATAAGTAACAAGAGGCCAAATGTTAATCACCAAGACAATGGGGAAAATGTCTCCAGGGCATGTCAGAGGTCTTCACAGCAGCCCCTCCCCTCATAGTCCCAGAGGCCTAGGAGGAAAAATGGTTTTGTGGGCCAGGCCCAGGGCCTCCCTGCTTTGTGAAGTATCGGGACTTGGTGCCCTGCATCCCAGCCTTGGCTAAAAGGGGCTAACGTATAGCTCAGGCTGTTGCTTCAGAGGGTACAAGCCCCAAACCTTGGTGGCTTACACGTGGTGTTGGGCCTGCGGGTGCACAGAAGTCAAGAATTGAGGTTTAGGAACTTCTGCCTAGATTTCAGACAAAGTGTGGAAATGTGTGGATATCCCTGCAGAAGTTTGCTGCAGGGATGTAGCCCTCATGGAGAACCTCTGCTAGGGCAGTGAGGAAGGGAAATGTGGGGTTGGACCTCCCACACACATAGTCCCCACTGGGTACTCCCTAGTGTAGCTGTGAGAAGAGGGCTGCTGTCCTCCAGACCCCAGAATGGTAGATCCACCAACAGCTTGCACCATCACCTGGAAAAGCTGCAGACACTCAACACCAGCCTGTGAAAGCAGTGGGGAGAGGGGCTGTGCCCTACAAAGCCACGGGGGCAGAGCTGCCCAAAGCTGTGGGAGCCCCTCTCTTACATCAGCATTATCTGGATGTGACACATGGAGTCAAAGGAGATCATTTTGGAACTTTAAGATTTGACTGGCCAGCCACAGTGGCTCACATCTGTAATCCCAGTACTTTGGGAGGCTGAGGCGGGTGGATCACCTGAGGTCAGGAGTTGGAGACCAGCCTGGCCAACATGGTGAAACTCTGTCTCTACTAAAAATACAAAATTAGCCGGGCATGGTGGCGGGTGCCTACAATCCCAGCTACTTGGTAGGCTGAGGCTGGAGAATCGCTTGAACCCGGGAGACGGAGGTTGTAGTGAGATGAGATCATGCCATTGCACTCCAGCCTGGGCAACAAGAGCAAAACTCCATCTCAAAAAAAAAAAAAAATTACTGCCTCGCTGGATTTTGGACTTGCATGGGGCTTGCAGCCCCTTCATTTTGGCCAATTTCTTCTATTTAGAACAGGTGTATTTACCCAATGCCTGTACCCCTGTGGTATTTAGGAAGTAACTAACTTGCTTTTGATTTTACAGGCTCATAGGTGAAAAGGACTTGCCTTATCTCAGATGAGACTTTGGACTTGGACTTTTGGGTTAATGCTAGAATGAATTAAAACTCTGGGGGACTGTTGGGAAGGCATGATTGGATTTGAAATGTGAAAGGGACATGAGATTTGGGAGGGGTTGGGGTGGACTGATATGGTTAGGCTTTGTGTCCTCACCCAAACTTCATCTTGAATTGTAATCCCCATAATCCCTACATGTCAAGGGAGAGACCAAATGAAGGTAACTGAATCATGGGGGTGATGTTCTTGTGGTAGTGAGTGAGTTCTCATGAGATCCGATGGTTTTATAAGGGGCTCTTTCCCCTTCACTTGGCACTTCTCCTTCCTGCTGCCCTGTGAAGAAGGTGCCTTGCTTCCCCTTCACCTTCCACTATGACTGTAAGTGTCCTGTGGCCTCCTCAGCCATGCTGAACTGTGAGTCAATTAAACCTCTTTCCTTTATAAATTACCCAGTTTTGGGCAGTTCTTTATAGCAGTATGAAAATGGACTAGTACGGTGACTATTTTGTCAAGACTTTCTTGAAGTATTTACTGAGGGAGGCCGAGCGTGGTGGCTCACGCCTGTAATCCTAAAACTTTGGGGGTCCGAGGCAGGCAGATCACCCTAGATCAGGAGTTCAAGACCAGCCTGGCCAAGATGATGAAACCCTGTCTCTACTAAAAATACAAAAATTAGCTGGGTGTGGTGGCAGGTGCCTGTAATACCAGCTACTCAGGAGACTGAGGCAGAGAATTGCTTGAACCTGGGAGTCGGGGGTTGCAGTGAGCCGAGATTGCACCATTGCACTCCAGCCTGGGTGACTGGGCGAGACTCTGTCTCAAGAAAAAAAAAAAAAGGATTCCCTTCAAAAGATTACTGCTCATTGACAATGCACCTGGCCTCCCAAGAGCTCTAATGAAGATGTACAAGGACATGAATGTTGTTATTATGCCTGCTAACATGCATTCTGCAGCCCCTGGATCAAGAAGTAATTTCAACATTCAAGACTTGTTATTTTAGAAATACATTTCTTAAGTCCATCACTGTCATGATTCCTCTGATGGAGCTGGGCAAAGTCATTGAAAACCTTCTGGAAAAGATTTGCCATTCTAGATGTGATTAAGAACATTCATGATTTATGGGAGGAGGTTAAAATATCTACATTAACAGGAGTTTGGAAGAAGTTGATTCCAGCCCTCCTGGATGACTTGGAGGGGTTCAAGACTTCAGTGGAGGAAGTAACTGCAAATGTGGCGGCAACAGCAAGAGAACTAGAATTAGAAGTGGAACCTGAAGATGTGACTTAATTGCTATAGACTGATGATCAAACATGAACGGATGAGAAGTTGCTTCTTATGGATGTAAAGAAAGTGGTTTCTTGAGATGGAATCTATTCCTGGGGAAGATTCTGTGAACATTGTTGAAATGACAACAAAGGATTTAGAATAGTCCATAAACTTAGTTGATAAAGCAGTGGCAGTGTTTGAGAGGATTGCCTGCAATTTTGAAAGAAGTTCCACTGTGGGTAAATATGCTATCAAACAACATCACCCTAAAGCCCATCAATGACAGACTGGATAACAAAAATGTGGCACATATACACCATGGAATATTATGCAGCCATAAAAAAGAATGAGTTCATGTACTTTGCAGGGACATGGATGAAGCTGGAAATCATCATTCTCACCAAACTAACACAAGAACAGAAAACCAAACACCACATGTTCTCACTCATAAGTGGGAGTTGAACAATGAGAACACATGGACACAGGGAGGGGAACATCACACACCAGGGCCTGTTGGTGGGGAGAGCTAGCGGAGGGATAGCATTAAGAGAAATACCTAATGTAGGTGACGGGTTGATGGGTGCAGCAAACCACCATGGCACGTGTATACCTATGTTACAAACCTGCACGTTCTGCACATGTACCCCAGAACTTAAAGTGTAATAAAAAACATAAATAAAATAAAAATGACCAAAAAAAAAAACCAACATCACATGCTACAAAGAAATCTTTCATGAAAGGAAGAGTCAATTGATGTAGCAAACTTCATTGTTGTCTCATTTTAAGAAATTGTCACAGCCATCCCAACCTTCAACAAACAGTATGCTGATGTTGATCAATCAGCAGTCATCTACATGGAGACAAGACCTTCCACCAGCAAAAAGATTATGACTTCTGAAGGCAGAGGATGATTTTTAGCATTTTTTAGCAATAAAGCATTTTTAAATTAAGGTATGTTTGCATCTTATTTTTAGACATAATGCTATTGCACACTTAGACTACAATATAGGGTAAATATAACTTTTATGTACATTGGGAAAACAAATAATTGACGTGGCTTGCTTTATTGTGATATTCACTTTTTTGTGGTGATCTGGAACTGAACCTGCAATATCTCTGAGGTATGGCTGTATATATTAAAGTAAAACTGTAAAGGTAATTTGAGGTTAATTATAATTTGAGGATTGATGTATTAAAATTATAGTGTGTTATATGTTCTCATAATATGCCTCATAATTATCACTATTTGAACTAAATATTCGTGATCTTTTTTCCAATATGTGAGTCAATAAATATTTATTGAATGATAACTAGGTGCTAGGCACTAGTTACATAGTAGTGAAAAAAGTTGCAGTCTCTGCCCTGGTAGAACTTACAGCCTAGTGAGAGAATAGACATTAAAAAGTGAACACATGGGCCGGGCGCAGTGGTTCACGCCTATAATCCCAACACTTTGGGAGGCCGGGGCAGCGGATCACTTGAGGTCAGGAGTTTGAGACCAGCCTGGACAAATGGTGAAACCCCATCTCTACTAAAAATACAAAAATTAGCCGGGTGTGGTGGTGTGTGCCTATAGTCCCAACTACTTGGGAGGCTGAGGCAGGAGAATTGCTTGAACCTGGTGGGTGGAGGTTGCAGTGAGCCGAGATCGTACCACTGCCCTCCAGCCTGGGTGACAGAGCAAGACTCTGTCTAAAAAAAAAAAAAAAAAAAAAAAGTAAACACATGGTGGGGCATCATGGCTCATGCCTGTAATCCCAGCACTTTGGGAGGCCAAGGCAGGAGAATCACTTGAGCCCAGGAGTTCGAGACCAGCTTGGGCAACATGGTGAGACCTCCCATCTACACAGAAAAAAAATTTTTTAATAGATGGGTGTGATGGTGTATACCTGTAGTCCCAGCTACTCGATAAGCTGAGGTGGGAGGATGGCTTGAGCCCAGGAGGTCAAGGCTGCAATGAGCCATGATCATGCCACTGCACTTTAGCCTGGGCAACAGAGTAAGACCCTGTATCCAAAAAAAAAAAAAAAAAAAAACTAAAGACACTAATGAATATATAATACAAATTGAGATCGATGCTATGAAGAAAATCAACAGGATGTTATGAGAAAGAACAATGGAAGGGACTTACTTTGGATTTTAGGGAGACCTCTCTAAGGAAATGATATTTATTTAAGCAGATAGCTGAAGAATGAGAAGTCAAATTAGAGGGGAACCACATATGCAGGTGTTTTCAAAACACTGAAAGAGGGCCAGGGTGGCTAAAACATAGTAAGCCGAGTAAGCATCGTAGTTGAGGTTAGAGAGGAAAGTAAGACCAGACAGACCATGGTAGAAAATTGGGATTGTAATCCAAGTGCAATGAGGAACAGAGAACTAATGTGTTCAATTATATTTTTGAAATACCATGTTTGGAGTTGATATGGAGAATGGGTTGGAGGTATGGAGAATGGTTAAGAGCAGAAAGTGGGAGACCAGTTGTTGTAGTCCAGTTAGATGATAATGAGAGATTCAACTAGGTAGAGTCAGTAGAAATGGAAAGAAATTAGTGAATTAGAGATACACGTTAGATGCACAAACCAATAGGTTGTGCTCATGAACTAGATTTAAGAGTTGGGGGCAGCGGAAGGGAGGAGAGGGGGTAATTAAGGAAAACTCCCATGTTTCTGCCTTGAGTAGCTGGGTGGATAATCATGCCATTTATCAAGATTGGGGAGAAAGAAAGAAAAAGAGCTGGGAGAAAAATCAAATTATAGATATAACTTTGAGATATTCTATAGGCTGAGCACAGTGGCTCACATCTGTAATCCCAGCACTTTGGGAGGCCAAAGCGAAAGGATTGCTTGAGCCCAGGAGTTTGAAACCAACCTGGGCAACATAGCAAGACCCTAATTAAAAAAAATAAAATAAATGGCCAGGAGCGGTGGCTCACGCCAGCACTTTGGGAGGCCAAGGTGGGCAGATCACAAGGTCAGGAGTTCAAGACCAGCCTGGCCAACATGGTGAAACCCTGTCTCTACTAAAAAGACAAAAATTAGTTGGGCGTAGTGGCGCGCGTCTGTAATCCCAACTACTCGGGAGCCTGAGGCAGGAGAATCGCTTGAATCTGGGAGGCAGAGGTTGCAGTGAGCCAAGATCATGCCACTGCACTCCAGCCTAGGTGACAAAGCCAGACTCCGTCTCAAAAAAAAAAAAGTTTTATATATTTATATATATATTTATATATTTATATATGTTTTATATATTTATATATTTATATTTACATATATTTATATATATGTATATATGTATGATTTTTGTTCATTCCTACTTAAGCAGTGGAGGAAAAGTGTGAGTATATATATAACTTTTTTTTTAAAGGAGATATCCTACGGATATATCAATAGAGAGATAAAAGAATCTGGAGCTTAGAGAAAAGCTCTAACCTAGGAATATAATTTAGGGATCACCAGCATAGAGGTGGTACTCAAAGCCAAGGAATGGATGAAATCACCTAGATGGAGACTAGTGGGAACCCCAGGACTGCCCTTGAAGATTCCAATATTTATAAATGGGGTTGTGGAGGAGGAACTAACAAAGGAGGCTTAGAAGCAGCCTAGAATGTAGAAAGAAAATCAAGTGTTGTGTGATTTTCTTTCTAAGAATGAGAGTTTTTCCAGAAAGGGGCAGAGTGGTCAACTGAATCACATGCTACTGAGAGTTTGAGTAAGATTCAGTTTGGTAACCTAAAGGTTGTAGGTAGCCATGATCAGAGATATTTCAGTGGCGTGGGAATGGAGATGAGGCTATGGAGACAGCACACATAGACAAACTATGAAGATGAGGAAAGAAATGAGGGAATTGCTGGAGAAGGATGTGTGGTTCAGGAAGGAACTTTTTTTTTTTAAAGATAGAAGGTATAAAATCATATGATGTGCAGTAAAGAGTAAACTAGTAACACTATAGAAAGACAGGAAGATCAACAAGTGAAGTACAAAAAAGGTGAGAGGGGTTAGGATCCAGGGTACATGTATTGGCCATTTTACAGATGGGAAGAAAATGGATACAGAACCAAGTAGGTTTGTAAGTCTGGCCATATACTTTACTTGATGTCATCAGCTGAAAATGAAAGGTTTGAGGAGGAAAGAATGGAATATAATAGTTATTGTGGGGGCTAGAAGAGAAGTGTCCGAGGGAAACTCAGCAGGGTTGCCAGGCAGGTGATCGTTTGGAGTTACTGTGATTCACTTAAAGGGAAAAGAAGAAATGCCAGTTGTGTGATTTTCTGCCTAGCAGCCTTCGTGCCAGCACAAGATGAATGGTTGGGTTCGTGCAGAGTTGAGGTTTTGATAGGTGAGTGTGGCAGAGTGGTGCTGAGGGGCAAAGGAGTGGAGGGACTGGCTAAAGGGAGGGACTTTTAAGCTGGTTAAGGAAGGAAGTGAATTAGAGGAAGCAGACTGGGGGTCTCTGTAGACCTGAAACATTTGAGCAAGTGAACTGGAAGCATAGGAGGTAGAGTAGGGGAGTGGGTTGTGGTTTTGAAGTAAGTGGGAACTCAAGGTTTTGAAGTAAGTTTCTGGTGATACTAGTTTCCTATGACCGTGGGATGTATGGCTGAGGCGGAAGGGAAAGGTGGGACATCGCAAGGGAGTTAAATGGGTTATCCACATGAAAATCACTGAATGTCAGGTATTAGGGGAGAAAGGAAGATTTTGAGCAAAGTGCTAAGAGCTGCTGGTTGACTATAGAAGGAGAAGGATAGTAAAACCAGGTGGCACTGAGCATCAAAGGAGAAAGAATTTTTTACCAAAAGGGAAGCATGGGAAAGAATGGTCTGGAAGCAGCAGAGGGGCAGCAAGCTAGGCTCTGACTGTGTCTTGTGACACTATGTATATGGGATGTTTGGGGAAAAAAAGCTTCATTTTGGAGAGGCACAAGGAAAGCAGTGTTCTTAAGAGATAGTAAGCTTTCAGAGAAGATCAGGTAGGAAAGGAAGCAGTCAGAAGTCTGAGGCTGTTCTTATGAGGCTCTAGGAAGGTGGGCACTGCTTGGCACAGTTGCTAAACTGTACTCTTGGCCTGTCACATTAAGTACTTGTTCAATGAATTAATGAATAAAAGAGAAGAGCTTACCTCCTCATGGTCAATTTTTAAATTGAAGTAAAATATAAAATCTACTTATTTTAACCATTTTAAAATGTTCAGTTCAGTGTGTTTAGTACATTCACATTCACACTGTTGGGCAACCATCACCACCCTTCGTCGCCAGAGCTTTTTCATCTTCCCAAACTGAAACTGCGTACCCATTAAACAGTAATTCCTCGTTTCCTCCTCTACTCCTCCTGGGAGCCATCACTCTACTGCCTCTATGAATTTGACTATTCTAGGTACCTCATATAAGTGGAATCATACATTTGTCCTTTCATAACTGGCTTATTTCACTTAGCATAATGTTCTCAAGGTTCATCCATATTATGCATGTATTAGAATTTCCTTCCTTTTTAAGGCTGAATAACATCCTTTTGTATGTAAATAGAATGTTTCGTTTATCCATTCACCTGTCAATGGACATTTCTGTTGCTTCCACCTTTGTCTATTGTGAATTACACTGCTATGAACGTGGGTGTGCTAATATCTCTTTAAGATCCTGCTTTCAGTTCTTTTGGGTATATACCCAGAAGTGAAAGTGCTGTATCATACAGTAATTGTTTACTCTTTTTGATGAACCGCCATCCTGTTTTCCACAGTGGGTGCACCATTTTCCATTCCCAACAGTGCACAAAGCTTCTAATTTCTCCACATCCTCTCTAACACTTGTCATTTTGTTTTTTATTTTTATAATAAATCCTTATAGGTGTGAGGTAGTAGCTCATTGTAGTTTTGATTTGTATTTTCCTAGTGATTAGTGATGTTGAACATCTTTCTCATGTGCTTATTGGTCATTTGTTTTTCTTTAGAGAAACGATATTAGTTCTCCGCCTATTTTTTAATGATTATTTTCTTACTGTAGATTTATAGACCCCTTTATCAGAGATTTGATTTGCAAGTATTTTCTCCCATTCCATAGGTTGCCTTTTCACTGTTGATTGTATTGTTTTATGCAGTTTTAAATTTTGATATGGTCCCATTTATGTGTATTTTCTTTTGGTGCCTGTACTTTTGATGTCACATTCAGGAAATCATGGCCAAATCCAAAGTGAATCTGTCCTTTCCCCTAGAATGGTCTTGAAACCCTTCCATAGATTTATGTTGTCTGCCTTTATGTGAATGGTTTTAACAACTGAGAAATGTACTACAATGTCTTTATCTTTGATCGTCCACTTAGCCGTTATCAAATAAAGATTAGTATTTCTTACCTTCCAGTACCTTTTCTCCCTACTCCTGTCACCTCCTCACATCACTCATCAGCTTCAAAACTATAATGACTATTTCAGTAGAAGGCAAGTTTCTAGTTCCAAACTTTAAAATATAAACATCAACATACTTCTTCCATTGGCCCTGGTACCAATGCGTGTGCACTTACTGAACCTGCTTTCTGGGTTTCAGAAAACAAGAGTCAGATTTCAATAATGATTATTGAAATACTCTACTGAATAGGTCAGAACTTAATTTTTTGACTTTTATTTTTCACAGAACCACATGGGCTCAGACTTAATTTTTAAGATTCCATTAAAATATTTTGGTTGAAAATGTGATTTCATACTTGTCATTTTAAGGAGTATTTGTCATTTACACTCTATTATCTTCTTCATTTAGGGGCCACTGTATTTTGTGTTGCTCCGAATGCAGTATTTCCATTTGAACTGTATAATGAAGAATACTTAGAGCAAAGGGATCTCTATCTGACTCAGTGCCAACAACAGCTGGAACAATTTATTGCCACATATGGACCTGGGACAACTATTTTCTCTAGTGATGAATAAGCAATTTGAGGAATTTTTGTTCATTCCTACTTAAGCAGTGGAGAAAAAGTGTGACTATTTTGAGAGTGACTTTGAAGTAATGCTTTGATAATACTCTGTACAGGAATATATTACAATACTGTTTTTAAAAATATAAAATATAGTCCCCTCAAAACTAATTGCTAATGGGATAAATACTAATCCAAACCTCTAAAACCAACAGAATTTTAAAACTTAGAACAATGTGGACAATTTAAAGTGATAAAGTTGTCAAGGAGAATACTATAAAGAAAAACCTGGTTAGCCCAGAATACCAGTGGTGAACAGATAAAAATGTAAATGTTGCAATTTGAGCAGTGTGTAAAATGGCAACCTTTATGTAGTTCACTCTACTGTCACAAGATGGCAATAACTCTTTACCTACAAATTACTCTAAAACATTTTTCTTCCACTTGTGAACTTGCTAAACTGATGAGTAAATACTTTATATAACCCGAAGCTTCAAATGTAAGGCCTTTTCATACTTTATTACTGGCCTGTCCATTACATACTACTGTTTTAGAAGCCCTAAATATGGAATCGGGAAAAGCCTTGGAAGTTTTCCATACGTATACGCTAGGTTAAATGAAAAAAATACTTTACACGGAAACAAGGAGCCAATAACTTATAAATTGGCTCTCTAACCCTAACTGGTTACAAGAAAGGCTCCAAAAGGCAAAGAAACCAACTTGCAAATCTAGTCCTCATTTTTGGAGGGAAGATATCTGCTCTGAAAAGATAGGGGCACCATGAGAAAACAAATCCATCTTGTAAAATTTATAAATCCTTTTTAGTTCAGTTTCCATAACTTTAATAAAAGATCAGTTCTATTCACAGAAAAGCAAAATGTCATTACCAAATTGCCACTTTATTAACCAAGATGTTACCATGCATCAATTCTTTCAAAACTGGTCCCTTAACAGAGATGCTTAACTGTACAGCTGGACCTCTCCCACTCTCCACAGGACCCGGAGGAAGTTGTTCACTATTACTGAATACCTACTAGTAGCAGGGAGTAAACAGTATTAGTTTTCAGAAGCCAAAGGTAGTGTTTTTGTTTTTTGTTTTTTTGAGATGGGGTCTCGCTCTGTCATGCAGGCTGGAGTGCAGTGGTGTTATCTTGGCACTGCAACCTCCACCTCCCGGGTTCAAGTGATTCTCCTGCTGGGATTACAGGTGCACTCCACCATGACTGGCTAATTTTTGTATTTTTAGTAGAGACAGGGTTTCACCATGTTGGCCAGGCTGGTCTTGAACTCCCGACCTCAGGTGATCTGCCTGCCTCAGTCTCCCAAAGTGCTAAGACAACAGGTATGAGCCAACACGACTGGCGACTGTAGTTTTCAACAAAATACTTACATATTACAGTTCTATAATGTTAAGACGTTTATTTTGTGCTTCTCAAATACTACATTTCAAACATGTCTGGCTCTCTATGGGGGGAAGGCAAAACACATTCCTATTTTATAAAACTAGGATCCTTTTACAATTGGAAAGTTTAAAAACTTTTTTTTTTGGAGACAGGGGCTGTCACCGTTTGGAGGGTTGTGGCGCCACCTCAGCTCCCTGCAGCCTTGACCTTGCAAGTAATTCTCCCACCTTAGGCCTCCGAGTAGCTGGGACTACAGGGACATGCTACCACCCTGGGATAACTTCTGCATTTTTTGTAGAGATGGAATTTTGCCATGTTTCCCAGGCTGGTCTCAAGTCATCCTCCCATCTCAGTACCTCAGCTTCCCAGTGTTGGGATTACAGGAGTGAGCCACCATGCATGGCACAAAGATGGCTTTTATTTACTTATCTATATTTATATATACATATTTATATGTAGCTGTCACCCAAGCTGTAGTGTACTGATGCAATCATAGCTCACTGCCACCTTAATCTCCCCAGCTCAAAAAACCCAACCTCAGTCTCAAAGATGGTTACTTCACCACAAAAAAATTAAAATGTTTAAGTTTCTCATTAAAGAGTAGAAGTGTACATTCAGAAACAATTATGGGAGGTAATTCATTAATATTAAATATGCCAACGGTATTTTAAAGGTTATTGGAGAATTAGAAGGGGGTGGGGTGCAGGACGAAAAATTAATGGGTGCAATGTACACCATTCAGGTAATGGCTGCACAAAAAGCTCAGACTCCAAACTACTTCATATACCTATGCAACAGAACTGCACTTATACCCCCCAAATCTATACTGAGGGAAGTGACTAAGATGTTGCTATACAGGTTTTATACCATTTATCATATAAAAATTATAACCTTGGTAAAAGGAATTTATAAGCTAGTACTCAACAGGAGAAAAGATTTAGCTCTAAACCTTCACCCAGATATAAATTCAGCTTTAGAATTCTTGCCAATTTAGTCCTAGACAGACTGGTCTGCTCAGTCATTTCTCTTAACATAGCATATTGCTTAGTTATTACATGTACTAGTATTAGGATGACTTTTTTGTTCACAAAGATGAAAGCAAACTGAATAAAAAAGGTGAAACCTTTATCTGTAAGGGGGAATTTGATTGCTATTTGGTATTAAAGAGTTTTAAGATTCAACCACCTGGTACAACAGCAGGCTCTGAAGGGGAAGCCAGACAGGGAACCTAGAGGTACAAGCAATGTCTCCCCAGCTGTCAGCCTCAATGAGAATCACCACCCATAAATAAGCTAATTATTGACAAGATTATAATCTTTCGAATATGTTCAAAACAGGTCTGACTAGTGACTATGAGAATGGAGCTATTTAGAGTTGATTTAAAAGAAAACACTTTATTGTTCAGCAATTAAAAGTTAGCCAAATATGTATTTTTCTCCATAATTTATTGTGATGTTATCAACATCAAGTAAAATGCTCATTTTCATCATTTGCTTCTGTTCATGTTTTCTTGAACACGTCTTCAATTTTCCTTCCAAAATGCTGCATGCCACACCTCCAAAACAAAGTCAGAAACCACAGTGAAAATCATTCCATACTCAAAGTTCTCATATAACCTCAATATTCACAAGTGCCCCTCAAAAAACTAATGTTGAGAATACCACACATGCAAAAGCAACTTCAACAAGAATCTGCCCCCACCCTTAAGTTTATCAGATACTTTCTGAACTGTCAGCAGACATAGTTGCTTGACAAATCACTTACTTGAGGTAACGAAGCAGAAGTATTTTTAAACATGACAGCTAAGAACATTCATCTACAGCAACCTATATGCTAAAAACAAAGAATATTCACCCTTAATTAAATTATTGCCTTACATACATGTCAGTAATTAATCAATGTACAGTACTGGCATCTCAGTCTTAAAATTATTTCTTCAAAGACAACCTCAGCTGGGTAAACGGCAAAAAGTAATTTAAGTCATCATTGTGCCAGCTATTAAACCTATCTGTCAAGAATACATCACATAACTAACATTAATTAAATTTAGGTACCTCAATACATGCCGCGTGATCCTAGTAGTTTTTTCACAACCTTCTACAAGTTTTTGGAAAACATCTGTTATGATGACTTTCATACACCTTCACCTCAAAGGCTTTCTTGCACCTGGAAATTAAATATTACATTTCGAATTCCCATTTTTATTTGCATTTTGTTGGGCATCTTATATGTAGGAATGGTCCAAGAAGAGAATCTCATTCCTTTAGGAACTGTACTTGCAACCTACCTTTCAGACTCCCAAACCACTTTTTAATAAAAAAGTACTATTATTCTATTACCTGTTTCTGCTTTTTTGATAGTCAGTACTGACAAACCCAAACCTCTGTAACTGAGTATGTTTGTCTCATTAGTACCTAGTATTTCCACAAATGAGCTTATTCCAAACTGGAAACAGGAGCCATTAGCACTGGCAGGAAAATGGTGGAAACATTTCATGATATCCTTCACTGTGGCAGTTTTGATTTTAAGACATAATGGTCATAGTGAGTACACAGCCGTTGCTTTTCTGTCTCACAGCTCGACAAGGATGAGCTATGAGCCAGGTTAGATGTATAAAAACTAACGTGAAGACCTTCACCTAAAAACATTATAACGGCAAACCTAGCAGTTTCAGAGCAGGGATACCTATATTGGCATTTTTACTGGACACATTCCTGTAAAATTAAGTCCCAAGTTAACTAAAAACTGCAAAGAACATGGACTGGGGCAAAAAATCATGTCATACAGCAGCCCAGGAGAATAAATCATTGAGCCAGGCAGCAATACGAAATGATTTATGAAGACATACAAGGTTGGAGCTTGCAAAAACAATCATTTTCATGTGCTGAAATGCTGAAAATGTTTCACACAATCAGTATTAGGAATATAAACTACTGGTTTTGAATAATTCAAAAAAAATTAACTGAAACAAAAAAAGTTTCAGTTTAATATTATGATTCACAGGAACTACAGACAACTACATGCATAATCCTGTCTTTACAAAGCTTAAAAAATGGGCCGGACACGGTGTCTCCCGCCTGTAATCCTAGCACTTTGTGGGGTCGGGGCGGGTGGATCACCTGAGGTCAGGAGTTCTAGACCAGCCTGGCCAAACCCCATCTCCACTAAAAATACAATAATTAACTGGGCATGATGGTGGGTGCCTGTAATCCTAGCTACTCGGGAGGCTGAGGAAGGAGAATCGCTTGAACCTGGGAGATGGAGGTTGCAGTGTGCTGACATCGCGCCACTGCACTCCAGCCTGCACGACAGGAATGAGAATCCATCTCAAAAAAGCAACAAAAAACCCCACAAAGCTATCCACACCACCCCCCTCCCCCACAAAACCCAAAAGACTGATGGGCACAAAATTCCAAATGGTGGGTACCTATGAATAGGAAGCAGGGAAATGTAAACAATAGATACCCTAGTATTGGTAATATTATAGTTCTCAAATGTATCGGTGGATTCTTTTGTATTATGCTTCAGAACTTTCCTGCACTACCAATTTTATCAATTATTTAGTTTGAAAATTTTTAGAAGTCCCAGCACTTACCAGTGAAAACAGAATTCAAGCTACTGAAGCCTCAAAAATAATAATACCTAAAATATTTCAAGGATAAGCCATGACATTCGTCTTCTTGACAGTTAATGATTATTTCAGACGAAGCAATGCATTTCAAATTTGAAGAAAAAAAAAAACCTATACGAAGTCTCACTGATGAAATTTTAAAATTTGTTTCTATGGCCGGGCGCGGTAACTCACGCCTATAATCCCAGCACTTTGAGAGGCCTAGGCGGGTGGATCACGAGTGGTCAGGCTGGTCAGGAGTTCAAGACCAGCCTGGCCAGATGGTGAAACCCCGTCTCTACTAGAAATACAAAAATTAGCCGGGCGTGGTGGCAGGCGCCTGTAATCCCAGCTACTCGGGAGGCTGAGGCAGAGAACTGCTTGAACCCCGGGAGGTGGAGGATTCAGTGAGCCAAGATCGCGTCACTGCACTCCACCCTGGGCGACAGAACAGACTCTGGCTCAAAAAAAAAAAAAAAAAAGTTTCTGAATAGCTAACAGGTTTTCCCAGCCTCCCAGTTGCTGACCGGTTTCTTCTGTATTATGTCCAGAAATACACATCTCTATGTAAATACAAGCATCTCCGTGTGTAGCAGGCATTTAGCCTAAGGGCCTCCTATACTTGCACGTGTTGTTCTCCAACCTCCATGCCTTGACTTTAGCGCGTATTACGAAGGAAGGTCCAGGAACAAATACTGACTAGCTCTACGAATGGGTCGAGACTAGTAATGACTCAGTAAACTGCGCTCATTACAGTTTCAAAGCCACTCACAAAGTACGGTTAACTAAGGGTCGTCCTGACACCTAAGGGATAATCACCTTCCTATTTATAAAACGCTCCCTTTTAAGGAAAACAAGCTGCCTAAGAGCCTGAAACCGCCAAGGCCGCACGCACAACTTTGCTGGGGACACAAGAGAGATCTGGCCAAGACCGGGTGGAGCACGAAGCCTCCCGACGGTCCCTTGCAGGCACCTCCTTAAGTCAGAAGGCCCTTGCCCAGTTTCTGAGCAGAGGACAGCGAACCGGTGTTGACGGAGAAAGGTCAGCTAAGCCTTCCAGGTGGTTACTCACAAAACGCGACTGCGCAAATGGCTTGTGGGGAAAGCTCGTGGGCCTTGGGGGCACCGGGAGCGTAGCCTTTTGGCCTACGCAGCAGCCGCCCGCTCCGCTGCGCCCGGGGAAGGGACAGGGGCCGCGCTGGGCACCCATATGGCGGAGGAACCCGGCACGTAGAGGAGTTGGACCTAAGACCGCGATCACTCTCACCTCGCAGAGCCCAGCTACGGGCCCGCAGTCTCCGCCGCCGCCACCACACCGGCATGACTAACGGCTCTTCGCGCTTCTTCCTCCCTCGCCGGTCGCGCGGGAAAGGAAGAGCGACATCGGAAGACAGCTCTTAGGCACTCCGGTGGCCCCGCCTCTTCCGGTACGCGGCCCCGCCCCTCCGCGGGTGCGAAGGGGGGCTGAGTGCACCGGCTCTGGGGAGGGGGCGGAGGGGAGATGAGACCCGCACCTTAGCCCTCTTCCCTGGTTGCGCGGTGCGGCGACGCTGTGTGCCACACAGCAAGTTTATGTGGGGGCTTTGTGACTTCCCGCAGGGGCTTTTCAGGCTCAGGAGTAACTCTGCTAGAGCTAGTCAATGTTTAATTTACCAGTTTGCAGTGGATGCAAACGAGCAGAATATGCCCTAAAAGGCCGGGCGCGGTGGCTCAAGCCTGTAATCCCAGCCCTTTGGGAGGCCTAGGCGGGAGGATCACCCGATGTCAGGAGTTCGAGACCAGCCTGGCCAACATGGTGAAACCCCCATCTCTACTAAAAATACAAAAAAATTGGCCGATTGTGGTGACGCGTGCCTGTAGTCCCAGCTACCCGGAAGCTGAGGCACGAGAAATCGCTTGAACCCGGGCAGCGGAGGTTGCAGTGAGCCAAGATCGCGCCACTGCACTCTAGCCTGGGTAAGGCTCCGTCTCAAAACAAACAAACAAACCAAAAAACATATATATAGCATTCATAAAGCAGTTACCTACCTTGTTTATGAACATGTTATAATTTGCTGTTGATTTTCACGTCTTATTACTTCTGTTTTTCTCATTGTATTATAGAATCCTGACTGCAAAGCACTGGGCTTGATGCTGGAGCAGAAAGGCTTATGATCTTGTTGCCAGAAAGAATACACATGAAAGCATATGATTAAACAATCTACTCACTTAAAGATAGGTCATCTCTCCTTAATATTTTTGGCTTTTGTTTTGTTTTGAGGCGGAGTCTCTCTCTGTCGCCCAGGCTGGAGTGCAGTGGCTCGATTTCAGCTCACTGCAAGCTCCGCCTCCCGGGTTCACGCCATTCTTCTGCCTCAGCCTCTCGAGTAGCTGGGACTACAGACGCCCGCCACCACGCCCAGCTAATTTTGTTGTATTTTCAGTAGATCCGGGGTTTCACCGTGTTAGCCAGGATGGACTCCATCTCCTTACCTCGTGATCTGCCTGCCTCGGCCTCCCAAAGTGCTGGAATTACAGGTGTGAGCCACTGCGCCCGGCCAATTTGTTTTTGTGTTTTGGTTGGTTGGTTTTGTTTTTAGAGACAGGGTCTCCCTCTGTTGCTCAGCCTGGAGTGCAGTAGTGCAGTCATGGCTCATAGCAGCTTCCATCTTCTAGGATCCTCAAGAGATTCTCCCACCTCAGTCTTGAGTAGCTAAATGCTCACCACCATGCCCTGCTAATTTTTAAAACGTTTCGTAGAAATGCGGGGGTCTCACTATGTTGGCCAGGCTGGCCTCCAACTCCTGGCCTTAAGCTATCCTCTCGACTTGGCTTCTCAAAGTGCTGGGATTACAGGCATGAGCCACAGCGCCTGGCCAATCTCTCCTTTAGACACCGGAAATCTAAGAAACGAATACAAAATCCGGTACAAAATTTCAATTTGTCTCAAGTAACATAGAGTATGAATATCTAAGCCTAGTAAGCCTAGCAAAACAAATTGTGATTGTACCTCCTTTAACAAAGGATTGCAAAGTATTTTACAGGAGCTTAAAAATCTTTGCTTGGGCCTCCAAATGGAAGCCGTTTCTCCTGTTAAGTAGTGACATGGACCTCAACCTGCTTCTTGGACTAAGATTCCTGGCTGGATGTTGCTTCCACAACCTAATTTTGCAACCTGGGCTGTCACCTCCAGTGTGAAGGGGAAGCTGTGGGAGCCACCATTACTAAAAGGTATAAGTGAGAGTTAGTTTGGACATTAAATCCATAGATGCTAAGGCAACAATTTAGGCAAGTTCTTGGTGTCACTGAGTGCAGGGCCATATGATAACTGGAGGCAAACATGGACAATTCCCCTGCCATGGTTCCAGAGAGGATAGCTCCTGCGTTGCTAACAGCTTTGTGTTGTCTCCTGCAGGCATTCACAGGGCATTCATTGACCTCTACTGGGAAGAAATAGCTGAGCCGGGTGGACAGATTAGGAAGGGGCCACTGCCTTATTGACTTACTATGTTCTTTCTTCAGAAAGGATATAATTAAATATCTTGACTAAAATTTAGATGTTGCCAAAACTGTGCAGCCACCCATTTCAGGTTATCATCTTATGTCAGTTACTTTAATTAATAATGTCATTAAATGTATGTTTTCAACTGCAAGTAACAAAATATGCAACTAAAGTAGCTTCTGGAAAATGAGGAGTATATTATTCTATATTACAAGAAATCCAGAGGTAGATGGCTCTCGGGTTGATTGATTTAGCAGGAAAACACTGTCAGGGTTGCTGGTTGAATTCTCTGAGATTCTTGGTTTTCCCTTCATAGTTGCAAAAAGCCTCCCATAGCTGTAAACATCATATCTTTTTTCTTTTTTTTTTTTTTTTTGAGACAGTCTTGCTCTGTTGCCCAGGCTGGCGTGCAGTGGCAGGATCTTGGCTCACTGCAACCTCTACCTCCTGGGTTCAAGCTATTCTCCTGCCTCAGCCTCCAGAGTAGCTGGGATTACAGGTGCCTCCCGCCACACCCAGCTAATTTTTGTATTTTTAGTAGAGATGGGGTTTTATCATGTTGACCAGGCTGGTCTCGAACTCCTGACCTCAAGTGATCCACCTGCCCTGGCCTCCCAAAGTGCTGGGTTACAGGCGTGAGTCACTGCACCCAGCTATGTCTTCATATAACAACATTCAAAGGTGGGAAGGAGGGACATTTCACATGTTTCTCTTTTAACCAGGTTGGAAAATCTTCCCCAGAATGCCCACAGTAGACTTGTTTTCAGGTCTCACTGGCCTTGATTGGGTTACAAGTCCAGGCATTATCAGCTTATAATATGGGAAAGTGGACTCTGACAGAAAGGGAAGGGAGACGCCTGTTTGGTGGGCTGCTAATAGTGCCTGCACACAGGGGAAACTTTAAAGTGTGAGCGTATTGCTGTGAATCCATGAGCTCAGTTCTCATTACTATTCAAAGTGAGAGAAGATTACAAGGATATGATGAAAGATAGAGGAATTCTGACAAAGAATGGGTACAGATTTCCAGTTCCACTTCTGTTACAAAAGCAAAAATAGCTTTTCTTTAGCATAGCTTTATTGACATACAAAAACTGCACATATTGAAAATGAAAAATCAGATAAGTTTTGACATATGTGAAACCATCACCTGTGAAACCATCACCACATTCAAAATAATCAGCATATTCATCATCCCTAAACATTTCTTCATTCCCTAATCCAAAAGTCACCCTCACATCACTCCCCTCAACTGCACCAGGGAACCACTGATTTGTTTTCTGTCACTATAGATCAATTTGCTTTTTCTATAACTAGTTTAAATGAAATCATTCAGAATATACTTTATTTACAGTGTTATTGAGGTATTATTGACATACAAAAAACTGCACATATTTAATCTATACAATTTGATGGGCCAGTATGCACTGTGTTTTGGTCTGGCTGCTTTCACTCAGCATAATTATTTTGAGATTCATCCATGTGGTTGTGTGTTACAATAGTTAATTCCTTTTTATTGCTGAATGGTATTCCCTTATCTGAGTATACCACAATTTTTTTTTCTGTTTTTTGTTTGTTTGTTTGTTTTTTGAGACAGAGTCTCGCACTGTTGCCCAGGCTGGAGTGCAGTGGCAGGATCTCAGCTCACTGCAACCTCTGCCTCCTGGGTTTAAGCAATTCTCCTGCCTCAGCCTCCCGAGTAGCTGGGACTACAGGCGCCTGCCATGAAGCCTGGCTAATTTTTGTATTTTTAGTAGACATGGGGTTTCACCATGTTGTCCAGGCTGGGCTCAAACTCCTTGCCTCAAGTGATCCGCCTGCCTTGGCCTCCCGAAATGCTGGGATTACAGATGTGAGCCACTACACCAGGCCCCTGTCTTCTTCCTCTTCCTCTTCTCCTCCTCCTCTTCTTCCTCCTCCTCTTCTTCTTCCTCCTCCTCCACTTCCTCCTCCTCCTCTTCTTCCTCTTCCTCCTTCTCCTCTCTTCCTTCTCCTCTTCCTCTTCCTCTCTCTCTTTTTCTGTTGAAGCCTTTGTATTTTTTCGTCTCTATTGAAGACTTCCTTGACTTCCTCTCTTCTTTGAGTTCATTTCTTGAGTCTCCTCTTCCTATGCAAAACTTTTTTTCCTATAGTTTCTTGTTGGAAAAATGCAAAGTTTAATGTTCACTACTTTATGTTTTGCTGTTAGTAAAGGGATTTTTGGAATTTAGAACTCCCTTTTCCCTTTCGAGTCTATCATCTCCAAAAGGGCTTAAGAAAGTTAATCTAGAGACTCAGAGTTGCCTAGAAGCCTTGATTACTAGTGTCCATCATTTCCCATTGTACTTTTAAAATATTCACTTGTGTGTATGGCCAATTGATTTTTGGCATGGGTGCCAGTACCATCTATGTGGAAAGGACAGACTTTCCAACAAATGGTGCTGGGAAAACTGGATATCCAATGCAAAAAAATAAAACAAAATAAAATAAAGAAGTTGGACCTTTATCCGATATTATATTTTAAAAAAACTCAAAATGAATCAAAGACCTAAATTTAGGAGTTAAAACTATAAAATTCTACAAGAAAACATGGGGGACAATCTTCATGACACTGGATCTGGCAGTGATTTTTTGGCTATAACACCGAAAGCACAGGCAACAAAAGGAAAAATAAATTGTACTTCATCAAATTAAAAAATTTTGTGCATCAAGGGATACTGACAAGAGAGTGGCCAGGCTAGTCTCCAACTCCCGGCCTTAAGCGATCCTCTTGCCTTGCTTCCCAAAGTGCTGGGATTACAGGCATCAGCCACAGCACCTGGCCAATCTCTCCTTTAAAAACTGGAAATCTAAGAAACAAATACAAAATCCAGTACAAAATTTCAATTTGCCTTAAGTAACATAGAGCATGAATATCTAAGCCTAGCAAAACAAATTGTAATTTTTGTTCTTCATATATTCCAAATATTTTCTCCTAATCTGTGGATGGTATGTATTTAATAACACTGAACCATACACTTAAAATTGGTTAAGATAGTAAATTTTGTTACATGTATTTTACTACAATAAGCAATTTTTTTTTTTTTTTGAGATGGAGTCTCACTCTGTCGCCCAGGCTAGAGTGCAGTGGTGTGATCTCAGCTCACTGCAAGCTCCACCTCCTGGATTCAAGCGATTCTCCTGCCTCAGCCTCCCAAGTGGCCAGGATTACAGGTGCCTGCCACCACTGCCTGGCTAATTTTTGTATTTTTAGTAGAGACAGGATTTCACCATGTTGGCCAGGCTGGTCTCAGACTCCTGACCCACCTCAGCCTCCCAAAGTGCTGGAATTACAGGCGTGAGCCACCACATCTGGCCTACAATAAATAATTTTTAAAAAGACATTTTAAAAAGGAAAAAAATCCACCTATCTTCACATGGCTTATCTCATTTTCTGCTTCTCCTTTCTGGTGATGCTCCAGTCACCATGGCCTACTCTTAGTTCTTGGAACATGTCAAATAATTTTCACATCCTAAGGCCTTTACTGTTGCCTGGAATTCTCTTGTCCCAGATTTTTGAGTGGCTGACTTCTTTCCTTTTTTTAATCTCAATTTTAATGTCAACTTCTCAGAGAGGCCACATTTCCCCTACCTGTCTAAAGTGGGCCAACTCCAACACATCTCCCTTTTAATTTCCTTCATTAACACTTAGCATAGGCCGGGCGCGGTAGCTCACGCCTGTAATCCCAGCACTTTGGGAGGCCGAGGCGGGCGGATCACCTGAGGTCGGGAGTTCGAGATCAGCCTGATCAACATGGAGAAACCTTGTCTCTACTAAAAATACAAAAATTTAGCCAGGCGTGGTGGCGCATGCCTGTAATTCCAGCTACTCGGGAGGCTGAGGCAGGAGAATTTCTTGAACCATTGCACTCCAGCCTGGGCAACAAGAGTGAAACTCTGTCAAAAAAAAAAAACACTTAGCATAATCTGCAATTTTCTTATTTATTTACTTACATACTTTTACACCCTCACTGCATATAAATCCTGTAAGAGGAAAGTTCTTGTCTTATTCACCTTTTTATTCCTGGCACCTAATACAGTCCCTAGCACTTAATAAATATTTGTTGAATGAATAAATAAATGAATCACACATATGTGCTGATTTGGAAAAATTTTCAAGATATTTAAAAATTTTAAAGCTAGGTGCAGAAGGTATTTGGAAAGACTACATTTTTGGTTAGATTTAAAAAATGCAGGGCGGGAGGGAGGATCACTTGAGCCTAGGAGTTCAAGACCAGCTGAGCCACATAAGGAGACCCGGTATCTACAAAAAATAAAAAAATTATCTGGGTGTGGTGGTACGTGCCTGGTGGTATAGTTGCAGCTACATAGAGTCTGAGGTGGGAGGATAGCTTGAACCCAGAACATCGAGGCTGCAGTGAATCTGATCTCACCACTGCACTCCAGCCTTGGTGACAGAGTGAGACCCTGTCTCACAAAAAAAAAAAAAAGAAAAGAAAAAGAAAAAAGAAGCATATATATGATTGTTAATGCATAGGACTTTTCTTTAAGAGACTACAAAAGCACCTGTTTGTGGCTGGGCATGGTGGCTCCCACCTGTAATCCCAACACTTTTGGAGGCCAAGGCCGGTGGATTGCTCAAGCCTAGGAGTTCCAGACCAGCCTGGGCAACATTGTGAAACCCTGTCTCTACAAAAGAAATACAAAAAAATTAGCCAGGTGTGATGGCACGTGCCTGTAGTCCCAGCTACTTGGGAGGCTGAGGCACGAGAATCACTTGAGCCCAGGAGGTGGAGGATGCAGTGAGCTGAGATCGCACCACTGTACTCCAGTCTGGATGACAGACCAATACTCTGTCTCAAACAAACAAGAAAACAAAAAATAACCTGTTTGTAATTTTATAATTAATGCCTCTAGGAGTGAAACTTGGGTTTGTGGGGAGAGTGATCTTTTTATTTTTTATTATATCATTCTTTCCTATTTGGATTTTTATTATGCATATGTATTGATTTTGTAATTAAATTAAATTGAAAAATACTATTAAAGTAGTACATTTTCTCTGCAGGGTGCAAAAATAGACCATTTCTAAGATTTGCCCCATCAGTCCATTATTTCTTCATCCTGAGTGGCATTATAAAAAGGGTTCAGCATTTTCCAGCAATGAGTGCCTCCCTGGGGGTCGCTGGTCTCTAAGTTGCTGAACTGAGCTAATGCTGACAATTGCAAATACAACTAAAACCACTTCAAGGGGAAAGTTTCATGGTTTAAATGTGATATAGTTAGTTTATCAAAAGTAACTTTTAAAAAATAGCGCTTCTTTGATAATATAATCATGATTACCTTAGGAAGTTTACGTTTTGTAGATAGACATACATGTCGATTCAGGGACATATAGGGTATTATTTTTTATGGGCTGTCATAATCTATAGTCTGCACTTACATATGTGAATCTCATTAGTAATTTAATACATTTGGCCCTCGGCCCTTTTTCATATTAGTGAATGATTTAGAGAGCCTCCCATGTCCCCTAGATGTTTGCAGCAGAAGATGGGGTTGGAACTGGTAGGAAGTTGGCTGTAATAACCACATCCTTGTGCTTTTCCTTGCTCAATAGTAAGCATGTCAAAATAGAGTTAATCCAAGAGAAATGTAAATGACCCTAGTCATAAATGCATGACTTTTCTATATAAGATTCTTTTACCTCAAGCAGAATTATTTTTAAACATAATATTGACATTGAGATAATCATAGTATTTATACCTCTCGTCAAGGTTAAAGTTCCAAATCTGTGGAAAAATACATTAAATTGTCAGAAACTAGGGCACTGATCTAAATGAAAATTGATTCTTAAAACTTGAAATATATGAACTTTACTGAGATAATTTTGGTGAAAATTAACTAAATTACTTATACTTATGATTTCTGCCAGGATCCAAAATAATGAGGTAGCCACAGTGGCTTTAATTGTCAATGTGAGACACTAGTGTTTTCCTTTTCTGTTTAAACATCTAAATTTTACGTTATGAATAAACTTTGCAAATAACTACTTAAATACTACAAATTCTGAATGCAAAGGAATGTTTTAAAATTATTCAAGCTGGCCAATGAGACCTGATGGGAAGTCTGCTAGGGAACTTGAGGGAAGGTTTTCTTCTGTGATGAAGAGACACATATGGGAAGAAATGCCTCTTCTTCCCATTAATATTCTCATCTAGACACTGAAAGAACACCTGGCCCTGCTGCAAATGTCTTGTTAAATGAGGGGAGTTTATCTGAGATGGCAAAGTGGAAAAGAGAAGGAGCCCAGCAACATAAAGACATCTAATAGTCACCAAATTAAATAGAATGAACTAGCCAGGGAGCCACTCCAGCGTAGGCTTCTTGTTACGTAAAATAATAATTTTTTTTAACTCTTAAAAAAGTATTCAAGAATGATTACACAGAGAGTCCAGAATGTGGAAGTAATTGAAACATTCAAACTAAGGTTAAATTATGTTATTCACACCTCAGCGATAATATAATATAAATTATGTCCTGAAATTAACATCCCATTAAAGCTTTCAACAAATTACTATAAGGAATCAGCAACCCTTTTCTGAAATTTTACCGGCTTCACTTTTTTTTTTTTTTTTTTTTTTTTGAGACGGAGTCTCGCTCTGTCGCCCAGGCTGGAGTGCAGTGCAGTGGCACAATCTCGGCTCACTGCAACCTCCACCTCCCGGGTTCAAGCAATTCTCCTGCCTCAGCCTCCCGAGTAGCTGGGACTACAGGGTTGTGCCACCACGGCCGGCTAATTTTTCTATTTTTAGTAGAGGCGGGGTTTCACTGTGTTGGCCAGGTTGGTTTCGAATTCCTGACCTCATGATCTGCCCACCTTGGCCTCCCAAAGTGTTGGGATTACTGGCTTGAGCCACGTGCCTGGCCACCATCTCATTTTTAAGGGACAATAAGTATGCTGTTCTCAAAAGTCTCCAGGGGAAAAAAATAATGATCGACAAGGAAGATATTAACTGGAAGGAACAGTTAACTAGAGGGCATAATGTTGCAATTGCAGCCAGGTAGAAAACTGATTTGAATATCCTTCACGTGTGTGTGTATTTACATACATGTTCTTGTGTGTTACATACATATATGTCAGAGATTCCTGTGCCCCAAAAGACAAAAGTCACCTTTTAGAGAGTGTCATCCTTCTGTGTGTATGAGCCCTCTCCCAGGAACCTGGAAACTTTGGTCCACTGGTGAGGTTACACATGGACATGGGCTCCCTACCCCCTTGATAACCACACAGGACACAAAAACAGCAAGGCCCTGTTTAAAGAAAATGAATGACTATCTTCCATTTTGCAACAACCATCATCTATAAATCTTGTAGTTCTTCAAACAAAGAACATTTTCTCATGTGGATAAGCCTTTACTCTCTGGCTAGCTGCTATACCTTATCTAGGGCCTCCACCCCACCAACCCCCCCCCCCACCCTCCCCCTCGCCAAGGTGGGGTATCTTGGAGCAGAGGTGCTTAGAGACGATAGGTGGATTCAAACACTCCCTGATTTGTTTGTGGTGGGTTAAGTAAGTGAAGTTTTGTCTAAAAACTTGGGGTCACCAGAAAGGAAGTTACAGTCTGGCCCGTGGGCATGACTTCTTCCAGACCCCTCAGGAAGAAATTTAGAACAAAGAACGGAGGTCAGATTTCAGTCCTTAGTTCCCCCGCATCTGAGGTCTACATGCCAGCAGATCCACCTGGTGGGGGTCCAGGTTTCTGAAAACAACTCAGATACATGTGCTAAGATGTTGAGACCTATAATTCCAGCTACTCGGTAGGCTGAAGACAGAGGATCGCCTGGGCCCAGGAGGTCGAGGCTGCAGTGAGCCATGATAGTGCCACTGCACAAAGTGAGACCCTTTGCACAAAGTGAGCTACCATGCCCGGCAAAGTATCATGTTTTTGTATTTTTAAAAATTGATGTATGGGATTCTAATCTTTTCTCTTTCTTTCTTTCTTTTTGTTTTTATGGAGTCTCACTCTGTCACCCAGGCTGGAATGCAGTGGTGCGATCTCGGCTCATTGCAACCTGCACCTCCTGGGTTTAAACGATTCAGCGATTCTCATGCCTCAGCCTCCCCAGTAGCTGGGATAACACGCCCCCACCCCCAAGCCCGGCTTATTTTTGTATTATTAGTAGAGACAGGGTTTCACCATGTTGGCCAGGCTGGTCTCGAACTCCTGACCTCAAGTGATCCACCTGCCTCGGCCTCCCAAAGTGCTGGAATTACAGGCATGAGCCACTGCGCCTGGCCTGATACTGATCTTTTATCAATTAACAGATATACATTGCAAATAACTTCTCCTGGTCTGTTTTGTTTTTTAGTAGGTTTATGGAGTTTCATGTTCTTGGGAAGTCTGTGCTTCCCAGGAGCTCCCCAGCACCCAACACCTCAGCATTTCTATAGAAGATTTCTGGTAACCCTTACGTCCAAATCCTTTAACATGCCTTTCAAGGTCCTCGTTGATTTGAAAATTGGAAGTAATACAGTACTTATTCCGAGGATTTTGTGGGTTAAATGAAATAATATATATGAAGAATCCACCCCCCTCCTCAATGCACTTTCCTTCGAAGTATCATGTTTTACTTGCCTGCTTTTTCCTCAGTCTAGAGGTTTCTTTTCCTTTCTTTTTTTTTTTTTTTTTTTTTTTGAGACAAGTCTCACTCTGTCGCTAAGGCTAGAGTGCAGTGGCACCGTGTCAGCTCACTGCAACCTCCGTCTCCTGGGTTCAAGCAATTCTCCTGCCTCAGCCTCCTGAGTAGCTGGGATTACAGGCGCCCACCACCACGCCCAGCTAGTTTTTATATTTTTAGTAGAGACGGGATTTCACCATGTTGGCCAGGCTGGTCTCGAACTCCTGACCTCAGGTGATCCACCCACCTCGGCCTCCCAAAGTGCTGAGATTACAGGCGTGAGCCACTGTGCCCAGCCTAGAAGGTTCTTTTCATCCCTCTTTGCCTTCCTTGATCTCTTACAACTGAGTTAGTTGCCCCTGGCAGACACTTTTTGTTTTGTTTTGTTTTGTTTTGTGTTTAGAGATGGGTTCTCACTTTGTTGCCCAGGCTGGATTCAAACTCCTGGGCTCAACAGTTTGAGCCTCCTGTTTCAGCCTCTCTCACATTCGGTCCATAGCATCCAGAAATAGTGTTTAACCAGTGATCTGAGCGTCCCTTGGCCCAATCAATATGACGCAAAAAATTAACCATCATGTATGTCTAGCAAGGGCAGCATGCTTCTGGAGTCAGCCACTGTAAGGCAGCTTCCTGTTTGGCAAGCAGAGTTCAGATCATGGCAGAAGTATCAGCTACCTTGGCAGCCCAGTTCCATGGAATGGATTTAGAAATTGTTACTATAAATCCAGCCCAGGTTAGTTTCATCTCATGATTCTGTAAGTCACTAATAACCTATAAGCTTCCTTCCTCTCCTCTCCTCCCCTCCCCTCTCCTCTCCCTCTTTCTCTCTCTCTTTCTTTCTCTCCCTTTCTTTTCCCTCCCTCCCTCCCTCCCTTCCTTGCTTCCTTCCTTTCTTTCTCTCTCTCCTTTTCTTTTCTTTTTTCTTTTTTTTTTTTTTTTGAGACAGGGTCTTGCTCTGTCACCCAGGCTGGTGTGGTGGCTCAATCACAGCTCGCTCAGCCTCATCACCCTGGTAAGCCCCTTTCTTTTTAAACTAGCTAAAGCAGATACTGCAGCCAAACTCAAACTGATATACCTTCCTTACACATGGAGGTGACTTTATGACCCAGTTCTGGCCGATAAAAAATAAGTGGAAGCAGCCAGGCGCAGTGGCTCACGCCTGTAATCCCAGCACTTTGGGAGGTGGAGGCAGGTGGATCACAAGGTCAGGAGATCAAGACCATCCTGGCTAACATGGTGAAACCCTGTCTCTACTAAAAATACAAAAACTTAGCCAGGTGTGGTGGTGGGCACCTGTAGTCCCAGCTACTTGAGAGGCTGAGGCAGGAGAATGGTGTGAACCCGGGAGGCAGAGCTTGCAGTGAGCTGAGATCACCCACTGCACTCCAGCCTGGGCGACAGAGCGAGACTCTGTCGCCAAAAAAAAAAAAAAAAAAAGTAAGTGGAAGCTTTGATTACACTAAGCCACCTTACCAGTCCTGGACTGCCTACTTATGGATTTCTTTTCTTTGCTTTCTTTTTTTCCTTTTTCTTTTTTTTTGAGACAGAGTCTCACTCTGTCACCCAGGCTGGAGTGCAGTGGGCCATCTCAGCTCACTGCAATCTCTGCCTCCCTGGTTCAAGCGATTCTCCTGTCTCAGCCTCCCAAGTAGCTGGGACTATAGGCGCCCACCAAGCCCGGCTAATTTTTTTTTGTATTTTTAGTAGAGATGGAGTTTCACTGTGTTGGCCAGGCTGGTCTTGAACTCCTGACCTCGTGATCTGCCCGCCTCAGCCTCCCAAAGTGCTGGGATTACAGGCGTGAGACCCCAGCACCCGGCCTGGATTTCTTTTAGAGAATAAATTTTTAATTTACTAAAGCCACTATAGTTGGGTCTTTCTTATTAGCAGCTGAATGCAATTCCTAACTAATCTAGTAAGCAATGAACAATGCCTGCCGTAGCATTAAAAAAACATTTGTGGGCCAGGCATGGTGGCTCACGCCTGTAATCCCAGCACTTTGGGAGGACGAGGCGGGTGGATCACGAGGTCAGGAGATCGAGACCATCCTGGCTAACACGGTGAAACCCCGTCTCTACTAAAAATACAAAAAATTAGCCGGGCGTGGTGGCGGGCGCCTATAGTCCCAGCTACTCGGGAGGCTGAGGCAGGAGAATGGCGTGAACCCGGGAGGCAGAGCTTGCAGTGAGCCGAGATCGAGCCACTGCACTCCAGCCTGGGCGACAGAGTGAGACTCTATCTCAAAAAATAAATAAATAAAATAAAAAAATAAAAAAATTTGTGGACCAACTGATGATTGATGAACAAAGGCACTGAAGCGTGAAATAGCTGTGTGTGTGTGTGCACATGTGTTTACTAATAACTAAAATGTAAAATAGGAAGTGGTGGAGGGCAGTGACATAGGAAGAGGGTTCATAAATCAAGTTAAGGGGTTAGACTTCATCCTTAGATCATGGGATACCACTGAAGGGATTTGAGCAAGTATGTTATATCTTCAGGTTTGCATTTTTTGATAGGTTACTTGGGTGCAGCCAATACTGAAGGCTGGGGAAACTGTCAAGGCTACAAATTATAAGGTAAAAATGATGAATACCTGCAATAATTATTCTTACATACATTTACAAATGTAAGTATATCAATAGGGATTTTTGTTTGTTTTTTGTTTTTTGAGAGGGAGTCTTGCTCCACCGCCCAGGCTGGAGTGCAGTGCCTCAATCTTGGCTTACTGCAACCTCCGCCTCCCAGGTTCAAGCGATTCTCCTGCCTCAGCCTCTTGAGTAGCTGAAATTACAGGCACATGCCACCACGCCTGGCTAATTTTTGTGTTTTTAGTAGAGACGGGGTTTCACCATCTTGGCCAGGCTTGTTTCGAATTCCTGACCTCATGATCCACCCGCCTTGTTTCCCAAAGTTCTGGGATTACAGGTGTGAGCCACTGCACTCGGCCTGGTAGGGAAATTTTTTAACATGGCATTGCTAAGTCAGAGTGTGTATACTTATAATAGTGGGAGATACTGTCAAATTACATTTAAAAGAGGTTATGCTTCCAACAGTACAAAAGTCCTCATTTCCTCACCTTCACTAATGATGAGTATTTTTTGTATCATTGACAGGTGAAATATGTTCTTCCATTGCTTTCTAAATGTGTGTTTCTTAATTATGCCTGAACTTGTGTATCTTTTCATAAATATATTGGCTGGTTTCTTTTTTTTTTTTTTCCTGAAACAGATTCTCATTCTATTGCCCAGGCTGGAGCGCAGCGGGACAATCTCGGCTCACTGCAACCTCCACCTCGTGGGTTCAAGTGATTCTCCTGCCTCAGCCTGCTGAGTAGCTGGGATTACAGAAGCCTGCCACCATGCATGGCTAATTTTTGTATTATTAGTAGCGACGGGGTTTCACCATGTTGGCCAGGCTGGTCACGAACTCCTGACCTCAAGTGATCCGCCCACCTCAGCCTCCCAAAGTGCTGGGATTACAGGCGTGAGCCACCGTGCCCGGCCCTGTTTGGTTTCTTTCTATGAACTGCTGTTTGTTACCATTTGTGGAAGTTTCTCTTTTTTATTTTTTTTTGTGGGGGTAGGGGGACAGAGTCTCGCTCTGTTGCCTAGGCTGGAGTGCAGGGGCTCGGTCTTTGCTCCCATTTGTGCAAGTTTCCACTAAGTTGTTGGTGTTTTGCTTTTTTGAAATCTGAGAACTGATTTTATGTAAAGAGATTTACTGCTTTATCATGTGTTGTGATTTTTTTCCTCTGGCTTGTGTTTTGTCTTTTGACCTTGTCTTTTGTTTTGTGAATTTATTTTTATGTAGTCAAAATTAGCCATCTTTCCCTTTAAGGCAGCTTGCGGGTTTTTGTGTCACGCTTCACCTTACATGTTTAACTCTTCATCAAATGGAGCTAATGAGCCAGGGAAGACACACCTAGCTTGCACTGAGCTGCCTACATGCACTTTCTCAGCTATTATTTCATATCAACTTTGTGAGCTAAGGGGAAGAGGGCAAAAGGCAAGGGAAATGTATTGAGAACAAACCCTATACCAAGTGCTTACCACAGTGAGAGACCTGCAGCAAAGGACAGTGTTTTCCAACCAAACTAGGGGTGCAAACTCAAGTGCTTTAAGCATCCAGGCACTAACGGAGTAGGTAGTCTAGGACAGGAACCAGGCTCTCGGAGCCATACTGTCTGGGCCTGAATCTGGCCTCTGATTAGCTGGACAACGCTGGGCAAGTTTCTCAAGACTCTTTCCTAATCCATTTGCAAAGGTCCAGGAAGGTCCTCAGTACCAACACAGTCATTTTGGTGTGTTCTAAACTATAAGGTCAAATAAGTTGGAATACTGAGCAATTAGGTGTAAACTGTTGATGCAGATAGTCCATCTCTACTGTATAATTGGGTTAAAATGTCCATACCATGACTGGAATGTGAGGAAAATAACGTAGCTTTATGTCCTGTATCCAACCTCATCTTGTTCTAGAATCCTCACTCCTGAAGAGGAAAACTGCCAAACAGATCCCTTTTGATGTTAGTCTCTGTTCATTAAATATTCAGCCAAGTAAAAGTTGAAGCTCTATCAGTGCTGTTTACACTCAATGGGCTTCCTGCCTGTCCTTCTCCATTCATCCCTAGATGGCTTCAGGGAGCAGTTGTGAATCAAAAGGACATGGAGGGAGGGACTGCAGGCTCCCATGCTGTCTGTCCTCTGGGTCTAGACTGCACTCTGACATAGTGTGTCTGTCACTACCTGGTCCCTCAGGGTCATGCTGGCATCCACTGCTGAGATCCTGCATCCTGCTTACAATGTCCCCTTTTGGGGGCCCTGTACTCTGCGGCCTCCTGTGTCCTGGCATCCTGGCCTGAGTACTCTCAGCAGCTTGTGACCTGTGGCAGCCTGCGGTGTGGGGCTGCCCTCAGGACCCTCCCTCAGCCATTGCTCATCTTGCCTGCCCAGGGTGTGGCTCTGGGCAGAATCTAGGGCTTTGTTGGGCTTTGTCTAGAGAACTGTGGCAAGGTCAGCCCTTGTCTCCAATTTTTCACTACCCCACACTTCCCTATTTTTCTCAAGATGGACACCAGTGGAGGTTGACACCTCCACTACCTCTCAGTGCCTTGGCCTCCCTTCCCTGTTAGCACCTTTAGTAAAACTCCATTTATAGACCTCCAATCTTGGCGCTTATACATAGAGGGCAGCTTTTGGAACTTAAAATTCCATTTTCTCTCTTCATAAAGTCTGAAATTTAAGTCTATTATCTTGCTTGCTAGGGACTCTCAAAGTTATTTTTGCATTTTCTTTTTTTTTGAGACAGTTTTGCTCTCATCACCCAGGCTGGAGGGCAATGGTGCTATCTCCACTCACTGCAATCTCCACCTCCTGGGTTCAAGCGATTCTCCAGCCTCAGCTTCCCAAGTAGCTGGGATTATAGGCGCCTGCCACCACGCCCAGCTAATTTTTGTATTTCTAGTAGAGATGGGGTTTCACCATGTTGGCCAAGCTGGTTTCGAACTCCTGACCTCAGGAGATCCACCCACCGCGGCCTCCCAAAGTACTGGGATTACAGGCACGAACCACTGCGCCCAGTCTATTTTTGCATTTTCAAAGGCGTACAGAGGCGTACAGTGACTTCATTCTAGGAGGAATCTGCCCTTAACCAAGAGGGCCTTAAGTCAATGAGTTAGGGAGGCTGAGGGCCACAGATCAGTTTAGTAATGAAAAATATATTATCTCCTCCCTCCTCTAAACTGCTGCATGCCCTAAGGATATTTACTAATGTGAGAGTCCCTAACTCAGCTGGGTGCGGTGGCTCACGCCTGTAATTCCAGCACTTTGGGAGGTCGAAGTATGTGGATCACTTGAGGTCAGGAGTTTGAGACCAGCCTGGCCAACATGGTGAAACCCCGTCTCTACTAATAATACAAAAATTAGCCAGGTTTGGTGGTGCGAGCCTGTAATCCCAGTACTCAGGAGGCTGAGGCAGGAGAATCACTTTAACCTGGGAGGCAGAGGTTGCAGTGAGTCCAGATTGTGCCACTGCACTTCAGCCTGGGTGACAAGAGTAAAACTGTTTCTCAAAAAAAAAAAAAAAAAAAAAAAAAAAAAAGTCCCCAACTCATCGCCTATTAAGAAGTAGAAGCTAAGTCTTTTGGTACGATCTATTTCTTCTTCAACCTCTTCTTACCTCCCCTTTCCCCCTTCCTCAAGTTTGATTAAACCTCTATCTTGAAAAATAATGGGAGGCTGAGGCAGGAGAATGGCATGAACCCGGGAGGCAGAGCTTGCAGTGAGCCGAGATCGAGCCACTGCACTCCAGCCTGGGCAACAGAGCGAGACTCCGTTCTCAAAAAAAAAAAAAAAAGAAAGAAAAATAAGCTCTTACCTCCCACCACTGAACCATACTGTCCATTCCTGCAAGAAGCTCTATTTCCTGTCAACAAAGAAAAGGAATGTGCTAATGTAAGCAAAGTGTGTATCCCTAGAGTAGCCACAAGTCTGGGTGGGCTCACATAGGTTAGGGGAAGAGGAGAGACCAGTAGTCATTGCTTATGGCAAGTTTTCTGTCTTCTGTTAAGCCATCTCCACTACCACCATCACCCTAGACATTGTCCAGTGTCCAGTCTCTGGCACTGGCTGGCTGGAGAGGAAAACAAGACCACCTGGGCCCAGTCTTCATTACACCAGGTGTGGCTGCTCTCTGGATCTCTCAGACCGAGTGTGGCTCAGCACTGGCAGCTTTAGTTGTTCTGGTCTGGTTCTAAAGTCAGGTCTCCTCTTTGAGGCAGTCTCTCCTGTGTGTCCCTATAACCACACACTATAGCAGGACTGGACACTGGTGGAACTGGCCTCTTCTTTCTAAATGGGGGATCTGAAAATAGCTTCACACCTTTCCTCCTCTCTTGACTCGCCTGCCTCTGCCATTGCATACCATTATTTTTACTTGATTGTAGCCCATGTTTCAAGATGACTCTGGTACAGGGTCTTATGGCCGCAAGGTGGTACAGATGTTCTACACACAGAGTAGGGACACTCTTGCACAGGCCTACTTTTTAAAAATACAGCTTAATTAAAATTTTTTTTTTTTTTTTTCCTGAGACAGGGTCTTACTGTCTCCTAGGCTGGAGTGCAGTGCCACAATGATGGCTCACTGCAGCCTCCACCTCCTGGGCTCAAGCAATCCTCCTACTTTAATCTCCTGAGTAGCTGGGACCACAGGCACACGCCACCATGCCTGGCTAATTTTTTAATTTTTTTGTAAAGACGGGTTCTCACTACATTGTCCAGGCTGGTCTTGAACTCCTGGGCTCAAGTGATCCTTCCATCTCAGCCTCCCAAAGTGCTGGGATTACAGGCATGAGCCACTGCACCTGGCCTTAAAAAATTTTTTGTTCCACATCATATATCCATCTACATAAACAATTAAGCTACTTTGGCCAGGTGCAGTGGTTCACGCCTGTAATCCCAGCACTTTGGGAGGCTGAGGTGAGCAGATCACTTGAGGTCAGGAGTTCGAGACCAGTCTGGCCAACATGGTGAAACCCTATCTCTACTAAAAACACAAAAATTAGCTGGGTATGGTGGCAGGTGCCTGTAGTCCCAGCCACTCAGGAGGCTGAAGCAAAAGAATTGCTTGACCCCGGGAGGCAGAGGTTGCAATGAGCCAAGATGGTGCCACTGCACTCCAGCCTGGGCAACAGAGGGAACTCTGTCTCAAAAAAACAAAAATGGAATTAAGAAACCTTATAATAGCAAACATTTAACATTTTTAAGTTAGTGATTTCAGAGTCTATCTGAAAATAAAAATGGTTAAAATAAATTTTTCTTTAGACATCACATTGCTTGAAATGGCCCCCAGTTTCTAATGGCTAAAAAAACTGAAGATGAGTGATTGAAGTTCATCCCTGGGACATACTTCTTGGCCCTGGGAGGGAAGGAATGCATGAGATTCTTTAGTAACATTCATATGCACAAGAAATGACTACTGACATAATCTTTAATAGTTAGGATTATTCTTCAGTTTATTATTTAAAACCTTATGACAGCTAAAATGCTAAGGTATAATTTATAATGAAAGCATTTGAGTGATTGAGGTATATTTCACTGAGCTGGTTTGTCTTATGAGTTGAAATTAAGACTTGTATAAACATAAAAAGGGAAATCTTTCCCAGGTTTATGTAGTTAGGTAAGAATACTTAATGTCCCTCATTCCCAACTGTGCTGCAGTGCCATCTGTGCAGTGCTCAGAGTCTATAGGCAGCAAATCTACAGGATTTAAGCGACATTTATTTTTCAGTACAACAGCTGCATATAAGACCACCAGCTAGCATCACATAACAAAAGTACATATTATCTTTGAGATACACAACTTTACAGTATTTTCCTAGTGCTTTTAAAATTTTACAATCTTAGCTTTTGAGTTCTTTTAAAATGACAGTAACAAAAACAAAATGAAAAAATCAAAAGTGCATGTATCAGAGAAAAACAGCAATACTATAGTGTGTCTTACATCATCTGGGAAATTAGGTAATCAATCACATCCTCCAGCCATAATAGGCTGGAGTGCAGTGGCATGATTATGGTTCATTGCAGCCTCAATCTCCCAGGCTCAGGCAATCCTCTCACCTCAGCCTCCTGAGTAGCTGGCACTACAGGCACACACACCAAGCCCTGCTATTTTTTTTTTTGTATTTTTAGTAGAGAAGGAAGGGGTTTCACCGTGTTGCCCAGGCTGGTCTCGACCTTCTGACCTCAAGTGATCCTCCCACCCTGGCTTCCTAAAGTGCTGGGATTACAGGCATGAGCCACCTCGCCCGGCCACCAGCAATGATTTAAAAAAACTCAGCCGGACGCGGTGGCTGACGCCTGTAATCCCAGCACTTTGGGAGGCTGAGGTGGGTGGATCACGAGGTCAGGAGACCAAGACCATCCTGGTTAACATGGTGAAACCCCGTCTCTACTAAAAATACAAAAAAATCAGCTGGGTGTGGCTGCGGGCACCTGTAGTCCCAGCTACTTGGGAGGCTGAGGCAGGAGAATGGTGTGAACCCCGGAGGCGGAGCTTGCAGTGAGCCGAGATCATGCCACCGCACTCCAGCCTGGGCGACAGAGCGAGACTGTCTCAAAAACCAAAACAAAACAAAAAACAAAAACCTCATTAATTTGTCACCAGGTTAAGACAGAATCTGCTAGTGCTAGAGGAGTCAAAGTTCCTAGCTTTTCAAATAAAATACACAATTGATATAATTTGCAGTAACCCACACATAGTAAGAAAAGAGCATTTAGATTAAGCCATCTCTCAAAATATCTAATATATAAATTGAGATCAGAAGCAGTCTGATTTGTGGTTTCTTCTCCCTGCCAGCTAATAAGAACAATACAATTATACATGGAGCCAACAAGCCACTTGTCTTATCATGTCATGATAACAAATATAAATCACGTGTTCATTTCTAAGTGAATCATGTTGGCCACTGTAAAGAGATGTTTTGTATTAGATTATTTCCTCAGTGGTGGCTCATGCCTGTAATCCCAGCTGTTTGGGAGGCTGAGGTGGGTGGATCACTTGAGGCCAGGAGTTTGAGAACAGCCTGGGCAACATGACAAAACCCCATCTCTACCCAAAATACAAAAATTAGCTGGGCATGGTGGCGCGCCTCTGTAATCCCAGCTACTTGGGAGGCTGAGGCAGGAGAATCGCTTGAACCTGGGAGGTGGAGATTGAAGTGAGCTGAGATCTCGCCACTGCACTCCAGCCTGGGCAGCAGAGTGAGACTCCATCTCGAAAAACAACAGAGGCTGGGTGCCGTGGCTCGTGCCTGTAATCCCAGCACTTTGGGAGGCCGAGGCAGGCGGATCAGTTGAGGTCAGGAGTTTGAGACCAGCCTGGCCAACATGGTGAAACCCTGTCTCCTACTAAAAATACAAAAGTTAGGTAGGCATGGTGGTACATGCCTGTAGTCCCACTTACTCAGGAGGCTGAGACACGAGAATCGCTTGAACCCAAGAGGTGGAGGTTGCAGTGAGTGGAGATTGTGCCACTGTACTCTAGCCTGCGAAACAGAGTGAGACTCTGTCTCAAAAAAAAAAAAAAAAAAGCGCGGTAAAAAAGAAGCTAACACCAAGTAGGTATCTATCGTCTAAAAAGATTTTCAAAAGTAGCTTCGGTGTTTGTTAAATATCCAAAGAGAGAAACGCAAATTTAACAGACTAATTTTCAAATTAGTACTTTATTTTTATAATACCTCTTATCATGACCATTCACCATTAAAGCATTAAAAGAGCATGCTCTTTTGAATCTGAGTGAAAATATGCAATTTCTCCTCTGTAAACATACCAAAACCTATCATCATATCTAGCAATTTAATAAAATGTTATGAAAATCTGTAACAAATACACTTCTTTGGCATTAATACAACTTGTAACTGGATGAGAAGAATTAAAAAGTAATACCATCAAAGGCAAAGCTCTACTAACTATTTAACAGGATGACTTAGAAATCTAATTATTCAACACATAGTTTTTTCCCCAGTTAAATGCTTTAAAAACTAGCCAAACTAATAAATCTTAAGAATTATTAGCAAGAAAATCATTTTTCTGAAATTCTTGCTGTTAAATTTAGTGTTTACAATTCAGTTTGAGGTAACTTTGAAGAAGTTTTGATTTCATTCCTTAGGATAAAGATTCTTTTTAGCACTTCTTATGTCAATAACTTATAATAGTGAATGGCTGAATCCAAATCTCATTTTACTTTTTATTTCTTTCCATGAGTAGGTAAATATGTTTACAAATATTTAAATATGCAAGTACTTTTCTACATATTAATATGTAGAGAACTATTATATATCTTTCTTGCAAAAAGATATGCTTCTGTCACATTATGAGTATATTCACATTAAAACAATAAAACTGGGCCAGGCACGGTGGCTCTAGCCTATAATCCCAACACTTTGGTAGGTGAGGCAGGAGGATTTATTGAGCCAGGATTTCAAGAGTAGCCTAGGCAACACAGTGAGACTCCATCTCTACAAAAAATAAAAGAATTAGCCAGGTGTGGTGACATGCACCTACATTGTGAACTCTGCTGTCCGCTGACACCTGGTCTCCTGTTCACACTGGACTGCAGGGATTCCCAGTGCCTTCCACAAGTTGCAAACACTGTAAGATACAGAATAACCCTCTAGGAAGGTGACCAAGCCCTGTCCTCTGAGCAAACCATTTCTAATACTCCAAACAAGTTTTCTAAGAGGGAAAAGTAACTACTTATTGAATTTATTGCATCTTCATATTACTGCAACAGTTTTCTTCAATTGAAATGGTGTCTTAGATCAACTTAAGAACAGTATGGTTTTCACAAAAAAGGAATACTCGTATATTATAAACACAGATTTTTATCTTTTTAAACTAGGAAGACTGCACCAATAGATATGAACTTTTCTGTTTGTAATAGATACACTATAGCAATATCTATATTGCATTCTTTAGCTATATACACAATTGTTTGCTTTCATGTGACTTTTTTCTAATAATTTCTCTTGCACTATATAGTAGTGACTCTCACACTGAACAGATAAGCTGTGTGTTTTATATAACACTGATTATTTCATTCCACATTTAGACAGATAAACCTGAACATCCAACTATGGGTTCACATGTAAACTTTCAGAAATTTTGTTATGTCTCATATAATAAATATAGAATTATGTCATAGTATTTAAAAACAATAGCCACCACTTCTACCAGCCCCCACCAGGGGAGAGCCTAAGGCTGTGAGTCTGTTGGAGTGTTGTCATGATTTGTTTTTTCTCCAGAAACAGAATGCTTCAGAAACTGACCAGTAGCACCGATGTACAATCTTGATCGCATGGGCCATTTCTGAAAAAGATTATTTCAACAAGAATTCAAAAGTTAGTATCTATGACATATATTAACATGGTCTACAATGTTAAAGATTGTAAATAGCCCAATGCAAATGCAATATTATGTAGCTAATAACAATTATAAGTATGAAGTATAAGAAACAACAAGAAAAAATGTTTATTAATGCTAACAGTAAAAAACAAAAATATACTCAGACTTTGATTAACATTTTAGAAGTAATATGTGTGCTTATGGACAAGAACTGCAAGAAATCATGAAAAATAAATATAGTTAAAGTGTAGAAAAATATATCTGCCCGTAATGTTTTAATTTTAAACTAAACCTAAAACAAAATTAAGACTAAAACTAGATCCTGGGCTTTAAAAATATTTTTAAAAGTTCCAATTTTAGTATATGTGCTGCTGAAGTGAGCACTATATTTTAAAAAGTTCTATGTGGTATTATGTGTCTATAGATGTAAAAGGACCACAATGAAAAGTGTCAACTATCTATCTATCTATCTATCTATCTATCTATCTATCTATCTATCTATCTATTTTTTTTGAGACGGAGTCTCGCTCTGTTACCCAGGCTGGAGTGCAGTGGCACAATCTCGGTTCACTGCAACCTCCATCTCCTGGGTTCAAGTGATTCTCCTGCCTCAGCCTCCTGAGTAGCTAGGATTATAGGAGCATACCACCAAGCCTGGCTAATTTTTGTATTTTTAGTAGAGACAGGGTATTACCACGCTGTCCACGTCGGTCTTGAACTCCTGACCTCAAGTGATCCACCCGCCTCAGCCTCCCAAAGTGCTGGGATTACAGGCGTGAGCTAAATCTTATCTAGCTAAAAAACGATATCTAGAAGTCATAAATATTAGAATATTTGGTATGATACTAAGAGAACATCCTGATTAAATGTCTGTATGTATTGACATCATCTAGCTCTTTTTTTTTCTTTTTTTTTTATTATACTTTAAGTTTTAGGGTACATGTGCACATTGTGCAGGTTAGTTACATACGTATACATGTGCCATGCTGGTGCGCTGCACCCACTAACTCGTCATCTAGCATTAGGTATATCTCCCAATGCTATCCCTCCCCCCTCCTCCCACCCCACCACAGTCCCCAGAGTGTGATATTCCCCTTCCTGGGTCCATGTGATCTCATTGTTCAATTCCCACCTATGAGTGAGAATATGCGGTGTTTGGTTTTTTGTTCTTGCGATAGTTTACTGAGAATGATGATTTCCAATTTCATCCATGTCCCTACAAAGGACATGAACTCATCATTTTTTATGGCTGCATAGTATTCCATGGTGTATATGTGACAAATTTTCTTAATCCAGTCTATCATTGTTGGACATTTGGGTTGGTTCCAAGTCTTTGCTATTGTGAATAATGCCGCAATAAACATACGTGTGCATGTCTCTTTATAGCAGCATGATTTATAATCCTTTGGGTATATACCCAGTAATGGGATGGCTGGGTCAAATGGTATTTCTAGTTCTAGATCCTTGAGGAATCGCCACACTGACTTCCCACAATGGTTGAACTAGTTTACAGTCCCACCAACAGTGTAAAAGTGTTCCTGTTTCTCCACATCCTCTCCAGCACCTGTTGTTTCCTGACTTTTTAATGATTGCCATTCTAACTGGTGTGAGATGGTATCTCATTGTGGTTTTGATTTGCATTTCTCTGATGGCCAGTGATGATGAGCATTTTTTCATGTGTTTTTTGGCTGCATAAATGTCTTCTTTTGAGAAGTGTCTGTTCATGTCCTTCGCCCACTTTTTGATGGGGTTGTTTGTTTTTTTCTTGTAAATTTGGTTGAGTTCATTGTAGATTCTGGATATTAGCCCTTTGTCAGATGAGTAGGTTGCGAAAATTTTCTCCCATTTTGTAGGTTGCCTGTTCACTCTGATGGTAGTTTCTTTTGCTGTGCAGAAGCTCTTTAGTTTAATTAGATCCCATTTGTCAATTTTGTCTTTTGTTGCCATTGCTTTTGGTGTTTTAGACATGAAGTCCTTGCCCATGCCTATGTCCTGAATGGTAATGCCTAGGTTTTCTTCTCGGGTTTTTATGGTTTTAGGTCTAACGTTTAAGTCTTTAATCCATCTTGAATTGATTTTTGTATAAGGTGTAAGGAAGGGATCCAGTTTCAGCTTTCTACATATGGCTAGCCAGTTTTCCCAGCACCATTTATTAAATAGGGAATCCTTTCCCCATTGCTTTTCTCAGGTTTGTCAAAGATCAGATAGTTGTAGATATGCGGCGTTATTTCTGAGGGCTCTGTTCTGTTCCATTGATCTATATCTCTGTACCATGCTGTTTTGGTTACTGTAGCCTTGTAGTATAGTTTGAAGTCAGGTAGTGTGATGCCTCCAGCTTTGTTCTTTTGGCTTAGGATTGCCTTGGCGATGCGGGCTCTTTTTTGGTTCCATATGAACTTTAAAGTAGTTTTTTCCAATTCTGTGAAGAAAGTCATTGGTAGCTTTATGGGGATGGCACTGAATCTGTAAATTACCTTGGGCAGTATGGCCATTTTCACGACATTGATTCTTCCTACCCATGAGCATGGAATGTTCTTCCATTTGTTTGTATCCTCTTTTATTTCATTGAGCAGTGGTTTGTAGTTCTCCTTGAAGAGGTCCTTCACATCCCTTGTAAGTTGGATTCCTAGGTATTTTATTCTCTTTGAAGCAATTGTGAATGGGAGTTCACTCATGATTTGGCTCTCTGTTTGTCTGCTGTTGGTGTATAAGAATGCTTGTGATTTTTGTACATTGATTTTGTATCCTGAGACTTTGCTGAAGTTGCTTATCAGCTTAAGGAGATTTTGGGCTGAGACAATGGGATTTTCTAGATATACAATCATGTCGTCTGCAAACAGGGACAATTTGACTTCCTCTTTTCCTAATTGAATACCCTTTATTTCCTTCTCCTGCCTAATTGCCCTGGCCAGAACTTCCAACACTATGTTGAATAGGAGTGGTGAGAGAGGGCATCCCTGTCTTGTGCCAGTTTTCAAAGGGAATGCTTCCAGTTTTTGCCCATTCAGTATGATATTGGCTGTGGGTTTGTCATAGATAGCTCTTATTATTTTGAAATATGTCCCATCAAGACCTAATTTATTGAGAGTTTTTAGCATGAAGGGTTGTTGAATTTTGTCAAAGGCCTTTTCTGCATCTATTGAGATAATCATGTGGTTTTTGTCTTTGGCTCTGTTTATATGCTGGATTACATTTATTGATTTGCGTATATTGAACCAGCCTTGCATCCCAGGGATGAAGCCCACTTGATCATGGTGGATAAGCTTTTTGATGTGCTGCTGGATTCGTTTTGCCAGTATTTTATTGAGGATTTTTGCATCAATGTTCATCAAGGATATTGGCTTCTAAAATTCTCTTTTTTGGTTGTGTCTCTGCCCGGCTTTGGTATCAGAATGATGCTGGCCTCATAAAATGAGTTAGGGAGGATTCCCTCTTTTTCTGTTGAGTAGAATAGTTTCAGAAGGAATGGTACCAGTTCCTCCTTGTACCTCTGGTAGAATTCGGCTGTGAATCCATCTGGTCCTGGACTCTTTTTGGTTGGTAAACTATTGATTATTGCCACACTTTCAGCTCCTGTTATTGGTCTATTCAGAGATTCAACTTCTTCCTGGTTTAGTCTTGGGAGAGTGTATGTGTCAAGGAATTTATCCATTTCTTCTAGATTTTCTAGTTTATTTGCGTAGAGGTGTTTGTAGTATTCTCTGATGGTAGTTTGTATTTCTGTGGGATCGGTGGTGATATCCCCTTTATCATTTTTTATTGTGTCTATTTGATTCTTCTCTCTTTTTTTCTTTATTAGTCTTGCTAGCAGTCTATCAATTTTGTTGATCCTTTCAAAAAACCAGCTCCTGGATTCATTAATTTTTTGAAGGGTTTTTTGTGTCTCTATTTCCTTCATTTCTGCTCTGATTTTAGTTATTTCTTGCCTTCTGCTAGCTTTTGAATGTGTTTGCTCTTGCTTTTCTAGTTCTTTTAATTGTGATGTTAGGATGTCAATTTTGGATCTTTCCTGCTTTCTCTTGTGGGCATTTAGTGCTATAAATTTCCCTCTACACACTGCTTTGAATGCGTCCCAGAGATTCTGGTATGTTGTGTCTTTGTTCTCGTTGGTTTCAAAGAACATCTTTATTTCTGCCTTCATTTCGTTATGTATCCAGTAGTCATTCAGGAGCAGGTTGTTCAGTTTCCATGTAGTTGAGCGGTTTTGAGTGAGATTCTTAATCCTGAGTTCTAGTTTGATTGCACTGTGGTCTGAGAGATAGTTTGTTATAATCTCTGTTCTTTTACATTTGCTGAGGAGAGCTTTACTTCCAAGTATGTGGTCAATTTTGGAATAGGTGTGGTGTGGTGCTGAAAAAAATGCATATTCTGTTGATTTGGGGTGGAGAGTTCTGTAGATGTCTATTAGGTCCGCTTGGAGCAGAGCTGAGTTCAATTCCTGGGTATCCTTGTTGACTTTCTGTCTCGTTGATCTGTCTAATGTTGACAGTGGGGTGTTAAAGTCTCCCATTATTAATGTGTGGGAGTCTAAGTCTCTTTGTAGGTCACTCAGGACTTGCTTTATGAATCTAGGTGCTCCTGTATTGGGCGCATATATATTTAGGATAGTTAGCTCTTCTTGTTGAATTGATCCCTTTACCATTATGTAATGGCCTTCTTTGTCTCTTTTGATCTTTGTTGGTTTAAAGTCTGTTTTATCAGAGACTAGGATTGCAACCCCTGCCTTTTTTTGTTTTCCATTTGCTTGGTAGATCTTCCTCCATCCTTTTATTTTGAGCCTATGTGTGTCTCTGCACGTGAGATGGGTTTCCTGAATACAGCACACTGATGGGTCTTGACTCTTTATCCAATTTGCCAGTCTGTGTCTTTTAATTGGAGCATTTAGTCCATTTACATTTAAAGTTAATATTGTTATGTGTGAATTTGATCCTGTCATTATGATGTTAGCTGGTGATTTTGCTCGTTAGTTGATGCAGTTTCTTCCTAGTCTCGATGATCTTTACATTTTGACATGATTTTGCAGCGGCTGGTACCGGTTGTTCCTTTCCATGTTTAGCGCTTCCTTCAGGAGCTCTTTTAGGGCGGGCCTGGTGGTGACAAAATCTCTCAGCATTTGCTTGTCTGTAAAGTATTTTATTTCTCCTTCACTTATGAAGCTTAGTTTGGCTGGATATGAAATTCTGGGTTGAAAATTCTTTTCTTTAAGAATGTTGAATATTGGCCCCCACTCTCTTCTGGCTTGTAAGGTTTCTGCCGAGAGATCCGCTGTTAGTCTGATGGGCTTCCCTTTGAGGGTAACCCGACCTTTCTCTCTGGCTGCCCTTAACATTTTTTCCTTCATTTCAACTTTGGTGAATCTGACAATTATGTGTCTTGGAGTTGCTCTTCTCGAGGAGTATCTTTGTGGCGTTCTCTGTATTTCCTGAATCTGAATGTTGGCCTGTCTTGCTAGATTGGGGAAGTTCTCCTGGATAATATCCTGCAGAGTGTTTTCCAACTTGGTTCCATTCTCCCCGTCACTTTCAGGTACACCAATCAGACATAGATTTGGTCTTTTCACATAGTCCCATATTTCTTGGAGGCTTTGCTCAGTTCTTTTTATTCTTTTTTCTCTAAACTTCCCTTCTCGCTTCATTTCATTCATTTCATCTTCCATTGCTGATACCCTTTCTTCCAGTTGATCGCATTGGCTCCTGAGGCTTCTGCATTCTTCACGTAGTTCTCGAGCCTTGGTTTTCAGCTCCATCAGCTCCTTTAAGCACTTCTCTGTATTGGTTATTCTAGTTATACATTCTTCTAAATTTTTTTCAAAGTTTTCAACTTCTTTGCCTTTGGTTTGAATGTCCTCCCATAGCTCGGAATAATTTGATCGTCTGAAGCCTTCTTCTCTCAGCTCGTCAAAGTCATTCTCCATCCAGCTTTGTTCCGTTGCTGGTGAGGAACTGCGTTCCTTTGGAGGAGGAGAGGTGCTCTGCATTTTAGAGTTTCCAGTATTTCTGTTCTGTTTTTCCCCATCTTTGTGGTTTTATCTACTTTTGGTCTTTGATGATGTGATGTACAGATGGGTTTTTGGTGTGGATGTCCTTTCTGTTTGTTAGTTTTCCTTCTAACAGACAGGACCCTCAGCTGCAGGTCTGTTGGAATACCCTGCCGTGTGAGGTGTCAGTGTGCCCCTGCTCGGGGGTGCCTCCCAGTTAGGCTGCTCGGGGGTCAGGGGTCAGGGACCCACTTGAGGAGGCAGTCTGCCCGTTCTCAGATCTCCAGCTGCGTGCTGGGAGAACCACTGCTCTCTTCAAAGCTGTCAGACAGGGACATTTGAGTCTGCAGAGGTTACTGCTGTCTTTTTGTTTGTCTGTGCCCTGCCCCCAGAGGTGGAGCCTACAGAGGCAGGCAGGCCTCCTTGAGCTGTGGTGGGCTCCACCCAGTTCGAGCTTCCAGGCTGCTTTGTTTACCTAAGCAAGCCTGGGCAATGGCGGGCGCCCCTCCCCCAGCCTCGCTGCCGCCTTGCAGTTTGATCTCAGACTGCTGTGCTAGCAATCAGTGAGACTCCGTGGGCGTAGGACCCTCCGAGCCAGGTGCGGGATATAATCTCGTGGTGTGCCGTTTTTTAAGCCGGTCCGAAAAGCGCAATATTCGGGTGGGAGTGACCCAATTTTCCAGGTGCGTCCGTCATCCCTTTCTTTGACTCGGAAAGGGAACTCCCTGACCCCTTGCGCTTCCCAAGTGAGGCAATGCCTCGCCCTGCCTTGGCTCGCACACGGTGCGCGCACCCACTGACCTGCGCCCACTGTCTGGCACTGCCTAGTGAGATGAACCCGGTACCTCAGATGGGAATGCAGAAATCACCCGTCTTCTGCGTCGCTCACGCTGGGAGCTGTATACCGGAGCTGTTCCTATTCGGCCATCTTGGCTCCTCCCCTCGACATCATCTAGCTCTAACCTTTTGGTAATCATCACATTTGAATTACTGATGGTGATTTTTCTAAATTCATCTTTATGGTGGGCAATCTCTCAAACAATATAATTTATTGCCAGACAGACATAATGATGAAAAAACATATTACATGAGTAGTTCTTTCAGAATAAAACTCTTTTGGGAGGGAGGCAGGTGTCATATAATCAGTTAAGTTCTAAGATCCTTGGAATACTACTTTTGTTTTTTTTTACTACAGAGAGGGACTAAAAAAAAAAAAAATACAACTCCTAAAGGTCAGCAATCTGGTCCCACACTCTCCAGGGAGCAAGTGCTGCCTTATGTAAGCAGGCTACTTATCTTCATCACGGAACACACACAGGCCAACTGCTAGTTACATAGCACCATAAAATGTTTTTAAATGCCTGGTAGATAATCCACAGTGCTCAAATAGAGGTACAATTATTAACATGCCAAAGAACATTAAGAGCTCTGGGTTCACAACCCAAGTTGCTAATATTAGACTCACCCAGAGAGCTTTAAATAAATACTGATGGCAAAGTCACACCCCAGACCAATTAAGTCAGAATGGACTATTACTTCTGTTACAGAGTTAATAGAATGTAAGCAGAGTTAGATCTTAGATGGAATAATATAAACTCTCATTGCACTTGTGAGCACAGTTATTTTCACCTAAACTGGGACTCCAAATGTAAAACATAGCCATAAAGAATAAGTGGGCATGTGATACTATCTGGAAAGTTTTGTTCTGTGGCAACCAACCAAAGTCCTAATTTTTATTTTTTTAAATTTATTTTATTATTATTTTTTTTTATGAGACAGGGTCTCATTCTGCTGCACAGGCTGGAGTGGTAGTGGTGTGATCATGGCTCACTGCAGCTTAAACCTGCTGGGTTCATGCAATCTTCCTGCCTCAGCTTCCTGAGTTAGGACTACAGGTGCGTGCTACCACGCTGGGCTAATTAAAAACTTGTTTGTTTGTTTGTTTGTTTGTTTTTACAGAGGCAGAGTCTCACTATGTTGCTTTGAGTTCAAGGGTGGTCTTGAACTCCTGGGCTCAAGTGAGCCTCCTGCCTCAGCCTCCCAAAGTGCTGGGATTACAGGTGGTGAGCCACCATGCCTGGACTCAATTTTTAAAAATAATACATATGCATTCCTATACATTCTAGGTGTATCATTGTCAGTGGTCCTGTTCCTGGGATCTTTGCCAAAGATAAACTAATGTGTTTTTTATTTTTATTTTTTTTGAGACAGAGTCTTGCTCTGTCACCCAGGCTGGAGTGCAGTGGCAGATCTTGGCTCACTGCAACCTCCACCTCCTGGGTTCAAGTGATTCTCCTGCCTGAGCCTCCCAAGTAGCTGGGATTACAGGCATGTGCCACCATGCCCGGCTAATTTTTGTATTTTTAGTAGAGATGGGGTTTTGCCATGTTGGCCAGGCTGGTCCCGAACTCCTGACCGCAAGTGACCCGCCCGCCTCAGCCTTCCAAAGTGCTGGGATTACAGTGTAAGCCACCACGCCCAGCCAAACTAATATGTTTTAGAAACTGGAGTGAGGTTTATCTGATATATCAAGATCTGGCATTGTTATATCAGATTAAAGTCCTTCATTATGCTGAAGACCCCAGTGCTGTAGTGTTACAGACTGAATGTTTGTGTCCTTCCAAAATGTACATGTTGAAGCTCTTACCTCTAAGGTGATGGGATTTAAAGACCAGGCCTTTGGGAGGTAAAAAGAGTTAGATTAGCTCATGAGGGACTAATACCCATTTAAGAAGAGGAGAATCGGGCCGGGGGCAGTGGCTCATGCCTGTAAGCCCAGCACTTTAGGAGACTGAGGCGGGCAGATTACAAGGTCAAGAGATCAAAACCATCCTGGGCAACATGGGAATCGCTTCAACCCAGGAGGCGGAGGTTGCAGTAAGTCCAGATCGCACCACTACACTCTAGCCTGACGACAGAGCAAGACTCCGTCTCAAAAAAAAAAAAAAAAAAAAAAAAAAAGGCTGGATGCAGTGGCTCATGTAATCCCAGTACTTTGGGAGGCCGAGGTGGGTGGATCACCTGAGGTCAGGAATTTAAGACCAGCCTGGCCAGCACGGTGAAACCCTGTCTCTACCAAAAATACAAATATTAGCTGGGCGTGGTGGTGGGCATCCATAATCCCAGCTACTTGGGAGGCTGAGGCAGAAGAATTGCTTGAACCCAGGAGGCGGAGGTTGCAGTGAGCCGAGATCACACCACTGCACTCCAGCTTAGGCAATAAGAGTGAAACTCCATATCAAAAAAAAAAAAAAAAAAAGAGGAATCTCTCTCTCTCTGTGTACATGTAGAGGCCAAGTGAGAACACAGAGAGAAGTGGGCCATCTACAAGCTAGCAAGATAGCCCTTCCGAGGAACTAAACCCTGCATCTTGATTTTGGATTTTCCAGTCTCCAGACTGTGGGAAAATAAATTTCTGTTGTTTAAAAGAGCCAGTCTGTGGTATTTTGTTATGGCAGACTAATACATATAGTGAATAGTGTAGCACAGATATCAACTTTAAGTGCATAATTTGTGGCTACATTATATACCAGTGCTTTGAAACCTTTTACCTGCCCCATTTTCATAAGCATAAAAATCTCATGCTCAAATGTCAAATGTAAATTGAGAATTATATGAACTAAATACACTTGAAAGCAAATAAAATTAAAATACTACTGAATGCTCTACTGGTGGTCCTCTTACATGCTATCCAGGTCCCACTGTGTTAAGAATTGCTAAAAAAAAAAAAAAAAAAAAAAAAAAAAAGAATTGCTCTAAATCATTCAGCCAAGTGTGGAGACAAATGAAGGCGTCTATTTCATCCTTGCTAGGATAAAATTAACGAAGCAAACCTAAAATTGTATATGTGAAATTGTGCCTCCTTTTTCATGGATTAATAAAATAAATATTCTTTTTTAAGAATATTGTGTCCTTGATTTTCAAAAAGGCTTGTAATGATTTTATTGAACTTAATTTAATGTAGACACACAGTTTTAAGAGTCTGAAATTAAAATGTACATAGAATATTGGTTAGGTTGCATGTCATCAGGATGCCAAAAAAGCCAGTTGACTGATTTACATTTTCTTTTCAACAGTTTGTTTCAGGATTGTGCAGATTAACACAATCCTTACTTAGCTCTACTTTCCCTCATAGGGTATCTTTAAAACCATTTACTGTAGTTTCATTAAGCTTAGAAAATTTAGCAAACTCATAATTAACTAGAACTGAACCTGAAACTGAAGACCTTAAAAATCCCAGCTCTTGGGAGGCTGAGGTGGGTGGATCATGAGGTCAGGAGATCAAGACCATCCTGGCCAACATGGTGAAACTCCATGTCTACTAAATACAAAAATTAGCCAGGTGTGGTATTGCACGCCTATAGTCCCAGCTACTCGGGAAGCTGAGGCAGGGGAATCACTTGAACATGGGAGACGGAGGTTGCAGTGAGCTGAGATCGCACCACTGCACTCTAGCTTGGGTGACAGAGAGAGACTCCATCTCAAACAACAACAACAAAAAAGCACTTAATTAAGTGACTCAAAAGTAACAAAACCCTGTTATCTATTTTTTTCAATTATTGTTTACCTATCATAGACAATGATTATTAAATAAGGGGCACAATAATAAAGTCATCTGTGTTTTTCTGCCAATGTAGAGATCTGAAATACACTCCTGTTTCTTAGCGAATCACTGCCTTTTGGGCAGCTGATGCTGATGGAAATAAATTGCTCATACCCCACAGGGATTAAAAACTGCCATTTCAGGCTATGCACCAGGTTCCCAGTCTCTTAAACTTCCAGTTTCATTTGAGATGTTTGTTTTCTTTTTTGAGACAGGGTCTTGCTCAGTTGCCCAGGCATGCAGTGGTGCAATGTAGCCACAATCTCTTGGGCTCAAGCAGTCCTCTCGCATAAGCCTCCCCAGTAGCTGGGACTACAGGTGCACACACCACAGCCACCTAATTTTTAAAATTCTTAGTAGAGAGGAAGTCTTGCTATGAAATGCTCTTAAAGTAAATCCCCAACAGTGGTAATGTGCTAACAATACTGATAATAAGGACTGATGATTCAAAATAATGGCCTTGAAATATTTGTTAAAAAGCTTTGATCATCAGGGTAAGACCTAACACTATGTTGTAAGGCAGAAAAATGAAGTCATTTTAGAACACTTTTTACAAACAATAGTTTATAATGAGCCTTTAGTTGACCATAAAAGTATAAATAGTTAGGATATTTTAATTTCTTTCGCATTAATCAAAGGTAGACAATGTTTAAACATTTTGGTAGTGTCTGTAAAATAATGTGTTAACAGTTAACAGGCGGTTTCAATTATGTACATAACATCTCTTTCCTCTGAACTTCCGTAGCACATAATTATAGTTCTTTTATGGAAAATATAACATTCTCACTTCCAACACTGTTATTTGTTTCTTTGTCTTTGTCTCAATAATATGTTCATATAGGAAAGGGACTGAGTCTTATTAATTGTGTTCACTCCCCTAAAATAGTGCTTTGCACATAGTAGGAATTCAATAAATGTTTGATTTTAAAACATGCTTGATTTTAGTCACTTGTTCAAGCAACATTAATTTCATTTAAAAAAATAATCCTTGGCTTTGGATCATTATCTCTAGAGTTGTCTTTTAAAATAAAAACAATCAATATTTACAAATAAAAACAGTTATGATTACAAAAACATTTGGTACATGAATCAAGTGCAAAAAGACGCTTGCTATGCTTATTATTACATGGAAATGATGCTTCCAACATTATTCATTCAAAAAAAGCATTCCAAGAAAATAAGTTGAAAAGCATCCTGACTTCTCATTCTGAATTATATCTCCCATAAAGTATTTAACAGATGCTCTTTGTATTACAATCTACTTCACATTAAAATAAACTTCCTTAGAGTATATGGCAAATGTCAAGTCAAAAGAAATTTAATATTAATGGTATATTCGAATAGCAATCTAATGAACACGGTAATACAAAACCCCTTAATAATGACTTTTCTGCTGAGATTATAAAACTTACAAATGAAATAAAGTCTATCGTAATTATAATGATATTTCATGTCTTCATATTTAATATTGAAATCATTTAAGTCTATCATTATGATTATATTTGCAAAGTAAATTTTGTTAAAACTTATCACAGAATTGTAAGTTCAGTTAATATCAGAGGGTGTGCTTTACCATATTAAATAATTTATTGAACACTGATATACTTAAAGCTAAGTCTTAAGTCTTAACTTTGCATTTGTGTGTGTGTGTGTGTGTGCGCGCGTGTGGCCAAATATTTCAGGGTGGTGGAGCCAAAACTGAAAATTTAGGTTTAGCAAGTAATGAGATGATGCATTTGGAACAGAAAAATCAGTGTAAGGTTTCAAAACAATCAAATCTAGAAGAGGAGGATGATGCAAAAACTGAATACTGCAGTAGGTAACGAAGCATAATCATATATACCATGTTAAGTGAAAACTGTGACCATTTTACCAATATGTAAAGAAATTACGCAAAATGGATTCTCTTGTCTAATTTTGTACATGAGACTTTGAATTTAGTAATCAATTCACTCAACATACATGCCAATCTATTACGAACGTATTTAAAAACACTAGTTTTTTCTAACACTTTTGGTAGCTGTCAAGTCTATGATATTTAACCTTTATTTAAACGGACAAATTTTACTCCATAGAGATGCAGAATGGTCTCATTTGTTCTTATTAGTTTTACCAAAAAATTTCAACAGTGTTTTCCTAGAATCACTTAGGGCCATTACTCCAGTGAAATCTTTCAAATATCCCATAAAAATCAATGAAAGCGTAATTATGTAAATAAAAGATGCTTAAAAACTCTCAGAGGGTCATACATATAACTCAGATATTAAACATTATCAGGATGTGCAACCAAGCCCCCATTTCTCACCTTGGTAGGCACAAAAATCCTTCGGAGGCATCCTGTAAGAGGCTTGCGAGACTCTTACCAAGCCACCCCGGCTTTAAACGCCTCTCCAGCCACCTGTGAACCGCGAAGGAGCCGGCTTTCGCGGCGGGGACCTTGCCACCAGTACCCTCGCGGGCCGAGGTCGTTCTCCCGGTCGGCTTCCCGCCTCACCCGAAAAGGAATTAGAGCATCTACCCAAGACGGTGACTGGCAGGGCAGATCAAGGTGTCCTGGTCTCGGCCCCAGCCCCGCGGTGCGCCCCGCCCGCTTACCTTGACCGGGTGCAGGTAGCCATCGCCGCGCAGGGCGCCCAACCCGGCGTCCGCCGGCGCCTCGGCGTCGTCCTGCAGGCTGCGGGTGAGATGCGCGATGTAGGTGGTGGCCAGCAGCAGCACGTCCAGCTTGGACAGCTTGGTGTCGGGCGGCACGGACGGCAGCGTGCGCTGCAGCTCCAGGAAAGCGTGCCGCAGGGTCTGCACCCGGCTGCGCTCCCGCGCCGCATTCGCCGCCGCCGGCCGCCCGCTCCCGGAACGCGAGCCGCCCCCAGGGCCCGCCGGCCCCGGCCCGGTCCGCCCGGGACGCGAGTCGCGGATGGCGGCGGCCAGGGGCGCGGGCTCGGCGCTGGCGCTGAGGGGGCTGCCCGCTGGGCGGCCGCGGTCCATGGCAGCTTCCCGCGCCGCGCGCGCTGCAAAGGACCGAAGGTGCGGTGAGGCCGGGGGGCGGTCGGGCTTAACCCGAGAGGCGCAGCCCCCTGGTTCTCCCCGTGCGCCCACCAGCAGCCCAACGGGGCTAAGGGCGCTCTCAAGCGAGCTCGTTTTGCCTGGGACGCGATTTGCTTCCGGACGTCTGGGGAGAGTTGCGGAACTCCGGAGTTCTTGGGCTTCCTAGAAGGATAAGAAGAGGCGCAGTGCCGGCTTTGCTTTTCAGGGGCAAATTAAGCAAAAGGTCTACTCTACCCGGGAAGAAAGATCTCGGAAGCACAGCTCAGGATCAGCACTCGTTCGCGCTTGGGTGACTTTATCCAACCCGGCACGCACGAGAGGTGGCGCGGCTCCTTCTCGCCGACGCCGCGGAAAACCACGGCTCACCAGCCGCCCTCGGCCTTTCACGCCAGGGGGGATTTCTGCCCGAGGAGCGGGGGACCCTTAGCCTCACCTCGGGGTACGGCACCCGCCACCGTTCCGAGCCCGAGAGCTGCGCAGTACGCGTCTGACGGGCCCCTCACCTTTCCTGGAGCGGCTGAGTGGAGCTCCGCTCCGTCGTGAGGGCGGGCGAGGGGCGTGGAGCAGGGCCTGTGTGGCCAGGGCCGCGCTGGTCACTCCATCCTCGTCCGGCCGATGCCCAAGTCGACGGCTGTTTCCAACCTCCGCTGGCTGTGACTTTTATGCGGGCGCCCCGCGGCCAGGCGTGTGTGCTCCGACCGGCTAAGGCAGGTCGGGCGGAGGACCTGGCCCACCGGAGAGGCTACGCCGGGGGCTGAGGCGGCTTAGAGGGTCATTAATCAAACCCTCCGGCGGGGCGGGCTCGGGGGCGGGGCGTCCTCCTGGCCCCGCCCCTCGGCTCACTGCCTCACGCTGCTTTCCCCGAGGCGCCTCGCTGAGGGCGGCGTGTGGAGAGTTTGGGGTGTCTGCCGCCGGCTGCGGTGGGGCCGGGCTGGAGGCCGCGGGTGAGGCCTGTGGTTAACCTCGCGCTGCCGAGGTCTTACCTCCTCGAGTCCAGTCTGATTCCAGGCCGCTTCCAGGCCGGTGCCCAGCTGAGGCGGGAACGCTGCAGTTTGGTTGAGCGTGACTTTTAGGCTCTGTGAGGAAAAGTCGAGCGCGCCACATCGAGGCGCTAGCCGTTTATTCTACCACAAGGTAAAAGATTCATGCTGTCCTAGTTACCCTAAAGCTGGGAGATACACTGCACTTCCTACCAGACCCCGAATGCTCTCAGTGTCTGTAATTCTTTAAGAAGTTCCTAGAGCAGACAGCCCTTGGATCGTGGGCACTTCTCCCCGGGGACGGGGACCCTGCTGACCGCCTCCGCTGCCCCCGCGGGGGCCACCGCTCTTTAATTATTTGGGCGAAACATTCTTTTCTGGTTTTGCACTTGTGGACTCACGGGAAGCGTGACTTGCAGCGAGGCAGGACCCGATCCCAGGCTTCTTTAGAAAGCGGACGCTGCGCCCCAAGGCCTGTTCAGAGCCGCCCCAGGAAGCCGTGGGTCCCCGACCGCCCCAAACCGCAGCGGTTTCTGCAGGTCCTGGACCCGTCGCCTTCGTAGGTGAAATCTAAGTACTTTTCAGCAACATAATTAGAACACACTCGAAACAATGCCTGCAGTTCTCCGAGTAGGACATTTTCTGTTTTTGTGTTTGAGACAGGGTCTCTGTCGCCCAGGCTGGAGTGCAGTGGTGCCATCTCGGCTCACCTCAGCCTCCAACTCTCGGGCTCAAGCCAAGAGCAGGATATTTTCTTATATTCTTTGGGGTCAAACGGAATATCAAATTTAAAATGTCACTACAGAAATGGCGCTCTTGTATATGCACCATCACTTCATACTTTCCAGTAGATTTCTATGTTGGAACTACTGTAACCAAGCCGTCAGCAGTCCTGGTGGCACTATTTGGATGTACTGGCCCACAAATTAAGTACATTAGTGAGTCAGAATGGTACTTAGACTTTCATCTCAATTCCCACCCAATAACTGTAATTAGATTTACACTTTAGAAAGAAGTACACCGATATTCTATTGATTCAAAAAGGGGCCCAGTGCAGTGGCTTATATGTGTAGTCCCAGCTACCCCGAAGGCTGAGACGGGAAGATCTCGTGAGCCCAGGAGGTTAAGGCTGCAGTGAGCTGTGATCGCAACGTCCAAGGGACTTCTATTGCTGAATGAAAAAGTACATATTTTCCCAGTAAATTGTATGTAATGAGGAATAAAGCAACTAGATCCCTGAATTCACAGGTGGAAAGCAATGTTTCAGATTCTATAAAGCAGCAAATCAAACAATAACTTAAAAGTTTTTCCTTATATTATGAGATACCATAAAGCTACAAACCCACAAAAGATATTGTTGCCTAGTCATATAAGGTTAAAAACAAAATCAAACGTTTCCTGTCACTTGAGGCTGAATTTACTCATTTTCCACAAACAAATTTTCTTTTTCTTCTGGGTTATGGAAGAGGTGAGGTTCATGCACATCATTTTTTGTCAGCAAGCTTTCAGATTGCTTCAAAGAGAGATTCCTGTATTTATAGAGAGGGAAAAAAAAGCATTAAATTAAAAAAATGAAAGTATCCCTAAAAGGTAGCAAACATACAGAATCTAGGACACAATAACAATATTAAAGGCTAATGATTAATCACCAAACAGTGTGAATCTTGTCGGGCTTTAAAAAGGAAGCAGAAACAAAGATTTTCCTCTTGGTGTAGCGAAGAATGTGAAAAATCTATGATTTGTGAGAGGTATGGAAATAATATTAGAGGGAAGGTGGACCAGGTCTAAGATGAGGCAAATTTGAGGTGTCTGGGGCTTCTTATATTTTGCACCCAGATTGTCCTTATAATGCAAAATAATCATACATATCAATTTATTCCATATTGTTTTTATATATAAATGTTTTATATGTATATAAAACAGTAGATTAATTGGTACTTTTTTCACATTTCAACTATTTCTCTCATTGTTTAAATTGTAATTTACATAGTTAAGTTCACCCTTTTCAGTGTAAATTCACCCAGCTCAGCAAGCTTTCATAAACATATGTCTTATAACCATCAATGCAATAAAGATACAGAACATTACTCTCATTCTCCAAAATTATCTTGTGCTGACCCTTTGCAGTCAACCCTTTCTCCCACCTCCAGTTTCTGGCAACTACTGATCTGTTTTCTGGCTCTGTAGTTTGCCTTTGCCAGAAAGTCATACAAATAGAAGCATATTATATAGTATGTAGCCTTTTGAGTCTGGTTTCTTTCACTTAGCATAATGCTTTTGAGATCCATGTTGTTGAGTGTATCACTAGTTCATTCCTTTGTATTGCTGAATAGTATTCCATTGTGTAGATGTACCACAGTTTGTTTATCCATTCCTCAGATGAAAACCTTTGGAACTGCAGTGAGTCAAGATTGCGCCACTGCACTCCAGCCTGGGCGACAGAGTGAGACTCCGTCTCAAAAAAAAAAAAAAAAAAGAAAACCTTTGGATTGTTCCCAGTTTTTGGTGATTATGAATAATATTATAAATGTTCAGGTACAGGTTTTTGTGAGTATACGTTTTCATTTAACTTGGGAAAATAACCAGGAGTGAACCACTAGCTGCTAGAAGTGTTAAATGTATGTTTACCTTCTTTTTTCTTTTTTTTTTTTTGGAGGCTCTCATTCTGTCGCCCAGGCTGGAGTGCAGTGGTGTGATCATAGCTCACTGCAGGCTTGAACTCCGGGGATCAAGTGATCCTCCAAGTGATCCTTCCACCCTAGCCTCCCAAGTAGCTGGGACTACAGGCACGTACCACCACGCCCAGCTTAACGTTATAAGAATATGTCAAACTGGCTGGATACAGTGGTTCGCATCTGCAACCCCAGCACTTTGGGAGGCTGAGGCAGGAGGATTGCTTAAGTATAAGAGTTTGAGACCAGCCTGGACAGTATAGTGAGACCCGGTCTGTACAAAAAAATTTAAAAAATTAGATGGGCGTGGTGGAACATGCCTGTAGTCTCAGCTACTCAGAAAGCTGGGGCAGGAGGATTGCTTGAACACAGAAGGTTGAGGCTGCAGTGAGCTGTGTTTGAGCCACTGCATTCCAGCCTGGGCAACAAAATGAGACCCTGTCTCTCAAAAGATAAATACATAATAAAAGAATATGTCAAACTACTGTCCAAAGTGTCTGTACTATTTTTGCATTCCAGCCAGTAGTACACAAGAGTTCCAGTTGCTCCCTATCCTAGCCAGCATTACCAGCTTTTGTTTTTTCTTTTTATCCATTCTAGTACATGTTATTTTTTAAGAAAAAGTTAAATATTTAAAAATCAGATGATTTCATAATCGAGATATCTCACTTGCCAGCTAGTGCGATGCATGTCCATCTGGCCACACCATTGTGGAGCTGAATAGCTACAGTTGCCTTTAGTTGGGCATGTGCTTACCAGTTCACCTTAGTCACCCCCTCACCTGTTCTCACTTATTATCCCTTCCTGTTCCTAAGGGTGGTTTTCTTTGAGAGTCCCCAGCAGAGTACTTGAGAGGTTGGCTATTGGAGTCAGTGAGCTGTGTTCAAGTCCTAGCCCTGCTCATGGCAACTGTGTGACGTTGGGTCCTTCTGATTGTACCTCTTCAAGCCTCATTTTCCCATCTATAAAATGGGGCTTATAGTATTCTTAAAAGAGTTCCGTTGTCTTTTAAAATTTGTTTGGATAGGCTGGGTGCGGTGGTTCACGCCTGTAATCCCCCCACTTTGGGAGGCCGAGACGGGTGGATCACGAGATCAGGAGATCAAGACCATCCTGGCTAACACGGTGAAATCCCATCTCTACTAAAAACACAAAAAACTGGCCGGGCGTGGTGGCAGGCGCCTGTAGTCCGAGCTACTCGGGAGGCTGAGGCAGGAGAATGGCATGAACCCGGGAGGCAGAGCTTGCAGTGAGCCAAGATCACGCCACTGCACTCCAGCCTGGGTGACAGAGCGAGACTCCGTCTCCAAAAAAAAAAAATTGTTTGGATAATGAAGATTCAGCTTTCAAAATATAGGCATTTTAAAATGGAAAATAATATAATTCTTTTGAATTAGATCTTATATAACTCTTGTTCACAGAGTAAACCATTGACAGAGTTGAGATCAGAAGTCACAAAAACTAGCTTGTTTTAACTAAAACTAGTCTGTTTTAACTAAAAAAAGTTTTTGATTTTTGAGACAAGGTCTTGCTCTGTCGCTCAGTCTGGAGTGCAGTGGCACAATCGCGGCTCACTGCAGCCTTAACCTCCTGGGCTCAAGCAATCCTCTCACCTTAGCCTCCCGAGTAGCTGGGACTACAGAGACAAGCTACTACACCTGAATTTTTTTTTCTTATGGAGATGAGGTCTCATTGTGTTGCCTAGGCTGGTTTCGAACTCCTGGACTCAAGCAATCCTCTCTCCTTCCTTAGCTTCCCAAAGTGCTGGAATTATAGGCATGAGCCACCTCACCCAGCCTAAAAACACTGTTGCTTACCACTATTGTGCTTTTTTTGGGAAAGAGGGGGGACTACCATAATTTCAAAATGGTTCTTTGAGAACTGCAAATCCAAATATTAGCATTATACCTACATTACTGATACACATAAGCTTATTTTGCATATAAAATTAAATAGACCGTTATGTTTAACAAAGCAAAATTTGCAAGTGAGTTTATATAACATCATTCCAGAGTTTTGTGACTAAAAATATCTGAGTTTTAAAAATTCTTCCCTAAGCACATAGATCTGTTGTTACAACTGTTCAAATATAACCTTAACAGTGGTGAAGGAAAGTTGTTTTAACTGTTATTCGAGTTCACTTTTTAATTCAAAGAAACCTAATGCTTCCATATTCTAACAAAGGGTACTAGGTATTTTATAAATAGCTAAATAATATACAGTGAATATTTCCTGTGAATTATGGGTCCCAGTGATTTGTATTCCTTAAAGGTATCTGAAATTAAGGGCATTTTTACCCAGCTAGAAAGTTACTATTTTTACATTAACAAAAGAGATGGATTGACTCTATTAACATTGCTTGGGTTTGAAAGATAGTTAAATAATCAAGTAACAATTAGTTTTTCATTGTATGGTGCTACACAGTATTCTCGGTGGATTTTATATGCAATATATAAATGCATTTAATGTCTATTTTAAAATTACTAAGGCTCAGGCACCTCCTAGCATGTTTGCAAAGAGAGGAAACATCTGTCAGAAGTATTTACTGTGACAAACACAGAAAGAAGCAATAATGTGTACTTTTTTGTTTGTTTAATACCATATTTTAAAAAATTGAACAGTGAAGGCATTTGTTCAGAATCAGCCTTTAAATAAAAAATAGGTTTGACCTAATCTTTAATTAAAGTATACATTGATAGTATCAAGTTCAGTTTGAGGGTCAAAAACAACGTCAATGAGTCTGACTTTTTCCTCCCAGTAGAGAAAGCAGGCTTGTATAAACATACATGAGCACAGATTGCACACATTTATAAAAGAGGTGGAAAACATTCCCCTGTCTTTGGACAGATGTTGCTTCACTGGCTCCACATAGGATACAGGCACAGCCCCCAGTGTGTAGAACCCTAAAGGAGTGTGGGGCACATACCTTTAGCTTTTTGGAAGATGCACCGTAAGCTTATTTCTACCTCTGAGCAGGCTCCCCACCTTGAATATTAAATATAGAGTGTAGGGACACGTCTGCTGATGCCAGCTCATTCTTTCCCTTAAAGTAATTAAGGCAAGGGGTAGCTTTAATCAATTTTCTAGAAACTAAAAATCTGTTCTTTGTGTTTAGGCTGAGTATTTTGTTTTTAACACTTTACTGACCTTCTAGCTTTATTTTGATTATCTCCTGGATTTATGTTAAATTGCTAAAATTAGCAAAAGGCATGCCCTGAAAATCTGTATCAAGAGTTTGATGAAACTCTGTAATATATTTGATTACCTTTTATTAAAGAGAGGTAGAACTGATAATCTCATTTAATACGTATTAAATCTTTTGATATACTAAAACAATATTTTGGCATACCTAAGGTGAAAGTATTGCCTGAGGAAATAATAAGCATTTAAAAATTTATGTAATGCTTTTTCACAGGATAAAATTGAAGACTCAGGATTGAACATAATTGGCTTCACTTGATGGTGGCAGAGGCAGGACATTCTTATGTTCTCACAGAACCCTTTTGGTTTGCTGGCTTCATTTAGGATAGCCTATCTTTGCAGTACATAGTAGTTTGTATTTTAAAAAATGCATTTAGTTCTGTATTTAGTGTTCGTAGTTAGGAAAATGAGGGTAGAGTGATTTATTTGATGTTTTATCAGTGTACTCCTAGTGACTTGAGCTTTGCTTGGGGCTACAGAATATGTGGAATGGGCCACAGCTCACTATTGATCTAACAATGCACGTGGCAATGTATAGAATTCATCAACATTGTTTTCTGAGGCTGTGTACATTTTTATTGTTTTATTTTCTTCCTTGATGATATACTAGCAAGATTTTTCAAAATGCTTGGCAAAGCAACAAAACTTAAGAACACTGTTGTGGAATTGATAACAGTTGTGTAAATCTTTAAGAAATTATTGTGGTGCTATGGACAAGTAGGCAATGGTTTGGTGATAATGACAATGGACATAAGCAGTAAATGTCTCACATAGCTCCTGTTTTATTGTGAATGGAGAGGAGGCAAGACCAAAACGAGGACTCCCTGCATATCCTTTCACTTCTCCCCAAATAAAGCATTTTCCATACCCACAGACCTTCTCTCTCCTAAGACTGCATCCCAGCAAGCCTGAGCCACTCTGCAGGGAATAGGGGTAGGACAGTGCAGCAGTAATGTTCACAGGGCTTCTTGAGGTGGGCTGTACTAGGCAATTCTAAATCATCATCCCTCGATGGGACCCTTCGAAGAGGGTGTCATGATAAGCCCACTTGACCTTCAGCAGGCAGTTCTGGGAAAAGGAAAACGATTCCAAAGTATGTCCCCTGGCTCTGTTTACTTTCTCAATGAAATATGCTATTATTGGCCTTTAGTATATTGCGATCACTAATCTTATTTGGTTGGAAGGATCAATAGAGCAATCATTGTATTGATTATAAATGAAAAAATAAGTTTAATGCAAAATTTATAAGATGTATTAGGATCTGGTTTTTAAAGCCCATAGCATTTATCACATTATAGAGTAATTATATCACATTTGACTCCCCAGCTAGCTTGTGGCAAAATATTTGAGATCAGGATTATCTCATTTGAGTTTTTATATTCAGTGTTGCCCAGCATATGGCAGATGTCTCATGTTTTATATATAAATGAAATTACTTTCTGGTATGGGTATTTATTTATTTAATTTATTGAGATGGGGTCCCACTCTGTTGCCCAGGCTGGAGTGCAGTGGAGCGATCTCAGCTCATTGCAGCCTCTGTCTCCCAGGCTCAAGTGACCCTCCCACTTCAGCCTCCAAAGTAGCTGGGACTATAGGCACGCACCACCATGTCCAGCTAATTTTTGTATTTTTTTTTTTGTAGAGAAGGGGTTTCTCCATGTTGGCCAGGCTGGTCTTGAACTCCTGGACTAAAATGATCTGCCCACCTAAGCCTCCCAAAATGCTGAGATTATAGGCGTGAACCATTGTCCCCAGCTCTGGTTTATTTTTCCATCAAAGCAATACCTTTTTTAAACCAAAAAGCAAATTTTTCCTCATCAGGAGAAACTTCTGCCTCCTTCAGAGACAACAGCTTAAAAATCTGGTTTGTAGAAGTGGTGAAAGTAGTCTAATTCTGTAGGCCTCTGGACTTTCTGCAACCATATGCTCTGAAGTCGCCCACCCACTGGTGGACTAGTCATCATCAGCTAGGCCTCAGGCTCCTTTGACAGAATCCCTGATCATTGAGACATCTTTACCTACTGCCTCTGGGACTTTTCGGAGTCTCCTACCTTACCTCAGTGGGTGTATCCAGTCTAACGCCGAAGTCTTCTGGAAACACCCCTTCCCATCGTAACTTTCTGAGTGTTTGGGCAGACCAACAATGAACTTTTTTTTTCTTTCTTTCTATGTTTGGCCAAAAAGGATTGAGAACAAAGAACTAGGAGACAGATTGGATGGCCTCTGTTCCTCTTTGTTTACTGTGAAGATGTCTCCTCCCCACCAAAAAGATAAAGTCACATAAATATTTGAAAGAACCTACCCCATCTCTTAAATAATTTTAGTGTAATCTTCTCAGGAACTTTCTGGAGATGCATTTGCATTTACAGGGTATCTCTGTATTTCAGAGAAAAAGGCTAATTTTGGCTTACCCACCTGTGGGTAATAAACAGGAACTATATGATGCATTGTTTTGAAGTTACCTGTAGCACACAAAGAAATAAAAGCATTCTGCTTTGAAATTAATAACTAAATTTTTAAAAAGGGTATAACAATATTAGATTATCTAAAAATTAAATAAAGCCAAATGAATACACAGTAAAACTAGTAATAAAATTAATAACCCGAGGAAAAAATAGCACAGACTTTCATATACAAAAACCTATACAGGAAAGTTCATGATCAACTCTTAAAATAAAATGAGCATGCCAACATTAATATAAACATTAACTGCCCTTAATTTTACTGTTCTGAGTTAGTTTATTTTTTCAAATTGTTTAACTTGTAGGGAGTAAATTAATCGTGTATCGTTTTGGGGATATGTCCATACCTTTATTCTGGCACTTAACATTCCATATCATTTACCTGCTTTCAGATCCTCCTCCCTTTCCAGCAGTAATTTCCTTTTAAGTAGGGACAGCCCTATTCACCTCTAATCCACAGTGGCTGGCATATTCTTGGACACATTCGAGGTGCTTAATAAATGTTTATTAAATGTTTGTTATGAATTTTTCTATAGAAGTGCTATAAAAGAAAGGGCTAAAAGATGTGAGTATAATATTTTGGATTTTATTAAGATATTAAAGTATGTTTACAATTTTGTGTTATATAGCTATATGGCTATACTTAGGATAAGATTTTTAAATTGTAAGATCCTTGAAGTTAGAGGTTATAATAATTCCTATAATTTTACCATAATCCCCAATATAGAGCTCCAAATTTACAAGGCTATCAAAAACACATAAAAGATTAGGAAGTACAAAAATTATTACCATCTTTTTAAGAATTCCTGTTCCCTTACAATGTATTTGGTTGCACAGAGGTGCCTTTAAAAAGTTCATCTTAACTCTTCTAAAGACCTGAAAGGTAGGTATACTGTAGATTTTGAAAATACATAATATATTTTCTAGATTTTAATTTATGCTTTCCCTTTCTCTTGCACAGTTATAAAAGAGTCTTTGCATAAAGACCATATAGTATGCTATTGGACATATACAAAAGGATAGAGTTATTGTATATTACATACGTGTATACAGGGATGTCACTGCTTTTAAGCCTGAGAGTTCCAGGTTTGTACCATCTGTTTGGATGGGGATGGCAAACATGGGCAAAGGGGAGGGAGGACCTACAAATGGCCAAGGAAGAATAACCAAGTACTCCTGAGAAAAGCTCAGAAAATTTTCTGCTGCAGCTACTCAGTGTGTTCACTTTAAATTTTATTTTAATTGATTTTAGAGACCATTTTTTTTTGAGACAGAGTGTCATCTTGTCACCCAGGCTGGAATGCAGTGGCACAATCTCGGCTCACTACAACCTTTGCCTCCCGGGTTCAAGTGATTCTCCTGCCTCAGCCTCCCTAGTAGCTGGGATTATAGGCGCCTGCCACCACACCCGGCTAATTTTTGTACTATTAGTAGAGGCGGGGTTTCACCATGTTGGCCAGGCTGGTCGTGAACTCCTGACCTCAGGTGATCTGCCCACCTCAGCCTCCCAAAGTCCTGGGATTACAGGCATGAGCCACCGCACCTGGCCGAGACCATTTTTCAATATAGTAAATTATGTAATCTATTTGAGTACTCCCTTTAAAATTTTGAAATTTGTCATATTATCCTATTTCCTCTAGCTCCTTTTTAGTTATAAAAATTGTTTACATATCACATATTTCCACATCTGTTATTTTCCCAAATTCCCACCAAATTGAAGTGAATTTCTAAGTAGAGCATTATTGCTTTAGAACATTAATTGTCCTTATATCCCAGCTTCATTTAGCCTGTGCCCCCTGCTAGCTTTGTAAACTCAAGACAAGTCACTTCATTTGCTGAAACTGAACTTTCTCATCTGCAAAATGCATATAATGATCTTCTGCCTCACAGGTTATAATGATTAAATGCAGTAATGTATGTAAATATCTGAAATGTTTAGCACAGTAAATGTCAGTTCTTTTTTCTTCCCTTGCCCCCTCTTCTTTGCCTTCTAATTCTGAGTGCTTTCCATTTTAAATTATTAATAATTATCATAACAGCAACTACCACAAGGTCTGAAATGAAGCTTACATACTATAACATTCTATATGGACTTTTAAAAATTGTAGCAAAACTATTTAACATGAGATCTACCCTCCTTTTTTTTTTTGGTTTTTTGTTTTGTTTTTTGTTTTGTTTTTTGAGACGATGTCTTGCTCTGTCACCCAGGCTGGGGTACAGTGGTGCCATCTCGGCTCACTGCAGCCTCTGCCTCCCAGGTTCAAGCAGTTCTCTTGCCTCATCCTCCCAAGTAACTGAGACTACAGGGGCACGCCACCACACCCAGCTAATTGTTTTGTATTTTTGGTAGAGACAGGGTTTCGCCATATTGGCCAGGCTGGTCTCGAACTCCTGACCTCAAGTGATCTGCCTGCCTCAGCCTCCCAAAGTGCTGAGATTACAGTTGTGAACCACCGCGCCCAGCCAAAATCTACCCTCTTAACAAAGTTTTAAATGTACAATACATTATTTTTTTTACCTTAGGTACAATATCGTATAGTAGATCTCTAGAGTTTATTCATCTTGTTTGGCCGAAACTTTATGCCCATTGATTAGTAAGTCTCCCTTTCCTCCCCTCAGCTGCTGGAAATAGCACTCCACTCTTTGAGTGTGTGAATTTAACTATTTTAGATATCTTATATAAGTTGAATCAGTATTTGTCTTTCTTTGACCTGGCTCATTTCACTTAGCATAATACCCTCAAGGCTCACCCATGTTGTCACATATTGCAGAATTTCCTTTCTTTGTAAAGCTGAATAGTGTTCCGTGTTCCATTTAATATACACTTCCTTTATCCATTCATCTGTCCAATGTCCATGTACCTTGTTTCCGCATCTTGACTATTGTGAATAGTGCTGCAATGAACATAGGAGTACTGATGTCTCTTGGAAATCCTGATTTCAATTCTTTTGGATAAATATCCATAAGTGGGATTGTTGGGTCATATGGCAGTCCTATTTTTAACTTTTTGAGGAACGTTCATACTGTTTGCTATAGTGGCTGCACCATTTTACATTCCCACCAATGGTGTGCAAGGGTTCCAGTTTCTTCACATCCTCTGTAACACGTGTTGCCTTTTTTAAAATAATAGCCATCTGGGCACAATGGCTTATGTCTGTAATACCAGCAGTTTGGGGGGCTGAGGCAGGTGGATCACTTGAGTTCAGGAGTTGGAGACCAGTCTGACCAATATGGTGAAACCGCATCTCTACTGAAATTGCAAAATTAGCCGGGTGTGGTGGTACATGCCTGTAATCTCAGCTACTCGGGAGGCTGAGGCAGGAGAATTGCTTGAACCCAGGAGGCGGAGGTTGCAGTGAGCTGAGAGCACGCCATTGCACTCCAGCCTAGGCAACAAGAGTAAAACTCTGTCTCGGAAAAAAAAATAAAAGCCATCCTGACAGATGTGAGGTGATAGCTCATATCTATTTTGATTCGCATTTCCCTGATGATTACTGACATTGAGTATTTCTTCATATACCTGTTGGCCATTTGTATGTCTTCTTTGGAGAAATTTGTATGTCTTCTTTGGAGGAACAAAAACCACTATTTGTTTAAGAGACTTTTCTTTCCCCATTGTGTATTCTAGGCACCTTGTCAAAGATCAATTGACTACATATGCATGGATTTTTTTCCTGGGTGCTCTATTTTGTTCCATTTCTCTATATGCCTGTCTTCTGCCAGTACCATACTGTTTTGATTACTGTATCTATGTAATATATTTCAAAGTTAAGAAATGTGGTGCCTTCAGCTTTGTTCTTCATTCTTAAGATTGATTTGGCTATTTGTGGTCTTCAGTGGTTCCATATGAATTTTAGAATTGCTTTTTTCTATTTCTATAAAAAATGCAATTGGGATTTTGATAGAAATTGCATTGAATCTGTGGATCACTTTTGGTCTTACGGATATTTTACAATATTGAGTCTTCAGTTCATGAACATGAGGTGTCTTTTCATTTGTGTCTTGTTTAATTTCTTTTAAAATTTATAAGCAGACATTGCAGAAGATGTCTTAATTTCTTTCATCAATGTTTTGTCGTTTTCAGCATATGTCTTTCACCTCCTTAATTAAATTTATTCCTGGGTATTTTATTCTTTTGTTGTTATTGTAAATGGGATTATTTTCATAATTTCTTTTCAGATAGTTTGTTGCTAATTTATCTATATGACTTTAAACATTGTTTTTGGGCGGGGCGCAGTGGCTCATGCCTGTAATCCCAGGACTTTGGAAGGCCAAGGTGGGTGGATCACTTGAGTTCAGGAGTTCAAGACCAGCCTGGCCAACATGGTGAAATCCCATCTACTAAAAATACAAAAAGTAGTCAGGTGTGGTGGCACACGCCTGTAATCCCAGCTTCTCGGGAGGCTGAGGCAGGAGAATTGCTTGAACCTGGGAGGCAGAGGTTGCAATGAACTGAGATTGTGCCACTGCACTCCAGCCTGGGTGACAGAGTGATACTCTATCAAAAAAAAGATGGTTTTTGTTAGTTGGGGCTCACACTAGATTATAAAGAGATTAATAAGGACTGTTTTGAGAAAATTAAATGGCTAATTTAAAAAAATTTAGTTGAGACATAATTGTACATATTTATAGGGTACATAGTGATGTTGCAATACATATAATGTATAGTGATCAAATCAGGGAAATTAGCATATACATCATCTCAAACATTTATCATTTCTTTGTGTTGGCATCATTCAATATTCTCCTTCTAGCTATTTGAAACTATATATGATTGTTAACTATGGTCATCCTATAGTGCAGGGGTCCCCAACCCCAATGGTCCTGGTCTGTGGCCTATTAGAAACTGGGCCGCATAGCAGAAGGTGAGTGGCAGGTAAGCGAATGAAGCTTCATCTGTATTTACAGCTGCTCTCCATAACTCGCATTACCACCTGAGCTCTGCCTCCTATCAGATCTGCTACAGCATTGGATTCTCATAGGAACATGAACCCTATTGTGAACTGTGCATGCGAGGGATCTAGGTTGTGAACTCCTTATGAGAATCTAATGCCCAATGATCTGTCACTGTCTCTCATTACTCCCAGATAGGATCATCTAGTTGCAGGAAAAAAAGCTCAGGGCTCCTGCTGACTCTGCGTTATGGTGAATTACGATTTCATTATACATTACAGTGCAATGTTAATAGAAATAAAGTGCACAATAAATGTAATGTACTTGTATCATCCCAAAACAATATCCCCCTCCACCACACTTCTGGTCCATGGAAAAATTGTCTTCCACAAAACCAGTCCCTGGTGCTACAAAGGTTGGGGACAGCTGCTATAGAACTCTAAAGTTTATTCCGCCTATCTGGTTGTAATTTTGTAACCTTTACCAAATCTCTCTCTTCCCTTGCCTTATTCCCTCTGGCCTTCCCAGTCTGTAGTATCCTCGTTCTACTTTTTAATTCTATGAGATCAACTTTTTGGTTTTTTTTTTTTTTTTAGCTTTCACAGATGAGTGAGAACATGCACCATTTCACTTTCTGTTTCTGGCTTATTTCACTTAACATAATGTCCCCCATTTCCATCCGCGTTGTTGCGAATAACAGGATTTCATTCTTATTTATAGTTGAATAGTATTCCATTGTGTATATATACCACATTTTCTTTATCCATTCATCTGTTGGACACTTAGGGCAATTCTGTATCTTGGCTATTGTGAATACTCCTGCAACAAACATGAGGGTGTGGATGTCTCCTTGATACACTGATTTCTTTTCCTTTGGATAGATGGTCAGTAGTGGGATTGCTAGATCATATGGTAGTTCTTCTTCTTTTTTTAATTCAAGGAATTTTTTTAAATTCAAGGAAAATCTGGTAGTGTTCTATTTGTAGGTTTTTGTTTTGTTTTGCTTTTTTTTTTTTTTTAGACGTAGTCTTGCTCTGTCACACAGGCTGAAGTGTAGTTGTGTGATCTCAGCTCACTGCAACCTCCGCCTCCCAGGTTTAAGAAATTCTCTGCCTCAGCCTCCCGAATAGCTGGGATTACAGGCGTGTGCCACCACGCTCAGCTAATTTTTTTTGTATTTTTAGTAGAGACGAGGTTTCACCATCTTGGCTAGGCTGGTCTTGAACTCCTGATCTATGATCCAACTGCCATGGCCTCCCAAAGTGCTGGGATTACAGGCGTGAGCCATCGCGCCCACCCTTGCTTTTTTTTTTTTTTTTTAAGAGACAGGGTCTTGCTCTGTTGTCCAGGCAGGAGTGCAGTGGCGTGATCATAGCTCACTGCAGCTTCAAGCTCCTGGGCTCAAGCAATCCCCCTGCCTGAGCCTCCTGAGTAGCTGGGACTACAGGTGTGTACTACCACACTGAGCTAATTTTCTTTCTTTCTTTTTTTAGATGGAGTCTCGCTCTGTTTCCCAGGCTGGAGTGCAATGGCATGATCTTGGCTCACTGCAGCCTCCGCCTTCCAGGTTCAATCGATTCTCCTGTCTTAGCCTCCACAGTAGCTGAGACTACAGGTGTGCACCACCATGCCCGGCTAATTTTTGTATTTTTAGTAGAGAAGGGGTTTCACCATATTGGCCAGGCTGGTCTTGAACTCCTGACCTCAAGTGATCCACCTGCCTTGGCCTCCAAAAGTGCTGGGATTACAGGCATGAGCCACCTCGCTTGGCCGCTAATTTTAAAAATAATGTTTTTGAAGAGATGGTGTCTTGCTTTGTTGCCCAGGCTGGTCTTGATCTCTTAGTCTCAACTGATACTCCTGCCTTGGCCTCCAAAAGCACTGGGATTACAGTTGTAAGCCACCATGTCCAGCACCCTATTTGTAGTTTTTTGAGGAACCTCCATTCTGTTCTCTATAGTGGTTGTACAACTTTACATTCCCACTAACAGTGTATAAGAGAGCTCCCTTTTCTCTGCATTCTCACCAGCTGTATTAGTCCATTTTCATGCTGCTGATAAAAACATACCTAAGACTTGGGTAATTTATAAAGAAAAAGAGGTTTAATGGACTCACAGTTCCACATGGCTGGGGAGGCCTCACAATCATGGCAGAAGGCAAAAGGCACATCTTACATGGTGGCAGACAAGAGAGAATGAGAGCCAGGCAAAAGGGGAAACTGCTTATAAAATCATCAGATCTCATGAGACTTATCCACTATCACAAGAACAGTATGGGGGAAACCACCCCCATAATTCAATTATCTCCCACCACGTCCCTCCCACAACACATGGGAATTATGGAAGCTACAATTCAAGATGAGATTTGGGTGGGGACACAGCCAAACCATATCACCAGCATTTGGTTTTTATTTTTGAGACTAAGTCTCACTCTGTCACCAGGCTAGAGTGCAGTGGTGCGATCTCAGCTCACTGCCTCCTGGGTTCAAGCGATTCTCGTGCCTCAGCCTTCCAAGTAGCTGGAATTGTAGGTGTGCACCACCCCTGGCTAACTTTTGTATTGTCAGTAGAGACAGGGTTTCACCATGTTGGCCAGGCCGTTCCTGAACTCCTGACTTCAAGTGATCCACCCACCTCAGCTTCCCAAAATGCTGAGATTACAGCCGTGAGCCACTGTGCCTGGCTACCTGTTGTTATTTTTTGTCTTTTTGTTAATAGCCATCCTAACTGGGATGAGATGACACCTCATTGTGGTTTTGATTTGCATCCTGATGATTAAGTGATATTGGGCATATCTTTCTTATATTTGTTGGCCATTTGTATGTCTTCTTTTGAGAAATGTCTGTTCAGATCCTTTGCCCATTTTAAAACTGGGTTGTTTTTTTGCTTTTGAGATGTTTCAGTTTCTTGTATATTCTGAATAATAATCCTGTCAGATGAATAGTTTACAGATATTTTCCCCATTCTATAGGTTGTCTTTTCACTCTTGATTGTTCCCTTTGCTGTGCAGAAGCTTTTTAGTTTGACATAATCCCACTTGTTTATTTTTGTTCTCATTGCCTGTGCTTTTGAGGTTCTATTATAAAATCTTTTCCCAGACCAATGTCCTGAAGCATTTCCTCTGTTTTCTTCTAGTAGTTTTATAGTTTCAGGTCTTATATTTAGGTCTTTGATCCATACTGAGTTGATTTTTGCTTAGGGTGATAGCTAGGGGTCTAGTTTCATTCTTCTGCATATGGATATCCAGTTTTCCCATCACCATTTATTGAAGAGGAGGATAGCTTGAGCCGAGGATTTCAAGATTAGCTTGGGCAACACAGTGAGACCTCATCTCTACAAAAAATATTTTAAAATTAGCCGGGTATGGTTGCACACGCCTGTCATCTCAGCTACTTGGGAGTTCTGAGGTAGGAGGATCATTTGAGCCTGGGAGATCGAGGCTGTAGTGAGCTGTGATCCAACATATGTTCTTGGCACCTTGGTCAAAAATCAGTTGGCTGTAGCTAAGTGGATTGGTTTCTGGGTTCTCTATTCTGTTCTACTAGTCTATGTTTCTGTTTTTATACCAGTACCATGGTGTTTTGGTTACTATAGCTTTGTTGTATATCTTGAAGTCTAGTAGTGTGGTGGCTCTGGCTTTGTTGGTTTTGCTCAGTATTGCTTTGGTTATTGGGGTTCCACACACATTTTAGGATTTTTTTTCTATTTCTGTGAAAAATGTCATTGGTATTTTTATAGGGATTGCATTGTATAGATTGCTTTGGTTAGTAGACTATAATTTTTTTAAGTTGTAAATTTAAAGACATATTATTATTTTGTCAAATTTCATTGAAGTTAACAATTAATTAATGTAGTTGTCCCTAAATTAGGAAGAATTTTTGAAATCAGTTAAAATGAAAGAAACTACATTATTTTTAGAATTGGCCCAATTCTGGGGTGAGGGCTGGTATTAAATATTTAAAAAGTGACATCTTTGGTGTAATACTGAAAATATGTAAAATACTAGAATCCTTACCCTAGGTCTAGTTCTGCCCTTCACAGCCAGCCAGGAATGAACAGAGGAAAAATACCTTCTGACTATTTTAGAAGTTTCAGATCTTGAGAAATTCACATTGCAACACAGTATACTGTAATATACTCATGAGTATATTATCAACTAAGAAAATCCCATTCTACTTAATGATTTTCCATAATTTATATTCTTTATTTTTTTCAGATGGGGTCTTGCTCTGTTCCCCAGGCTGGAGTGAAGTGGCACAATCATGCTCACTACAGCCTTGATCTCCCAGGCTCCAGTGATCCTCCTTCCTCAGCCTTCCAAGTAGCTGGGACGACAGGCACATGCCACCATGCCTGGCTAATTTTAAAGTATTTTTTTTATAGATGAGGTTTCACTGTGTTCCCCAAGCTGATCTTGAACTCCTAGGCTCAAATTATCCTCCCACCTCAGCCTCCCAAAGTACTAGAACTACAGGTGTGAACCACCATGCTTGGCCCGTAGTTCGTATTCAGTGAACATGATATGGCAAAATCACTAGAGCTCCATGCCTCTCCACCCGTGCTCCTCCTCATGTCAGACACTATGTCCTAGAGTGACAGAGCTCCTAGGATATGCTATCCTATCCTAGCATAAAGCCTCACTACAGTGTCCCCATTTCCCTTTTCCTATTTCCCTGGCCTAGCCCCTTCACTATGTCCTTATGCCTTCCCTTAGTCAGTTGTAGAACAAGAACATTAGCATTCAAACACTATCATGGAAAGGAGGAAGGGGCTCATTGCAATGTCATGGGCTAAAAAATCTGTGGTCAGTTCTTTTTTTTTTTTCTTTAAGACGGAGTCTTGTTCTGTCGCCCAGGCTGGAGTGCAATGGCGCAATCTCAGCTCACTGCAACCTCCACCTCCCGGGTTCAAGTGATTCTCCTGCCTCAGCCTCCCGAGTAGCTGGGATTACAGGCACCTGCCATCATGCCTGGCTAATTTTTGTATTTTTGTAGAGATAGGGTTTCACCGTGTTGACCAGGATGGTCTTGAACTCCTGACCTCATGTGATCTGCCTGTCTCAGCCTCCCACAGTGCTGGGATTACAGGCATGAGCCACCGTGCCCCGCCAGACTAGTCAGTTCTTGGATGCTCCAAAATTAAGATAACTGTTACACATTACTCTTAGTTACATTTTGTTGCATTAGTTAGGCAAGGGAGGTTGGTATGTCGTTTGTAACACAACTTTAGGTATATTATAATCCAAATTTTCAGGTGTTGGAGTATGTGCATAAGAAGGGAGACAGTCCACAGATGTGGTCGTGATATATTTTTATTTTCTATCCTGATGAAAAATGTGATTTTTGCACTTTTTTTTTTTTTTTTGAGATGGAGTTTTGCTCTTGCTGCCCAGGCTGGAGTGCAATGGCGCAATCTCGGCTCACTGCAGCCTCCGCCTCCTGGGTTCAAGCGATTCTCCTGCCTCAGCCTCCCAAGTAGATGGGATTACAGGTGCCTGTCACCACGCCTGGCTAATTTTTTGTATTTTTAGTAGAGACAGGGTTTCATCATGTTGGCCAGGATGGTCTTGAACTCCTGACCTCAGGTGATCCACCCGCCTCATCCTCCCAAAGTGCTGGGATTACAGGTGTGAGCCACCGTGCCTGGCCTTTTTGCACTGTTACTTAACAAATATACTAGTGGCTTAGGTTTCACAATTTACATAGCTGATATCATGCACTTTTGCCAGGTATACAATTATACATTTTTCCCCACCCTTGTGGCTCTATGTTTACACAAAACCAAACACAGCTGTTGTTCACAGTGGCTACCATTTACATAAACATTATAGGTGAAATTTCTAATACAAGACAAATTGTACTTATGTACAACTAAGTAAATAAGTTTTAAAAAACCCCATAAAACAACAACAACAAAAAACTAAACAAAAACTATTTTATTTGTTGGCATTTTTTTGTTGCCTAGAATATTTCCTTTGCTAGAAGAGCAGTCACCTAATGAGTGACAGAGTGCTTACTTATGAGTGAATTGCTTGCATCCTCATTTTTACTGCTCCTTTTTTTGCTGATTTTCTTGGCATCTTTGGATGCTTTCCAATTCATTAGGAATTGTCTTTCTATATTTTTAATTTCTTTTCCATCAAGAAATTCTGGAGAAAAATACATACATTTAAAAAATACAATATATACATATAAACATAAGTCAAAATATGCACTTCTGGTTCAGAGCACAGAAACTTAAGTTACACCATAGACTGAAATAAATTTGTTTTTAAAATACATTAATTATACAACGCATGTACTTTTGTTGAGATTTTATTTATAGATTTTTTTCTGATTCCAAAAAGAATATGTGCTTGTTATAAACAATGGAAATATCATTAAATAAAACATTAAAAGGCTCTGTAATTATTATCCCCCTTTTATTTATTTATTTTTTTTTTGAGACAAGTTCTCGCTCTGTCATCCAGGCTGGAGTGCATGGAGTGAACTTGGCTTACAGCAACCTCTGCCCCCTGGGGCTCAAGTGATCCTCCCACCTCAGCCTCCCGAATAGCTGGGACCACAGGTGTGCACCACCATCCCCAGCTATTTTTTTGTATTTTTAGTAGAGACAAGGTCTTGCCATGTTGCCCAGGCTGGCCTGGAACTCCTGAGCTTAAGCAATCCGCCTGCCTTGGCCTCCCAAAGTGCTGGGATTACAGGCATGAGCCACCGTTCCTGACCATACCCCTTATTATGTTTGTTTATTTATTTATTTTTGAGACAGGATCTCACTCTGTCACCCAGGCTGGAATGCAGTGGCATGATCTTAGCTCACTGCAACCTCAAAACTCCTCAGCTTAAGTGATCCTCTTGCCTTAACCTCCCGAGTAGCTAGAACAATAGCCATGTGCCACCATGCCTGGATAATTAAAAGCTTTTTTTTTTTTTTAGAGATGGGATCTCACTATGTTGCCCAGGCTGCTCTTGTATTCCTGGCCTCAAACGATCCTCGGCTTCCCAAAGCCCTGGGATTACAGAGGTGTGATAGAAATTGCGCTTCATAAATTATACAAATAATTTTTGCAAGTTGTAAGACATTTGGAAAACACACAAAAAATAAAAAAATTATTCCCCAATGAGAAATAATCACTGATAACACTTTTGTATATTTCTTAGCATGTTTTTATTTTCTATATATGTATATAAAATTGGAATCCTCTATATTAGTTTTGCATCCTGCTTATTAATATTGTGTTGTGAACATTTTACCATTTTTTCCTTAAATATGGCTTATGTTTCCTTAATGGCTGGTTTTCTGTTGTTTATGGATATATTATAAAATATTGAACAATTCCCTTATTATAGGATATTTATATTGCCTATATTGTTTCTTTAATTACATGAACACAGATGATCTTCATTTAATAGAAGGATGGTTTTTTTCTTCAAAATTTTTTTCTTTCTTTCCATAGGACTCTGCTTGATAGATTTTTTCTAATAAAATTTATGTATAGTAGTTTTGAAAATTAGATAGTTTCTCTCATTATCCATGTAATCCACTAGATCCCAGAATGTAGAAAGGATGCAGTAAAATTTATTAGATCACACATCCTTTCAGGGATAATGACAATATTCTGATAAAATATTAGTTGTACTACTGAAAATATTAACACTACCACTTAAACATGAGCCATAATACTGTGTTATACCCAAAGTAGAAAACAAAATGTTGAAACAAAGAATATAAACTAGAACCACAGAATCTAGAAGTAAAACTGTCTCCATATCTTATTTCATGTACTTTTTTTTTCACTGAACTAGCTAGTACTCTCCAAACCATAAGAAATTGTCAAACATCTTAGTACTTATAACTTTACAATAAAGGTCATTCTTTTTTATTATTTATTTAAACAAACTCTTTAATCATACGCACATAAGGGGAATAAAGGGCAACACCAGGCTGACTGGGGAAGGGAGCAAGATATTCTCCCTTTGTCCCAATGTCTGCTTGGCACAGTTCTGAGATCATACAAGTGGGAGTGGGTTGGGAAACAGAATAAGTGAGAGGACAGAAGAGACAAAGGCAAGAGGGGAGAGGCAAGGGCTTGCAGTAGTCTCAATCAGTGGACTCTACACAGATTCACTCAGCGCAAGGTCCCAGTAATGTTCAGCCCCATGCTTTCTGAAATGCTCATGAGCTATGTTCTCTATAGGACACTGTTTAAACTTCATCTCTCCAAAGCTCCGGTCTTTGGCTGTACCCTCCCAGAATAGTACACATTTGTTGGTTTTCTTCACAGCTTCCTCATCAGGTTCCTCATGATCATCTCCCTTTGTGTTAGATGTCTGTTCATCCCACTTTATCCGATGCAGCATAAGATGCTTCAATTTCTTCTGGGTCTTGGGGCCCCCTTCCACTACTACCACGTTGACACCCTTGTGCAGTAACACCACTCCTATCAGGTACAGTTGCCCAGCATTGGCCTCAATCTTGAACTTCTTGGCTGGGGTGCTAAATTTCTAACTCCATCTCAATCTTGAACTTCTTGGCTGGGGTGCTCAAATTTCTAACTCCATATACAGATACGTGTACCCCCTGTGAAATGTCTTAAGCTTTTAAATTTTCTTGACCTTTCTGTGTTTTGCTGTGAGTTTTCAGGCAGAGTTGGCCTCTTCATGCAATTTCTGTCTTTTTGCCATCTGAGCTGTGACATGGGCTTCTACCTTCGTGGGGTCTTGAACAGCTTCTGTTCCTAATACTCGCATCAAATTAGAAATTCTCACTTTGGGTTCTGGAGGAGGCATCAGGCCCAGCCTGACTTTTTCTAGTAGTTCCTTCTGTGCTTCCCTCCTTGTCTGTCTCTGAAGTTTTTTCTGTTCCTTCTTGGTAAGATACACTCCCAAAGTAACTGGTGTGTCATTGTCAACTGGAGCATTGAGCTGGGCTGGATGTTCAACAAGATTTGTGATTCCAAAATAATCTTCTCTCTTGGGATTTTCCTCTCTAAGGTTAAAGCCATTGGGGATTATGTAAGAGTCCCACCACTCAATTTCAGGGATATCTCCTTCCTTTAGCTCCTTCCTAGGAGCAATAAGGGCAAGCCTAGTCAAAGTATGGATGTCTGTTTTTTGAGCTGCTTGTGAAATCTCTGCCTGAAGCTTCTCCAGTTGAGCCTTTGTCCTTAATCGCTGAGCAGTCTTCTCAAATTTGCCCTTGTCATGGAATTTAAAAGTGCGTTTCTGGCGCTGGGAAGCGACAGTGGAGACTCGGGGTCAAAAAAGGTATTGGACTCCATGTCTTCTGATGGCTTTTCTTTTAGCTGTTGCTTGAATGGTTCCCTCCGAAGAGGGAACAGCACGAATATTGGCAGGAGTAGACATGCAGTGTGTCAGCTCAATCTCCTTGCCTGTTGCATCTACAATGCACCCTTGCTCATCTAGGATCAGTGGTGTAGGTTTAATTTGGTCTTTTAACTCCCCCTTTGGGGAAGCAATGCCCATGTCATGGAGATTAGACGGGCCCACCATGTTGGCATTGCTGATGAGTCCTGGCTTCAGTGCCAGCCCGGCTTGGATTCGAGCTTGTAGTTCAGCTGTTTTCCTTGCCTTCTCAATGGCATCATTCATGAAAGTGGCACCCTGGGAGGGCTGAATAGTGTGGCCAATTGGAAGTTGCTCTGGTTGGGAGGAAGAAGGAGTCTTTGGCTGAGGTGTAGGGGGGCTAATGAAGCACAGCTGTTTTTTCCTCTCCTGGATTTGCCATTTTGCTGCGTCCATCATCTGTTTGATGTGGAGCTTAGTCAGCATGCCAGGACTCTGATGGAGGCCCAGGGATCACCTCTGGCTCTTCTTCCACCTTCTCAAAATGGGGTATTTGCTGCTTCTTTACTCCTGATGATTCCTTGGAGAGCTCAAGAGTCATCACCAAACACCTTCTTTAGCTTTCGTTTTCTGCTTCCGTCACTGCTAGACTTGGAATGCCTAGAGCTTCCGCCTTCCTCCTACAGCCTCAGTTTGTCCACAAATCGGGGAGTAGAATCATCAAGAAAAGGTTTCAGATGATCGGCTGCCTTCTTCTTGTCCATGCTCTTCCCTACAGCAGTTCAATGCTGCTGTGACCACTGTAGGCTCTGAGAAACCCAGCACGCTTTTCACTGTCTTCTCACCCACCTTGGAGCCTCCCAAATTGCTGGGATTACAGGCGTGAGCCACCGCGCCCTGCCTGACATCACTGATAAATTAGGGAGAAAAGATTAAGGAAGAGTGGCTAATTGTAGTTATCAACGACTGTGAAAGGATCCATGGTTTCAGCTCATCCAGCTCCCTCTTAGTGCCATTTTTCAGGAAAAAGAATAGCTCAAATGGGACTCAATACTACAGCTCACAAACTTCAGCCCCGAGACGGAGGCCGAAAGTTAAACCGGAACCAGAAACCTTCTGACTGCCCTAGGCCTGTTGTCCCTATCGCCACGGCAGCTGCCACGCCGCTGTCTCCCAACACGTGACCAGAGTGGGCCGGGCCGCCAATTCGTGCAGCCATGTTTGCCACTTTCCTGGAGGCAGAGCGCATGCGTCGCAGAACCGAAACGTTTCCGTGAACAAGTTGCTTGCTTTCTGTTTCCCGGACTAAGCCTGTTTCTGCCAAGTTAATGTCTTTAACTTCCTGAAGCGGAAATTAGGCTACTTGCAGTTTTCCTTATATGGAGAATAAGTGCGCAAAAGTAAACTGCTAGAACGAAGAGTGAGGCTTCTGCGTTTGTGCTCAAACATAGCCTTTCTGATAGAAAGTAAATACTTTCACAGTCGTGATAACTAGAATTAGCCATCCCTCCTTAACCTTTTCTCCCTAATTTAACAGTGGCGTCAGGCTGGGCCGGTGGCTCATGTTTGTAATCCCAGCACTTTGGGAGGCCAAGGCGGGTGGACCACTTGAGGTCAGGAGTTCGAGACCAGCCTGGCCAACATAATGAAACCCCGCCTCTACTCTAAAGGTCATTCTTTGATGCTCAGTTTTTCCAGCTACTTATATTTATTGATGTCTTTCCAGATCTATTTTTATTAATAATTATATAGCTTGTTAGTATATTTTTGGATGAGATATATGTAATCAATACATACTTTAAAAATATACTATAAAGATAAGGAATGAAAATTCCAAGTCTTTTATTGTAATCTCTTCTTCCTCATGTTAATGTCCCAAACAGAGCTGAGGAATGACTAGGAAACTATGCCTCCGTTAACCTGTCTCCATCTCATTTTTAGCAAATGATCTTTTTTTTTTTTTTTTTTTTTTGAGACATTGTCTCACTTCGTCACCCAGGCTGGAGTGCAATGGCGTGATCTCGGCTCACTGCAACCTCCGCCTACCAGTTTCAAGCGATTCTCCTATCTCAGCCTCCCGAGTAGCTGAGATTACATGTGCACACTGCCACCCCTGGCTATTCTTTTGTATTTTAGTAAAGATGGGGTTTCACCGTGTTGCCCAGACTGGTCTCAAACTCCTGATCTCAGGCAATCCACCTACCGCGGCCTCCCAAAGTGCTGGGAACACAGGCGTGAGCCACCGCGCCCGGCCTCAAATGTTCTTATTTGAAGTTAATAGGTGTGAACATGGTTGAAGACTGGGAGCCAGGTAATGAATTCAAGATTATAGAACTATGAGATTTATTTCATTTTAATAAGTTTCTCTCAATACAAAATTTGCTTCCACTCATGCTAAGTAAACCAAATATGTGGATTGTCACTCTATTTGGTGAGGACTGGGTAACCTAAAAAACATAAAATGACTCCCATAGCCTTCGTGAGAGGTCACTGCCCATCTTTCTGATGCTGTGTCACTTGGTCACTATTAATCGAGTGTTTTTGTCCATTTCCCCCAGTATGGTGCACATTCAGGAATGTTATTTGTAAGGATCTCATAAAGGGTCTCGTCACCCAGCTCTCCTATCAAACGAAAGGGATTCCTGTATGTTCTTAGGGTAACATTTGGCAAATGTCAAGCAATGAAAACTTTGATCAATTTTATCTACAGAACCAAGAGCTAAGGAGTCTCTTGGGATCATCAAAGGATTTGTGCTAACGAAAGTTTGGCAAAAGGTCAGCAAGTTCTACACATTTATGACTAACCATTTTTATTGGTAATAGCAAAATATCCTCCTTAAGGAATAAGTATCAGGTGCTTTAATTACTTCTGAACAGCAGATGTTTTTCATGCTTTATTTGTCAATTTTAACTTTTGCTCTTATTCAAAATATTGAATTTAAAGTTGACAATTTTCACAGATCCAGATGTCAGATTTATATTTCTGAAAGCTTGCTGGTAAAATAACCAAAAAGTTAACTAGGTGTCATTCTCTTAAAAATTATATTAATATAAATATGTACCCAGTGATTTGGACACCAATATCAGTCTGTCCCTGTATTTTGGTTTGAGACAAACAGGATTTCCATTTAGATCAATTTTCCACAGCTTCATCAACTTGTTCAGTAAAAACTCCAAATCCTATAATTAGAGAAGAAAAAGCAAAGCACAAGCATTTCATATTTACCAATACTTCTAGCATGTCAGTTATTGTTTTTAAAGGTAATTACTGCTTTCATGGAGTTCTAGCTCAGAGCCAGGTACTTAGAAGGTGCATAATAACTAAATTTTGAATAAAACAATCTATACTGATAATAGAAGGCACTGAAGATGAGGCAAAAAAAAGAGGTCCTAAGTTGAGGGCCACACAACTGTTCTCTGTCATACTCCCTTAAATGGCCCCCACTGCAGCTCAGAAAAAACTTTTTCCTGCAGAAGATGCCCTATTCTTAGTGTAGCTCATAGAAGTTTACAGATTAGGCAATTAAGGGGTAGTGAGTAAGCAGTCCCTGGTGATTGTAAGGAATGTGTGTTGTTGCTTTTTATTTTACAAAGAATGCATATTCATTTTTTAAGTGTTAAAAAAAAAAGACCAAAAAACAAACACCTACCAAAGGGAAAAATGGAAGAAAGGGGGAAAAAATCATTTGTATGCTTATCATGCAAAGATCACTTTTAATATGCTGTTATGTATCCTTCTAATCTTTTTGAGCATAGGGACTTTCGGGAGGGTACATATTTTTAATTGTCATAATTGTACTGTGAGTACAATTTTGTTTTATATTATATCATAAATATTTGCATGTTTTTATAGCTTATAAGAAGAAAATCAGCTAACTGATAGTTCAAGGAATAATAAAGTTATTCCATGGTCTACAACCCAAATAAATGTAAGGAAAACAGATTAACGGAACTTAAGAACTAACTGTCTCAGTTTGCTTTTTTCACAGCATCTTTGTCCCTATTTGGGTTTCTTTTCCTATCCAGTGTCACTCCTTCCTCAGTACTTTGTCTGTTATGTCTTGCTTTCTCCCCTTCCCCGCTTTCTAAAAAGTGTATTTTATCTTAACTGCTATTTAATGATAATGAAGTACACTTTGAGTATTTCTTATAAGTGGCCAAAGTTCTGTTCTTTATTTTTCTTTATTTTTTCTGTTCTTTATTTTTAATATCAGATACATTTAATCTGTAATGAATTACTCAACAAAAGTAGTGCACATAGCTTGGCTATTGTGAATATTGCTGCAAAGAACATGGGAGTGCACATGTTGCTTTTAAAATAGTAATTTCACTTTCTTTGGATATATACCCTAAATTTAGTCTGCACTAGACTTTGAGGGATTCCAATAAGTAATTTATGTGAAAATATAAGACATTGTTTTTTTAAAAATAAGGCAATCCTAAACTTCCTGGCACTGCTGCTTACTGTGTGACCTTAGGCAAATATATGTCTTCATCTATAACTTGAGGTTAATTAAGATTAGTTGCCATGGCATATAAAGTGCCTGGAACAAAGAAAGTAATAAATGTGTCAGTTCTCTGCCTGTTTGCCTGCCCTGCTACCTCTTAACTAATTCCCTTTCTCTTAATTTTTGTCAACAGAGAGCGAAAACATTTTAAGTAAGGAAGAAGAAACTTCTTGACCTATTGACAAATAAGTAGTTGACTTTTTATAAGAAAGTTATCTTCATAAATTATAACTTCAGCCTTCAGTTCTGGGCTCTGGAATATGCCTTCTCCAACAGCATTTGTTTGGCAGGGTTTAATAGAGCCGTAACTATCTTATTTTACGTTGAGAGTTACATTGTATTTCTCTTACTCTAAAAACCTATAAGGAAGGGATTATGTATCACATTTTTTACAGTGTTGAATGTGATGCCCATCATCTAAAAGTTAATACAAACACTTAGAGAACGTTAAATTAATATAGATAAAGAGTGCTTAGAGTTTTGTTAATTGTTCTTTACTTGATAAATGACCTTCGACATACTCCCTCCAGTGTATGTTTATTTAAGACTAAACTAATCCTGTGCTGAAATACGATTACCCTTTGGATACGCTCTGGTTGTTCATTGCCTTCCTGTCTTTAATAAAAAGCTTTCACTTTCCTGCTCTTCAATAAGTTACTAAAGGAAGCAGACACTTTTCTGGACAGTCTCTATTTGATAAATGATCATGTCATGCTATCACTTAGAGGAGTGCTGCAAAATACTAAGGAGCAAATTCTATTTCCCCTGCAGGGCTGATGCCTAAGCTCCTTTCTAGGCGTCTGCAGCACAGCAATGCTCTCTCTACCATTAATGATGACCGCTGATGAACCTGTATTTGACCAGCATACTCCAATCTTTATCGGAAATGTCTGGACCAACCGTCCTTACTAAATCTAAAGACAGCCATTTGTCATCCTTCTGACTGCCTGTCATCATCTGCCTGGGAAAATCTATAATTTTTGGCTTGTTCCTGACTCAACTGTGCAATGAATAAATTTATCTTTGGGTCACTCTGCTTGTCAGGATCAATATTGAGCAGAGGTTGAATAAATTAGAAACTGAGAAAACATGACAGGCCGTAGAAGTTTGTTCATTTGTGTCTTATAAATCAGATATTTAGTTCATATAAGAGGCAAACATGTCAAATTTTTTATTTCCCTCATTCATACTGAAGATTCTATACCTCATGATAAATGGTCATCAGAAAACCAATGAAGTAAATCACTAATATATCTGATTTTGAGATGAACTTTTCAGATAATTGTATTGATTTAGCAAACTTTACAGACTTAAAAACTATAGGTAAAGATTAAACTTTTTTTTGTTCTTCAAGTTTTATACATTTTTGGAGCCATGATATTTATTTGACTTAATAGTGTCAGCAAGCTATATAATGCTGGCCCTAGTGAAGTTCATGGCTCAACTTAGCCTCATCAGGCTACTTGTACAAATGCAAAAGTCTTATTGTAAATTGTTGTTAAACTATCTAATAATTTTTATACATTGATGAATATCTGTTTAAAGGAGGTACAGGAAAAACATGCAAAGACATGTTAACCAAAAGTAAATGTCATTTAAACTAGAGCCCTGTAAGTTAAAGGAGTTTCTACACTATGGAGTATTGTTTGGCCTAAAACCTCTCTTTCGCCTTCTCTTCAGTGGTTGACCTTGCCACCAATTTTACTGGGGAGAAGTGGGTCATCCGTCCACCAAGTTTTCTCAGTTATCTGCCTTTGATTTCACACTTTCTCTTCCATTCTTCTTTTCCATTTTTCTCAACAAAGGAAGAGTCACACCTCTTTCCCCAGGTTAAGTAGTTCTTTTGTTCCCAGCCTTTTCTTCCTGGGATCTTCTCTCCCTTCCATTTCCATTTCCAGTATCTCCGTCTTATCTGGAGTTTATTTTATCTCTTACCTACCATTGCCAAACTTCTTGAAGACTGATCCGGACTAATGCTTCTCAAACTTTCATGTGCTTAAGAATCCTGAGTGATCTTATTTAAATGCAGGTTCTGAGTTGTTAGGTCTGAGACAGAAGCCGAGATTCTGCATTTCTGCTGCTGCTGCTGGTCTAGGTCCCCACTTGGAGTTGGCCTAGTCTACTGCATGGCTATAGTGTGGATAACAGCTGGTTGCTTCTTCAACCACTGGGCACTCCTGCAATCTGGTGCCACTGAAAAGGCATTGCTAGCCTTATCACTGATCCACACATTGCCAATCACATACTTTCCCAGTCTCAATTCTTTGGAATATCGTACCCTGGTCACCACTCCATGGCTTTGTGATTCTACGTTCTTGCATGGATCCTTCATGAATCTCTGACTCCACAAGTAACAAACCTCTGACTACAGAAATCCCCAATGTATGAAAAGGCTGTTTCATACATTGGGGAAATCTCTATTAAAGTTTCCACCATCTCTCACTTCCTAACTAACCTGGCCTCTTCCAATCTGTTCTTCATATTGTAGCCATGTGGATCTTTTCAAACCGCTAATCTCAGCCACATACCGAGAACTGAACATCTAACTAATAAAACATCTAACTAATAGAAGCAACTACTAATAAAACATCTAACTAATAGAACATCTAACTAATAAAAGCAATGCTGTAAGAACATCTATGCAGTGACAGTCTTCCCCATAATGCATCAGCACGTTTCCAGAGAGCGAGAGCTCTCACTGGGGAGCAGGAGCATATGTCCCTGGTGGGAGAACCTTGGGGACCAATTCACTTGACTCCTTTTCTATAATCTATGTTTATTCCTTTCAAACAGTGTTGGTTTCCCTTCCCTGGACCACAGCAGAATGTAAAATCACAGCTAGAAAAAAGTTTGCCTCCCGTAACCCATTGCCTTCTCTATTTATACTTAGACCCTTTATAGAAAAAGAATGGCCACATTTATGATAATAGTCAAACTTCTGTTACCCTAAAGAAAGAGAGGTCATCTATTCACAAGAGGAAGAACCAAATTATGTGGGAGGCCAAGCTGAGCATTTCTTTGTACTCTCTCCCCTCCCGACTATAGGCAATCTTGTCGATGATAGTAGTTTCAGTGACCACTTAATACGCTGAAGATTCACATTTATTTATCCTCTGAGCTGTGGCCTCATATGTCCAATTATGTACTTGACATTTTCTCTGGAACATTTCAAAGGCGCTTCAAACCCTACACTACCAAAACTCATTATCTCTCAAACTTGACTCTTGACTTCTTTATTTCTCATTGTGCAAGGCAAGAAGCCCAGGAATCACTCTTGACCTCTCCTTCTCCCATGCTCCCTATATCCAACTCACAACCAAGTCTTATCCACTTTACTTCCTAAACAGCTCTCCAATCTGTCCACTCCATTTCCATCCCTACCTTATTAAAGTCTCCATCATCTCTCACTTTGTAACTAGCCTGGCCTCTTCCAGTCTGTTCTTCACACTGTAGCCATGCAGATCTTTTCAAACCGCTAATCTCCAGTTACTTCACTCCTGGCTTAAACACCTCCACTGGCTCCTCATTGTTCTAAGGATAAAGGCAAAACTCTCTTTCATGCCTATGTGGCCCATCTACCCGCTGGCCTCTGCACTATGTTCCACCTTCACTATCTCAGCTTCTTATCCCTCATATTTGCCATGCTCCAACCTGCCCCAGGACCTTGGCACATGCTGTTTTATTTGCCTGATAAGTGTTTCTTTTCTCTCAGAGCTCAGCTATCCCTTTCTTAGAGAAGCCTTTAGTGACCTCTCTAACTAGGACAGATCCCTCTCTTATAATAGGCTCGCAGAGACACATACTTCATTTTTGTGGTACTTGTGCAATTTTATATTTGTTTTGGGATGACTATGTGCTTAATGTTTCTCTTCCCCTGAATGTTGAGAATTCCTCAAGGCCAGGGATCATATCTGTTTTCTGCTCACTTTTGTGTCCCCCATTGTCTAGCAAGTACTGCCACATAGTAGGTGTTTTCAATGAATGTATGAGAGATGAATGAATGAATGAATGAATGAACAAGAGAGGGCCAGGTGACCTAAGGCTAGAAGCAGGACAGGAATTATAGGGAGAAATAAGATGGAACCATTTTTGAAGAAGTTGCTAATTAGAGGTGCTGCAGACATGGAAAGAGAGAGAAAAGAAAGACTATCTTCTCTTTTCTTCTATTTCCTCCTCTATCCCTTCTCTCCATTTATATATCCTCCTGTCTAGAAGTCCCTGCCCTGGACCAGTTTTGGATTAAGGAATAGCAGAGATGAAGGCAGAGTTAGAGGATCTTGGTGGTAAGGAGTCCTTGGCAGTTGTGGGTCTAAAGATGTGAGGAGAGGAGAGGGAATGAAATCTCAAGCAGCAGGAGGGCCAAAAGTTGCTTGGCTACCCAGCTTCTTACAGGTAGCCTCTGTAATGAGGCATATCCTGTGCCTCAGCCTCTAATGCAGCCACTCCCTTGTGGCTCTAGGACCCTCAGTAAGCTAGGGCATGGCATTGTTTCAGAATGCTTATATTTCCTGGAAACCCAGTTCTCTCTTTTCTTTCCACAGAGCTCAAGAATTTCAGTCCCTTGGTAGCACTTTTCCTTGCTACATGTGTTCCTTTAAATATCTTCCTTTCTCACTGCTCAAACAAGAATCTTGGTTGAAAGATTCAAAGTTGTTTAACCATCCTAAGGGATCATTATTTTTTCATATTTTCTTAAAGTAGTCACTTACAAAATGTGTCTTCTATGCCAAAAGATATATACATTCAGTTTGATGGAACAAGACTACAAGAAGACAATTTGTAGATACACACAAATTGCTAAGATGCTTTAGTTTATAATACTTTGCAAAAATCTATCTGCAATATTGATTAACAGGACTTTCATAGTATGGAGTAATCTATTACAATATTTATAATAATACAATGGTGTGACTAAGGTTCCTTTTAAAAACATTTGAATATTAATTTTAAATTTTGAATATTTACTTTTAGAGATAATAGTAAATTATCAGCAAAAGTAATAACTTTAAAATGATAATTTCCTGTGTAAGAACTACACTAGTTATTTCCTGTATTTTCTGTAGGCACACTTAAGGAACTTAGGTCCATATAAAAGCAGCTGCTCTAAGTGCTGAAAACCTTGGGTAATTACAGTGGTTTTGTTAGGATTCTCTAATGATGTCCATTTCTTTTTCCCCATGGCACAAAGCTGTCTGTTGCTGACGATTCAGGATGGATGTCAGTGACCTTATATATGGCATGAGAGATTTTTTGCCTATAGCACAGGGTTTGATGTCAGTAGCTTTTGGACAATGTCAGTGAACAAAAAGAAGGAAAAAATTAAAGCCAAATATAGAGATGCTGCCCAGGAATACATAACAGAAAAACGAGTTAATATTCTGATGCTAGGCTTCAACATGTCCTTTGACTAAGCCTTCAGAAGATTATTTAAAATGAACCACAAAAAGCACATTTCAAACATATCCTGGGCAATGTCTATATTCAGAATGCCAAGAAGCTGTGTCCAGGCATTTTTAATTGTTTGTGTCTTCATGGTGGAAGTAAAAGAACTTAAGATTTTATTCTTACTCCTTGGATATCTTCACTCTATGGGAGGGAAAAGCAACTTTTGGTATATACCAACAGCTGGAACTCAGTGAATGGTTTGCATTCCTTCTCCAGAATATTTTTTTGTGCCCTTCTTCATTTGTTCTATAAACATACAGTAGGTGCCTGCTATGTGCCAAGCACTGGGCTGGGCTCTGGGTAACCCTGAAGTAAATAAATCAAAATTCCTTGCATTCAAAGCTACTCAGTCTAATGAGGGATATGGTGATACACAATAACAAGGTTATATTGATCAAGTTTCCTCACCAACCATTCTCTATTTAAATTATGTTAAAAAATTAAAGTGAGATAATCAACACAGTTAAAATATCAAATAAGATCATAGGGTTTATAACAAAACTTAAAGAGTATGTCAGGGCTTATAACAAAACCACTTTCAACTTCTTCAGCTATTTCTACACACATTTATGTCCACATTTCTAAATAACAATGGCTATTTTTGATTTTTAAATCTTAGATATTTATCTACTAAATTTCTACTATGAAAGATGATGATTTAATTCTCATAAGTACTACCTCCAACCCCTACTACACTTCCCTTCTCCCACTATGTCAGTAGAGTTATACTAACATTGTTAATTAATTTTCACTGAGTGTCTTATTATTATTATTATTTGAGACAGAGTCTCACTCTGTCACCCAGGCTGGAGTGCAGTAGTATGATCATGGCTCACTGCAGCTTTGACCTCCCAGGCTCAAGCGATCCTTCCACCAAAGCCTCCCGAATGGCTGGGACTCAGGCATGTGCCACCATGCCTGTCTAGTGTTTCTGTATTTTTTGTAGAGATAGGGTTTCACCATCTTTCCCAGGCTGGTCTCGAACTCGTGAGCTCAATCAATCCTCCTGCCTTGGCCTCCCAAAGTGCTGGGATCACAGATGTGAGCCACTGCACCTGGCCAAGTTTCAGTGACTATATTATTAAGCTCAATTAAGTATTCTTCACAGCTAAACTACATAGTACACTAGGATTGCCTCTTCTTTTCCCTAGAGTTAAAAATTGCCTAATTTCTTAGTTTTCTATGTACTTACCACAGTTCAGTCTGTTGCAGCATGGGCTGGGTGCCTTCTAGCCTACCGTACAGCTGCTGTCCTAAGACTTACCTTCACTTCTGTGAATTTCCTTAGCTTTTCTACTGTTTCCTAGATACCATGTCTTCCCTTTTCCTAGTTTACTCTCCTGTTTAGGTGGAATACTCAATTTTTATGGGTCGTGCTTTTTGCGTTCTTTTAAAGAAATCTTTATATTTTTTCTAGAAGTTTTATATTTTAGCAGCTAAATTTGGATATGATCCATTTTGAGTAAATTTTTGTGCATGGGGTAAAGGGTGAAGGTTCACTTTTTCTATTTGGATATCCAGTTGTTCCACCATTTGTTGAAAACATTATCCTTTCTTCCATTGAAATATTGGAATTTTTGGCTGGGCACGGTGGCTCACACCTGTATTTCTAGCACTTTGGGAGGCTGAGGCAGGTGGATCACTTGAGGTCAGGAGTTCAAGAAAAGCCTGGCCAACATGCCGAAACCCTGTCTCTACCAAAAATATAAAAAATTGGCTGGGTGTGGTGGCATGTGCCTGTAATCTCAGCTACTCGGAAGGCTGAGGCAGAAGAATTGCTTGAACCCAGGAGGCGGAGGTTGCAGTGAGCTGAGATTGTGCCACTTCACTCCAGCCTGGGCAACAGAGCGAGACTCTTAAAAATCAGTTGACTCTATGTGTGAGTTTATTTATAAACTGTTCTGTTTCCTTAATCTTCATGGCCACCCTATGTCAATGCCACATTGTCTTGATTATCGTAACTTTAAAGTTGTGAAATCAGGTAGGGTAAGTCTCCAAATGTATTTTATTTTATTTATTTTATTTTTGAGAAAGGATCTCACTTTGAAACCCAGGCTGGAGTGCAGTGCCATGATCATGGCTCTCTGCTGTCTCAACCTCCTGGGCTTATGAGATCCTCTCACCTCAGCCTCCTGAGTAGCTGGGACCACAGGCATGTTCCACCACACCCAGCTAATTAAAAAAAAAGAGTGATTCTCTAGCCTCAGACTCCCAGAGAGCTAGGATTACAGATGTGAGCCACTGTGCCTGGCTTTTTTTTTTTTTTTTTCCCAAGAAACACGGTCTCACTCTGTTGCCCAGGCTGAAGTACAGTGGCACAATCATGGCCCAATGTAGCCACGACCTCCAGGGCTCATGCAGTCCTCCCACCTCAGCCTTTTGGGTAGCTGGTACTATAGGCCACCATTCCCAGCTAATTTTTTTTAAAAAAAAAAACACCTTTTAGAGGAGGGGTCTTGCTATATTGCCCAGGCTGGTCTCAAACTCCTGGGCTCAAGCAATCCTCCTGCCTCATCCTCCCAAAGTACTGGGATTATAAGCATGAGTTACCATGCCTGTGATGGTTTTACCAATTGGTTCTTTTTACGCCTTTTCTTATAAATTTTAGGGTTGATTTGTCAATTTCTAAGAGAAAAGAATCTGAGATCTTGATTGGGATTATGTTGAATGTATAGATCAATTGAAAAGGAATTAGCACTTTAAGAATACAGAGCCTTCAACCATGCATGTGTAGGGGCAGGCAGTATATGAGAAATCTCTGTACTTTCCTTTCAATTTTGCTATGAATCTAAAATTAATCTAAACAATAAAGTCTATTAAAATAAAAAAATCAAAACCAGAAAAAAAGTCTATTAAAACAAAAAATCAAAACCAGAATACAGTCTGCTAATACACGAAAATGGTATCTCTCTCCATTTATGTAGATCTTCTTTAATTTCTTCCAATATTTTGTGTTTTTATTGTACAGCTCTTGCACAGTTTTAAAAATGTATCCCTAAGTATTTTATATATCTGATGAAGTTATAAATGCCATTTTAAAAAAATTCATTTCTAGTTGTTCACTGCTAGTCAATGGAAACACAGTTACGTTTAACATATTGACCTTGCCATTAAGCATATGGCTTTGCTAAATACACTCCATAAGTTCTAATAGCTTTTTGCAGATTTCTTATCATTTTATATGTACCCAATCACATAGTCTGCAAATAAAGAACATTTTGTTTCTTCCTTTTCAAGCAATGTCATTTGTTTCATTTTTTGGCCTTATTGCACTGGCTAAGACAGGTGCAACTCTAAGGTTGAGTAATGTGGTATAGCAAACATCCTTCCTTTATTCTTAATCTTAGGGAAAGCATTCAATCTTTCATCATTAAGTATGTTGTTATGTAGATTTTATATAGATGCCTACTATCAGGTTAAGTTCCTTTCTATTTACAGTTTGCTGATAATTTTTAAAAATCATACATGGTGCTGAATATCATGCATTTTGTGCATCTATTGAGATGATCATATAATATTTCTCCTTTATTCTGTTTGGTGAATTACATTCATTTATTTCTGAATGCCAAAACAATCTTGCATTCCTGAGATAAGCCTCACCTGGTCATTGTGTGTTTTTTTTTATATATTTCTGGGCTTGATTTGCTAATATTTTAGTAGGGATTTTTGCTTCTCTGTTCATAGGGTATATTGCTCTTTAGTGTTCTTGTAATATTGCTGGTTTGATAACATGAGTTGGGAAGTAGTCCCTGCTTCTCTGTTTTCTTTCTTTTTTCTTTCTGAGACAGGGTCTTACTTTGTTCCCCCGGCCAGCTGGAGAGCAGTGGCATGATCTCAGCTCACTGCAGCCTCGACTTCCTGGGTTCATATGATCCTCCCACCTCAGCCTCCTGTGTAGCTGGGACTACAGATGGGCACCACCATGCCTGGCTAATTTTTTTTTTCTTTGAGATGGAGTCTCACTCTGTTGCCTAGGCTGGAATGCAGTGGCATGATCTCGGCTCACTGCACCCTCCACCTCTTGGGTTCAAGAGATTCTCCTGCCTCAGCCTCCCAAGTAGCTGGAATGACAGGCATGTGCCACCACACCCAGCTAATTTTTTTATTTTTAGTAGAGACGGGGTTTCGCCACATTGGTCAGGCTAGCCTCGAACTCCTGACCTCAGGTGATCCTCCTGCCTTGGCCTCCCAAAGTGTTGGGATTACAGGCATGAGCCCTGGCTAATTTTTGTATTTTTTGTAGAGATGGGGTCTCCCCACATTGCCCAGCCTGGGTTTTGAACTCCTGAGCGCAAGAGATCTGCTCAGCTTGGCCTCCTGAAGTGCTAGGGTTACAGGCATGAGCCACTGCACCTGGCCTTGCTTTTCTATTTTCTGAAAGCATTTGTGTAAGATTGGTATCATTTCTTTCTTAATTGTGTGATAAAGTGCATCAGTGAGGTTATCTGGTCTTGGAGTTCTCTTTGCGGTGAGGTTTTTATTTGTGAAATATGATGTATTTAATAGATACAGAGCTATTCAGACTTTCTGTTTCTTATGTCAGTTTTGGTATTTATGTCTTGCAAGTAATATGTTTTTAACTAAGCTGCCAACCTTATGGCATAAAGTTCTTTACAACATTCCCTTCTTATCCTTTTAACTGTAGTGACATAGTTTTCATTCCAGATATTGTTAATTTGTGTTTTCTCTGTTTTCTTGAACAGCCTAGATTGTTTATTAATTTTATTAATATTTGCAAAGAACCAGCTTTTGGCATCATTGATTTTTCTCTAATGGTTGCCTGTATTTCTATTTCATTAATTTCTGCTGTTATTTTCCTTATTTCCTTTTTTCCTTCATTTTAATTTCCTTCCTTCAAATTAATTTTGAATTTAATTTACATGTATTTTTCTTGCTGCTTGAGGTACAAGATTAGAGCATTGTTTTAATTTTTCTTCATCTTAAATTTATTATCATTATTGTTTGTATTTTTCCCTCATTCTTGTTGTCATTTTATAATTTTTTTCTTTTCTACTATAAGCATTCAAAGCTATAACTTTCCCTCTAAGCATTACTTTACTGTATCCCACAAATTTTCAAATGTTTTGTTTTCATTTTCATTCAGTTCAAGTATTTTCTAATTTTCTTTGTGATTTCTATGGACTTTGTTTCATTTCATATGGATTATGTTGATAATTTTGTTTTTTGATATAGGGTCTCACTCTGTTGCCCAGGCTGGAGTGCAGTGGTGTGATCTCGGTCACTGCAGCCTCCACCTCGTAGGCTCAAACGATCCTCCCAACTCAGCCTCCTGAGTAGCTGGGACTACAGGTGTGCACCACCATGCCTGGCTAATTTTTGTATTTTTAGTGGAGACAGGGTTTCACTATGTTGCCCAGGCTGGTCTTGAACTCCTGGGTTCAAAAATTCCACCTGCCTCAGCCTCCCAAAGTGATAGTATTAGAGGCGTGAGCCACTGCACCCAGCTCTAAATATTCTAACTCCTATTTTAAGGTAGAATGTTCTATAAGAGTAAATTAGATCAAGTTGGTTGGTTATGTTATACCTATCTTTTATATCATTACTGGTTTACTATCAGCTTGTTCTATCAACCAATGCAAGAGAAGTGTTGAAATCTCTGTTATAATTATGGGTTTGTCCATTTCTCCTTTTACTTCTGTGAATTTTTACTTCATATAGTTTGTAATTCTATTGCTAGGAGCATAACTTTGAGGATTGTTATGTTTTCTTAAAGAGTTGGCACTTTTTATCATTATAAATTTTCCTTATATATCTCTGGTAATATTTCTTGTCCTAGAATCTTTTATTTTATATTAATGTAGCCATTTCATTTTTCATATTATTTGTGTTTGCAGTATATTTTTTTCATAATTTTATTTTTAACTCACATATCTTTATATATAAAATGTGTTTCTCTAGAGAGTACCATTGGATTTTTTTTTTTTTTTAAAGCATAGATAACAAGACCCAGGCTGCTCTCGAACTCCTGGGCTCAAGTGATCCTCCCACCTTGGCCTCCTAAAGTGCTGACATTACAGGCGTCACCATGCCCGGTTAAGATTGGATTTAAAAAAAAATCCGGTCCTACTATCTCTGCCTTTTAATTGAACTATTTAAATTATTTACATTAATATAATTATTAATATTAATATTAATATATAATTATTGATATTGGCTGAGTTTAAGACTACTGTCTTGCTATTTATCTTATCTGTTCTTTATTTCCCTTTTCTTTTCCTATCCCCTACTTTTTTGTGACATTTGAGTTTCCCTTATTGGCTTATTAGTTGTAAAAATCTTCGACTATATTTTAGTAGTTGCTTCAGCGTTTAAAACAATCATTTTTAAATATGCACAGGTTACTATCAAATAGCATGGTACTACTTCACGTATAATGTAAGAACTTTACAACAATATACCACTATTTTCTCCATTCCTGTCATTTGTGCTATTGTTAGTTTATTTTACTTTTACATGTCATAAACCTCATGCTATATGGTTATTATTTATTTTGCCTTCATTTTATTGCATGTGTGGTTGCACACATCAGTGATCCCAGCTACAGTGAGGCTGTGGCAGGACGTTCACTTGAGCTCAGGAAATTTAGGCTGCAGTGAGCTGCGATCACACTACTGCACTACAGACTGGCCAACAGAGTAAGACCCTGTCTAAAAACAAAAATTATCTCAGGTTTTATTTTTCTTTATTTTGCCTTCATTTTTTTGAAGGATGGTTTCACTGGACATATATAATTCTAAGTTGACAAGGGTGTTTTCCTTTTAGCATTTTAAATATGTTTCATGATCTTCTGGCTTGCATTGCTTTTGACAAGAAGCTTGTAATAATTCTTATCTTTCTATGTACATAAAATATCTTTTAAATATCTTTTCTTCTGGTAGCTTTTAAGATGTCTATATATATTTTTTTACATGGAGTTTCACTCTTGTTGCCCAGGCTGGAGTGCAATGGCACGATCTCGGCTCACTGCAACCTCTGACTCCCGGGTTCAAGCAACTCTCCTGCCTCAGCTTCCCAAGTAGCTGGGACTACAGGCATGAGCCACTACACCTGGCTAATTTTGTATTTTTAGTAGAGACGTGGTTTCACCATGTTGGCCAGGCTAGTCATCAACTCCTGACCTCGAGTCATCCGCCCGCCTTGGCCTCCCAAAGTGTTGGGATTACAGGCATGAGCCACTGTGCCTGGCTTTTAAGATATTCTTATTATCATTGGTTTTCTAGCAATTTTACTGTAGTGTACTTTGGTGTAATTGTCTTTGGGATTTTCCCGTTTGGGTTTTGTTGAGCTTCATAGATCAGGGATTAAAATTTTCATCAAATTTGGCAATTTTGGGGCCACTTTTTTTGTTGTTCTGTGTTTGTTTGCTTGTTTGTTTTGTTTTGAGATAGGGGCTTGCTCTGTTGCCCCCGCTTTTTTTTTTTTTTCAGTGTTTTTTTTTTTTCCGTGCTTTACTTTGGATAGTTCTAATACTATGTCTTTAAATTCGCTGATCTTTTCTTGTACAATGGCTAATCTACTTTTAATCCTATCCAATGAATTTTTTATTTTAGAAATATTTTTAGTCAGGCTTGGTGGCCCACGCCTGTAATCCCAGCACTTTGGGAGGCCGAGGCGGTTTGGATCGCCTGAGGTCAGGAGTTCGAGACCAGTCTGGCCAACATAGTGAAACCCCCATCTCTACTAAAAATACAAAAAAAAAAAAAATTAGCTGGGCGTGGTGGCGGGTGCCTGTAATCCCAGCTACTAGGTGGGGCTGAGGCAAGAGAATCTTTTGAACCCCGGAGGCGGAGGTTGCAGTGAGCTGAGATCGCACCATTGCACTTCAGCCTGGGCAACAAGAGCGAAACTCCGTCTCAAAAAAAAAAAAAAAAAAAAGAAAAATATTTTTTAGCTCTAGAAGTTATGTTTTCCCCACACTTTCCATTTCTCTTCCCTTTCTGTTCATGATTTCTTTAAATTATACAGTATATTTATAATTTTTTTTTAAAGTCTTATCTCCTAATTCTATCCTTCATGTCATTTCTGGGTTTTTTTTTTGACTGATTTTTCTCTGGTTATGATTTACATTTTCATGCTTCTTTTTTTTTTTTTTTTTTTTTCCACAAGACTACATCTAAAAGCAAGATTTTTGTGGTTCTTGTTTGCTGTTCCTCTCCCTGCACTGTGGTCAATATTCATCTTGTTTTTTCTCTTAGGGACAACAGGCCTGTGCTGCCTATTGTCCAAGGTCTGAAAAAGTTGTTTCACATATTTTGTCTAGGTTTCTGTTTGTTTTTATGGAGGGCAATTCTGGTCCTGGTTACTACATCATGGCCCATTAGATTATCTTAAGCTATAACTTAAAAACATATTTCTCCATTTTCCCCCTATTGCTGTGGTCCAAATGTGTCCCCCAAAGTTCATATGTTGAAACTTTTTTTTTCCCCTGCCTTATTCTTCCTGGACATATGTTGAAACTTAATTGCCAATGCAGTAGTATTAAGAGATAGGCCTTTGGGGCTGGGTGCGGTGGCTCACGCCTGTAATCCCAGCACTTTGGGAAGCCAAGGCGGGTGGATCACAAGGTCAGGAGATTGAGACCATCCTGGCTAAGACGGTGAAACCCCGTCTCTACTAAAAGTACAAAAAATTAGCCGGGCGTGGTGGCGGGCGCCTGTAGTCCCAGCTACTCGGGAGGCTGAGGAAGGAGAATGGCGTTAACCTGGGAGGTGGAGCTGGCAGTGAGCCGAGATGGCACCACTGCACTCCAGCCTGGGTGACAGAGCGAGACTCCGTCTCAAAAAAAAAAAAAAAGAGGTAGACCTTTAGGAAGTGACTAATTTATGAGGGCAGAGCCTTCATGAATGGATTAGAACCTTATAAAAGGGTGATTTTGCTCCTTTCATCCCTCTGCTGTATGAGGACACATCCCCTCTGAATGCCGCAAGGCTCTATCTTGGAAGCAGAGAGCAGCCCTTGCCAGAAACCAACCTTTGCTGCCTTGATCTTAGACTTCCCAGCCTCCAGCACTTCCAGAAGTAGGTTTCTGCTGATAAATTAATCAGTCTCAGGTATTTTGTTATAGCAGCAAAAATGGACTAAGATACCTATTCTCTGATTCTGGTACTCTTATTAGTCATATATTGGATCTTCTGAATTAATTCTTTAAGTTTCTTTTTTACTTGCTTATATTCAGTTCTTTTTGTTTGTTCTTTCTGGGAGACTGTCAATTTTATCATTTAAACTTTATATTGAATATTTAATTTCCTCATCCTATTTTTAATTTCTAAGTGCTCTGTTATTCATGTTTCTTTTAAAAAATAGAATCTTGCTTTTATTTTGAGGTTATGGAATCTTTTTCATTTCTCTTAGGAAATTATAGTGGGATTTTAAAGGATTGTTTTCCTGTTTCCACATGATTTATTTCTTCGGAATTCTTTCTTTTTGTTTCCGTTTCTCTCTCTTTGATTTTAGAGGCTCTTTTCAGAGGTCTCCTAATCCTGAGCTGCCTGTTTATTCATGAAAGTGAATGAGAGCTTTCTGTGCAAGGGCAAGGCTTGTTGACTGTCTCACTGTGGGGCAACTGGGCAGGCAGCTGGCATTTTCCCTCTGAAACTCTTAAATATCAGGATTGGGAGATGTTTTCTCTTGAGCTAGTCAGTTTCCCTAAAGAGGAATGAATTCACCAACTTTTGCCCAGCGTTTTAAAGCCATGTAGGCAGGGTTTTGAGAGTAGAGCCTACTTGTATGCATGAGAGGGAGATAAATATTGGCTAACATTTCAGTGTTTAGTCTTTCATGAAATCCACCCACTTTTTTTTTTTTTTTTTTTTTTAGCATTACCATTTGTTGTGGTTTTTGACCCACAGACTCTGTGGTTCAACTTCTTCACAAATTAAACTGGTCCCCTCTAACTTTGTTGTTCAGGTATTCTATCCAGGCATTCTTTAAACTCTCCTCTGCCCTCATGTTAACCATTCAATATCATTCAGTGCAGGTGGCCACTCCCTCTTTCTTGAAACTCCTTTTTCTCTTCTTCTACATCATTGACTCCTGATGGAACTGATCTCTAAATACTGGAGTGTTTTTGTGATTGGTCTTGGTCTCATTTTTTTCTCTGTCTCTATTGTCTTTCACCCCATGCCATGACTTTTAAATATCATGTAAATGCTGTTGACTCTCAAACTTTCCAATCTTACTTCTCCCTTAAACTCCAGATGCTTACTTGACATGTCCATTTCAATATCCAATAGGCATTTTACGAGGTGGAATTATTCTGTTTCTTCCTTATAAAGGCTACCAGTGTCTTCCTGGTTCCTCACACAAAATTTAGGAGTCATCCTGATTCCTTCCCTTCCTTTATGCCTACATCCTGCTCATCAACAAGTTATATGAATTCCACCTTAAAATATAACTCATTACTTCCAAACCCACCCACTCCTCTTCATCTCTAAGCAACCATCTTCTCTTATTTAACTTCTGCAGTAGTCTCCCAACTTATCTCTTTGCTGTAATTCTTGAAACTCATTCTTCATATAGCAATAGAGAATTGTTTTTTTTTTTTAAAAATCCTTCAGTTGACAGAGGAAGGGAAGAAAAAGAAAACAATGCTTTCAGTGGCTTTCTATTGCACTTAGAATAAAGTAAAAACTTGTGATCGTATCCTAAAATGACCTTTATGATCTGGCCTCTGTGCCTTCCTTTCTAATCTCATATTGTACTGTTGCCTCTTCATTCACTCAACAGTGTATTTACTGAGCACCTACAATGTATTAGAAACTAAGCTAGGCACTGGGTACCATACTACAGTGTTCCTTGGACACTCAAGCTTTCTTTGGCCTCAGAGCCTTTGCATCTACTTTTGCTAGTGCCTGGCATGTTCTTTCCCTAGCTCTTTGCATATCTTCTTTCTCATCCTTCAGATCTCAATGTAAATGTCATTTCTTCCGAGGCCTTTCGTAATAACCTGATCTAAAATATCCGCTGACTCCTTTTTTTCTGTTATCTTATTTAATTCCTTCATAGCACTTTTCAAAATCTTCTCTGCTTAGGTCTCACTCTGTTATCCAGTCTGGAGTGCAGTGGGTGAATCACAGTTCACTGCTTCACTGCAGTCTTGCACTTTGGGACAAGGGATCCTGTCCTGGGCTCAAGCGATCCTCCCACCCCAGCCTCCTGAGTACCTGGGACTGAGTACCTAAGTACAGGCACATGCCATCACACGAAGCTAATTGCTAATTTCTTTTTTAATTTTTTTGTAGAGAAAAGGTCTTCTTGTGTTGTCCAGGCTGGTTTTGAATTCCTGGCCTCAAGCAATCCTCTCCTGCCTTGGCCTCCCAAAGTGCGGTGATTACAGGCATGAGCCACCATACCCGGCCTTGCTTATGTATTTTTTTTAACCATTTCCTCCCTTGTCCCTCTGTAAAGTAAACGCCTTGAGGGTAGAGGCTTTTTTTTTTTTTTTTTTTTTTTTTGAGATGGAGTCTCGCTCTGTCGTCCAGGCTGGAATGCAGTGGTGCGATCTCGGCTCACTGCAAGCTATGCCTCCCGGGTTCACACCATTCTCCTGCCTCAGCCTCCCGAGTAGCTGGGACTACAGGCGCCCACACACCCGGCTAATTTTTTTGTATTTTTAGTAGAGATGGGGTTTCACCATGTTAGCCAGGATGGTCTCGATCTCCTGACCTTGTGATCCACCCGCCTCGGCCTCCCAAAGTGCTGGGATCACAGGCGTAAGCCACTGCGCCCGGCCTCTTTTTTTTTTTTTAGTAGAGACAGAGTTTTACCATGTTGGCCAGGCTGGTCTCAAACCCCTGACCTCAAGTGATCCACCCACTTCAGCCTCCCAAAGTGCAGGGATTACAGGCGTGAGCCACTGTGCCTGGCCGAGGGTAGAGACTTTGTCTTATTTATCATGTATCTCCAGTATCTTAAGATGTGTTTTTCCAAGGGCCTAGAACAGTGCCTGGCACATGTAATATATTATAGTAGTTCCCACCACCCCCTTGTTCAGTTGCCCTCAGTCACCTGTGGTCCAAAAATATTTAATGGAAAATCCCAGAGAAAATAATTTGTAAGTTCTAAAATGGATGCTCTTTTTTTCACTCTGTCACCCAGGCTGGAGTGCAGTGGCACAATCCTGGCTTCCTGCAACCTCTGGCTCTGGGTTCAAGCAATTCTGCTTCAGCCTCCTGAGTAGCTGAGATTACAGGGTGTGCACCATTGCTCTGGGCAAATTATTGTATAAGGTTTCGCCACGTCAGCCAGGGTGATCTTGAACTCCTGGCCTCAAGTGATCGGCCTGCCTCGGCCTTCCAAAATGCTGGGATTACAGGCATCAGCCATCTAGCCCAGCTGAGTACAATGGAAGCTATTCTGAGTATCATGATGAAATCTTGCACTGGCCTGTTTGTCCTGCCCGGGGCCATGAATTATTCCTTTGTCCAGCATTTCCATTCTATACATGCTACCAACCCATTAGTCACTTAGGTTATCATATCTACTGTGTCACTATTATAGTGCTTGTGTTCAAGCAACCCTTATTTCACTTGCCCCAAAGTGCAAGAGTAGTGATGCTGACATTGTAACTGTTCCTTTTTTTTTTTTTTTTTTTTTGAGACGGAGTCTTGCTGTGTCACCCAGGCTGGAATGCAGTGGCAGATCTCGGCTCACTGCAACCTTCGCCTCCCAGGTTCAAGTGATTCTCCTGCCCCAGCCTCCCAAGTATCTGGGACTACAGGCGCCTGCCACCATGCACGGCTAATTTTTTGTATTTTTAGTAGAGATGGGGTTTCACCGTGTTAGCCAGGTTCGTCTCGATCTCCTGATTGAGTGTTGGTATTACAGGTGTGAGCCACCGCGCCCAGCCTCCATTTATTATTATTGTTGTTAATCTCTTAGTATGCCTAATTTATAAATTAAACTTTATCATAGATATGTACATTTAGGAAAAACTAATATATGTAGCATTCGATACTACCCATGGTTTCAGGCATCCACTGAGGGTCTTAGAATGTAGCCTTCACAGATAAGTTGGGACTACTGTAAATATTTTTTAATAGATTAACTTGATGGGGAGGTTCAGGAAAAGCTACACAGGGGAGATGATATCAAGTTCAGTCTTTAAAGAGGATTTGGGCCATGGCAGTGGCTCATGCCTGTAATCCTAGCACTTTGGGAGGCCGAGGCAGGTGGATCACCTGAGGTTAGGAGTTCGAGACCAGTCTGGCCAACATGGCGAAACCCCATCTCTACTATAAATACAAAAATTAGCTGGGCGTGGTGGCACATGCCTGTAATCCCAGCTACTCGAGAGGCTGAGGAAGGAGAATCTCTTGAACCAAGGTGGTGAAGGTGGCAGTGAGCCAAGATCACACCACTGCTCTCCAGCCTGGATGACAGAGTGAGACTCTGTCTCAAAAAAAAAAAAAAAAAAGAGGATTTAGATGTTGGTCATTAGAATAATAAGCAACAATGAAGGTATTTATTTTGGCTGCACATTTATTCTGGTTATGCATTATTAACATGGTCTAAGAGTAATCATGTAGGCAAAACATCTTTGTCTTAATGTCATGCAGAAAAACCTCCTTTGGGATTATTTAGAGGCTAGAAGTTTTGCCCTGTTATCAAACTCCCCTTTCTCTGTTTGGAGTTAAAAAGCATAATAGAATAACTCTTTAAAAGTAATGGCCGTTACCAGGCTGGGTGCAGTGGCTCATGCCTAGAATCCCAGCACTTTGGGAGGCTGAGGCGGGCAGATCACTTGAGCTCAGGAGTTCGAGACCAGCCTGGCCAACATGGTGAAACCCTGTCTCTACTAAAATACAAAAATAAGCCAGGCATGGTGGTGCACATCTGTAGTCCCAGCTACTCGGGAGGCTGAGGCAGGAGAATGGCTTGAACCTGGGAGGCGGAGGTTTCAGTGACCCAAGATCACGCCACTGCACTCCAGCCTGGGCTACAGAGTGAGACTCCGTCTCAAAAAATAAAATAAAGGGCCGGGTCCGGTGGCTCACACCTGTAATCCCAGCACTTTGGGGGGCCGAGGTGGGCAGATCCCCTGAGGTCAGGAGTTCAAGACCAACCTGGCCAACCTGGTGAAATCCCATCTCTACTGAAAATATAAAAATTAGCTGGGTGTGGTGGCAGGCACCTGTAATCCCAGATACTCGGGAGGCTGAGGCAGGAGAATCACTTGAACCTGGGAGGCAGAGGTTGCAGTGATTCAAGATCTCGCCATTGCACTCCAGTGTGGGCAACAGAGACTCCATCTCAAAATAAAAAGAAAAAAAAAATGTAAAATATATTTTAATTCAGAATTTATCCCATGAACGTCTTACATTTTTCACATTGTAAGTTGAAACAACTAATTGAGTTGTGCTTCCTAAGGTCTTCTTATTTGAAACATCCACCCTGATTATTCAATTGCATTTTAGATATTTTGAGGAATTCATTTGTGCTAGAATACATATATTTATTTTCATAATTATATATTGCTTATAACAGCTTTGGGATGAACCAGGTAATAGGTCTGAATTTGGAAACAAGGTCGACGTAACATTTTTAGGGTCACCAAATGGCTGTGTGGAAGTAGTTCTGAAAACAAAAGCTGTTTTTGGGAGAAAGAAGCTCATTCTCCTTCCTGTGGTTCGTATGTCAAGAAATTATACCACAGCTCATTCCGTTGCCAAACCAGAAACTTTGAGGTCATAGCAATGGCTCAACTCATGGATGACTGTTTCGAGGAAGCCTTCTATAGCCCTAGGCTGACTTAGGGCTATCACAATACTTATAAAAACAGTATCATATTGTAGTCCCATTACTAGTTGATTGTAGGTTTATTGCAGATCAAGACCGTATATTCCTTCCTTTGTTCTACACTGAGTAGTATTAGTGCCTGACAAATATTTAGGTGGCCAATACATATTTGATTAAATGAATAATTGAATGAATATGGCATGATATGATATAACATGACATTAATATAGCTGGTAGAAATTAGAGTAAGTTCAGTCAGAATCATTTCAAGTACTTCCCCAAAAAGAAGTAGCCAAGAGAGAGTTCAGGTCTAGTCACAGTTACTAGAAACTCATTCATTGGGAGATCAGGCTTAAGGGACAAGAAATCTAGTCTCTAGAAGAAAAAGTTTGATGGGAAAATAATGCAAAGAAGAGATACTTCCCTTCTCAGAGAAACTATTATTCTGTTGGTGAGGGATACAGGTATTGGAGTATAAAGGAGAAAACTAAATAAGAGGACAGAATTATACACATAAATACATTGAGAAGTAGGGATTCATTAGCTAATTTTAGAACAAATCCAGAGTAGTTTTTAATGTGATATATTTATTTTATAGCTATTACAAAACATTTTTCAATCATAATTTCATGTAAATATCTTAAAAATTAATTTCTCTTTACACTACCTTCACATGCAGAAGTTGGTTGTCAACGGCTATGAGCTGATTAAGATTCTCTAGTAGTTCTAAGTCTGTAATGTCATCAATATTATTATTGCTGATATTCAATATACAGAGGGATTTCTGTAAGAAAAATAACGAAGTTAGCATTAGTAAATAGTCTAAATACTGTATATAGGAACCAGAAATCCTAATCTTTGAAAAGTTTAAGCTTGATCAGTTCAGGTTGTTTTGTTCTTTAGGCAAAAACATCAAAAGCCATGAAATTCTTTTTATTGCATTTTTTTTTCAGATGAAAGTTTTAGAACCACAGTATGTCATATAACTTACCCGTTCTCCCTATAATTCCTCCATAAGTCATATTTTTCTTTTCCAAGATACAAAATAAACTTATAGAATAAAGAAGCCAAGAATCAAAAAGCAAAGAAAGAAAAAAAGATGCCCCAATAAACAAGTAACACAATATAGAAAAAATGCTTACTGTAGCTTTAGCAAATTATCATTTTGTGCAAAATATTACTAACATTTGTACTTACATAGGGGTGCGGTGGCTCATGCCTGTAATCTCAGCACTTTAGGAGGTGAAGCGGGCGGATCACTCGAGGTCAGGAGTTCAAGACCAGCCTGGCCAACATGGTGAAACCCCATCTCTACTAAAAATACAAAAAATTAGCTGGGCATGGTGCCACACGCCTGTAGTCCCAGCTACTTGGGAGGCTGAGGCAGGATAATCACTTGAACCTGGGAGGTGGAGGTTGCAGTGAGCAGAGATCACGCCTGGGCGACAGAACAAAACTCCGTCTCAAAAAAAGATTTGTGCTTACATAGGAAGAAATAGTTTTTGTCTTTATTTTACTAAATAGGAAACATGACCAGGAATAAAATAATATCTGGTTTTTATTTTTCTCTCTACCTGTCTATATGGTTTTCTCTTATCAATCCATATGTTCAGGAACTACTTAAAATAATAATTAGCTAATTAACAGGAATTTCAGTGTTGCTGTAACACTAAATCAGAGTCATCTTATGAGGCTCAGGAATCTCTACCAAGATGGAGTCAATCATCAATTCATGGCCTTTTGGCTAAGATCAAGTGTAGTATCTGTTCTTGTTAGTTTAAGTTTAAAAAAAACATGGAGGCATCCATGCACAGCCAACCTTTAGAAAAAATATTTCCTGATACTAAAGTACTGGGAGAACTACCTCTTAATTTTTATAAATTTGGGTCAAAATCCATCCACTATCCTCTATTTCTGGGCCCTCTAAAATAAAACTGATGAGGCCGGGCACGGTGGCTCACGACTGTAATCCCAACACCGTAATCCCAGACTAGCCTGGCCAACATGGTGAAACCCCATCTCTACTAAAAATACAAAAATTAGCCAGGCGTGGTGGCGCACGCCTGTAGTCCCAGCTACTTGGGACGCTGAGGCAGAAGAATTGCTTGAACCGGGGAGGTGGAGGTTGCAGTGAGCAGAGGTCGTGCCACTGCACTCCAGCTTGGGCGACAGGGTTTTTTTAATTTTTAAAATAAAAATAAAATAAAATAAAACTGATGAAATCTGTAAAACAACTACCATGTCCCATTTATGTGTCCTGCCCCAGAATTAAAGTTAGCCTGTCCCAACAAGCCTCTTGTTTTGAGGATTAGCAGGAGCCTAAGTGGTACCCTCTGGCTTCTCAATTTATTGTGGCACCTCCATCCAATGTGACTGGTTTCAGGCGACACAGTTGGGGCCCCAACCCCAGGGCTCCCAGGCCTACATAGTTCTGATGTGGTAGAGCTGTATGTAGTGCAATCTACAATCAAATCAGGATCCTAGGAGAAAACAACTTATTATTCCAATGGCTCTCTACTAGATTGTTTAAAAGTTTCCAAATAATTGCACATTCCTCTCTCCTTAGGCATTTTCCTAAAATTTAAAATGTTGAGCCATGATAATCACCAAGGTCCACATTATGAATGAATGAACATCTGTATTAGAACTTCAGTTAACATACCTTTTCACATTCTTCTTTTCATCCTTCCAGTTACCCAAAGAGGCAGGTTTTATTATCCCACTTTATAAATGCTGAGTCTCTGAGATTGTACATGAGAAAATCAGCTTCAGTCCTCTGATAAGCTCTGAGCTGGCCATATAAACATGAAGAGGATGTACAATGTCCAAATATACCTTCACCACATTCCTGTTTCATTATAACTTGTTAATCACTATATTCCTTGTCAAAATATTCAAATGTGAACTTACTGCCAGAGAATGAAGAGTTCTTGGATCAAACAGAAGCTTTTCCCCAAGGGGAAGCCTCTGATTCTCAACATGAAGCTCTCTTAGTTCTCCTAATCCTTCTAAACCTTCTATGACAGCAATGTAATTGCCTCCCAGATACCTGCAAAACATAGACATAATTCTAAACAGACATTCTGAGAATGTCATGGTCTTTATTAAACGTGACAAAAGTGTAATAACAAAATCACTGAGCTGAACAAAATTATAAATGTGGAATGTTGTGTTATATTGAATCTATGAAAGGTTGGTTTATCTAAATGAGAACAAATTATATTCTTACACTTAATTTAGTCTAAAAGTACATTTTTTTTTTGCTTTTTAAAAAAGTGAGCGAATTGCAACATACAATTCATATGTTGCCTAACATATGAAAAGCCCGGGTAGATAGTTTGATAATAACCATTTTTGGGTTGTAGGTTTAAAAAATGAAGATTTCACGGCTAGACACAGTGGTTCACACCTGTAATCCCAGCACTTTGGGAGCCTGGGAGTTTAAGACCAGTCTGGGCAACATAGGGAGATCCCATCTCTAAATAAATAAATAAATAAATAAATAAATAAATAAATAAGCAAGCCAGTCAGTTATTGTGGTGCATACTTGTGGTCCCAGCTACTCAGGAAGCTGAAGTGGGAAGATCACTTGGACCTAGGACATCAAGGCTGAGATGAGTCATGATCGCGCCACTGCATTCCAGCCTGGGTGACAGAGCGAGACTCTGTCTCAAAACCAAGAGATAAAAGGAAAAATGAAGATATCTGGGCCTAACCCCTGGAGATTCTAATTTGGATATGTAGGTTGGAACCCAGTGCTCTGCATTTTTAATAAGCATTCACCAGCCAACTCTTGTGTCCCCATTCTGAGGCTTTTAGCCGTTTCTTTGAGGAGCATGATAGTTACTCCAGTCTGGGGAAATTGGATCCACCAATCTTCATTGTCTAATTATAATCACTATAGGTAGTAAATGCCTTTTTACAATCAAGTTTACATCAATTGGATCAATTATATGACGCAGATGGTATGAGATATATGATTCTGAAAGGCACATAACTCATCTGGGTTCCGTGGAAACTTCTTTTATCAGTTGAGCCCACATGAGGATGTTTTAAGTATCCCTATTAGCACTTAAGACAACCCTTCCCCAGAATGAAAAGTATATCAGGCTTAATAAAACACAAATTATTAATATTATATGTGAAACAATTTACTTCTTGTTAATAATAGTAGGAGAAAATAGAAATTGAGGTCTGTTCCACAAAACCCATGTGGGAATCATATGGTTTTTTTTCATATAAGTATGAAATCATATCAATTTCATATTGAATTTACTTTTGGAATTTAATGCAAAAAATGGAAATGCCTTCATGCAAAAAAATGTAAGTACCATAATCATAAAAATCAGATACATTATTAAAAAATAAAAGCACTTACAGTTTTTCCAGTTTCTTTAATGACCTGAGGTTCTCTATACATGAAATACAATTGTTTTGTAGGTACAAGTGGGTCAGATTTGTGGCATAATTCAGGTTAGTGATTTGACTAATACAATTATCATATAAATATAAAACACTAAGATTTTTGCAAAGAGAGAGGTCTTCCTAAAAGGGAAACAAAAACATGTCAAATGTAATTTCTCCTGAAAACTTAAAAGTTTGTTTTTAACAAAAATTTTCAGTTGATCATTCTACAAATTTCTCTAAGGTTAATATAAAAGAACAGTATTTCTCTGTTCTTGGCACAGTTAAAACAAGACTAGACTGATTACAAAAGAAATTCTGTAATATATTTTTCTTTTTTTAGAAATTCTGTAATTATATCAATAAAACTGGAATTGTTAAGATTTTCCCAGTGCAAGCAATTTTCCTTGGAAGCAATTAGGCTCCTCTGGAAGTTGGAGCATTGAATAAATTATTGTCTCAACATTATAAATAGGGTTTAATATTTCTGTAGAATTGGAAGTCAACTATTGTGGTTTATAATACTGAAAACTGGGAGTCATCTAGATATCCAAGAATAATAGATTATTATTATTTTTTTTTCCTGAGATGGAGTCTCATTCTGTTGGCCAGGCTGGAGTGCAGTGACGCCATCTCGGCTCACCATAACCTCCGCCTCCTGGGTTCAAGTGATTCTCCTGCCTCAGTCTTCTGAGTAGCTGGGACTACAGGTGTGTGCCACCATGCCCGGCTAATTTTTGTATTTTTAGTAGAGACGGGGTTTCACTATGTTGGCTAGGCTGGTCTCGAACTCCTGACCTCGTGATCCACCTGCCTGGGCCTCCCAAAGTGCTGGGATTACAGGTGTGAGCCACCGCGCCCAGCCTCATAGATTAATTTTTTAAAAACTATGATAATGCTATCAAAAGAAATACTGTAGAACCATTAAATATCCTTTTGTTTCTTCAGCAATATCTAATACATAGTTAAGTGAAATTCATAATATATAGTTAAGTGAAAATAGTACATTCAATATGACCCACTACTGTAAAATTATATGAATAAAAGACTGAAAGGATATTACCTAAATATTAAAAGTGATTGTGTCTGAATAGGATTACATTCTTTCTTATTATATGTATATTATATGAAAAAGAACATCAATTACTTTTTTTTTTTTTTTTTTGAAACAGGGTCTGCCCAGGCTGGTGTCAAACTCCTGGGCTCAAGTGATCCTAGCGCCCTAGCCTCTAGAGTAGCTGGGATTATAGGCATGCGCCACCATGCCCAGCTACCAGTTACTTTTGAGATAAAATAATTAAAGGGATTTTTAAAAAGGCTGCCATTTCTTGTGTCATGGCAGAGATCAGCCTAGAGTAAATAGACAAGCGGTAAAGTGAAGTTCTGCTCAAAAATTTCTCAGCCTTCATTAACTTCTTTTAAAATACAGCTATGTGTTGGAAACTGTAAGTTTAGAAGTTATTCTCATTTTAGTGTGAATTACTTTAACCAATTTGCCTTCCTTCTAACAAAGATCATCCACCCTGGAGGAGCACTGATTGATGTGAGGACAGAGTATGAAATAGGGGCTTTACTGGGGGCTCTCCAGAGAAAGTAGTCTTACATGATATGATGAGGTAGAGAGTTCTGGGCAACAAAAGAGAAACATTAGGTTTGGGCAAAGGAATTCGTGGGAAGAAGGATCACCAGGAAACCAGAAAGGGATCTAGAATGGGAGCTGGGTTGGGGTCCCTACAAAAAAACCAAGCATTTAATTGATCATTTTGCCTGGGGCATTAGTATTTCTTTCATTTGTTCAATAAATATTTATTAAGTACATGAGTCAGGCATTGTAATGGATGAGGGATTTAGAGTGATGTGAAACAATAGACATGATTTCTGCCCTCAGGTAGTTCCTGTGTTTCCAAGAAAATTTAGCTCACCTGTAGTCTAGCATTTACTGTAGACAACAGATACCAACACAAATGGCCTAAGAGTGTTATTGCAGCCTTTAAAGTTTCCCAAATTACAGCCAAGAATTACCTTAGTGCTGAGAAAATGTAGTTTCAGATTATATCCAGATAAACATAAACTTGTCTGATGTAATTGACCCAAGTATAACATACATTTACATAACCAGTTAAATTCTGTGCAAAAAAGATTTCACTGTTAAACTCTTTTTTTCTTGTGTGAATTTTAATTTTTATTTCCATAGTTTTTGGGGTAAAGGTGGTTTTTGGTTACGTGGATAGGTTCTTCTTTTTTGAGACGTAGTCTCACTTTGTTGCCCAGGCTGTATTACAGGTGTGACCCACCACGCTTAGCCAGGATAAATTCTTTAGTGGTGAGTTCTGAGATTTTAATGCATCCTTCACCTAAGCAGTGTATGCTGTACCCAATATGTAGTCTTTTATCCCTCATCCCCTTCCCAACCTTCCCTCACTGTTAAACTTTTGAAAAACGGTACTCACATACTTACTTCTTAACATTTTGGTATATTTCAAAAATTTATATTTCAAGGTTTTACAATAATACAAAAGTAATTAGTATCTATGAAATTATTTCCCAACATACACTTTCAAATCTAGTTTGCTACACTATACAGTGTTGTAGGAGAACTGTAATACATATATTTAATCTATGTATTTAAAAATCACAATAGTATATTTTATAGATTTAATTTTAACAAATTTAAAATCACAAGTAGGAAGTTAAAATAAAAACACAATATAAAGCTTACTGATAAAAATAAGTTAAATAAGGCCGAGTGCAGTGGCTTGCGTGTGTAATCCCAGCACTTTGGAAGGCCAAGGCAGGCGGATCACTTCTTGAGCTCAGAAGTCTGAGCTCAAGAACTCAACATGGTAAACCTGGGCAACATGGTGAAACCCCATCTGTACTAAAAATACAAAAGTTAGCTGGGCATGGTGGCACATGCCTGTAATCCCAGCTACTCGGTAGGCTGAGGTACAAGAGTCGCTTGAACCTGGGAGGTGGAGGTTGCAGTGAGCTTTGATCATGTCACTATACTCCAGCCTGGGCAACAGACGGAGAGAGACTCTATCTCAAAAAAAAAAGTTAATAAGAATAATGAAAATATAGTTAAAATATTAGGTATGCTCCCAAACCAATTCCTAAATTTTACATTATTAATTATATAAAATAGGAAATAATTTCAAAGTTCTTACAATTGCATCTATATTTTTGTCTGAAAAATTTATATGAGTTATTTTCTTCAGGCACTGTGAAATGGTTTCTTCTTTTCGGGGTTTAAGATTGCTGTTTCTGGCAATTAGATCCAAGGTCAGTCGAACCATAATTTCTTTATAAATCAAACTCTCAGCAAAAGCTCTGTTTTGACACCATGTCAAGAAGTAGGTTTAGGTATTATTTCCAACTTTCTGAAGATTAAAGAAAAAAGGAGCATTATGATATCATAGCAATTTAAGGAAAAGTTATTCTGACTTACTCTTTAAATAATTCCCTTATATGAAACTATTTGATAAGCTAGTTTATAGACATTTTTAGGGGCACTGAGGTATTTTCTAAGTTTATAGACATAACTTCATAAAAAGATTTAAAGCATCAAAATTAAACGCACAATACTCATTACTCATTCACTTTTACTTTTAAATCTTTTTTTCTTCCTGAGTAGTATTTGAATCATTGCAAGTATCTTTTTTTCTTTTCTTTTTTTTTTTTGAGACGGAGTTTCGCTCTTGTCACCCAGGCTGGAGTGCAGTGGCACAATCTCAGCTCACTGCAATCTCCCCCTCCCAGGTTCAAGCGATTCTCCTGTCACAAGCCTCCCGAGTAGCTGGGATTACAGGAGCGTGCTACCACGCCCCAGCTAATTTTTATATTTTTAGTAGAGATGGGTTTTCACCATATTGGCCAGGCTGGTCTCGAACTCCTGAGCTCAGGCAATTGGCCCGCCTCGGCCTCCCAAAGTGCTGAGATTACAGGCGTGAGCCACCGCGCCCGACCTCTTTTTTCTTTTAAGAGACTGGATCTCATGTTATGGTTCCCAGGCTGGCGTGTAGTGGCTATTCACAGGCATGTAGGCATGATCATAGTGCACTGCAACCTTTTTTTTTTTTTTGAGACGACTCTCGCTCTGTCGCCAGGCTGGAGTGCAGTGGCACGGTCTTGGCTGACTGCAACCTCCGTCTCCTGGGTTCAAACAATTCTCCTGCCTCAGCCTCCCAAGCAGCTGGGATTACAGGCATGTGCCACTATACCCAGCAAATTTTTGTATTTTTAGTAGAGATGGGGTTTCACCATGTTAGCCAGGCTGGTCTTGAACTCCTGACCTTGAGATCCGCCCACCTCGGCTTCCTAAAGTGCTGGGATTACAGGAGTGAGCCACCGTGCCTGGCCCCCGCCCCCCCCCCCTTTTTTTTTTTTTTTTTTTTTAGGGACGGAGTCTTGCTCTGTCTCCCAGGCTGGAGTGCAGTGGCGCAATCTCGGCTCACCGCAACCTCCGCCTCCCTGGTTAAAGCAATTCACCTGCCTCAGCCTCCCAAGTAGCTGGGACTATAGGCACACGCCGCCATGCCCGGCTAATTTTTTTTTTTTTAATTTTAATGGAGACGGGGTTTCACTGTGTTGCTCAGGCTGGTCTTGAACTCCTGAGCTCAGGCAATTGGCCTGCCTCGGCCTCCCAAAGTGCTAGGATTACAGGCATGAGCCACTGCGCCCGAGCCATGCACTGCAATCTTTGAACTCCTGGGCTCAAGTGCTCCTCCTGCCTATGCCTCAGCTGGGACCTACAGGGGTGCACCACTACGCCTGGTTTATGAGCATCTTTTTTTTTTTTTTTTTTTTTTTTGAGATAGTCTCGCTCTGTCACCCAGGCTGGAGTGCAGTGGCGTGATCTCGGCTCACTGCAACCTCTGCCTCCTGGGTTCAAGCAATTCTCTGCCTCAGGCTCCCGAGTAGCTGGGATTACAGGCGCCCACCACCATGCCCGGCTAATTTTTGTATTTTTAGTAGACACGGGTTTCACCATCTTGGCCAGGCTGGTCTTGAACTCCTGACCTCGTGATCCACCCACCTCGGCCTCCCAAAGTGCTAGGATTACAGGCGTGAGCCATCGCGCCCGGCCTTATGAGCATCTTTTAAAGGATTATTATTCACTCTTGGAGTAAAAAAGGCCCTCGAGGAATATCCTCTAATGTTCTCATTTCACAGGTGAAGAAACTAAGTCCCCAGCACTTTGGGAAGCCGAGGCGGGCGGATCACAAGGTCAGGAGATCGAGACCATCCTGGCTAACACGGTGAAACCTCTACTAAAAAATACAAAAAATTAGCCAGGCATGGTGGCGGGCGCCTGTAGTCCCAGCTACTTGGGAGGCTGAGGCAGGAGAATGGCGTGAACCTGGGAGGGGGAGCTTGTAGTGAGCCGAGATCACGCCACTGCACTCCAGCCTGGGCGACAGAGCGAGACTCCACCTCAACAAAAAAAAAACCAAAAAAACAAACAAACAAAAAAACTAAGCCCCAGAGATTTATCTTAAGCTACTCAAGCTAGTGACAGTTGAGAAAGGGACCAGGTCTCTTGGCTCCTTTTCCCATAGTACCCATAGAGACCATATGTCTGAAATCCCTAAATCAGAACACATGGTGTGAAAACCTTAAGTACATAGGACAATGGTGCAAAATACTTGAAAATGAAGCTGGCCTAGAAATTTATGTTTTATTAGTACAACCATAATCCACAAAGAGGCAACATAATCCAGGGTTTTTTGTTGTGTTTTGTTTTTGTTGTTGTTGTTGTTGTTTTTTTTGATATGAAGTCTTGCTCTTGTTGCCCAGGCTGGAGTGCAATGGCGCGATCTCGGCTCACTGCAACCTCCGCCTCCTGGGTTCAAGCAATTCTGCCTCAGCCTCCCGAGTAGCTGAGATTAACAGGCGCCTGCCACCATGCCCGGCTAATTTTTGTATTTTTAGTAGAGACGGGGTTTCACCATGTTGGCCAGGCTAGTCTCGAACTCCTGACCTCAGGTGATCTGCCTGCCTCAGCCTCCTAAAGTGCCGGGAGTACAGGCGTGAGCCACTGAGCCCGGCCAATCCAGGGTTTTTCAATCCAGATTGCCTGGTTCCAATTTTGGCTTCATCACTTACTAGTTAGGCATCTTGGGCAGGTTACTTCAATTTCTTACAAAATAAGGATAATAATAGTCCCTATTTCCAAGGGATAATGTGAGGATTGGTGAAATACTCATTATAGAGTGTTCTGCACAGTACCTGGTACATAGGTCAATAAACATTTGCTATCATTATTATTATTCTGTTACTGGTTTGTTCACAGATAAGTTTATCTTAACTGTATCACCAGAAATATATCAGGACTGTTAAATATGGGAAACATGCCGGGGGGCGGTGGTGCGTGTTTGTAGTTCTGGCTACTGGGTAGGCTGAGGCAAGAGGATTGCTTGAGCCCACGAGTTCCAGGTTAGCGTAAGCTATGATCATGCCACTGCACTCCAGCCTGGGTGACAGAGGGAGACTATCTCTAAATAAGTAAATAAAATATTGCCATATATTGTCTATAGATTTGAGGTAACCCGTTTTTTCAATTGCCCAGGAAGTATAGCTATTTAAGTGATAAATATCCCAGTTTCCCCAATTGTGCTTCACATTCTTTTACTACAAATGTAACCAAAAACACAGTTTAAAATTAAACATTATTCCAGTGTATATGGAATTTAACCAATAAAATACCTCAATGTGAACAATATTCTGTATATGAAATCAGTGCTTAGAAGGAAAAATGAATTCAGTAGACTATAAATTAAATTTGTATACTCACACATTGGCATTACCCAGGCTATGTTATTATAAATTGCCCACAATAAAATATTTGAAGATATGGAATGTATTCTTAGACTCTTCAAAATGCAAAGTACAGCCTACAGAATAAAATTATAAAATCTTAAGCCTCAGAACTGAGCAGAAAAAAAAATTATAAAATCTTCGTAGATTTTTGAAATTTGCATATATCTGATTATTTTTATAACAAAATTTTAAGCTTATTGTTGACTTTTCAGACCACATTTCAAATATGATACTATATTCTGAACAAAGTGTCTAATTCAATAAAAATAACATTACCTTGAAAATATTTCATAAAATATTTCATGATAAAAGTATAAGAATAGTATAACACCTATGGACCCACAGGTCAGCTTAAAATATAAAACATTACAAATACATTTGAAACCCCTCTATACCTTTCTTCCTCTTCATTCTCTTAAATTTAGGATTTATCTAAAATTTAGACTACTCATGTTTTTATGCTTTTACTACAGATGTATGTATACCTAAACCATATATAGTACTGTTTTTCACAATTTTACATGTTATCAATGATATTAATGATATTATTCTGTCTTTAGCTTTCTTTTCTGCTTTATGTTTTGTTTGTGAGAGTCATCTGGGTTGATGTATGTAGCTCTACAATATTTACTATACAATATTCCATTGTAAGAAATTAATTTTTCCTAATGATTGATCTTTGAGTATTTCTTTTTTTTCACTTTTACAATGTTGCCTTTATGATTTTGTATATATCATTTAGCACATGTGCAAGAGCTTCTTTAAGGTTTAAAACTAGGAGTGGCCACTTCTGGGTTGGACATTTCAACTTTACTATATACTGCCAAATTTTTCTCCAAAGGAATTTTACCACTGGCAAGTAAAAGAGTTCCCACTGCTCTGCACCATTGTTGGCACCTGATATTGGCAATCTTTAACTTTTTGCCAAGCTGATGGGTATAAAATGATATCTCACTACTGTGTTTTAATTTGCCATTCTCTACTTATTGAGAGACTGAGAGTATTTTCCTGATTATTGGCCATGTGGAGTTTCTCTTCTGTTAATTGCTATTTCTTATATTTTGCCCATTTTTCCTACTGAGTTCTGCTTTTCTAAGAAATTTTTAGAACACACACACATTTCTATTAGATACTAATATTTCATTGATAATATGTGTTGCAAATGTCTTTTCCCAGACTGTAGCTTGTCTTTTCTCTTTTTCACTTGTTAGTTTGCTTTTAATGGTATCTTCTAAAAAACAGAAGCTTTACTTTTTAATATAGTCAAATGTATCACTATTTTTCTCATGTTTTGTGCTTTTTGTGGCTTATTTAATAACTCCTTCCCTACCTTAATTTCAGAAAAAAAAAGACCTATATATTCTTCTGAACATGTTAAAGTTTTCCTTGATGCATTTTGGTCTTTATCTAGAGTTGATTACTGTGTAGGAAGTGAGATATTCAATATTTTTTTCCTTATGAGAACCAATTACCCCAGTACTTGGGGTGTTTTCTCTTCTATGGTTCTTTTCTCTTCCATTATTTATATATTTATCTCCATGACAACACGGTCTTAATTAGTATAGATTAATAATCTCTCTCTCTACTTGGGTTATTCTTGGTCCTTGACTCTTTCATATAAACTTTAACATCAATTTTTCATTTCATGAAAAGTCCTTTCATGATTTTGTTAGGAATTGCAAATTTATAAACAATTCATGAAGCACTGACATTTCTCTAATATCAAGTCTTCTTTTCCATGAGTACGGTAAGTCTCTCCATTTTGGTAGTGCTAATTTAATGATTTTCAGTAGTTAAAATTTTTTCTTTTATATTTAAGGCCATGCATAAGTTTTTTGTTTTGTTTTGTTTTTTCATTTGTTTGTTTGTTTTTGAGACAGGGTCTCGCTCTGTACAGTGGCCTGATCTCGATTCACTGCAGTTTCCATCTCCCAGTCTCAAGGGATCCTCCCATCTCAGCCTTCCGAGAAGCTGGGACTACAAGCCTGCGCCAGCATGCCCAGCTAATTTTTGTATTTTTAGTAGAGATGGGGTTTTGCCAAGTTGCCAGGGGAATTTCAAACTCTTGGGCGAAAGCAATCCACCTGCCTCAGCCTCCCAAACCGTTGGGATTGCAGGCATGAGCCACCATGCCCAGCTCGAGTTTTTATTTTTGAGTTATTGGGATCATAGATTTTTGTTGATATTGCAAATGTTATTCTTTTAGAAATTGTATTTTCTGTTTGTAGCCACTGTATAGAAATGCAGTATTTTTAAAATATTGATTTTATATCCAGCAACACTGGTAAGGACACATTAATTTTATTTTATAGAGTCTTTGGGTTTTCCATGTAGACAATCAGATTATATATGAGTAACAGTCTACTACTTCCCAAACCTTTTATCTCTTTTTTTTCTTTTTTATTGTGTTATTGCACTGGCTAGGACCTCTGGGAACAGTGTTGAATAGAAGCGATGAGGGCGTATACACTTGTCTTATTGCTGATCTCAAAGGAAATACTTGCAACATTTCACCAAGTATGATATCTGCTGTAAGTTTTTTTTTTTTAGTATGATATTTGCTGTAAGTTTTTTTTTAAGATAGCCATACTCAGCTGGGCACCGTGGCTGATGCCTGTAATCCCAGCACTTTGGGAGGCTGAGGTGGGCAGATCACGAGGCCAAGAGATCGAGACCATCCTGGCCAAAATGGTGAAAACCCGTCTCTACTAAAAATACAAAAAAAATTAGCCGGGCATGGTGGCGCGCACCTGTAGTCCCAGCTACTCAGGAGGCTGAGGCAGGAGAATCACTTGAACCCGTTAGGAGGAGGTTGCAGTGAGCTGAGATCGTGCCACTGCACTCCAGCCTGGCGACAGACCAAGACTCCATCTCAAAAAAAAACCAAAAAAAAGATAGCCATACTCAGATTAAGAAAGTGCTTTTATATTCATAGTTTGTAAAGTTTTTTTTAAAATCATGAATGAATGTTGATGGTTATGAAATGTTTTTCTTTTGCATTAGGAGATGTGGTGAAATACATTAATAGACTTCTAATGGTTCTTTTTGTATGTGTGTGTGTATGACAGGGTCTCACTCTGTCATTCAGGCTGGAGTACAGTGGTGCAATCTCGGCTCAGGCAACCTCTGCCTCCTGGGCTCAAGCAATCCTCCCACCTCAGTCTCCCGAGTAGCTCATGCCCTACAGGCTCATGCCACCATGCCAGCTAATTTTTTTTTTTTTTAGATGGAGTCTTGCTCTGTTGCCCAGGCTGGAGTGCAGTGGTGCATCCTGGCTCACTGCAAGCTCCCCATCCCGGGTTCAAGTGATTCTCCTGCCTCAGCCTCCTGAGTAGCTGGGACTACAGGCGCCTCCCACCAAGCCCAGCTAATTTGTTGTATTTTTTTTAGTAGAGACGGGGTTTCACCGTGTTAGCCAGGATGGCCTCCATCTCCAGACCTCGTGATCCACCCACCTCGGCCTCCCAGAGTGCTGGGATTACAGGCGTGAGCCACTGCACCCAGCCTAATTTTTGTATTTTTTGTAGAGACAGGGTTGTACCATGTTGCCCAGGCTGGTAGACCTCTAATGTTAAATTTTTTTGCATTCCAGCGATAAACCAAACTTAGTCAGAATAACATATATACACAAATTAAGTTTGCTAATATTTTATTTAGGATTTTAATTTTTTTTTTTTTTTTTTGGTACAGATAGGGGTTCACTCTTGCCCAGGCTGGAGTGCAGTGGTGTGATTATAGCTCACTGCAATGTCAAATTCCTGGGCTCAAGTGATTCTCCCACCTCAGCCTCTTGAGCAGCTGGGACTACAGGTGTACACCACCATGCCCAGCTAATTTTTTATTTTTTTTATTTTTATAGAGACAGGGTCTTACTATGTTGCCAAGGCTGGTCTCAAACCCGTGGCCTCAAGCAATCCTCCCACCTCAGCCTCCCAAAGTGCCAAGATTATAGGCATGAGCCACCATGCCTTGCCAGGAATTTTTTCATCTAAGCTTAATAAGGAGGTTTTTCTTTTCTTTTTTTACAGACAGGGTCTCATTATGTTGCCTAGGCTGGTCTCAAACTCCTGGGCTCAAGTGATCCTCCTGCTTTGGCTTTTCAAAGTGCTGGGATTACAGGTGTGAGCCACCATGCCCAGCCTATCACTTGAGTTTTTACTTCAGGCTCTGTTTTCTAACTTTGGCTAAAACAGAAAATTTGGATCACCTGAAACCTCATGAATGGCCATGCTATTTTGTAGGGAAGGCAAAATCTTACCTCTTCCATCTTAGGGTTTTTTTTTTTTTTGTGGCTGAGCCTAAGAATTAAATTGACATACAGCAGATCAAGAGGAGAAAAACAAGCAAATTTAGTTAATACAAGTTTAATGTGGCATGGGAGCCTTCATAAGAAATGGAGACCCAAAGACGCAGAGTTGTATACTTGCATACTAAGTTAGAAAAAGGACAGTAGGCCGGGTGCGGTGGCTCATGCCTGTAATCCCAGCACTTTGGGAGGCCGAGGTGGGCAGATCACTTGAGGTCAGGAGTTCGAGACCAGCCTGGACAACATGGTGACACCTCATCTCTACTAAAAATACAAAAATTAGCTGGGCGTGGTGGCACATGCCTATAATCCCAGCTACTCAGGAGGCTGAGGCAGAGGAATCGCTTGAACCTGGGAGGCAGAGGTGGCAGTGAGCCCAGATCGCACCACTACGCTCCAGCCTGGGCGATAGAGTGAGACTCCGTCTCAAAAAAAAAAAAAAAGAAAAAATAAGAGCATAGTAAATTGTGAAAATGTGGCCGGGCGCGGTGGCTCATGATTGTAATCCCAGCACTTTGGGAGGCCGAGGTGGGTGGATCACCTGAGGTCAGGAGTTTGCGACCAGCCTGACCAATATGATGAAACCCTGTCTCTACTAAAAATACAAAAAAATTAGCCGGGCATGGTGGCATATGCCTGTAATCCCAGCTACTCGGGAGGCTGAGGCAGGAGAATCGCTTGTACCCAGGAGGCAGAGGTTGTGGTGAGCCAAGATTGCACCATTGCACTCCAGACTGGGCAACAAGAGTGAAACTCCATCTCAAAAAAAAAAAGAAAAAAGAAAATGTGACAAGGTAAAGGAGCTTGGGCTAGGGCTAGGGTAGTTGATTGGTGAAGGGTTCCTGTAAAAACATTTGTTTGTACAGCTTTTCCTTGGCTTCAGCTTCTAGTCCTTGATGGTAAGAATGATACTTTCTAGTATAGGGAGGAAATCTTTCACATAAAAATTTATTCTCCTGCTTTTAAGAAAAAGAACAGGCAGGGTGTGTTGGCTCACACCTGTAGTCCCAGCACTTTGGGAGGCTGAGGTGGGAGGATTGCTTGAGCCCAGGAGTTCGAGACCAGCCTGAGCAACATGGCGAGACCCCTGTCTCTACAAAAATAAATGAGCCGGGCATGGTGGTACACGCCTGTGGTCCCAGCTATTTGGGAGGTTGAGGCAGGAGGATTGCTTGAGCCTGGGAAGTCAAGGCTGTGGTGAGCTGTGATTGCGCCACTGCACTTCAGCCTGGGAAACAGAGCATGAACCTGTCTCAAAACAAAAAACAAAAAACAGAATAAAAGTCAGAGCAATCGTCTTTTACCTGTCATTTTTCAAGTGCTTTTTTTTTTTTTTTTTCCTGAGATGGAGTCTTGGTCTGTTGCTCAGGTTGGAGTTCAGTGGTGCGATTTCGGCACACTGCAACCTCTGCCTTCTGGGTTCAAGCGATTCTTCTGCCTCAGTCTCCCGAGCAGCTGGGATTACAGGCATGCACCACCACGCCTGGCTAATTTTTGTATTTTTAGTAGAGATGGGGTTTTGCTATGTTGGCCAGGCTGGTCTGGAACTCCTGATCTCAAGTGATCCGCCCGCCTCAGCCTCCCAAAGTGCTAGGATTACAAGTGTGAGCCACCATGCCCAGCAATTTTTCAAGTGCTTTTATCTAAATATAGTCAATATGCCAGAGCAGCATATTTTGAAATGACATATTCTTAATACTTTCACTTTAGAAATGGATTCCGTCTATAGATTTCAGTGTATAAACTGGTGTTCACATAGATAAAAATTAATGACCTTAGATAATTTTGGAAAAGGACAGAGGCAAACTTTGTATGTAAGTGAAGTATTTATTAAACCAAGGGAAGGTCAATGGACCTCATCAGCAAGCTATAGGAAAACTTTCTAGGGGCTTGAATATGGAAAAGGAGAGAACTGAATCAACCCACAACACAAAATAATAGACTGTTAACTCAAAAGAATTTGCATTGTAGCAGTCCATAAGAAAGAATTTAGTTTCATCAAAACACCACCATTCATCTTGTTAAAAACAATATTAATTTAAACTGTATTGGTAGTTTTTATTGTTTTAGAAAATTAAAAGCTTCAGGAGCTTAAACTGAACCTAAAGTGGATTTGGATATATTTTAGAACATTATAATAAAAATAATGTCCGCACTTGTGAAGTGTCTTTGGTTTTCTTTTAAAAGAGATTGTGTTCTAAAGTTTGAGAAACTGCTTTTGCCTACTTTCCACCTTCTAGATATCTCGTGTTACTTTGGGACTCCTCTTACTAGATCTCTCTCTCCCAGGCCACCGGTGGGAACAGCTTAGAGCTTCTTTACAGGCTCTAGGGATCCATTTTATTGTTAGCTTTTTGTTGGTGTTTTTTGTTTTTTTGTTTGTTCGTTTTGTTGTTGTTTTCCAGCTTTTCGGTTTGGGGGGTACATGTGCAGGTTTCTTACATGGGTGGAATCCATTTTAATGGACCCCTTGGCTTTCATCTACTGGAATTCCCACAGACTAGAGGCAGTGGACAACGTTTTCTGAATTCTGTTAGTATCTATACTTCCACTTAGGCCACAGGCTCAGTGGCTTCCAGATGCTCTAAATCACTGGCTCCAGCCCTCAGGCTTTTCAAAACCCTTCCCTTTCAAACTCAGCTCCACGCCCACCGGGCTGCTTCCTCAGCCCCGCGACCACCCCTCCACCTGTGTCTCCCTCCTCTAGAGCTGTTTCACAATCTTGCCAGCTAACCATTTGTTAAAAACACAGACTTCCAGACTATTTTTTCTGGAAATTCTGTATGTCTAAAGATAGGGCCCAAGGATCTGCATTTTAACAAATGTCCCGGAAAGTCTTACTGGCAGGCAAGTTTGAGAAACATGGTTCTAGGGTTTCCTCGGTCCCCACGCTTATTCCCCGCGGGCAGCTCACCGCTCGCGGGACAGTCCGGTAGCTAACTCCAGTTTGGTCGGTTTCATCGGCGCCGGGTCCCTACGCAGACCAGCGGCGGTTGCTGGGCGACCAGACGCGCTGTCCAAGCGCCGCTCACGAGAAATCTCGCGACATCGCAGGCTGCTCCCTCCCCGGTGGGTCCTTCCCCTGTGAGGCGGCGGCCGGGCGCTGATGGGCACTGACGGTGGTCACTAGGCCGACTCCGACTAGAGTCCTGTTAGCTTGAAGAGGCCGTGAGGCATCGGTCACCGCATTGTTTTAGTGGACCAGTTAGTAGCCGGAACAATTTTTGGCAGACCACCATTTCCCCCTACCGGATTATCCTGCCATCGGCTTTGACCGTTTCAGTGCCCAACAACCACCTTTTCCCAATAACAGACCAGGAAAGGAATTATCTGATTCAGAATACAGCCTGTACTCCATCCTTTCCTCGGTGAAACCTCAAATTCCTTAGGGTGACATTGAGGGCCATTTATCATGACCAACCTCACCGCTTGCCGCCTGCCCTCTACACTCCAGTGTTTTTCAGTATACCCTGTTCTTAATAATAAAAATAATAATAATTCCCCTCTCTTCTCCGCCCTTCAAGGTAGGCATAGCACACACTTTCTCACCTCCTTCAGTCTTATTTTTCCTTTTAAGATTTAAAGACTCAGTTTGGAATTAGTGCAACCTTTCCGAAGTCTTCCTGGGTATCCCATCTTGTTAAGTAATGCCCTTTCTTCCCCCCAAACAGCTGAGATGTATTACTTTTTCCAGCATAGCACTTAATACAATATTACATGTTAGCTACTTAGCCATATCTCCAATGAGGTGGTAAATTCTTTGAGGGCAAGGATTATGTGGTTTACCTCGCTATTTCCAGGACCTAGCAAAGTGCCTTGTTCATTAATAGTTACTCCATAAATGTTTGCAAAATGAGTAATTTAATTGCAGAAGAAGAACAATAGTACAGGGAACTGACATTTATAGTGGAAAGCCTGGGGCTCATTAGGGATATGGTGAAGTGAGCAGTCTGGATGTAAGGGACAATGCAAGCTGGAAAACATTTGAGTACCAGCTGTGATTCTGGTGGAGAAAAGGTCGTCATTGCCATTCTTTGAGCAAAGACGTGTCAGAGCAGAAGATTGTTAGAATGCAAGGCAGCTTAGAGCTCATGAGGGTAATCCAAATTGCCATTTTGCAGATAAGGAAATTCCCAGGGCTCAAAAGAAGAAAGAAACATGCTCAAGGTCACACCTGGGGTGACAGAGAGGGAACTTCTTGGCCTCCTGATTTCAAGCCCACTTCTCCTTTCATTTTATCCCCCTGACCATTACAATAAGAGTATCCTAGGAAGGTGGGGGAATGGTGGCAAAGGAGCCCTAACCCCATTCAGGATATTTTTGCTTAAGTCCAGTTGTGAGAGCAATCTTGGCCTGGGTTGGAGTGAAGGCAAAGAAAGTGGAAAAGAATGAAAAAATTTAGGAGATATTTTGAAGCATGATTTAATAGAGACTGGATAGTATAAAGGGAGGGGAGAAGTTGAAGATAATTCCCAGATGTTAGCTATGATAAAGGAACAATACTGGGGAAAGAGGAGAGATGGTGAGTAATTTGAGGGGAAGTGGATGAGTTTGGTTTACATACATTAAGTGTGAGGTGAGAAAGGTTTTAATAGTCTCCAATATAAAGCTGATTATTTAAACCATGAGGCCATAAATGGTAGGGAGGGAGAAAATAAGGAAAGCGAAATAGTGGGTTAGTAGCTATGCCAACTAGTTTGGATAAAAGAGGGAAGAAAAACTAGTAAAGATGGTATAGAAAGAATCATCAGAGGTAAGATTTGTCCTGAGAAGTACAATAATTCAGTGATTCCGAAACTCATAATTCAGATTCAGACACTGGGGGAGGGAGTTTAAAGAGGGGGTACCTAACAGAATAAAAAGCCACAGAAGGATAAGAAATAAAAGAATGGCTGGGCATGGTGGCTCATGCCTGTAATCCCAGCACTTTGGGAGGCTGAGGCGGGTGGATTATGAGGTCAGGAGTTTGAGACCAGCCTGACCAACAAGGTGAAACCCCGTCTCTACTAAAAATACAAAGGGTGGCTGGTCATGGTGGCGTGCGGCTGTGATCCTAGCTACTCGGAAGGCTGGAGGCAGGAGAGTTGCTTGAATCTGGGAGGCAGAGGTTGCAGTGAGCCCAGATTGCGCTATTGCACTCCAGCCTGGGCAACAGAGCGAGACTCTGTCAAAAAAAAAAAAAAAAAAAAAGAAGGAAAGAAAGAAAAGAATGATCAACGTAATATGGCTAAAACACTACTAGAGGGGTACGAATTAGATGCCCCTCAATTATCTGTTTTGTAGTTCATTCATTTGGGGATAACAGCTTTAACAATGATGCAGGGCTGGTCCATTGCTCTGTGTAGCACTTGGTCAACTTGCCGCTAGCATTACTTTGCTAGGAGCCTTGTTTAGCAATGCCTCATTGAAAATCAGTTGCTCTGGAAATCTTCCTTTTGGAACAATTGCATATATCATTATAAAACGGAGTATTATTTCATTTGTGGTAATATTTAACACATTTAACATATTTAAATTAAATAACATTTAAATAAAACATATTTAAATGTCTAAAAGGATATACATATAGATATATACCAAAATGTTTAATAGTGGTTGTTTCTTGGTGATAGAATTATGATTGTTTTTTCTCCTATTTTTATTAACAAGATTTTTTTTTAATGATAAAATTACATTCTGAAAATTTATTTTGGATTCCACTGTTCATGGAATTGAAAATGTCTCTGTGACTGCTGGTAGTTACAGTGGTTTGAATTACTAATTTTTCTTTTTCTTTTTCTTTTTTTTTTTTTTTGAGACGGAGTCTCACTCTGTTGCCCAGGCTGGAGTGCAGTGGCACGATCTCGGCTCACTGCAACTTCTGCCTCCTGGGTTCAAGTGATTCTCCTGCCTCAGTCTCCCAAGTAGCTGGGAGAACAGGTGCGCGCCACCACACCAGGCTAATTTTTTATGTTTTTAGTAGAGACGGGGTTTCACCATCTTGGCCAGGCTGGTCTTGAACTCCTGACCTCATGATCCACCTGCCTCAGCCTCCCAAAGTGCTGGGATTACAGGTGTGAGCCACCGTGCCCAGCCGAATTTCTAATTATTTTTTTGATGCAACAAGTTAAGAGAAAGTATTTTCTCATTAAGATGTGAAATATAGGCCAGGTGCAGTGGCTCACGCCTGAAATCCCAGCACTTTGGGAGGCCGAGGCAGATGGATCACAAGGGCAGCAGATCGAGACCATCTGGCCAACATGGTGAAGCCCTGTCTCTATTAAAAATAAAAAAATTGGCCGGGTAGGGTGGCACCCACCTGTATTGCCAGGTAGTCCCAGCTGCTCAGGAGGCTGAGGCAGGAGAATCGCTTGAACCTGGGAAGTAGAGGTTGCAGTGAGCTGAGATCGTGCCACTGTACTTCAGCCTGACAACAGAGCAAGACTCCGTCTCAAAAAAAAAAAAAAAGATGTGAAATATAATTCCTGTCTGATGGCACAGAATGTTAAACAATCATCTGTGTATTTTCCAGTGTGGCAGAAATTTGGCAGACTGCAAGAAATACTTGTCTTCAGTACCAAATTTGTAAGTTCAGCATAAAATACTCTAAGATTTACACTTTTACAGATGTTGGGAAATAAGTATTTGTAAAAATATATATATTGTGAAGCCTTGAGAATCATTTTAAAAGGTACTTTTGGAAGAATGATGCTAAAAAGCACATTTGTAAAAGCCTCAACTAGAGTTTCCAAGAAACCTTAGACGGAAACATACTTTATATTTCATATATTTTTCTTTGTAGCCCGTATGTATTTCTTGACCTTCCAGAGTACATACAGCACACCAGTTTTAATGATTAGTTATCTTTCATTGAGAAACCAGCAAGTTAAAGGGCCCAGACATGCGTAACATCACATAACTCCATAAAGAAAAATTTTTTGTTAATGCCTCTTTTTGTCTTGATCTTGTAGATTGGTAAATATTAGTTATATGGTAAGCAGACTTCTAAGATGGCCTCAGCGATCTCACCTCCTGATATCCAGGCCCTTGTGTGATCCTCTCCTCTGGAATGTGGACTAGACCTACTGACCTGTTCTAGCCAATAGAATAAGGCAAAGCTGATAGACTATCTTTCTGTGATTAGGTTACAAAAGATTGTAACTTCTGTATTGTTAGCAGACTTTATTACATTTTGGGCTTGCAGTCTTTGAAAAAACAAGTTGCCATTTAGGAGAGCACATATGGCAAGGATCTGAGGATAGTCTCTAGCCAACAGCTAGTGAGGAACTGAGACTGTCAATCCGATGAGAAACTAAATGCCAACAAATACTGTCTGAGCTAGGAAGTTGAGCTTTCAGATGAGATCTCATCCGTAGCCAACACCTTGATAGCAGCACTGTGAGAGAGACTCTGAAGCAGAGGACCTAGATCCCTGACCTACGAAATCTGTGAAACAATATGTGTAATTTTAATCACTGAGTTTTGCAATTTGTTATATAGCAATAAATACCTAATAGGAGCAATGGAAAATTCCCTTAAGGAGAGGTTTATTCAGAAAATTGGGACATTATTCCTATTTTTATAGGACATTTCAAATGGAAACTCAGAGGAGAGAAAAGAAAGTGACTACAGGAAGCTTAGTTAAGCAAGTATATATTGATCTATCTATCTATCTATCTATCTATCTATCTATCTATCTATCTAATCTATCAGAAGCGGCAAGCTGTAGAATCAATACAAACAAAACCCTTTTGGTTATGGATGAAGCAGTCTCTATTCAAGGTATCCTGTAACCTGAAGATGATCATTTCATTGGGAGCTTCTGTAGAAGATACTAAGAGCCCTCTAAGGCCATGATGTACACAATATGAGCCCTAATAATAAGTGATTTTTAAAAAATAATTTAGTAACTGATTTATGTAATTTATTATATATTGTATTTTATAAATATAAATGATTATTACATAGATTATATATAAAACAATCCATGGTATTTCTTCTGCGTTCCAGACCTATGCATCCAACTGGCTGCTAGACATTCATTCCACCTGGATATAAATGTCCTGGAGGCATTGAAAACTCAAGCTGTCAAAACTGAACTCATTTCCATCCTTCACAAATCTGATAGACTTTCTCTAGATCCTGTCTTGCTCACAGTTCACCCTACTACAGATGTAGAGCCTGAGAGCCATCTCCAGTACTCTCACATATTAATACTAGTCACCAAACCATGTCCACTTAATCTCAGCATGACTTTCAAATCTAGCTTTCTCTCCACGTCCCCATCATTAACTAACAACAGATGTGAAAGGACTTTGTGAAGTTCTATTTTTAAAAGTTATATTAATTTTAATACACAAAGATTTTCTCAAGTTCTATTTTTACAGTTCTATTATGTTTAATATAGACTCTTTTCTAAAATGGTTCACTTGCACTCATCACTAGAGGATCAAATTGAAATAAATATAACATGTGAGATGTGGCTATAAATTAAGGATCTCAGCTGAAAATCAGTTTCATTACCTTAAAGACGCATTTTTTTTTCGAGATAGGGTCTCTGTCACTCGGGCTAGAGTGTAGTGGTAGGATCACAGCTTACTGCAGCCTCGACCCTCCGGGCTCAATAGCTCGCTCACCTCAGCCTCCCGAGTAGCTGGGACTACAGGTGTGCTGCAATGCCCGACTAATTTTTGTATTTTTTATAGAGATGAGATTTCACCGTGTTGCTCAGGCTGGTCTTGAACCCCTGGGTTCAAGCAATCCACCTGCCTCGGCCTCCTAAAGTGCTGGGATTTCAGGTGTGAGCCACTGCACCCAGCCTAAAGACACATTTAATATTATACCTTAAAGTAAAAAGATTTTACCTTAAAGTGAAAAGAAGCTTTCTGAAAAGTATTTTGTAAACATTGCCGCTAGCACTCTAATTTAAGTAACGTTTTATCTCAATTTCTGTAACATTTATTGTCAATAGAGTCTAAAATTTTAGTTTGAGTTTTCAGGTAGCATTTGCAAGACATGCACATACAATTTTAGAAAAAGTTTAGATTAGGTTTCAGGAACAGTTCCCTGCTTATGTTTTAGGAATTTCAAAAAAACTGTCTTTTGTACCAGAGATGGGGAACCTCTGGAGATTCAAGACCAAATTTGCTTCAGTTTATCAGGCCAATAATAAGTTCAGCAAAAGTTTAATTAGTTTGTGATGGATAGGGGCTAAGAGTGAAACTCAGCAATGTAATATACTCTATCCTCATATCTTTCAAAATAAAATAAGTGAAAACATGTTATATATCTGTATACCTCTATTTAATTGCTTCACTTTTTGGTTCCTGTTTGCTTTTTTTGGTAAGCTCATTTGAAAAGAGTTCCACTCCTCCATGATTGTTTTTGTAAGTGGCTGGTGCTTTTTTAATAGTAGTGTGTCCTTTTATATATTTCTACAGTAGTGATCCTTTATAGAATAAGGCTTTTTTTTACTCCTATTTTAAACCTCTTAAGAAGTTTCGGTAAAAAGTACTTATTTTTATAATGATCTCACAGTGTAACAAAAGTCACAGTGGTGCATGCCTGTAGACCCAGCTACTTGGGAGGCTGAGGCAGGAGGATTGCTTGAGCCCAGGAGTTTGAGGCTGCAGTACACTATGATTGTGTCTGTGAATAGCTACTGTACCCTAGTCTGGGCAACATAGCAAGACCCCATTTCTAAAAAAATAAAGTCACTTTAAAAGTGTGGGTACCAGGCCAGGCACGGTGGCTCATGCCTGTAATCCCAGCACTTTGGGAGGCAGAGGCGGGTGGATCACGAGGTTAGGAGATGGAGACCATCCTGCCTAACATGGTGAAACCCCGTCTCTACTAAAAATACAAAAAAATTAGCCAGGCATGGCGGCGTGCGCCTGTAGTCCCAGCTGCTGGGGAGGCTGAGGCAGGAGAATGGCGTGAACCCGGGAGGGGGAGCTTGCAGTGTGCCGAGATCGCACCACTGCACTGCAGCCTGGGTGACAGAGCAAGACTCTGTCTCAAAACAAAACAAAACAAAAACCAAAAAAAAAAAAAGTGTGGGCACATTTAATTTCCTCCTCTAAAAATGCAGTATATTGTTGATGTTTCTGAAAAGCAAAAAAAATATGTGCAGTAAGTTATTTCTTTTCTGAACAGATATTTATGGGTTGACTGCCAGGTGCCACTGCTTAAGGTGCTGGGGATACAAAGGTGAGTTAGAACAAGTCCCCACCCCCATGGAGCTTACATTCTAGAAAGGGGAGACAGACTAATAAATCAAGCATCCAAATAATTTGAGATTGCAGTAAATTCTGTGAAAGAAAGAAATAGAGTGTAATGAAATTGTGTAACTGGGGTAGGGAGGAAGAAGGGAAGGAGAAAGGTATTTCCTTGAGATGAGGGAGATGGGCATTTGAACTGAGACAAGAATGAGGAGCCAGGTGTGTGAGAGCCTGCAAGGAAGTGTTCCAGGTCCAGAAAGCAGCCACTGTGAAGGTTTGGAGTGGGGAAGAGCTGGGTGAGCATAAGGACCCAGAGGACAGTGTGGGTGGAAGACAGTGAAGGAGTGGGAGAATGGGTGAGAGGAAAGTAGGAATCAGATGTAAAGGGCCTTTTGGTCACAGTGAGAAATTTGGATTTTGGTATTAATATGTCATAGTATTTAACTCATAAGGCAGAATGTAAATTTTCCTTTTGTTAACAGGAAAAAACTAACTTTATTGTATGTATTATATTTAGAGTTTGAAGGAGAGAGCAGTTGCTACTTTATAAGATGAAAAAATACTGTTTTTGTAGTGTGATATTAGTGTAATTAATAGTATTAAGGATGCCCTTAGAAATATAAGCAGGAGGGTCTTGAGAACTTGGAAATATATTTCAACTTGTGTTCCCAATTGTCAGATTCAATATAGCTGTTGTTTTAGTTTTGCTTTCTGGTGTAGGTAAGGCATGTGTTAATTATTTTCAGATCTTGGGATAACTAGAAGTCTATAATGTTGATGTCTGTCTATATGAATTACCATTTCAACATTCCATAGTTTTAAGTGATGTAGTGTTTACCTTAAATATTAAGACTAGTTAGACTCATAATCTTCCCTAAAAAGTGGTGTTCATTTGTAATTCTGACATCAGTGGCCTATCAAGGTAACTTTCTTCAAGCTACAGAACATTTCACTTTTTTCTTTTCTCCCCTTCCTTCCTCCCTCCCTCCCTCCCTTCTTCCTTCCTTCCTTTTCTTCCCCCTCCTCTTCCTCTTCTTTTCTTCTTCTCCTTCTCCTTCTTCTCTTTCTTCTCTTTCTTCTTCTTCCTCTCTCTCTCTCCCTCCCCTCCCCAACTCTTCTTTTTATAAAACTTTTACCCCCTTTCCTAGAGTGCTGATACAGAACCTTTCAGATGGCTGTACTTATTCAACATGATGTGTCCTCACATATAAGATCACATATTAATTTCTGGCCAGGCGCGGTGGCTCAGGCCTGTAATCCCAGCACTTTGGGAGGCCGAGGTGGGCGGATCACCTGAGGTCGGTCGGCAGTTCAAGACCAACCTGACCAACATGGAGAAACCCCGTCTCTACTAAAAAATACAAAATTAGCCAGGCGCGGTGGCGCATGCCTGTAATCCCAGCTACTCGGGAGTCTGAGGCAGGAGAATCGCTTGAACCCAGGAGGCGGAGGTTGCAGTGAGCCGAGATTGCGCCATTGCACTCCAGCCTGGGCAACAAGAGTGAAACTCCATCTCAAAACAAACAAACAAACAAACAAAATCGCATATTAATTTATTCGCCTAGTTTGTGTTACTTTATTTTCTAAGCCCAGAACCTTAAGATAGCTTCAATTATACTGAAAAGATATGCAAGAAATGATAGATGGATTATATAGGAGTTGAAGTAAAAAGTTAAAGCTAATTCTATATGTGTTTTAAAGGACTTATTTAGCAACATCAATGATACACAGAATAAATTCAACTGAATTTAAGAATGGAGTATGAAGTAGCAAGTGCTAGGAACAAAAATGAATCATATAAGTTAAACATTTATTTGGAGATGAATTTATACCGACTGATTTTTCAGGAAGGTAAGTAGTTTAAAGTAACAACTATCAATGGTAAACATATTTATAGTTGTACAATAGGTACATATAATAATCCTCTGAAATCTAATATAAAGTCTAAACCAAGATTTATTGTAGACAATATACTTTTTAAAGCATATGACTCTTAGGTTTTGAAAAGCACAACTGTAGTTCATCAAAATGTGCCCAAGGCACAAATACCATTTTACTCAGTCATTAGAAACTTTAGCATAATTGCTTAGTATAATCCAAAGAAAATATGAGCATTGACATCAGGGACTCTCCAATTTGTTAAGCAGTTGTTCCATAATTTTTGGCACCAAGATAATCCACATGTTGAAAAAGCAATTAATCATTGGTGTTAGTTATCAAGCTATGATTTTAGCTGTTTCCTCCCAAATGACCTGAAATGATAGAGTTCCTGATTTTATTTTTGTAATATTATTTCTGAGATCAAAAGTTTAAGTATGCCAATCTGGTCACAGTTGACCTGAGTTTCTTGTGTTATTAGATTTCTAAAGTACGTTATAACTTTATGTTTACAAAGATAAATGGTATTTCTTCTGGTAGTATATAGATAAAAATTTTAGAAACCTTTAGAAACCTATAGACTGATTATCTCAGAAGTAGTTACTTAAACTAGCATTTTGGCCCCAAGAAAGTAAATTTATTTGCTGTTGGAGCTTGTACTGAAAATAGGCCAAAATGACAGAACACACAACTAGACTTGCAATTTTCTAACAAGTATTTTATGAATACAATGGCATAGATACATCGATTATTAAACAGTGAATGACATTATGATCTCATTATAATTTAAACAGAATTATATTTTATAAGAATGAGCAAAAATAAAAGCTGTCATTCTGTGTAGTGTATCTTCCTGTCTTCAAAACTAGAACAAAAAACCACATTACTCACCATATAGGTATATTAAGTTATAGTTAAAACAATCCATAAATATAGAAACCTTGGATACTTAACAATCTGTGTTCAGTTGAGTTTACTCAGCTACATGTGGATACAGTGCAGACTTAGTAATATAAATGAACTCTTCTCTGCATGCATGGCTTGTGCATCTGTACCTCATCACTCACAGAACAGTTTTTGGAAACTTTGAAACTCTGCAATATGCAGCACACCTACCCTCCAACAGTTTCTCTGATTCACTGTAAAGTTCCTTATGCTCCTGCTCTCTTCTGTGTTTATTTTTAAGTGGCTGCTCTGTGGGGCAGTTTATTCTATTGTGCAATGCAGTGATTTTTCAAAGTCCTGAATACAAGGTAGTCATACTAATTTGTGACAACAATCTTCAGACTTGATCCCTCTAACAGAGCACATGATGTTTGGTCTCAGAGCTTATTTTCCAAATTGAGAAACAATGGAGCGCAAACAGCTATTCTTCCCCTATTGGCTTTTTTGTTCTTGGCAGTACTTGCGTGGTGTGTTGTTGTTAATCAATAAATAAAACGTGCAGATTGAAGTATTCATATAACTGGACAGTGTAACATAAAATGGTATTACAGGCATATTGTACATGTCAACAATATATATAAGGTCATGGTGTTGACTTTTTGGAACTAGGACCTTGAGATATTAAAGCAAGCTGGAAAATTTGGAACATCCTTGATTCTGGTATCTCACTGTCCTCCTTAACTGGCTCCAATCCCCATTCCATATCCAGTGACTTCTCACTCCATCTCTGTTCCAGCCTGGGCTTCTAGTCCTGCTGTGGCTCATTTTATTACTTGAACATTGGGATTTTTTATGATAATTGACATTTCCTGTATATTATCACCAAAGAGCTTTGGAAATTATCTCTGAAAAATTTGAAACTGAACAAAAAACAGACTTCACTTGGGAAAAATGGCCTTTTCAACTTTAAGTAGCTCAAGGCTGTAAGACAATGCTTTGCAGGAGAAGGCAACCCCAACTTAGTTTAGTCAACCCCAACTTAGTTTCTAAATGGTGGCTGCAAATTGAACCCTGATTTCCTAAAAGCTCAATGTTATAAACTGAACACTAATACTAAAAGTAATCATGAAAATAGATTAAAATGTAAAGAAGTGCTTAAAAATATTTGTAAAGGATCTCTTTAGTAAAGTAGCTACATTAAATGAAATGCAAATGCCTCACTCTGGGGCTGTTATTGCCTGGGCTGGGTGGTTGCTTGAGGGGACATTGGTGGTTGTGTCTGTGGCATCAATTGACCCACTGCTTGTGCATTTTGGTTTATTGTCCCTATTCCCAGCTCTAGAAGTAGCCCTTAATTGATCTCAGCAGTTGCTATATGTAATCCCAGAGGTGGGCTCATGACCTGTTAGGTCAATCAGAGTGAAGTCAGAATCTTTTTTTTGACAATGAGCTAATATATTCTTTTTAAGTTACTTTTTTGTTTTGTTTTGTGGTTACTTCCAACCAAGGAATCATTACTGAAATACTGACGCTTCTCAAAATGAGTCCAATGAAATTAGGACTGAAAAGCTTTCTTTCCCTGGTAATTCTCTGTTGTAAGCATAGGTATTTTCCATCCCACCAAGATAATTTTTTTTTTTTTTTTGAGACGGAGTCTCACTCTGTCATCTAGGCTGGAGTGCAATGGCGCAATCTCTGCACACTGCAACCTCCACCTCTGGGTTCAAGCACTCCCCTGCCTCAGCCTCCCGAGTAGCTGGGACTACAGGCATGCGCCACTACATATGGCTAATTTTGTATTTTTAGTAGAAACAGGGTTTTGCCATGTTGGCCAAGCTGGTCTCAAACTCCTGACCTCAGGTGATCCACCCGCCTCGGCCTCTCAAAGTGTTAGGATTACAGGCGTAAGCCACTGCACCCAGCATCCAAGATAATCTTAATAAGTTTACCAGTGTCAAATTAAATGTGGATTGTCAAATTAAATGTGAATAACTGTATTCAAGTCAGGTCAACTTGGTCAACTTGAAGTCAACTCCTGATCTCAAGTGATGCGCCCAGCTTGGCCTCCCAAAGTGCTGGGATTACAGGCGCCAGCCACCGTGCCCAGCCTCCAAGATAATAAGTTCACCAATGTCAAATTAAATGTGGAATGCCAAATTAAATATGAATAACTGTATTCAAGTCTTGGAATGAAAACTGCTAATATGTTTTCATGGTGACTTCAATGACTCCTTACTTTTTCATGTCAAAACCTTAACCATTTATTCATGTCTGTGAGAGAAACCTCAATTCATTTGTTTTCCGAGAATGACTCAATATGATGCTGGTGTTGCTATATCTATCTGTGGCAGTAACTGCAGATCTTGGCTGTTCTTTGGAGGCAGAAATGTTTTTCTTTCTTTTTTTCTGTACAGACAGGGTTTCACCTTGTTGCCCAGGCTGGTCCTGAACTCCTGAGCTCAAGCGATCCACCCACCTCAGCCTCTCAAAGTGCTAGGATTATAGGCATAAGCCACCGCTCCTGGCTCATGATTTTTGTTTTAAAGGGCATAAAAATAGAGGTCAGGTTGTGCCATCTGAAACTGGGGGGGGGGGGTTGCCTCCTTTAAAGGGATATAAAACAGACCAAAATGTTAATATATCAGCAACCAAGTATTTGGATATTAATTGGCTTCCTCATCTTAATCAAAAATCTGCCTCATTGCTAAATCTAACAAAACTCATGTTTTCTTTTCCTTGACCTTTTGTACCATGTGAAGTCACTGGTAAGTTCCTATTTACTTATTTAATTTAGAGACAGGGTCTCACTCTGTTCCCCAGGCTGGAGTGCAGTGGCGCAATCATGGCTCACTGCCACCTCAACTTCCTGGGCTCAGGTGATCCTCCCACTTCAGCCTCCCAAGTAGCTGGGACCACAGGTGCATGCCACCACGCCTGGTTAATTTTTGTATTTTTTTGTAGAGATGGTTTTGCTATGTTGCCCGGGCTGGTCTCAAACTGCTGGGCTCAAGTGACCCTGCCGCCTCAGCCTTCCAAAATGCTGGTATTATGGGCCATGCCACCATGCCCTGCCGTAAGTTCCTTTTTAAAGGTTTCTTACTCCTTGGCTCCTGTGGTCTCCTCTTCCTCTGCCCATTTTAAATATCTGATGTTTCCATGATTCAGTCTTGGGCCCTCTTCTCATTCTTTATTCTCCAAGGGTTATCTCATTTGCTGTCATCTAGGCTTTACTGCCAAATCTCTCAACAGGAAGCTCTTAGAAAACACAATCTAGTACATTTTTGCTCTGTTTAAAACTCTCTAACTCCCTAATGCTGTTAGGATAAACTCCAGAATGCCACCGCAGGATCTACCCTGGTCCTACCTCTGAAGTCATCTTGTCACTCCCCAAGTCCTACTGACATATATACATATATATACACATACACATACACACACACACACACACACACACACACACACACACACACACACACACACACACATATATATTTTTTTTCAGACAGGGTCTCACTCTGTCACCCAGGCTAGAGTACAGTGGTGCGATCACGGCTCACTGCACCCCCAACCCCCTGCCACTGGCTCAAGCGATCCTCCCACCTCAGCCTCCCAAGTAGTTGGGACCACAGGCGCGCACTACCACACCTGGGTATTTTTTTGTACTTTTAGTAGAGATGGCGTTTTGCCATGTTACCCCAGGCTGGTCTCGAACTGCTGAGCTCAAGCAATTCTCCTGCCTCAGCCTCCCAAAGTGCTGGGGTTACAGGCGTGAGCCACCATGCTTGGCCCTACTTACCAATCTTAAGTCTAACTGAATCTCATTTCCTTGAAGGTTCTAGGTTCTTGCTTTCTACCTCTGAGCTTCTACACACTGCTGTACTCCCTGCCTGTAATAGTAACCACCTCCCTGTTACTCTCTTCTGGCTAATCCTTTCATGTTTCAACTTAATGGTCAGGCCACATCCTTCAGGAAGCCAACTTTGCTAACCCCTCTTGAGGACATGCATTCCTCCCCATGAGTCCCCAACACACTTTATTTCTCCCCTCACAGCAGTATCTTTAAGTTCTTGTTAATTAAGCTTTAGCCTCCAGAAGTTCTGTGAGGACAGTGGCCATGTCTAGCTTGTTCAGCATATTTCCAGAGAGTAACAGTCACCAGCTCAGGAAAGGTATGTGATGAATATTTGAAGGACTAGATACCCTGTGCTAGGCTGTCTCTAATAAGTATTTGATTTTCAGGAAAATAATTTATGGTACTACTCAGCTAATGTTTTGTAGGAACATTAAAAGTGTTCCTAATACATTATTAAAATAATGAACTGTTAAATTATATTTTACTTACAGACAGTCAAAAGAAGGGACAAATTGAAAAGTGGTTCTGACAATCAGTATGGCAAGTGAAATGCTGAAATTGACTAATTTAGATAGTCTAAACTTAAAAATAGAAAGTTCTAATAAATATATTTTCTCTCATATTCAAGAACCGTAATGGATACTAGAAAAATATTGCGAATCTTCCCACAAAAAAATCAAAGGACAATTTCATTTTAAAGAGCTTTATTACAGGATATTAATATTTAGGACACTTCAGAGCACCTTATACTTCTAATCAGATTTTGGGTAACTGGTTTTAAAGTGTTACTTGAATATTTTTCTCATACTGTCTTTCAGGTAAAGTACTTCTCAGAGACTGTTTAAGAGATGTTAATTTGATTAAACAGTTTATCCTTAATAACCTGAGACATCAATCCATGGATAGCTTCTATGGTAGTTTTACAGCTGGAAAAAAAAACACACATCACATGATGTCATAAATTGAAAACTATTTCAAACACACAAGATCAGCCCCAATCCATCCATGTAACTCCAATGAGTTTAGTTTTATTCATACTTCTCAAACCACCCCAATCTGAAGTTTTCCCTTGTGATTTTATTAGTCTTCCCCATGTCTTTTTGACCATTTCATTACTTACTAGAACTTTCACAAGAGAATGACAACGTAAAATTTGATACAATTGTTCTGTTTTAGAAGGTGAGTAAAATTATACAAACCTGTAATTAGAGATTGATTCTAATATTATATTATATTAAAATCTGTTATTCCTTGTTTATTACTTAGGATAATTTGACAAATAATTTTAAAGAATACTATGCTTTTTTCTGAAATAATCACAAGCATCCTCCAACAATCAGAAGTCAAACTTAGGTTAGCGGGTGAAGGCCTTAGATTTTAGAAATGATAAAAAGTATAAGGCAAAAGAAATGACAAAACCCCACCAATACTCAGAAGAGATGCAATTCTTGTAAAGCTACCCCAAAAAGGAAAATTCTCTACTTTTGATTACTACTTCTGTTCTATTTCTTATATAATTGAAGACATTGCCATAGTAAAATTTTTGCTTCATAATTAATAAATGTAGATAAACTGATAAATGACATACATAAAGACAGATGAACAAAACACACACTCAAAGCAAGTATCTAAAATGACTCCTGATGCCAACGAAAAATACTTTTTTTTGGAGACAGAGTCTCACTCTGTCACCCAGGCTGGAGTGCAGTGGCACAATCATGGGTCACTGCAACCTCTGCCTCCTAGGCTCCAGTGATTCTTGTGCCTCAGCCTCCTAAGTAGCTGGAACCACAGATCTGCGCCACCATGCCCAGCTAATTTTTTTTTTAAATTTTTGCAGAGATGGGGTTTTGCCATGTTGCCCAGGCTGGTTTCAAACTCTTGAGCTCAAGCAATATGCCTGCCTTGGCCTCCCAAAGGGCTGGGATTATAAGCATGCGTCACCATGCCCAGCCGAAAAACGCAACTTTTATGCAGGCCACTAGCTCTACCTTCTAAAAACCCACTGAGAAGATGGCAGTGAAATAAGGCTAACCCAAAATGACCTCCAATCCCAGGATACACTTTAGCTACTCTTTTCTCTTCTTTTCCCTATAAACCAAACCAGTTCTTAAAATAGATACCAACATATAAATGTTTATAGAAGTCAATATGTTTCTTCCTTCCTTTCTGCCTCTAATTATTGCATTACAATTCAAATTTCTTTTCTTTCTTTTTTTTTTTTGGAGACAGAGTTTCGCTCTTGTTGGCCAGGCTGGAGTGCAATGGCGCCATCTTGGCTCACTGCAATCTCCACCTCCTGGGTGGAGGTGATGCTTCTGCCTCAGCCTCCTGAATAGCTGGGATTACAGGTGCCCGCCACCACGCCCGGTTAATTTTTGTATTTTTAGTAAAGATGGGGTTTCACCATGTTGGCCAGGCTGGTCTTGAACTCCTGATCTCAGGTGATCTGCCTGCCTTGGCCTCCCAAAGTGCTGGGATTACAGGTGTGAACCACTGTGCCCGGCCTAAAATTCAAATTTCTGTGAAAGTAAATGTTATTAATCTTTGCAACTTTGTATAGCCTATATATCTGAAGGTCCACATAATTATTTCGTAAGTTATTAAAGAACACATCCCAAATTTGTTCCTAATAAAATCTTTGGTAGTAAAATTTGGGATACTAAATTACTGTTTTAGAAGCACAATTTAAGAGAGAGACAATCACTTCTGTAATATCTTAGGATTTAAAGCTTTATTGAATATTAACATCTTGTAAATTTAAGAAATCCTAATTTTGGCCGGGTGCGGTGGTTCATGCCTGTAATCCCAGCACTTTGGGAGGCCCAGGTGGGCAGATCACCTGAGGTCAGGAGTTCAAGACCAGCCTGGTCAACATGGTGAAACCCCATCTCTACAAAAAATACAAAAAAATTAGTCAGGCATGATGGCAGGTGCCTATATTCCCAGTTACTTGGGAGGCTGAGGCGGGAGAATCGCTTGAACCCGGTAGGCGGAGGTTGCAGTGAGCCAAGATCATGCCATTGCACTCCAGCCTGGGTGACAGAGCGAGATTCTGTCTCAAAAAAAAAAAGAAATCCTAGTTACACACACATACACACACACACACTTTAAAGATCCACTTAAGGGCTGCTTTTGTCACACTTTCTAGTTGAACCTAGAAAAGGTGACTGGGAGTGTTCCGTAACACTGCTTAGAACTTTGATTTAAGCCTTTTCATGTTCTTACCTGAGGTATCCTAAATTTTCAAAGTTAAAACTTGTGTCTGACAACTCCTAAAGTTTCCAAGAAGTTAATATTCAGGTACCATTCTAAGTTGTAACTAACTTGAGCCATAAGGAATCTGAATACTACTATTGTTTGCAAATTTTGAAAGAAAAAGAGTTAGGGGCAACAGGAATCTTATAGATTTACTCTTACCTGTCTCTTGTAGCTTTGGCAAGTTTGTCTTCTGATTTTCGGTCATGCGTTTCTAAACCCAACATGAAACTCCCTCGTCCCAGCTGGGCTTCTGACTGCTCTAACTTTTCAGACAAATCAAAGACCTGACCAGTGGTATAGTCTGCATTCTGTGGGGAAAGTGGTATTGTGTCACTGCAAAACACAAGTCTACCATTTAAAAATCTGTATATTTTAATGTAAACTAATTTTCTACAAAGAATATTTCATTTGCAAAGAATTCCACTGTAAAATCTGAGTGAATAGTCAGTGAGGAGAGAAGTCAAATTACATTTGCAAATCTGCTTCCAAATTCAGGCAGTTCAAGTGTAGATAGATGTTTTCCCTTTTATAATTTCAAGATTACTTGGAATTTTTCTCCTTGACTGCTTAAATCTAATTATTTGTTATTATGGCAGGCTTTGAAGTATACAGACCTAAGTCCAGGTTCTGGAACTATGGCATATTAGTTGAAGGCCTGAGGTATGCCTCCAGGTTTTCTTCTGAAAATGGTAAGGGAGTCGATAATTCCTACCTTAGAGCTACTGTGAAAGTTAAATGAAGTAATGCATATAAAGTTTTTGGGACTGTTCATGACACCTAGTAAAGGCTTAGTAATATTAGCTAATTTTGCTATTGTTTTTGTGGAACTTTCAGAATTAGTACTTATGACAATATTTATAAAAATAACATTTTAAAAGCTTTTCTGGGTCGGGCGCGGTGGCTCATGCCTGTAATCCCAGCATTTTGAGAGGCTGAGGCAGTTGGATCACCTGAGGTCAGGAGTTCGAGACCAGCCTGGCTAACAAGATGAAACCCTATCTCTACTAAAAATACAAAAAAATTAGCCGGGCGTGGTGGCAGGAGCCTATAATCCCAGCTACTCGGGAGGCTGAGGCAGGAGAATCGCTTGAACCCAGGAGGCGGAGGTTGCAGTGAGCCGAGATTGCGCCATTGTACTCCAGCCTGGGCAACAAGAGCAAAACTCTGTCTCCAAAAAAAAAAAAAAAAAAAAAAAACAAACACTTTTCTGGTTACAAAATTAATAATTATACAAAAATATTTGGAAAATGTAGAGCAATATAAAGAAGTAAACAAACACATCTATAATCTCTTCACTTAGCTATAACTGCAACTAAAGAGCATTGCTATATGCTCACATGTATATCTACATTTGAGAAACTATAATATTACATATTTTACCAATATTTTTATGGGGTATCACTTTTTAATTGCAGTCTAAAACACAAAAAAAATTTCACAAAGTTATTAAGTATACATTATATTTCTTTCCTAGATCTTCAATAGAAGAGTATGAAGAGGAAATAAACTAGTTGGCAAAAAGTAGTATGTCGTTCTATTTGCTCAGTTTGCAAGGAAAGACAGTCAGTCACCAAACAAGAAAAGTTATTTGCTGCCATCACAGCTTACTATAGGGGGCTCTTTAAAATGCTACCAGTTCTTCCAATGATTTTTACAAACTTAATATTTTTTAAAAGATGCAATTATATTCATTTGGTCTGGATCTAAATGGTTTAGGAAGCCAATGTATTTTCCTCCCACAGACTTGGAAAAAACCCTAAAGTTTATAGAGCTATTTAAGCCATAAAAATATAGGCTACCAGAAATAGTTATACTATTAAAATGACAATAAAAGATATCCAATTACATTTCAAATGTGCAGAAAATGAATATACTAAACTAATTTCTTAAATTTGAAAATAACTTAGGTTACATGCTATAATTAACGTCCTTAGCTGGGGGAAGAGAGAAGTTGAACATATATCTACATATTTGTTCTTAAAATGCTGCAATGTACTATACATAAAACAACAAGGGAGAAATGTAATTTAACCTTTTCTTGATTATTAATGTCCTCATGTATGCAGTGCTGGAATACAGGGACAGACATTGGGCTGAGTAGGTAGATCTGCTTGCCTCATACAAAGGTTCAGACTGTTCTGGTCTTAACAGTGTTTTCTCCCCTTGCCATCAGGTGTCACTTCTGGCTGCTATTAATATACTTGCCTCTAAGGAAACAACACATATAAAACACTTAGCAGTTTCTGGCACATAGGAAGCATGTAACACATATTTGCTATTATGATCATTCTCCATCCTAATTTGCTACTTCTGACTACTAAGGATAAGAAATAAGAACAGATACTGGGCGCCGTGGCTCATGCCTGTAATCCCAGCACTTTGGGAGGCCAAGGTGGGCAGAAGGCTTGTGCCCAGAAGCTCCAGACCAGCCTGGACAACATGGCAAAACCCTGTCTCTATGAAAAAATATAAAAAATTAGTCAGGCATGGTGGTGTACATCCTGTAGTCAGGAGGCCGAGGTGGGAAAATCACCTGAGTCCAGGAGGTCCAGGCTATAGTGAGATGTGATTGCACCACTGCACTTCAGCCTGGGCAACAGAGTGAGACCCTGTCTCAAAATAAAATAAAATAATAAAATAAATAAAGTAAAATAAAATAATAAAATAAAATATAAAATAAAATAAAAGGAAAAAAGGAAAAAAAGAACAGAAAGCTTGTCAGAGTTGTATTTAAAATAACAGTAAATACACTGCTTCACTTGACTAGCCTAAAAAAAATTCCAGCCGGGCGCGGTGGCTCACGCCTGTAATCCCAGCACTTTGGGAGGCTGAGGCGGGTGGATCACGAGGTCAGGAGTTCAAGACCAGCCTGGCCAAGATGGTGAAACCCCATCTCTACTAAAAATACAAAAAATTAGCCGGGCGTGGTGGCACGCACCTGTAATCCCAGCTACTCCGGAGGCTGAGGCAGATAACTGCTTAAACCTGGAGGGGTGGAGGTTGCAGTGAGCTGAGATTGCACCACTGCACTCCAGCCGGGGTGACAGAGTGAGACTCCATCTCAAAAAAAAAAAAAAAAAAAATTCCAGTAAATAATAGGCTTAAGTGAGGTCTTTTCCCATGAATATAATGCACCAAATTAAAAAAAATCATTAATTGAGGCTTTATTATATGCCAGACACTTTGCTAATTGCTTTATATAAAGTAGCCCATTTAATTTTCTCAGAGTACTTAATGATGTATGTAGCATATCAACATTTTACAACAAAGAAATGCTTAGTCACATTAAATAACTTTCTGAAAGTCATTCAGAACTAGTAAAGTGGCAGAGTTGTTTTCAAAGTCAGTTTTATTTTTTAGTATAGATATCATTTGTTTATTATAGAAGAGACATGGCAATTATTTACATAATTAAATATTTCAGAACTTAAGTGCAATGAGCAGCTTCATGTTGATGGCATTTCAATAGTGATTTACTTCAGTCTACATACTTTCTAAGAATGTCAGCATCTCTAAATAAGAAATAATCTGGCTGGGCATGGTGGCTCACGGCCTGTAATGGCACTTTGGGAGGCCAAGGCGGGCAGATTGCTCAAACCCAGGAGTTCAACGCCAGCTTGGGCAACGTGGCAAAACCCTGTCTCCACAAAAAGATACAAAAATTAGCCAGGTGTGGTGGCTCACCCTTGTAGTCCCAGCTACTTGGGAGGCTGAGGCAGAAGGATCGCTCAAGCCTGGGAAGTTGAGGCTGCAGTGAGCTGAGATCGTGCCACCACAATACCCTGGACAACAGAGACAGAGACCCTGTCTCGAAAAGAAAAAGAAAAAAAAAAAATCCTTGGCCTTCCAGGTCAACTGAATAAACCTGAAGAGTTGCAAAGTAGTTCTTTACTTTTGTGCCTCCATATTCTGGGAGAATAATTCTTTATCTCTAACTTTCACATTAACTGGTTGAATCCACCTTTTCCTTGAAAGCTCAATCCAACAACTACTGTTGCTTGCAATGCTTTACCTTGAGATTTTTCTGGAAGCGTAATGCCTCCTTTGGTTACAGTTTCAGCTGTACTCCTTTCAACCAATACTCCATCAAAGAGCATAAGAAACTTCTAAGTGCCGGTCCTGCTATGACTCCTGCTGCTGTAGCTCATATTCTCCAAACCCAGTTTATTTAATTCTAAATCCTGTGGTTCTAACCACTATATATACTGCAGTATATGAAATGGCCTACTTTTTTAGAAAAATAAAAAAATTGTTCCTAAGTTCTAAATATAGAGAAGTTTGTTAAATAATATCCTACCAAATATGTTAAGTTTTTATGATATTATCAGAAAAAATTCAGTGATACTCTCTTTTTTTTTTTTTTTTTGAGACGGAGTCTCACTCTTTCACCTAGGCTGGAGTGCAGTAGCGCGATCTCGGCTCACTGCAGGCTCTGCCCCCCGGGGCTCATGCCATTCTCCTGCCTCAGCCTCCCGCGCAGCTGGGACTACAGGCGCCCACCACCTCGCCCGGCTAATTTTTTGTATTTTTAGTAGAGACGGGGTTTCACCGTGTTAGCCAGGATGGTCTCGATCTCCTGACCTCATGATCCGCCCGCCTCGGCCTCCCAAAGTGCTGGGATTACAGGCGTAAGCCACCGCGCCCGGCCTCTTTTTTTTTCTCCTAGTATCTACTGCTTTAAAGTAATGCTCTTCTGATTCACTCTGGGAACCTCTCCTCCCCATTTTTAGTCCTTGAGCTCCTGAAGGAGTTTTCTACGCTGCGGCTCAGCAGTAAAGCACTTGCCGTGGCGCAAGCCGCTCATCAAGCTTATTCAGTTGGCCCACACCAGGCCTAAACATGGGCATGTGATTAAGTAAAGCCAGTCAGACACAATGAAGTTTTGCCCGGAAATATGTGAGTGTGAGTGTGTGTGTGTGTGTGTGTGTGTGTATCTTGACCTGGAAATATGTGAGTGTGAGAGTGTGTGTGTGTGTGTGTGTGTGTGTGTATCTTGACCTTCTTTTTGAACATGAAGCTGAGAGACTTGGAGGTCTAAAGCTAAAGCTGCCGTCTTGCTTTCACATGAAGCCTGAAACTAGCGTTAACTAAGATGAAATCAATGCTAAGAGAAAGAAAAAAAAAAAAAAGACCTCATAATATTGGTTGAATGCAAACTTAGCTGTGCCTGAGTTAAGCCCTATTCCTCAACTTTGCAACTTACACAATTCCCTTTCTTGTTTAAGCTCGTTTCATTAGGTATCCTGTTACTTGTAACCAGAGTCCAAGCTGAGACACTTGATACACAAAAATCAATATGTGTATTTTTTTAATCCATAAATCTCCTTATGGCAGGGGCAGATCTCACCCTGATCTGGACACTCTGTTTGCTACTTAGACTTGGTCTCTGTGGGTCATGACACAGATCCTGAATTGGCCTAGAATCCTAATCCAGCTGTGGTGGTGCAGAATCCCACCCTAGCCCTGGTGTCTTGGCCAAGTCAGGTATAGCCTTTCTGTGAAACAGTGTTTCAGATATTAAACGGCTATGAAGCTTAGATAAAATTCAAATGCATTCTTTACAAGTATAGTACTTACAGTAAGCAAGCTAGAAGAACTCAACGTATTCACCCAGTATTTATTCCACAACAGCTCAAGCAATTTGCGATCCAAAGAGGATTTGAAATATGAGACTTCTAAGGCATAATATCTATGAAATAAAAGCATAAAATTTAGTAAGTAAAAAAAAAAATTCAACTACGTCACATAAAACTTATGGCCAGATTTAAGTGAGTTACACTTTATTCTCAAATATTCACATTTTAGTCTTTATTCCAATAAGGCAATAGCTAACCATGGTTTCCTCACACTTCAAGGGTTGTGGATCCAAATCTCCTACTAAACTTCTTGTTTTATTCCTTTTTTTCTGTAGAGCCCAGAAATTCCCCAAATGTTATTAACAACCAGTCAAAACTTCTGAATGACAAGTTTATTCCTGTTACTGAGTTCATAAATTCAAGCCAACAGCACATAAACTTAATAAGCTGCCTCTCTAGGGTCAACTATAATTTTTGTTAGCCTCTTTAAAATAATAAAAATGACATGTGGATTCCATTCTTCCCTTCCTAATTCCCCAGTTAGGACCTACTGCTTTTTGAAAAGCAAATTTTAAGGTAGGTCCTTAAGGCATCTAAAATAATTGCTCCCACTTTCAAAGGTGCCTAATTTATCATCAGGGCATAGTAAGGAAAAATCTAGTTAAATGTCTGAAAAATACATATATTTTTAAGATGTAAACTTACATCTTAAACTTACACATGCTTCTGTGTATCAGTGGATATAAAAAAGCATGAGACATCTTTACCTTAAGGAACTCAACATTTATATGGGGGATGTGGTCTAAACCCACATCAAAATTAAATATAATGATATACATTGAATAACAATAAGTGATGCTACAGTGCTATATAAAATGAATCACCTACCAACTAAGGGTTAGAGATAATAAGTATTCTTCATATAGAGGAGCTCAAGCTAGAACTGCCTGAGAAGCCTCAGGGAAAAGGCAAGGTGTAGGGTAAACATTTTTGAGTCTATGGTATGGATATGTGGAGAGCAAGGAGGGCATTAGGCAGAGAGCATCAACACACAAAAAGGAAAGACATGTAAGAGATAATAAGGCAATGGGTTTAGCTGGAAAATTTAGCAAGAGAAGAATTATGTGAGGGGAAGCTAGAAAGCTATGCTGGGGTCTAGGTGGTGAAGGATGTTACACAAAAGGTTAAGAATTTTTTTTTTTTTTTTGAGACAGAGTCTTGCTTGGTCACCCAGGCTGGAGTGCAATGGCACAATCTCAGCTCACCACAACCTCTGCTTCCCGGGTTCAAGCGATTCTCCTGCCTCAGCCTCCCGAGTAGCTGGGACTACAGGCTCCCTCCACCATGCCCAGCTAATTTTTGTATTTTTGGTAGAGATGGGGTTTCACAATGTTGGTCAGGCTGGTCTTGAACTCCCAACCTCAGGTGATCTGCCCGCCTTGGCGTCCCAAAGTGCTGGGAGCCACAGTGCTCGGCCAAACTTTGGGAGACGGAGGCAGAAGAATCGCTTGAACCCGGGAGGCAGAGGTTGAAGTGAGCCGAGATCGCGCCACTGCACTCCAGCCTGGGCAACAAGAGCAAGACTCTGTCTTAAAAAAAAAAAAAAAAAGAAATTTAAACTTTATCCTGTAGATACCCGGGACTCTTGGAAGGTGCTTGAGTAGAATGGAAGGTACTTGAGTAGAGTAATAATACAGTCAAAGGGGTGTTTTATAGTACCATTAGGAGATATTACAGGAGAGAAACTGGAGGCAGGGATTCCACAAAGGAAGCCACTGCAGCAGGGAAGATGAGAAGAGACAGAGGTTCAGACTCAGAGGTTAGTGGTGCGAAAGATAAAGACACATAGGCACCCTTTTAAAAACAGAATGCTTTTTCTGAGCCGCAATCTCACTCTGTCACTTAGGCTGGAGTGCAGTTGTGCTATCTGGGCTCACTGCAACGTTTGCCTCCCAGGTTCAAGTGATCGTTCTGCCATAGCCTCCCGAGTAGCTGGGATTACAGGCGCCCACCACCATGCCCAGCTAATTTTTTGTATTTTTAGCAGAGACAGGGTTTCACCATGTTGTCCAGGCTGGTCTCGAACTCCTGACCTCAAGTGATCCACCGCCTCAGACTCCCAAAGTGCAAAAATGCTTACGGATTAAAGTTTAGCGTGAGGAAATAAAACATAATAAATTAAACACATCATGCTGGGCGTGTTGGCTCACGCCTATAATCCCAGCACTTTGGGAGGCTGAGGCAGGTGGATCACCTGAGGTCAGGAGTTCGAGACCAGCATGGCCAACATGGTGAAACCCTGTCTCTACTAAAAATACAAAAATTAGCTGGGTGTGGTGGTGTGTGCTTGTAATCCCAGCTACTCGGGAGGCTGAGGCAGGAGAATCGCTTGAACCTGGGAGGCGGAGGTTGCAGTGAGCCGAGATGGCACCACTGTACTCCAGCCTGGGTGACAGAGTGAGACTCCATCACACACACACACAAAGAACATTTTTGGGCCGGGCACGGTGGCTCACGCCTGTAATCCCAGCACTTTGGGAGGCTGAGGCGGGCAGATCACGAGGTCATGAGATTGAGACCATCCTGGCTAAGACGGTGAAACCCCATCTCTACTAAAAATACAAAAAATTAGTCGAGCATGATGGTGGGCGCCTGTAGTTCCAGCTACTCGGGAGGGTGAGGCAGGATAATGGCGTGAACCTGGGAGGCAGAGCTTGCAGTGAGCCGAGATCACACCACTGCACTCCAGCCTGGGTGACAGAGCAAGACTCCATTTAAAAAAAAAAAAAAAAAAAGAACATTTTAGCAATTCCAGGTTCAAAATTCTAGTCTTTAGCAATGTAGGCCGCTAGCAAAGTAGCTATCCCTCTTTGGTAGGCTCATATTTCAGAGTGGCAAGGTAAGGTGTTTGCCAAAAGAAAGTTATTTAAGGATTGGTACGCAACACGATCTTAAAAAAAAAAGTTATTTAAGGAAGACAGAAGGATAAACTAACGGAATAGACAAACAGGGAAAGTAGATCTGTTTGAATACGGAAAACATAAACTGTCTCAATCTTTTTTTGTTTTGAAGTATAAACCTTTGATACAACTCAATATAAATAAAAAAAATTGAGAGTTCCTCTGAAGATTAAAGTATCACAGCAAAGGTATTTCCAGGCTTAGGAGCAATTCTCTCAAACAGGAATCATTTAAATTCTTTTTAATAGGGCAAATTAAATAATTAACACTAAACTTCTATCTGAATATATATTTGTTTCTATAGCTGGGCACAGTGGTGTGCCTGTAGTCCCTGGGCAACCTAGTGAGACTCCATCTGAAATAAAAAAACAGGAACCAAAAAAAAGGAAGAAAAGAGAATTGTATTTACAGAAATATGTCAGAGATTATTGAAAACCACATATATTTAAGAATTTAATTTTAGAAATTCTAGAATTTTCTAAGAACTTCTAAATAGAAAAATTAGAGCAGTAGTAGCACATGGGTAGCCAAAGTATTCTTTGAAGTTGGCATAAGTGGTACAGAAAAAGAGGGCAGTAGATAATCATTTATTCATTTAAGCAGCAATTTTTTTTGGTGCCCTCTTCTATGTGGCATGCCCTGTTTTAAATCCAAGGATACAGCAGTAAATTTGTGTTCACATTCTAAAGGGGTCAAAAAAAAGATGTCAAAACATATCAGATGGTTACAGTGCTAAGAAGAAAAAGCGGGGAAAGAGGAAACAGAGGTGTTACTTTACATAGGTAAAATACTACACCATGATCATGCCTAATGAACTAATGAACATTTTCTGTTAGCACGACCCTGTAAACAGATACTCAATGCTTAAAGCAGTTAGTGAGCCACATGGAAATAAGAGCGTTCTAGGCAGAGGGAACAGCAAGTGCCAGTGCTCTGAGCCATGAGCCTGCTGGCACATTTTACAAACCATAAGGAAGTCAATATGGCTGGATTGCAGACCAGCAGAAGTTCAGTGATAGGACATGAGCTCACAGAGGCTGTAGGAGCCAGACCACACAGAGGTGTGCAGTCTGTGATAAGGACTAAGGATCTTGTTCTTGGTAAGATGGGAAGTCATTCTGAAAAGGAAGAGGATTATCCGGCTTACATCTTAACAGAATCAGTCTGGCTGAAAACAGAGCTTTAAGAAGTGAAGGGCACAAGTAGAAAGACTCGCCGGAAGGCAAGTGCTTGATTGGGGCTCCAGATGGCAGTGGCTTGGGTGAAAAGGATAGTAAAAGAGGTGGTGAGATATATTTAGAAGGTAGAGAAAACTGTCCCCATTGGCTTCTTTAACATTAAAATAATTTAAGATATAATTCATACATCATAAAATTCACCATCAAAAAAGGTACGTAGGCCGGGCACAGTGGCTCACACCTGTAATCCCAGCACTTTGGGAGGCCGAGGCGGGTGGATCACGAGGTCAGGAGTTTGAGACCAGCCTGGCCAACACGGTGAAACCCTGTCTCTACTAAAAATACAAAAATTAGCTAGGTGTGGTGGCACACACCTATAATCCCAGCTACTTGGGAGGCTGAGGCAGGAGAATTGCTTGAACCTAGGAGGCGGAGGTTGCAGTGAGCCAAGATCACGCCACTGCACTCCAGCCTGGGCAACAGAGCAAGACTATGTCTTGGGGGTGGGGGGAGGGTATGTAATACAGTGGTTTTTAGTAAGAATTCTTACACTTTTATAACTTTGACTTTTTAATATGGCTTCTTTAGTCTTTCAAATCTTTCAAAGATTAGAAAGAATCTTTGTTCAGTAGAAATTATATATTTTGAGGGCTGCAGACATGCTAGTGTCAGCTGGTCCTGAACCCATCTTTCACTTGTTATAATTTTATGTAGGCCAAATATCTTGTACATTAGAAAAAGTTTAGGTTGTTTAAAAGGCAAATGACATGCTAGTTTGAAACATTAATAAAAAATGCAAAAGAAAAAAATTTAAAAATGCAAACATTTACCTAAATTCATATACTATTATTGTAAAAGCTATCATGAAATGCATTTTGTCTATGCCTTTTGTCTCATCTGTAAAATAAGGGGCTTGGACTGGTTGATATCTAAGGTTTCTTTAGGCCTCCTGAGTGCTGGGACTACAGGACTGTGCCACTTCATCTGGCTAACTTTTATAACATTTTTTGTAGAGATGGGGTCTCACTATGTTGCCCAGGCTAGTGTCGAATTCCTGTCCTCAAGCAATCCTCTCACTGTGGCTTCCCAAAGTGCTGGGATTATAGGTGTGAGTCACCGTGCCTGGCCCAGATATGTTTTTAAATTACTTACTGTTTGCAGTGTACACCAAAATCTTCTATTTTATTAAGTGGAATAGTCTGGTACTCAGAAGGTCCTTCATCAGGAGGTTTGTAGCCCTAAACAAAAATGAGGTAAACAGAAGATTAAGAAAAAAAAAAAAAAAAATATATATATATATATATATATATATATATATATATATATATATATATATATATATATAAAAATGAGAAAAACATGTTTTCTATGGAGCTTTCTAATAATAGGATTATTAACTTTCGGAGGCAAATATTTAACATGAGCATTCTAATAAAAAAAAAATACTGTTTCTACTTTCCCCCCACCCAGTTTGGTGGCTGTAGGCTGGATTTTGCTTACAGATTTATTTTTCTTCTCCTTAGGTGATGTACTTTTGTTCTAATAACTATTTCAGATTGCGGCCTCCTGCCAGGGAAGGAAATAGACCTATAGATTTAGCTTGTTTTTTCTCTAGTACCTGGCAGAATGCCACAGGCACACAGATACTTATTAATAAATAAAGACTGCTTTTCCAGTAAAATTAACAATATATAACATAAATGTATTACCCTTTGCTAGGGACAGCTTGTGGTAGTTTACTATTTTGTAAATATTATTGAATTGTTTTAATAACAAGAGATATTGCTAATGTCTTTAATAATAAGTCAAATATTTGGAATTTAAAAAATGTAAGGACTTATAATTTTAAAAATTACTAAGCATTCCTACCGTCCCAGCTACTTGGGAGGCTGAGTTGGCTTGAGCCTAGGCGATGAAGGCTGTAGTACACTATGATCATGCCTGTGAATAGCCACTGTACTCCAGCCTAGGTAACACAGTGAGACTCTAACTCTTAAAAAAAAAAAAAGTTACCTTTGGGTATGTCCTAAAGGCGCCAAGATTCACTTTCCCTGCGGATATTGTTCTTGTTGGATCAATCTATAAGAAAGATATATTTAATATCTGCTGATATAAAACTGTATGCCTTTTATTTAAACATTATAAACCTAGAAATGTATACATACATATAACACTATATACATACATAATAACCAAATAAGAATAAACCAAAAAACCATAAAAGTTCAGTAAGAGGGTAATATAAGTGTCTCACAGCTAACTTAGAGATTCAAATTATTATAACATTTAAGAATATTATTTGAAGGTTTGCTCATCTATTTTTAAAAAGTTTTCTTTTGTCCTTTTAAGAGGTGAATAACTCCTACCTTCCTCATAAAACCTGGATTGCACTTAAAACACCCTGAACATAATAAGAGCTGCTCTAGCAATTCCTGCTTAACTCAGTTCAGTCAACACTGATTGAATGCCTATGATGAGCTGGCACTGAGACATAGATGCTATGACTACCCACAATTTACAGAGGGGAGAAGCAAGATACACAGTGGTTAAATAATTTGCTCAAAGTCCCAGCTTCTAAGAGATGGAATTCACATTGAAACCTAGGCAGACTGATACCAGAGCAATTTCTCTTTACTACACTATTCTTATTTCTCAGTATACTTGCTTCAGCAAATCTTCATAAAGAACTTAATTAAACTGGTTTTAAAATTCTTACCACCACTGCTACAAATGGTTCCTGGAACTGCTGATTGAGCATCTGAGTACTAACATCAATCCCAGAAAGCCAGCAGCCATAGCCAGGGTGGCTATGATACCACCCGATTGCATTTTCAAGGCGGCCAACCTAACAAATGAAGGGGCAAAAAAGTTTAAGATTACTCTTTAATTAATTTACAAGGTACCAGTACAATAAGGGTAACCAGTCTCCTTCCCATCTCCTTCTCCTCAATTACCCACTTTTCTCAGCCCAGATGCGAAATCTATGGGCAATTGCTTACCCTTACAGAGATATTCTTTGTATACAGAATACATATTCTTTGCACATACATAGATTGATAAAAACACACACAATAGCATACCACATAACATAATAATGTTTTACACTTTGTTTTTTCACTCAATAAACTGCTTTGGAGTTTGCTTCATATAAATCATCAATATATATGATGGTTATCTTTTTATTTTTTTTTCTTTTAAAGGCTGCCTGGCAGTCCACTGATGGATATACCATAATTTATTTAGCCAGTTTTATACTCAGGAACTGAGTTAGGTTGTTTCCAAATTTTTTATTTTAAACACGTATCTGATAATAAGTGTGAGAGTTTATTTAAAAAAAAAATAAAATCCATGCCATAGACCGGGTGCAGTGGCTCATGCCTGTAATCCCAGCACTTTGGGAGGCTGAGGTGGTGGATCACCTGAGGACAGGAGTTTGGGACCAGCCAGGCCAACACAGAGAAAACCCGTCTCTACTAAAAATAGAAAAATTATCCAGGCCTACTGGTGCACGCCTGTAGTCCCAGCTACTCAGGAGGCTGAGGAGGGAGAATTGCTTCAGCCCAGGAGATGGAGGTTGCAGTGAGCTGAGATCACGCCACTGCACTCCAGCCTGGGCAACAGAGTGAGTCCCTGTCTCGAAAAAAAAAAAACAACAACAACAAAAAACAAAAAAAACCATGCTATAAGTCTTATCAGGCTTTTAATCTCGTACATTTTACATATAAATCATTAAAATTTAAATATAAAATTTCATGTAAAGGGGATAATTTTAAGTTTAGAAACTCAAAAGTCACCTTGAGACTCTAACTTGCAATTACTAAACTATAAGAAACAACATTTTTACCTGTTTTGCATTTTCTATGTATGCAGCCATGTATTCATATGCAGCAGCCTGAGCATTTACTCGGGTTTCAGTGCCCTCCACAGGCAAAGCAAAACTGTCCATAATGATCATGGTTTCACCATCCACCTTTCCTAGCATCAGACCCATCACTTCCAAGTTGCCTCCCGATCTGGCATGCATCACCATCTTCAGCAGAGCCAATGCTGAGATTTTGCAGTACTTAAAGTAATGGTGACTGCAAAACAAAATCACAATGTAATTAAATTCCTTATATAAAGTAAAATTTCAGAAAAGTTTTTATGAAGATAAAGAGTAAGTATTGAAGGAATTTAGAGCGATGGAAAGGGAGTGTAGACTACGGGGAGAAAAAGTAAAAAAGGACAGTTTTTGCAGGCTGGAAACAATAAGTATGTCATAGTGCAGCAACGTATCCCCCTTAGGGGAGGGGAAAAGTCTGAAATACTTTTTTAATATGCTATTCAAATAAGGGAGTAACATGACCAGTTCAACAGACTTTTTCTCCATTAATTTGGAATCACCCAATCTTGGATTCTGACTGCTTGGATGGTTGTGCCTAACTGTTCTGAGGCCTAACCTTCTGGCCTAATGGTTAAGAATGTGGGTTCTGACATTCATCTGCTAAGGTCTGAATCTTGACATTGCCATTCCCTAGCTGTGGTATTGGGACAACCCTGTAATATCTGTGCCTAGGTTTCCTTTTCTGTAAATAGGGATATTCATAATTGTTGTTAGGATGAAATAAATGAAATAATGTATATAAAGTGCTTAGTGCCTTACACATACTAGAACCCTAATAAGTGCTAGCTGTTATCAGCATTATTAACCTGTCTCTTAACCCTACTCTCAAAGAACAGAGTGTTGAAGGGTGGGCTTCCCTGTTATATCAGCCTTAAATTAAAAAGTAGCCCTAATATCCTAGTCTCCTATGATCACTATTTCAGAGTTGGTCATCAGTGAATTAAACTCTTGAATAAAATTACATTTTGGTCTCATTAATGCAGCCCAAGACAGCTAGGATGAATATAATTAGAGCCACAATTAGACAGTGAGGCAGGCCAACAGTTTCCAAATATTTAAGAGTACACGAACCTAAAATGCACAGCCTGTTACAGAAGCAAGCAGATAACCAAGCAACTTAAGCAGCCTTACAGAGCAGTCAGTCAACGTCTCTACAAAGCCTTTTTAGATGTCTGCCCACAGAAAGAATCCAAATTTAATTCCTAAGCTTTGCCAGATTTCAACCAAAAGCTGAAAAATGTGTAGACCTCATGTTGGAAGTCAAGACATGAATCGAAATCTTGGCTTCTCCCTTTACTGGAGAAAAGAAGAAAGACAAGTTACTGTGCTCCTATTACATACATTCTAGACGACTCTTTTTATACATTATCTCACCTAATCTCTATGACAATACCAATAAGTAGGTCTTATTTCCATATTATGACAAATGAAGATGGATAAGTAAATTTCCTAAGGTCAATCAACTAGTTAGTGACAGCTGTGAGATTTGATCTTAGGTCTGACTATTGCTCAGTTGAGAGTTCACTTATGTCAGTATGATCATAAATTACATAACGTATTTGCTTGTTTTTTAATTTGTAACAAAAGGATGGATATACTGTACTGGGTTGTCATGAAAATTAAATGACGTGGAAATCTCTAGCTAGGTGCTTCCGCAGTTCACCATTGTGGAATCTGAATACTGAGAGACAAGGCTAGCCTTGTAAAAAAAACTGTGAGGCAGTAGAAGTATGTCCTCTTGTTGACCACAGCTTTCCTTTCTATCTAACCATTAGCTTTCGTGCTCTTTTTACTCTCAAACATAACCCGTAATAATTATCTTTTCCTGATAGCAGGAAATCTCTCAGGAGATGCTCTCAGGAAAAGATAAATATTATGGGTAAAGATCCCTCGACTTGTCACCACTCCCAGGGAAAAATGGATATTGTTGAAGGGCAAAAGGTCTTAAGCTCTATTTTTATAATTTCTGGCTTATGGGAACTGGTGGAGTAACATTTTAGAGACCAGGTAGTAGAGCCTCCGTGTGCCTCCGAAATAATTACCAGCAATCAAAAAACTATTATAGGCCCAGGCCTCACGCCTGTAATCCCAGCACTTTGGAAGGCGAAGGCGGGAGGATCGCTTGAAGGCAGAAGCTCGAGATCAGCCTGAGCAACACAGCGAGGACCCATTTCTATTAAAAAAAAAAGAAAAGAAAATAGCTCATAGCTATTTTTGAGACCTTGGGCTGCTGACTCGATTTCTGAAAACAGCTGCAATCCCCAGTTTGGGATTAGTTGAAGACCCAAACAAGGTGCATGTCGACACTGGGCTCAAGGTAGGGTGTGTGGCATATATGACAATACGGATGTTCAGAAGTGACAACTTAAATCACCGCTTGTTGTTCTCCCCTTACATCACCCGGGGGCAAATGGATTAAAGCGACAGAAAGGGGAGTGAAAGCCCCAGCGGAGGGCTTAGGCTCTACTTGCAGATCCAAGACGCATATTCTGTCCCCCTCCCAGTCGGTGAAAGCTCTTCACCCCTTTCACCTCCCTCTCCCTCTGGGTCTCTTAAACTCCGCCACCCTTTCCCTCCCCTGCGTCTCGCCAGGGACCTCCTCACTCCTTAGTCCAGGGCTTCGCCGCCAGGATTTCTTGCTGCTGTTTCTTGTCGTATTTGTAGATTTCATCGATACTCTGAGCTTCCTGCATGTTGTTGGCCAGTTCCCAGGTTTTCTGGGCCATACCGCTCCCGGACGCCGCCATCGCCGAGGAAGCGGAGAAGTTGTCGTCTCTACAACCAAGACGCAACTTTACCTCGCTAGGTTTCCGGGTGTGGGCCTTGACCCTCCGCACCACGGGAACAAACTCTTACCTAGACTCTTGGGGCAGCCATGACACCTAGAACCGGAGGTGAAGTTGGTAGAGACCATTCAGGGAAGACAGGGACCTTTCCGGGACATGACGATATAAACAGCAGTTACAGTAATAGCGAGAGACGAATCTTCTTGTTGCTTAAATGAGAACATCTTGTCTCGGAAAATTATATGTGTGAAATAGAACAAACAAAGTTATAGGGTATGGGAGTGGTATAGTCTTCCGCACCGGAAGAAGGGCATGTAACGTTATTCCAGAAACTGGTATTTGCCTTCTCTGCTTCTAATGCGCAGGCTCGGCCTCCGCCATATTAAAGGTAGCTGGAGCCTTAAGAGCGGGATGTGGAGGGCGGAAAGTGTTTTTGTGTGGGTATAGGTACCTTAAATGAGATAAGTTTGTTGAAAGACTAAAAGGTAAGGCTGTCTGTTGTACAACTGAGCTAAAAGTCGTTCTGGAAGCTGGTTGAGAGGAAGATAAACATGGCATTCCCGTTTACTTCAAGATGACTCACTGTACATGCGTAAAAGCTAACGGGCTCGTGGTGGCTTGGCACTTCACTTGCAGATGGGCTTTTTCTATCGATGCGAGGAGGCAGTGGGTACTCCTTGATTGCTTTTTTGCGCTTTGGTAAAAGTTAACATCTACGTATATATAATGTGCCATTACTGATCTGAAAATGTCCAGTACTCAGTTCTCGTAACAGGTTACAGTTAAATCTTTGGCACTCCTGTGAACCGCATTTGTTCCCAAAGCGTAATTAATCTGGGTAACTGGTTTGTTTTCTTCCTACAGTTAATACAATGTTTAATTTTTTTATTAGTTCACGTGTTTTAGGTTTTCTTTTTTCTCCATCTCATTCTTCCATCCGTGCAAGATTTTAAGTTTCAAGACACAGGGAGCAGGTCTGCGTTCCTTGTTTTATCTCCTAGCACCTAGCATAGGTGTTCAAGATTTTTTTTTCTTTTATTTCCTGAAAAGATAGCATGACAGGCCAGGCGCGGTGGCTCACGCCTGTAATCCCAGCACTTTGGGCAGCCGAGGCGGGCTGATCACTTGAGGTCGGGAGTTCAAGACCAGCCTGGCCAACATGGTGAAACCCCGTCTCTACTAAAAAAATACAAAAAAAAATTAGCCGGGCGTGATGATGTGCGCCTGTAGTCCCGGCTACTCATGAGGCTGAGGCAGGAGAATCGTTTGAACCCAGGAGGCGGAAGTTGCAGTGATCCGAGATTGCGCCACTCCAGCCTGTTAGACAGAGCCAGTCTCAAAAAAAAAAAAAAAAAAAAAAAGAAAGAAAGAAAGAAAAAAGAAGAAAAAAGAAAAGATAGCACCACAGCTGTTAACAACCTGGCCCCTATGCACCTCTTCCAGCTTCATCTCTTTTTAGTCCCCCCTTGAAACTTTTCATTCTAGCAATGCAGATATCTTTACTTTGGCTTTGCATATGTGGTCAGCATTGCTTGAAACGCTCTTTCGTAAATTTTCTGCCTGGGAACTCCTATTAATCTTTAAAAATGCAGTCCAGTGAGATCGACCACGAACTCTTTCTTGACGCTCCAATTACCATTCCTTCCATTATGTCTGTAAGTCTCCGTAGGTGCTTCTATAACTGTTACAATGCGTTGTAATAATCAGTTAAGACAAAAACATTAGAATTATTGAATCCACACCACAGCTTGCTGTTTTGGCACTGACTTTCCGTTGAAGAAAATTTCCTTTAAAACCATCTTACAAAGAAATTTAGGGTAAAATAGTACATTAATACCTACCCTTAGTTCCACTCTCCTGGGAAACTAGAGGTCTCTTTTCTAGTGGTAGCATATGGCCATATGCGATTGTATTGGGGTGAACTGAATAATATGTTGAAAATGGTAATGAAAGCCCAGGACCCAACGTTGACCACACTCCTGGGCTAGGAGTAATGCCCTGAGAGGTATGCCAACACTTTTCCTCTCACTACCACCCCTCCCCATTTTTCTTTCCAGGCTCTTACACTGTTCCTAAGCTGGCTGGTGCATGGGAGGCTGGAGAGGCTGCAATAGATTTAGCCTGAGAAGTGGCCCCCACAGTTTAATAGCCCCTGGGCACAGCAGGAGAACGAGTTGACCAAGTCCCCGGCCAGCGTACTGGCGAACCGAGAGCAGCGGGCAGCTATGCGGCCTCCAGGACAGCAGGGGGCGATGTCTTGCCGCGCGGCCGCCTGCAGTGGGGGCGGGGCCGTACCCGGCGGTTGGCGAAGGGCGAGCGGAGGGCTGGGCCTGAGGGGCGGAGCCCCGGCCCGGAGGTCTGTCATGCTGTTCCCGCTCCAGGTGGCCGCTGTAACCTCTTCGGTCCGCGACGATCCTCTAGAGCACTGTGTGTCTCCCCGGACGCGAGCCCGCTCCCCTGAGTAAGAGTCAGCCAGCCGCGGATGGGGAGCGTGAGTGGCGAGGTGTGGCCTGGGGTGGTGTAGGTTGAGGGTGGAGGGTCCTGGGGCTGCATTCGCTGCCCCGGAGCGGGGGCAGGGGCAGTGGCTCCCTCGGGGCGTAGGTCTCGAGGCAACTAGGCCGGCGACGTGCCAGAGTTACAGGCTCTGGAATCTGGGGGTGGGGGTGGGGTTTCTTGTCGGCAGGGGGTCTCGTGGCGGCTGGGTGCGGTGGGGGAGGTGCCCGAGTTAAGGGTGTGGAGAGTTGGGATTTCGCCGCCGTGAGGCCGGCATCGGTGACTACGAGTTATGAGGGTTGGGGGCGGGAGTTCTGTGAGCAGGGGTCTTGCAGCTGCCGGGGTCGGGGAGGTTCCCTGGTTACACGGTCCGGATTCCTGGGCCACTGCGGTCGCTGCTGCCCGCGGTGTTGTTGATAGCTGGTTGCCTGACGACGCTTCCTAGTCAGCCACCTCCAGGGCCCGGGGGCGAGCGGTTCCTTGGTTCCCATGCGCCTTCTCTCCCCAACGGCCAGGCCCCCCCTGCTCCGTCAAGCCTCCCCGAGCGCCTTTCTTGCCCCTCGGTGCTTGTTATTGTTAACGTGGGAGCGCTTGTGCGCACTGCTTTGCTAGTAAAACTTATTTAATCTTCACCGTAGCTCGTAGCTCGTACTGTTGTGACCGTATTTCCCCCCGTGATTGCCCGACTGCTTGAGCTTGAACCTCTTGTTTCTAACTGCCTTGATTTTAGGAATCTTATGTGGGACTCAAATCCAGTTGTCAGTACATGTTATTAATGGGACTCATCTTTTGAGAGAGGCTAGCTCTCAAGATTGTAGGATTAAGACGCTTAACTAGGATTGCGGGGAAGACTAAATTCTGAAGTAAACCATCACCTACTTTCCAAACACCTTGGAAAATGCAGGGGCTTAAAAGCAACCGATAGGAATTTATAAAAAGCCTAAATTAGGCTTTATTCTGTGTGAAGGAATGACTTGTAATGTTGACAAGCTCCATGGAAGCTATTGAGGTATTTTCTTTTCTCCATATCATTCTTCTCCCTAGGAGGTCGCTAGCTTTCTGGTGATTAAATGTCTGCTGAAATGCTCCACAAGGATCAAGTTTTTTTGTTTGTTTGTTTTGTTTTGTTTTTGGAGACAGGGTCTCGCTCTGTTGTACAGGCTGGAGTGCAGTGGCATTAGTAGAGAAGGGGGTTTCACCTTGTTGGCCAGGCTGGTCTCGAACTCCTGACCTCAAGTGATCCGTTTGCCTCGGCTTCCCAAAGTGCTGGAATTACGGCCCTGAGCCATTGTGCCCGTTCAAGTTTGGGTCTTCTGCCAGATGGCCGCCTGGGAGGGAGTGGGTGAGTTTAGACAGAGTAAATTGAAACAGGCTACTTTCGGTACAGTTTTTCTCAGATGAAGCTTTCAGACAAATATGAATTAACTGTTACACATTTGAGCAGATTTCAGATTATCCTTTTAACATCATTCTGACTTAGGTTCTGATGTACTTTCCTGAGTGGCAGGCAAGGGTGTTTGAGCAAGTGTTTCAGCAATTTGGCATAACCCAAAGGCTAATTTATGCTACTGCCGTTAATCACCATTAAGGGTGTATTATTAATAGCTACTGAAAGACTTCAACATGGTTTTATATATTTATTCACTCTCTCTTTGTATCCTGTCTCCCAGCCTCCCTCTCTTTCCCCCAGCAACAGTATTTACATCTTAGCAATATTTAGGGAAATTTGTCAAAATTTTGGTGTACCCATGGGAGGAAGTTGCTCATGTGGATGCCATCTGCCAGGAGGAAGATGGAGAACCTTTCATTCGGTAGATGGATCTCTGGATGGATGAGAAGTGAGAAACATTGTCCTGGTCACTTTGTCCCTCCCTTTCTTCTAAAGCTCTTTCACTGGCCCCTCCCCCCACCGCACATGTTATCACACTTTGACACCTGTTCTAGGTCCTGTTCCCCTACTCTAGGGTCTCTTTTTCCAGACAAAACTCTTCTCCCACAGCCTTAATGATTATTTTAAACACTGCTAGATCTTTATTTCCAGCCTGGGTTCTATTCTGAGTTGTAGACATTTTCAGATTGATTTCTTCGTATCTCCGGTGTATCCATTATGGATATCTCACATTCAGCTCCTAAACCCCTGTCAGCCTCTGTAGCAGGGGGCATTATCTTGTCCAAATTTGAGGACAAGAATCATGTTTATATATATACATATATATACACACACACATATATACACACATATATATTTGTTTTTTGTTTGTTTGTTTGTTTGTTTTTTGAGACAGAGTCTCACTCTGTTACCCATGCTGGAGTGCAGTGGTGTGATCTCGGCTCACTGCAACCTCTGCTTCCCATTTTCAAGCAATGGTTCTGCCTCCTGCTACACCCAGCTAATTTTTTTATTCGTAGTAAAGATGGGGTTTTGTCATGTTGGCCAGCCTGGTCTCAAACTCCTGACCTCAAGCGATCCGCCCGTCTTGGCCTCCCAAAGTGCTGGGATTACAGGCGTGAGCCACGGTGCCCAGCCACATTTTATATTTTTGACTACGCCAGCCTCTAGCACAATGTCATGCTTTAGGAGGGAAGTCATTTTCCATTTCTCATGCTCCCATAGTGGGGAGGAAATTTGTACTCCACTCCTTGAGAGGGAAAAGGATAGGAGCAACATTTTCCCATCTTTTTGTGACTGATGGATTTGGGAGAAGGAATTGGGCAAACTCAGTTTTAACTGGGTTCTGTTTGTTTATTGGATTTGACTAGACTTAGCAGAATGGGTATGCTCTGGTCTGCTTATATCTATATGATAAGCATAAAGAGCCAAAGGTTAAGGTTTAGAGATGTTGGTGTGGATTATGATAACCAAGTATCAATTATTGATTATTTAAATCTCAGCATACTTTACGTTTGCAGGCTCTGTTTTTTTTGTTTGTTTGTTTGTTTGTTTTGGTTTTTGAGACAAGAGTCTCGCTCTGTCACCTAGGCTGGAGTGCAGTGGCACGATCTCAGCTCACTGCAAGCTCTGCCTCCCAGGTTCACTCCATTCTCCTGCCTCAGCCTTCTGAGTAGCTGGAACTACAGGCGCCTGCCACCAAGCCTGGCTAATTTTTTGTACTTTTAGTAGAGACGGGGTTTCACCGTGTTAGCCAGGATGGTCTTGATCTCCTGACCTCGTGATCCGCCCGCCTCGGCCTCCCAAAGTGTTGGGATTACAGGTGTGAGCCACAACGCGCGGCTGCAGGCTCTGTTTTTAAGAGGTAAATCTTCATATATGCAAAGACTGTAAAGATACAACCATAAACAATAAAAGAATTGATCTGTTGATTTCTTTTTTTTTTTTTTTTGACAGAGTATTGCTCTGTCATCGAGGCTGTAGTACAGTGGCGTGATCTGGGCTCACTACAGCCTCTGCTTCCTGGGTTCAAGCAATTCTCCTGCCTCAGCCTCCTGAGTAGCTGGGACTACAGAGGTGTGCCACCATGCCTGGCTAATTTTTGTATTTTTAGTGGAGATGGGTTTTGCTGTGTTAGCCAGACTGGTCTCAAACTCCTAACCTCAGGTGATCCACTCTCCTTGGCTTCCCACAGTGCTGGGATTACAGGCATGGGCCACTGCGCCTGGCCTGATCTGTTGATTTCTAAGTGTTAGGTTCTCTGTCATAATTTTTATATGCATTATTTTCTTTTTTCTTCATAATATACTAGAATAAATGATATTTCTGTTTTATAGATTAGGCATAGAGCAGTTAAGGAACATGCTTGAGGTCATTCATGTTGAGATCAATAAGTGATAGAAGTATATTTCAAACTCAGTTCTTTCAATTAAACTATTTTCCTGAAAACTGTTTATCATCTACATACTATGTACACAGCTACTGGAGAAATAATACTTGGCCATGATGTCTTGAAAAAAGTTGTGAGTGACTTTATATTGTAGAGTGTCATATATAAATAATCTCATTTAGGTTTCTTTCAGCTGATTTATTTTTGGCAACTTAATCCTTAAATTATAAACTTTCTTACTCTATATTGTACCTATGCCATATTTATTAACCCAGTCTCTGTGATTCACCAAGTAATTCTTGAATAATTGTGTAGTTGAAATATGTTTTCTGTAAGTTACCACATGCTTTTAGGAGTGAGAAAAAGAAAAGTGGCCGTGATATCTAGAAACTGGTATTGCTAGAAACTAGCCTGGCATTCACAGTAACTTTGTGTTTTTCTGTTGAAGATAAACTATTGTACAGAATGTCAACATCAGATAAGGCCGCTCTGTGTCTATGATGGATCAAGACAAAAACATTCCATCAGTGTCTCCAAACACAGACAAAACGTAAATATTGTCCAAGAACCGAGATACCAAACATTCCCTTTCCCAGCTGATGTGAATGACTACTGCTTGTTTACCAGTTACAGCATTAGCCTCCCCCTATATTTTAGATTTATTGAGTGGTACCATCATAGAATTAACCCCACTTCTAACAGTGTTCAATCCTGAGCAAAGCTCCACTTCCTCAAATTAAGCCTTCCCCCAAATCACCCAACACATATAAGTCTTTTCCAATACCCTCTTACCACGATACCACAGGGTTCCCCATGGTGTGTGTTCTCCGTGCATTCCTTAATGCAATGAGTAGTACATCCAACTTAACTGTGGTAGTTTTCCTGGTGTTCTTTGGCTGGAGATCATTACCAGGAGAAAGCTCATTAGTGTCTTTGACTCTTTAATATTAAAGTCATTATAATCTAATCAGATTAGATACAGGAAAAATTTAGAAATGATTAGAAATGTACTTATATCTCGGATAAATCTTATGTTTTAGTTATGGCATATGCTATATTTACTATGGTTGTTTAAAAGTATGTTTTATTTGTACTTTTTGTACTTTTGATTACTGTAAGTTAAAATCAGTTCTATAATTTATAATGTTAAATAATTACAGTAAAGAGAAAGATAAGCATCTATAAATTCAAGAGGGAGATCTTTCAAAGCCTGGTTAGAACAACATGTAAATGAACATGTTAAATTAATAATTGTTATTAGGTGGTATGGAAACCTTAGTTCCATGTGAAGGTGGCATGTTACTGTTTTTTTTTTCTTTTTAGATAAATGACATTTCTTTTTTTTCTTTTCTTTCTTTTTTTTTTTTTTGAGATGGAGTCTCACTCTGTTGCCCAGACTGGAGTGCAGTGGCATGATCTCGGCTCACTGCAACTTCCACCTGCCTGGTTCAAGCGATTCTCCTGCCTCAGTGTCCCCCGGTAGTTGGGATTACAGGTATATACCACCATGCCTGGCTAATTTTTGTATTTTTAGTAGAGACGGGGTTTCGCCATATTGGCCAGGCTGGTCTCGAACTCCTGACCTCAGGTGATCCACCTGCCTCACACTCCCAAAGTGCTGGGATTACAGGCGTGAGCCACCGCCCCCAACCTAGATAAATGACATTTCTGTTTAAATTCTGTGCAAAATTCTATAGCAAAATATATGCGTTATCTCATCATTTTATTCCTATCAGACATAGAATATTTAGGGAAGATTAGAGGATTTTGAGGATTGATTGTTTTAAACATGAAAACTTGTTTGCTGTTGAGTTCAGAATTTTTACTAGGAAAAATCTTTCGTGACTATTAGCAAATTAAAAATGGCTGAAATAAGTCGGGACGGTGGCTCACACCTGTAATCCCAGCACTTTGGGAGGCCGAGGCAGGCGGATCACGAGGTCAGGAGATTGAGACCATCCTGGCTAACACAGTGAAACCCTGTCTCTACTAATAATACAAAAAAATTAGCTGGGCATGGTGGTGGGCACCTGTAATCTCAGCTACTCGGGAGGCTGAGGCAGGAGAATGGCATGACCCCGGGAGGTGGAGCTTGCAGTGAGCCGAGATCGCGCCACTGCACTCCAGCCTAGGTGACAGAGCGAGACTCCATCTCAAAAAAAAAAAAAAAAAGCTGAAATAAGCTGAGTGTGGTTGCTGGCAGTTATAATCCCAGTGATTCTGGTGGCCAACATGGAGGATCACTTGAGCTTAGCAGTTCAAAGTTACAATGAACTATGATCGTGCCACTGCACACTAGCCTGGGCAGCAGAGCGAGACCTCATCTCTAAAAAACAAAAAACAACAAAAGAAATTGGCCAGAATTTATCAACTTTTGTTGATTTGAAGTATATTTTGCTAAAACTATATATGTAAATATATATATATATATATATTTCTATTTTTAGTGTTTTTTTTTGAGATGGGGTCTTGCTCTGTTGCCCAGGCTGGAGTACAGTGGCATGCTCATAAGCTCACTGTAGCCTTGATCTCCTGGGCTCAAGTGATCCAATCCTCCTGCCTCAGCTTCCCCAATAGCTGGGACTACAGGATGCACCACTATGCCTGGCTAATTTTATTTTTATTTTTAGTAGAGACAAGATCTTACTATGTTGCCCAGGCTGGTCTTGACCTCCTGCGCTCAAGTGATCCCACCTCAGCCTCTCAGAGTGCTGGGATTACAAGTGTGAGCCACCAAGCCCAGCCTACGGCTATGTTTTAAAATCAGTGTTTCTTTTGGCATTACATAATGGCGTGAAGTTTACATTAGGTACTGTTTACCTGTTATAAGTTTCAACATATTCTTTTAGGTAAAGCCTGCTTTTCTACAATGATATATATATATATTTTACAAATTATTATTGTCCCAAACATTAAGTTCAGGGGATACTTTTTTTCTTTAACTTGCTTGCATTTGATATTGTTTACCAGTTCTATTTTGTACCTCTTTCCTCTTTTCCTCAACTAATTATGCTGATTGGGTTTGTTTCATATCCCTGTTTTAATTATTATTTAATTATTCCCTCTGTTTTTTTTTTTTCCCCCAGCTTCAATTCTTCTGTCACTCCCTCAAGTGAACATTGGCTGTTGTTTAGTTCTGGGTCATCTCTCTTTTTCCCTCCCTGTGCTCATTTACTGTGGCTTCAACTGTTACCTTTAAAATACATAGTTAATGTAGTTCATTTTCTTGAATTTGAATCTTGAATTTCTAACCGTCTACTGTAAATTTCCAGTAGCACATCTTACTAGCTCCAACTTAACATATGTAAACCAAACCTTTCTAAATCTTCCAACTTGCTCTGACTTACTTCTGTCCAAGATTCTATCCACATTTAGCTTCCAGGCCTTAAAACTTTGATCATTAGTGGCTTCTTTTTTGTCTACGTACCCAATTAGATGCTAACTTTAATGGGACTTTGGAAGATGTGTTTGGAAAAAAATTCTAGGTTAAATGAAGAAAGGTTAGTCTTTTCAAAAAATGGTGCTGGAATACTCTATTCATATGCAAAAAAGTTGAGCCTTGACACTTACAGATTTGCAAAAATTAACTTTGAATGGATCACAGACTTAAATGTAAGAGAAAAAACTAAAAACTTCTAAAAGGAAACATAAAAGAAAATATTTGTGATCTTGGGTTAGGCAAAGATTTTTTTTAGCTGGGCGTGGTGGCTCACACCTGTGATCTCAGCACTTTGGGAGGCCAAGGCAGGTGGATCACAAGGTCAGGAGATTGAGACCATCTTGAGACCATCCTGGCTAACACGGTGAAATCCCGTCTCTACAAAAAATACAAAAAATTAGCCAGGTGTGGTGGCGGGCGCCTGTAGTCCCAGCTGCTCAGGAGGCTGAGGCAGGAGAATTGTTTGAACCCAAGAGGCGGAGGCTGCAGTGAGATTGCGCTACTGCACTCCAGCCTGGGCGACAGAGCAAGACTCTGTCTCAAAAAAAAAAAAGATTTTTTTTAGATAGGACACAAAAAGTACAAACAAATTTAAAAATTGATAAATTGGACTTGATAAAAATTATAAACTTTCACTGTTAAAAATATATCAAGAAAACTTACAAACCACAGATTGGCAGAAAATATTTTTACAAAGCAAGTTTTGTAAAATATTGCTTTGTAAAAATAAAGCAAGTTTAATAAATGACTTTTATCAAGTGTATATAAAGAAATCTTACAATTCAATGGTAATAAAACAACCTGCTGGGCTTGGTGGCTCATGCCTGTAGTTGGAACACTTTGGGAGGCCGAGGCAGGAGGATCACTTGAGTCCAGGAATTGAAGGGGTAACATTGAGCTATGATCATACCACTCCAGCCTGGGCAACGTAGTGAGATCCTGTGTCTGCAATAAACAAACAAATGAAAAAACTAGCTGGGGATGGTGGTGCTTGCCTATAGTCCTAGCTGTTCAGGAGGCTGAGGTGGGAGGATTGCTTGAGCCCAGGAGTTCAAGGCTGAAGGTGTACTATGATGGCAACACTGTACTCTCTAGCCTGTGAAACAACGAGAGAGCCTGTCTCAAAAAAAAAAAAAAAAAAAAAGAAAGAAAGAAAAGCTAATTTTAACAAAAGGGCAGATTTGAGTAGATACTTTCCCAATGATTATATGTATGGTAAAAAAATAGATGAAAAGATGCTCAACATCATAGTTATCAGAGAAATGCAGATTAAAACACTCAGAGAGATAACCACTAAATAAATACACAATAGAATGACTAAGATAAAAATGACTGAAAATATCACGCCCTGGCAAGGATGTGTAGAAATTGCAATTGTCATTACAACCCACATACATTCTTATACATTGGAATGTAAATATGGTACTTTGTACTTTGAGGAACAGTTTAGCAGTTCAGGAATTAGACAACATCTTGACCATATAATAAAAAATAACATCACTAACAAGGGGCAGGTAAATATCACGTGCCTTCTCTTTGTGACACCTTAAAATTTCACCTAATATTTCTGGTGAGAATGCATAATCTAAATTTAGTCATTAAGAAACATCAGGCACACCCTAGATGAGGGATGTTCTATTGAAAAGGATGTTCTGTTACACAGGATTCTTTTACCTGTGTAAATTGGTAAAAGACAAAGAAAGATGGTAGAGATAGATATTCCAAATTAAAGAAGGCAAAAGAGATATAGCAGTGAAATGCAATCAGTACCTAACTTAGATGGGATCCCGAATTAGAAAGAGAAAAATAGGCTGTAAAGGCTGCTATTGAGTCAGTTGACAAAAGTGGAATATGGACAATAGATTAAAAAATCAGTGTTACAAAAGTTGATAATTATGTTGAGGTTATATAAGAAAATAACCCAATTCTTAAGACACACACACTGAAGAGCTTAGGGGCAAAGGGCTATGATATATATACTTTATTCTCTGAATAATTTTAGAAAAAATTGTGTTTGTGTGTATGGAGAGAATGACCTTGTGTGCACAAGCAAAGGATGAAGCAAGTGGAGCCAAATCTTAATAGGGAATTAATAAAGACTCTTTGTGTGTTCTTGGTATTATTACTGTAACTTCTCTGTAGGTCAGAAATTATCTCCCAATATTTAAAAAAAACTTTTTTTTTGAAGTGCTTTGGCTTAAGGATTTAAAGAGCTTTTTGTTTGCTTGCCTTCGTTTTTTGCCGGAGAGGGAGTGTATATGGAGGGTGGTGGTAGTTTTTCATTTTCTTTTTATTTCAGATATTTTAAAGTATATTGTAGGCTTTTTGGGGAAGCTGGGAGAGGCAGTAGGCAGGCATATTTATGATCAATCTTAAGTTTGAATTTCTCAATTTGATAAGTGAGATTGAAAACTAAATGTGGACTAAGCCTACATGTTGATAATTAGGCTAAAAATACTGTGATATAGATACGCTCACTGAAATTTTTTTTTAAAGAATCTGCAAAATGGCTGATAATTTGGATGAATTTATTGAAGAGCAAAAAGCCAGATTGGCCGAAGACAAAGCAGAGTTGGAAAGTGATCCACCTTACATGGAAATGAAGGTAAATTTAATAATTTTCTTTGAACATGTTTTATTATAATTGTCTATGGAGATTACTCCTGTGTAAATACAAAACATCCTCTTCTATGAGTGAGAATCTTCTGTTTTGTAGTATGCTGTCATTCTAGGAGCCTGACTCCAGACAAGATTGCAGTAATTTTGAATGCAGTTTTTCTTTTGTGGTGGTTTATATCTCACAGTGTTTCTCTTATCTCTTGTTGAAGAATTATTTGGTTATAAAATGATTATGAGACCAGTTCTATTACAAAGAACTTCCACAACATAAACAGAATAGTTGTAAAAGCAAGTTTATAGTCTATGTGAAAAAATTCAATTTAATTAGTTTAAAAAGTTTTTTTGAAATCTGAAAAAGTGAATTTATTAATTTATTTTGTACTATTTGTGTTTCTTAATATAAATTTCTTAAAATAATTGCTTTTTTTTTTTTGAGATAGAATCTCGCTCTGTTGGCCAGGCAGGACTGCAATGGTGTGATCTCAGCTCGCCACAACCTCCGCCTCCCAGGCTCAAGTGATTCTTCTGCCTCAGCCTCATGAGTAGCTGGGACTACAGGTGCCCGCCACTATGCCTGGCTAATTTTTGTATTTTTAGTAGAGTTGAGATTTCACTATGTTGGCCAGGCTGGTCTTGAACTCCTGACCTTGAGATCCACCCACCTCGGCCTCCCAAAATGCTGAGATTACAGGCATGAGCCAGTGTGCCCGGCCTAAAATAATTGTTTCTTAAAGCAATGTCTTAAAGGCTTTCTTAAAGCTTTCCTTGTTTAGGTGAAACTGATTTATCCATTTAGCAAATACTTACTGAGATTGTGTTAGGTATTATGCTAAGCTCTGAGAATGCAGCACTGATTAGAGTGTTGTGGCACCTTCTCAGGGCTCAGTGTATGTAATAAGATACAGCATGTAGTTTAATCTGTGCCATATGGTTCATCATAATGACAGTAACCATATATATTGGTTTGTTCAAGATGATCCTGGTTTACCTGTTGTCCAGTGTTTTTTTCTGGTTTAGCATTTGTCCTGGACAAAGGTACCTTGGCTGAGATGATAAATAATATAGATACCCTGATTACAATTTTACTCACATGGCTAACATTTATTGAGTACTAGCTATGGACAAGGCATATTCTTAAGAGGTTATATTTCACAGTAATCTATGAGGTAAGTGCTGTTATTGTAATTTTCCAGATGAGTAAACTGAGGCAAGTTAAGTAATGAGACTAAGGCAGTAGAGTTGGTGGAACTAGGCTTTGACCCCTGGCAGCCTGGCTTCAGTGCTTGTCCTCGGAACCAACATAATAGGTTGCCTTTCTTCCAGATAACCTGTCATGTACCAGGAATGCCAAGGACTTTATATGTATCATTTTATTTAATCATAATATCCCTGTTAAGCAGGTGAATTTTTTTTGTTTTATGGATTAAGAAAGTGAAGCTCACAGGAGTTAAGTAATTTGTCCAGGTCCACACAGTGGTGGATTCAGGAGTGGAACCTTTATGCAGCTCCAGAGTCTATCTCTTAACCACTCTCCAGTAGTTAGGACCAGCTTACGGCTTTGGAGTTACATGATTTGGAGTACATAGCTTTAAAGACAGTTTTGTTATAATTTCTAACATTAATTTGTACATAAATAATTTTAAGTCTTAGTTCAAGTATCACCTGCTCAGTGAGGCCTTATAGTCCCCCAGCATTTCTGGGCCTCCTTACTTTAATCTGCTTTTTTTTTTTTCCATAACCACTTCCTGCCACTATCTACATATCACATAATCTAATCATGTGTTGAGTTCATTATGTGTCCCCCCAATAGTTTATAAGCTTCATGATGGCAGAAATTCTTCTATTTTTTAAAACTCTTATACTTTCAATGCTTGACAAAATGTTTGGCACTTAATGGGAACTCAGTAAATATTTGTTGGTAAGTGAATGAGTTAAATATTAGAATATCTATTATAAAATTAAAATACCTTTGGCTAATTCCTCAAACCTTACACTTAATTTCTTCTATGATGTACTGTGTAATTTCATCAAGCTGTTTAATTAAAATTTGAGATGAGTTGTATATTTCATGGTTTTTTTTTTCCTCTTGCTTTTGTAAACATTATGTCTCTTTCAGGGAAAGTTGTCAGCGAAGCTTTCTGAAAACAGTAAGATACTGATCTCTATGGCTAAGGAAAACATACCACCAAATAGTCAACAGACCAGGGGTTCCTTAGGTATGTCATTAGATGTGCTAAACTTATTTTAAGATATCCTTAGTGGGCTCTTCTGAAAGAGGTTTGTCTTGTCAGAAAAAAAGATTTATTTGGAATCCTAGTAGTTTTTCTTTCTGGAATCTTACGTAAGTCAATATGGTCTACATATGAAATAGAACTCATACTGAAAACTTTGTACTTGTTTTATGTGATACTGCATTGGTTATGATTTATGGAACTTATAGAAGAAGGTGTGTATAACATAACTTAAAAATTGAAAACTTTGAAAGGAATTTGTGTGTGTGAGAGAGAGAGAGAAGAGAAACTTTTATTTGTTGATTGAAAATGGTGAACTTGCTTATTTAAAAATTAAAGAAATATGCTTAAAGGGTACAAAATGCTGTTTGGTGAAAGACTATTTTAATTATTGATGATCATGTTGGAATTGTAAAGAAGTTAATACTGTAGCCATACTAATGCTTTGATTATGGTATGGTATGAAAATATTTGGAAACTTTTTACCACATTTTGGCTTGTTGGTAGGTATACATTTTAAAAAAAGAAAATGTATGAATATGTAAAAATTTTTGTTTATTTATTAAAGACAGGGTCTCTCTCTCTCTCTCTCTGTCACTCAGGCTGGAGTGCAGTGGCATGATCATAGTTCAGTGTTATCTTGAACTCCTGGGTTCAAGCAATCCTCCTGCCTTGGCCTCCCAAAGTACTACAATTACAGGCCTGAGCCACCATGCCCAGTCTGTATGAATATATATAATTTTTTTTTTTTTTCTTCAAGGCTGAGTCTGACCCTGTCGCCCAGGCTGGAGTGCAGTGGCACGATCTCGGCTCACTGCCGCCTCCACCTCCCAGGTTCAGGCGATTCTCCTGTCTCAGTCTCTCAAGTAGCTGGGATTACAGGCGCATGCCACCACACTCAGCTAATTGTTTATATTTTTGGTAGAGACAGGGTTTCGCAGTGTTGGCCAGGCTGGTCTCGAACTCCTGACCTCAGGTGATCTGCCTGCCCGCCTCGGCCTCCCAAAGCTGGGGTTACAGGCGTGAGCCACTGTGCCCGACCTGTATGAATATTTTCAATGTGCATTTTGTGATTTATTGATGATGACAAACTTTTTCACAAAAAGAAAATCAACTATGATAAGTTCATTTGATTAAAGCATTGTTCTCAAATGGACAGCTTTTCATGGATGTAGGTATACTCCTAAATTGTTTTTGTGTGCCAGTGGATACAAGGGGATGCCGGCCAAGAAACTGGATAGTCAGTAAGCTTTGTCTCTGCATTAGACAAATAGCTCAAAGTGAGTGCCCTACTTTTAATATCAGATAGATAACTCTTTCCATTTTGAATCTCTTATAAATTATTAATATACAGCATTAGTGAACTAAAGTATTATATATTGGTAAAATTTTTTAATCTCTAAGGCTCTCAATTTTTTTTCTGTGAAATAAGTTTGATTATCTTCCAGCCCTACGTTTTTATGAATCTAAATTTTAATTATTCCAAGAGATAATTTTTAAAAAGTTTAATAGTAGGTTATCTCAAGCACTAAGGTCGCTAAGGTTAGACAGAATCCCTTTTAAATTCTAGGGTTACAGCTTGCTTTGGATTGGGCTGTGATGCCTTTATGACCTGTCAGGAGCTACACTTTGTTTCCTTATCTTATGACATCTATCTCAAAAAGTCGTTATGGGCGAAAGTTAAATACGTGAAAAGATGGCTGGCACGTAATTGGTACACAATAAATATTAATTTCTTTTTCTCCTTAACATCTTTTTTTTTTGAGACAGGATCTTACTTTGTCGCCCAGGCTGGAGTGCAGTGGCATAATCTTGGCTCACTGCAACCTCCACTGTCCAGGCTTAAGTGATTCATCCTCCCTCCTCAGCCTCCAAGTAGCTGAGACCACAGGTGAGCACCACCATGCTGGCTAACTTTTTTTTATATACATATATTTTCTGTAGAGGTGGTGTTTCGCTATGTTGCCCAGGCTGGTCTGGTCTCGAACTCGCTAGCTCAAGCCATCCGCCTGCCTCGGCCTCCCAAAGTTCTGGGATTACAGGTGTGAGCCACTTGTGCCTGGCCTTCCATCTTTTTAAAAGTAGTTTTTCGGGCTGGGCGTGGTGGCTCACACCTGTAATCCCAACACTTTGGGAGGCTGAGGCCAGCAGATCACTTGAGATCAGGAGTTCAAGACCAGCCTGGCCAACATGGTAAAACCCCATCTCTACTAAAAATACAAAAAAATTAGCCCAGCATGGTGGCGCAGGCCTATAATCCTAGCTACTTGGGAGGCTGAGGTGGGAGGATCACTTGAACCTAGGAGGCGGAGGTTGCAGTGACCGAGATCATGCCCCTGCACTCCAGCCTGGGTGACAGAGAGAGACTCCATCTCAATAAAAAAAAAGAGTAGTTGTTTGAATTGTCTTAGGAATTATTCTTTGATCATTACATTCACATATTATGGAGAGTTAACAGTATAACTGAAAGATGGTGACCTCTGCCTTTTCATTAATTGGTGTTACTTCGGCCTCTGACCTAGGCTGACTTCTCATCTTATACATTCCCCGAGTGTCCATATCTGCTCACAGGGCTTTATTTACTGTTAGTGTGTTCATGACTTCTGAATCTGTATCCCCAGTCCCAGGTTCTATTGCGAACTTGACCCATATGTCTGATTTTCCATTGGACATCTGTACTTGTATGGTCATGTATGGCATGGGCTCAAAATCAAAATTTGCAAAATTAACTTATACTCTTGTCAAACTTTCTAGTGCTCCCCATCTCACTGAGCTGGCTGCCTAGTCATCCTTGATTCCTGTCTTCTCCTGTCTCCTATATCAAGCAGTTACACAAGTCTAGTTGATTCTAATGCATAAATCTCAAGTAAGGTCACTCTGCTGTAATCCCACTGACTTTCTTTTATGAGGCCTCTGTTGTCTGTCAGATTTTTGTAAAAGCTTCCTAGTGTTTTTGGTGGTTGTTTTGTTTTACAGTCTAGCCCCGTGTATCAAATCTCTATGTTTTCTATATATTTGCATAAAACAAATCTGATCATATTAGTCTCTGCTTCAAACCCTTTGATGGCTTCTTTTTTTCTTATATGATAAATTTGCCATCTTAATACTTCTGCTAGATTGGGTTGGTCAATCCTGTCATGTGCTTCTAGAGGATTTGTTCTCCTCTTGAAGAGTAGTTTTGAACTTATTCAGCTTCTCTTTTGTACCACAATGACATGCCAACTTGCATCCCGTTGTATTTCCACTGCCTAGCACAGTGCGCAGCACTTACTGCTTGGAAAAGTTGTTTTAAACCAACGGGTTAATGTCCCCATTGCAAAAATAAAACCAATTCTCTTGGGTGTGTTGACTTTAATTTTCATGGAATGCTTCTTCCATTGCCATCTGAAACCATTTGATGCACATGGAATTTTATTAAAGAACAATATATAATTGACTAATTTTATACTGCATAAGCATTTAGTTACTGACCTCCTGCCTGATTAATTGTGGCTTTAAAATTCAGTCAAATACATAGTTTCTCACACTGGGAAAAATGTAAAATTATTTGGCAACTAAGGGTTTTCCTTAAGTGGTCTCATTTAGGAATTATAAAAAACAGGTCTAATATAGGTCAGATTTGGAAATGAGGTATTGACTTAAAGCACTGTAACATCGTAGTTTGAATAAGTAATTAAGCATAGTGTAGTAATCAGTGATATATAAACTGGACATACTCATTTTATCCAATGAAAACAATCTATTGATAGCTCATAGTACAACTATCATACAACACTATGATTTTATAAATTCTTTTCTGTTAGATACTGATGATATTCATGGTTAATTCCATGTGGCTCTTTCTACCACCATTTATACCTTTCATAAAAGGATTTGAGGTAGCGTTACAGTGACTTCTGACACCAGCTACCTGGAGTTGGACCAAACTTCACAGGTTAAGGGCATAGGCCTCCACAAGACTGCCTTCACTTCAGACTCCAGCTGCAAGTTCAAGGGTCACCAGGACACCTTCAGGTCTGACCATCTGGCTATAAATTTGGGGGTTTCCCCTATCCCCTCAAGTTCAATAATTCATAAGAATGACTCACAGAACTCAAGAAAGTGCTGTACTTATGGTCACAGTTTTATAGCATAAGTATACAAATTAGAAATAGCCAAAGGTTGAGACACATAGGGTAAGGTCTGGGACGGTCCAAACATTAATTATCTGTTAGTCTCAGGGAGACATTACCCTCCTAGCACATCAGTATGTGACAGGATACAGAATATTGCCAATCAGCCTCACCTAAGCCTGAGTGTCCAGAGTTTTTACTGGATTTTCCTTATGTAGGAATGATTGGTTGAATTGTTGCTCCTTGGCTTGATCTCCAGCCCTGCTGTATTCATTCCCCTTAGGCCTGGCTGATGTCACATGGCGCAAAGGCCCAACCCTCAAATCACATGGTTGGTTTTTCTGGCATGACCAGCTCCCGTTTTTGTCTTCTCTGTAGCATAAACTCTCTAGGGGTTCACAATGATTCACTTCGTTAGTATAAACTGTTAGGTATGGTCCAAGGTACCCACTGTGAATAATAAAGACATTCCCATCATCTGGTAAATTTTAAGGTCAAACCCACTAGGGGCTCACAATGATTTACGTTGTTCGTGTAAACTATTAGGTGTGGTCCAAGGTGTCCACTGTGAATAATAAAGACATTCCCATTGTCTGGAAAATTTTAAGGATTTAGAGGTTACCTCCCAGAAACTGGAGACAAAGGATTCAATTTTTTTTTTCTTTTTTCTTTTCCAAGCCAATTTTTTAATTACACATAGGATGTACATGATTTAGTTCATATAAGCTAATGAAAAAATGTCTTTAATAAGGAGTTTGTCAGAATACTAGTAATATTAAATTAAGAGAAAGTCACCTGAAAGTGATCTATAAAAGATCTTTTATCTCCCTAAACTGTTTCTAGGCATAATGTTTGTGTTTATTTCATTAAAAGAAATTCTTACTAACTTATTATTGTTTAACAACCATTACTGGTATTATTAACAATAATCAATATTGTTGAAATACTTATATTAATCATTTAAATGCTCCCATTAATCTTTTAAAAATGTTTTGATACAAATGTGTCAAGGTCTTAAAACATGTAGTTTCTCCCCACCACCCAGTTTTTTTAAGGGAGAGGATCTTGCTCTGTCATCCAGGCTCGTGTGCAGTGGCACCATAATAGCTTACTGCAGCTTAAAACTCCTGGGCTCTGGGGATCTTCCTGCCTCAACCTCTCGACTAGCTAGGACTACAGGCTCAGGCCACCATGCCTAATTTTTAAATTTTTTGTAGAGATAGAGTCTTGGTATGTTGCCCCGGCTGGTTTTGAACTCTTGGGTTCAAACGATCCTCCCTTCTCTGGCTCCTAAGTAGTTGAGACTATAGGTTTGTGCCACTGCATCTGTCTAGTTGTAGTTTTAATTATTTGTTTTGAGATAGAGTCTCGCTCTGTTGCCCAGGCTGGAGTGCAGTGGCGCGATCTCGGCTCACTGCAACCTCTGCCTCCTGGGTTCAAGCTATTCTCCTGCCTCAGCCTCCTGAGTAGCTGAGATTACAGGTGCCTGCCACCACACCCAGCTACTTTTTTTGTGCTTTTCATAGAGACAGGGTTTCACCATCTTGGTCAGGCTGGTCTCGAGCTCCTTACCTCAAGTAATCCACCCACCTTGGCCTCCCAAAGTGCTGGGATTACAGGCGTGACCCACAGCACCCAGCCTTGTAGTTTTAATTATCATTCCTCTTTGTCTTAGGTTTATCCTATTGTAAACTAAATCACAGATACTCTTCTACAGTTTTTATTCATTTTGTATGAGTGAAATGGGTCCTTGTAGTGATACCTTTATAGCTGAAATTTAAGAGTACAGTGTCTCCTCAATTAGTCACATCTCCTTGTAAGTCACCCATTGTGTAAAGGCCTATTATTATTTCCTATAATTTGTCTTTTGATTATTTTTACATAATGCTTTTTCATGGTAGTATAATAATGAAAAGAAAGTAAATGTTCTATGGTAATTTGTTTCATAGAGTAATTATGATGAATGCTCTGTTAGAAGGTAAATTAATTATGAAGAAGTTATATACTTTAGTCTTAAGTATTTTATGTAAGCCACAACTGTTATAGAAACCAAATACTTCTAATTACTATAGTTCTGAAGCATAATGTTAACTATCTTAGGGTCATTGATGTTATACTTGATGAAGTGACATCACTTCAAATGACCCTAAAATGACACAAATGCTTTACTTGCTGCTAGATCCATCAGAAGACAACAGGCACAATAAGTAAGCCTCACCGTGTTCCTTAGCTCATTAAGTCAATTGAGATGCTATTGTTAATGCATGGTTTAAAAGAATAGGATATTTACATTGTTCTATACAGTTCCTAATTTTATGTCTGTGACTTACCTCTAATGCCATAAAATGTTGGTACAAGATGACAAAATAAGAATTAAAAAGTTAGTGTTTTCTGTTGACTAAACATTAAATTAATAAAGTTATAAATAACTCAGAAGGCATTATATATTGTTACTTGTCAAGACAATTTTACAATACTATTTGAATTAATAGTGAAAAACAAATACTCTTAGTAAATAAAAATTTAACTTAATATGAATAATAGGCCGGGCGCAGTGGCTGAGGCCTGTAATCCCAGCACTTTGGGAGGCCAAGGTGGGCGGATCATGAGGTCAGGAGTTTGAGACCAGCCTGGCCAATATGGTGAAACCCCGCCTCCACTAAAAATACAAAAATTAGCCAGGTGTGGTGGCAGGTGCCTGTAATCCCAGCTACTTGAGAGGCTGAGGCAGGAGAATCACTTGAACCTGGGAGGTGGAGGTTGCAGTGAGCCAAGATTGCGCCACTGCACTCCAGCCTGGGCAACAGAGTGAGACTTTGTCTCAAAAAAAAAAAAAAAAAATATATATATATATATATATATATATGTATATATGAATAATAATGTAAATGAAAATGAATTATGTTTTTCTTTCCATTCTTCCACATAAACCCCCAAGTAGAATTGAAAAACAGCAGTAAAAGCCACCTTAAACTTACACTTTTTGTAAATTTGTAAATTGCTTGTTCCTGGATGGGCAGGTAGTGTGTTGGCATCATCCTGGCAGCATTGTTGTCTTTTACTCCTTGGCACAATAGAACATCCATTGTGACCCTGTGTGACTAGTGATATGTAACTTTGGTAACTACCTCTCTCTATGCAGTCAGACCGCTAACAGGAGAAATGGAATATTAAGTATAGTATATTGTTCCCCCTCACCTTTTCTCATTTCTTCCTCTGTCTCAGGCACTCATTCATATATTCATTTGCAGATTTATTCAATGAACATTTTCTTGGGTTAAAGTTATGTGCCAGCATTATAAAATTGAATAGCGCATGGGCCTTGCCTTCATAGATTTTATAGTTTAGTTTTATATATGATGTTCCATTCTGAACATGAGAATCAAAACTTTCTCTCCTTAGGCTTAAATTCTGTATCTTTAAAAAAAGGTTTAGATTCCTTCAAAAGGAAACAGTTCCTTTCTAGGATGATTTAAAATTCCAAGCATATGGAATGCTTTAGTTTCTTTTGGAAGAGAGTTAGAAGCATGTGTAAGAGGTGTCCCTAAGGAATCCTCTGTTATACCCTCTATCATCAAGGAGTTAAATAGGCCAGAAATGTTTATCAAGAGAATTCCAGTGTTGATAGCGGTAAGTGGATTTTAGTATTCTGTAAGAATCCATAAACATCCACTTATGTTTATATTACACTGGCCTTTTCCCTGCCTGAAATGTTTCAGTGATGTAGTAAGCAGTGATATGACACATTCTTGAAAAGTTCCCATCATTCAGCTACATTGTGAGAAATAAGGCACAAAATGGTGATTTTTATATCAGTTTATAAACTACAGTCAAATTTTATTTCATCTATAGTGCTCATAGCTGAATCTTTAAGGAAAGTTTTGGCCAGGCGTGGTGGTGCATGCCTGTAGTCCTAGCTACTCGGGAGGCTGAGATGGGAGGATTGCTTGAGGCCAGGAGGTTGAGGCTGCAATGTGCCATGATCACGCCACTGCACTCAAGCCTAGGTAACAGAGCGAGACCCTGTCTAAAGAGAGAGAAAAAAAAAAAAGCCAAGTTTTATTTTGTTTAGAAATGATAATTTTTTAATACTATAGTATTATGTGTATAGTAGGACTAAAAAAGGGATGAAGCTTCAGATCTGAATACTCATCTAATGTCTATGCTTCTTGACATAGTATTTTATTATTGAAGGTTTGAAAAGTATATAATTTGATTTTTGATAGCTTTGTTGAGATATAATTTACACACCATAACATTTACCTATTTAAAGTGTACAATTCAATGGTTTTTAGTATATTTACAAGTTGTACAGTCATCATTGTCATCATCCCTAAATGTAATTTGATTTTTAAATTTTGTGTAAGGAAATACTACTCAAATTCGAAGTTTTTCTTCAAAAATTAACATCCATTTACAGAGTTTCTGTTTGGGATGATGAAAAAATTCTGGAAATGGATAGTGATGATGGTTGTACAACATTGTAAATGTACTTAATGCCACTGAATTGAATGCTTAAAATGATTAAAATGGTAGGTTTTATATTATATACATTTTACCACAATAAAAATTAATATCCATTTTTATGAAATCAGAAGTGGTTTAACTTTAGAAGTTTTTAGGAATTTCATCCTATCTGAATGCTCTTTGATACAAAAAGAAAATTAAAAAAAAAAAAAGAAATGTGATTCTAAGCAACACATGGCCCTAATAATTTTTTCTCAGAAACATGTTATATTAAAGATATTCTTGTATGCTAAAAAAAATCATGTTATTAGTTTTCCTAGACTGAAAATGATGCATTAAAATTGTTGTTGGTATTTATTTTTATAGAAATTAGTGTATAATTAAGTGAAGATGTAAAGATAATTAGTTTTTCTTTAATTTTGCTGTTCTTGAGAAAGCAAGATGCCAAACAATGCTGGACTACTTGTCTTAACTGGAGGAAAAAGTGAATATAATGCACACATGCATATAAATATGTATATGATAATATAAAAGTATCTGTTTATAGGTGCATTAAAAAATTATCTGCATGGAGACAAGAAATAACAATGTTTGTTGTTCTGGACAGGAGAACAGGGTGGCTAGGGCTCATGGATGAGAATGATATTTTTGATAATATTTTTGATTATCTGAATGTATTATCTATTGAGACATTTTAAGTAAAAAACTTACCCTAATCCTACTCTTGGAATAAGCATAATTCTGTTCCTTCTTACTGTGCTTTGTTACAGGAAGTAGAACTTTGAGATTGGTTTGAAAATGAATTATACTAAGAAGTTGTTTTTTTTCTAGGAATTGATTATGGATTAAGTTTACCACTTGGAGAAGACTATGAACGGAAGAAACATAAATTAAAAGAAGAATTGCGGCAAGATTACAGACGTTATCTTACTCAGGTAATGAGTTCTATTAATGAGTTGGGTTTAATGTTTCAGAATTCAGCTCCTAAATTTGTTTTCATAAGGTATTAGTCATATGTGTTAATTTTTAGGTTTTCAGTGGTACTAGCAAAGTAGTAGTATAGTCAAAGTTAAGTGGCATATATGACATTGGTAGAGAAAAAAATATTGCTGAGAACCGGTGCCATAGAATGATACAGACTTTTGACCTTTTGACTAAGGCAGTGGATTCTAATTTTAAGTGAGATCGTTAATTATGGTTTTTCATGTTTTCTGTAAAGTTGTCATGGTTTGAAGTAGTCCAATCATGGTTTCCCACTCTTCTACACCCCCCAACTATGTATTAAAATGACATATGGAGTTCTAGTTGCTAATTATTTTCCTATGAGCCAAGCTTATAAAATTACATTTAATTATTTAGCCACTAAAGCTTTTGTTTTATGATCTCATGTTTTACTTAGCAGAACTCTTGAGTATTTTTGTTAAATTATATAATGGCCAAAGTAAGGTTTATTGTAAGTTTTAAATTTAGGTTATAAAATTATTTTAAACAATTATGATATTTGTTGTCATCTCAAAATATTCTTTAGTTTTTTACTGCTTTATGTTTGTTCCAAGTGTACAAATGTCTCTTATTCTGATTTACACATGGAGAGAATGAACTTTGACTTAATACACTTTGTCAATGGTTTGTTTCCCTTGACTTTAGGGCATTACACAAGGGAAAAGAAAGGTAGGGTTGTCTGCAATACGTCCTCCTTCAGTTTTTTCTTTCTTTTTTTTTTTTTTTACGATCTAGAAGGTTGCAATCATTTGCATTTATGAGATTCAAACCAATTAGGAAAACGGGTTCATTTGTGATTTTGAGATGTTTGAATGGCACCATTTTGTATTCTTGCTTTTAGCAGATGACAGCATACACATTATAATTTTCCGTTAATATAGTCATTACTTTTGATTCCTGCTTTGCATTTGTGTTTATTGCTTTCTTATGCATTCTTTTTGAATATTCTGCAGTTAAGTCTGTTTTCAGCATGCAATTTTTTATTTCTCAAATTACACTAATCACAGTAAGATTAATAGAGTAGTAGAATATCCAAGATATTTGAACTACATGTTGTGAGAATTTGGATTACTCTGTTTTTCCACCAAAATCTATAGATTGCATTGTCCATTTATATTGGAAAACAAAGAGAAACAGTTTATGGTTTTACAAAACTGGTTTTAAAAGGAATCTCACAGATTCACCATTCAACTAACATATTTTAAACACTTATTATGAAGATATATCAGGTATGCATCCTGTCTTCAAGAGGCTTAGAATTTAGTTGTAGAGATAGCATTCATACGATTCAGAAAGTGGTAACTACAAGAAGGATATAATGATCAAGATAGTCCTCATAGTGGGAATTTCTATTTTGTGAGGCAATCTAGATTTGGGTGATCTGGAGAGAGAATCGAAGCGAGAAAGCTTTTCAGATGGAAAGCATAGAGTAAAGGAGGACCTAGAGGGTAGACTTTAGCTTTGTATGAATGAGGCATATTAGGTTTACCAGCCTGACTGGGTCAGAGTATCATTCTTTTTGAGAGTAGTAAGAAATAATGATGTATATAGGATAGGATCAAATTAGAAGGCAGTGGATTTTTAACTTGTTATATGTAATAGTCAGTGATGAGCATCATACTTTCTTAAATAGCTTGTGAAGAGCATGGTAACTGTGTTTTAGGACAGTTAGTTCTGCATGTAGAGACTCTCATTGTGTTAAATTGCTGCCCAACTTCTTAACTGATTTCCTCGCGCTAATTTTCACTTCACCCTCCAAGCTATTTTCCAGAATGATTCAGTCCCTAACTTATTTAAATATGTCAGTATCCTCTAACTGCCTCCAGGATAAAAATTCAAATTCCTTAGCATGGCACATGTCTTTCGTGTTCCAGCCTGACTCCCTGGGCTTATACCTCATTATCTTCCCCTTCCCTACTTTTTCTTATTGGGTGGAGTTTTCCTCTGGTATCAGATATCTACCATTTTCTCTTGTAGGTTTTGCATTACTCCCTAGGTAAGATTTTTAAAAAGGATAGTGGTGGGGGACATGAGAAGAAATTGCCGTCATGAAAGTACAAATCTTTAAATTCAAAGGGATGTGAAGGAGTTTTTTAAGATTTTTTTGTTTGTTTTTTGGTTTTTTTTTGAGACAGAGTCTTGCTCTGTCGCCCAGGCTGGAGTGCAGTGGTACGATCTTGGCTGACTGTAATCTCAGCCTCCTGGGTTCAAGCGATTCTTTTGCCTCAGCTCCCGGAGTAGCTGGAACTACAGGCGTCCACCACCATGCCTGGCTAATTTTTTTGTACTTTTAGTAGAGACGGGGTTTCACCATATTGGCCAGGCTGGTCTCAAACTCCTGACCTTGTGATCTGCCCACTTCGGCCTCCTAAAGTGCTGGGATTACAGGCATGAGCCACCGCACCCGGCCAGTTTTTGAGATTATTAAGAATATAGTCGGCCGGGGGCACGGCTGACGCCTGTAATCCCAGTACTTTGGGAGGCAGAGGCGGGCAGATCACAAGGTCAGGAAATCGAGACCATCCTGGCTAACACGTTGAAACCCCGTCTCTACTAAAAATACAAAAAAATTAGCCTGGCGTGGTGGCAGGCGCCTGTAGTCCCAGCTACTCGGGAGGCTGAGGCAGGAGAATGGCGTGAACCCTGGAGGCGGAGCTTGCAGTGAGCCGAGATCGCGCCACTGCACTCCAGCCTGGGCGACAGAGTGAGAATCCGTCTCAAAAAAAAAAAAAAAGAATATAGTCTTGTAGAGGAGCACTATTTCCTTAAAATTAGAGAGACAGTCTTTTGTTCACATTTGAGAAGGTGGGACTGGAAGGGAAAGCAAGAGAAAAAGAAAACTACACAGACTATAGGGAGCTGGCTGCAGCTTCCTGGACCCCCTGAAATATGTATGGTTTCCAAGTCCCACTCATATCTCTTGTGGCTTCCAGACTTGGATTGCATGGATATTTGAGTTTTTAAAAAAAATCAAATCTTTTAATTTTGTCAAGAAGAGTTATTAAAACAAACAACTACCATCTTTTTTCGTGTTTTAATTAATTTTTTTTTCCTGTGCCCTTCCTGCCCAGAGATGGTTTCCTGTTTTTAGAATAAAAGATGCTTGACCATCTAAACACAGAAAAGACATGTTCTCAGGGGAACAGTTTTTAAATTGAGTCAGTTAATTAATATCCCCAGCCCAGACCTCCATCCTGAACTTCAGAGTTTTCTAGCTGGCTGCATAATTCACATTTTCACTTTGAAATCTACCTGATATCTTATGTAGACCATGTCCAAAAGAGAATTCTTGATTTCTGTTCTTCCCACCCTCATGGCTGATAAACCTGCACTATCCGTAGCCTGTCCTTTTAATTTCCTTTTTGTCACAGTAATTATTACCTTCTAGCATGCTGTATAATTACTCCTCATTATGTTTATTATTTCTTTTTCATTTTCCCCAGCTTGAATGTATGCTTTTGGAGGACAGGAATCTTTATCTGTTTTTTTCAGTCCCAAATGTATCAGAAAGTTTGGGCACATGGTAGGCACTCAGTATTTATTGAATGAATGAATGAATGAATGATTAAAATTTAGCTTTTTGAAAAAACTCACTATGTTGTTCTTTTTTTAAGAATTAAAGTTTTTTTGGTAGAGACAGGGTAATAAAAAAAAGTTTTTTTTTTGTTTTTTTTTTTAAATACTCAAGCTGGTCTTGAACTCTTGGGCTCAAGTGTCCCTCCTGCCTTGGCCTCCCAAAGTGCTGGGATTACAGACATGAGCCACCACTCCCTGCCTATGTTGTTGTTATTGTTTATTCTTTTCATTTTATTGAAAATTTCAAACATCATTCTTGACCCATGTTTGGAATGGGAAATTGCCCAGTGAAGGAGTGAGGATGTTAAATCTATCTTCCTGGTTGGAACTATGAATGGGTTTTTCATGCATTTATAACTCTACAAAATAATTAGGTTTATAGTGTACTTCAGTATATAGGAGGTAAAATCACTCAGGGATCTGGTCATGTGTCTTATTTTTTCCTTGTCAGGTAAGTTTAGAGTTCCATACAGCCAACTTTCAAATTAGCTTTTGTAGCACAACTCATTTGTAAATTCAGATTTAATGACACTTTATTTATTTATTTTTGAGACAGATTCTCACTCTGTCACCCAGGCTAGAGTGCGGTGGTGCTGATCTTGGCTTGCTGCAACCTCCGCTTTTTGGGTTCAGGTGATTCTCCTGCCTCAGCCTCCCAAGTAGCTGGGACTACAGGTGCGCGGCCCCAAGCCCGGCTAATTTTTTGTGTTTTTAGTAGAGGGGGTTTCGCCTTGTTGCCCAGGCTGGTCCGAACTCCTGAGCTCAAGTGATCTGCCTGCCTCAACCTCCCAACCTGCTAGGATTACAGGTATGAGCCACCCTGCCTGGCCAGATTTAATGAAACTTTATTAATCACTTAGTTTTGCTAATTACTATCTTTCCATAATGTTTTGAATACAACGCTATTGTAGTTAATACGTTGTTTTGCGGTTATTTGCTTACATGTCTGTTTCTGCTACTGAATTGTAAATCCCTTGAATATAGGGAAAATATATTTGTATCCCTACCATCTGAAAATAGTACCTGCATAGTATTAGATGGTTGCTAATTGCTTGTTTAATGAATAAATAAAAGGCATGGAATTAGGCAGGTTGACAATTATTGATTGATTTTATCCTTATAACCTAGTGATGTGTAGATGGCATTATTTCTGTTTTATAGACAAGGAAACTGAAATGAAGTGAAGTAAATTATTCCAAAGTATTTGACTGCTAAGTAACAGTACCAGAAAGTTGGAGATCATATGTATTTTTTTACCAATTGGGGATCATGTGTATTTTTTTTTTCCAGTTCTTTGTATTTGCTTTACAGCTTTCAAAGCGATTTTATATTTTTTGTCCTCCTTCATCCTTATACCAGCTTTGGTAGGTAGGCAGAGCAGGTACTATTCTCATTTTGCAGAAGAAGAAAGTGTCTGTCAGAAAAGTTAAGTGACTTCCCCATTGTTACACAACTGATAAGTGCTTGGGCTAGTTGTAGATCCTAGGTCTTTTGACTGCTAGTCTAATGCTGCCTCTACTACACTGCATTACTTAAATGCTTAATGAACAAGATTGGAGGAACACATAAACAACATTCATAGTTTATATCTATTGGCATTTCAGTAGATATTCACTCACATAATTATAGGAAAAATAGAAAAAAAACTTGTGGCATGCATTAAGATATTTGTGAGGAAGTTTAAATTTGCCTTGAGAACAAAAAGACAGTAGAGCACTGATAATGAAGAGTACATGCTTAGAAGACGAAATTGGGAAATTTTTTTTCATGCTTCTAATCATCTTGAATCAATAGACGTATATATTGCACATGAAAATTAAGGCCTGATTTTCCCTTTCAGGGAGTTGTTGATTGGAAGAAAATTCTCTTTTTTCCAAATGCTTTTGGTATGGTCTATATAGATTTGTAGTTTCTGTCTTCATTCCATTTCATTCATTTGCTCTGCATAATATAATACTAGTTTAGAATATAGAATGCAAAGACACATTTATGCAACATATTTTATAAAGGCAATTAGGTAATATATTTTTTTAATGTGTATATATACAGAAAAATTTTCTATCTACGAGTGAAACAGATCCATCTACTTTGGGAGTTTCTCTTCCTATTGGTGAGAGGTTATCTGCTAAGGTAGGTGGATAGGAGTAGTTATTGTGGGTACCAGTTTTCCGAGGCATCAAAATCATTAAAGAACATACTGCTGATTTAAATGCAAATGGAAGATCACATCATTTCCCCACACTTGAATATATTTCTATTTCAAAAATCCGTGGAGTCATATTTATGCTGTTTAAAAAAATTTTCTTGAACACAACATTTGTAACCATATAATTTTATATTTCTTTAATATGTTGATTCTTTTGCTGTATTCAGTTATACTTAACTGAATATTCAGAATTCATTTTTTTCAGCATTGATTTCTGACTATAAAGTTTATGCTATGTAACACAGTTATTGGAATAAGTGGATGTGAAATTATAGTGAGCTTTTATATAGGGTGAGGGTAAGGGTTCTTTGAATGTGTGATTCTGACACTCCATTAATACACGTCCATATTCCTTAGAGATGAAAGTAATAAAGCACTGTACACCTCTTGTAGTGACTCAGGTCTCACCAGAGTATATCAGAGATCATGAAATAGTATATAAGACAAAATGGACAGTTAATAAATTTCAAAAGACAGACCTAGTTTCTTTTTTTTTGAGACGAAGTATCACCCCGTTGCCCAGGCTGGAGGGCAGTGGCGGGGTCTTGGCTCACTGCAACCTCCACCTCCCCAGTTCAAGCGATTCTCCTGCATCAGCCTCCTGAGTAGCTGGAGGCAGGATTACAGGCCCCTGCCACCAAGCCCCGCTAATTTTTTGTGTTTTTAGTAGAGATGGTGTTTCACAATGTAGGCCAGGCTGGTCTCGAGCTCCTGACCTCGTGATCCACCCGCCTCAGCCTCCCAAAGTACTGGCATTACAGGCGTGAGCCACCGCTCCCAGCTGACCTAGTTTCTTTAGTACTTTTTTAGATTGTGTTGTTTTAGCGACACGGGAGTATTAAAATTTAAGAACATTTTTTAATCATATATTTATGTTTTAACAGAACATTTCATTATAATATTTTATAATCTGTGATAATTTTTCTTTTTAAGTTTAAAATATAAAGGATCATTTTTTAACCTTGGAAAGCAAATGGTTAGCAGCAGGTGCTTCAGGGGAGTGGGTTGGGCATTAGGAGAGGGAGGTGTCCCTGAGAAGGAAAGAAGGAAGGTAACCCCATCATATCTCTTTGGAAACATGCTAATGACAGATCTCCTGGCAAACACAATCATCATATTTACTAGTGGGAGAGATTTATCTCTGAATGCTTTTGGCAGAATACACCTGGTTTGTCTAGGATTGCTGTTGGGAATCAAACCTGGAATCTATGGATTTATGTGGCATGGCTCTTTGGAAAATGTCATCTAAGCTCTGTTAACTATTGGAGTGTAAAATGGAGATGTTTCATGAACGAAGCAACTCCCTTCTGTTAGAGACCTCATGTATTAATGGACCAAAGCATGTAGTCATGCATATTCTCATGTGACAAGAAAGACCTGGGGAGCTGTATGTGTGTCCTCAAACCTCTTCCGACTTCTCCCATGCCTTTCAGTGACATCTGTCCTTGAAATTATTAGTAAAGCTTGATTCTGGGTAAGAGTTCTGATATGTATGATTCAGATTTGACATTCTGATAGGACATTGAGGGATTTTTTTTTCCTGAAGTTGAATTTTAACATTGCCTTTTGATTTTTATTTTAAGGAAAGGTTGAAACTTGAACGTAACAAAGAATACAATCAGTTTCTCAGGGGTAAGGAAGAATCCAGTGAAAAGTTCAGGCAGGTGGAAAAGAGTACTGAGGTAGGTTTTGCTTTTGAATTAAATCTGTACTACTACTACCACAGGTTGAATATTTTGTACTTGAAAAGCTTTTTCTATTTTAGACATTTTACTTTTTTTTGTAAATACTTGCAAAATTAAGCCAAATTAAACCAAACACAGGACATTTAAATATTTAGTTTTGGAAGTTATTTTATCTCATATTGAAGAACTTTTAACATTTAATTGGGGAGATTTAATTTTAGAGATCAGTTTTGTTAAGTGATTTTCATTTATTTTTAAAAATTTAAATGAGTTTTTATGATGACAATTCCTAGCTATGTTTGTTTTTTTCAAAATTTAAGGATCAATTAGCCGGACATGGTGGCAGGTGCCTGTAATCCCAACTACTTGGGAGGCTGAGGCAGGAGAATCGCTTGAACCTGGGAGGCAGAGGTTGCAGTGAGCCAAGATTGCCTCACTGCACTCCAGCCTGGGTGACAGAGCGAGACCTGGTCTGAAAAAAAAAAAAAAAAAAAAAAAAAAGGATGATTGATGTATCTGGGGCCAAAACATTTACCACTTTCTATATCCTTTGTGTTGAGAATTTAATTTGAAATATTTTGAAGTAATATCTCCTGGGATAGGAATTTGCATTTAGTTTATCCTCTCTTTTTTTTTTTTTTTTTTTTGAGACGGAGTCTTGCTCTGTCACCCAGGCTGGAATGCAGTGGCACAATGTCAGCTCACTGCAACCTCCACTTCCTGGCTTCAGGCGATTCTCCTGCCTCAGCCTCTGGAGTAGCTGGGATTACAGGTGCCTGCCACCACGCCTGGCTAATTTTTGTATTTTTAGTAGAGTTGGGGTTTCAGCATGTTGGTCAGGCTGGTCTTGAACTCCTGACCTTGTGATCCGCCTGCCTCGGCCTCCCAAAGTGCTGGGATTACAGGCGTGAGCCACCAGGCCCTGCCACAGAAAGGTAAAATTTTCTTGAAATTTTTTTTTCTAAAAAAATATATGGGTGATTAATGTTGCCTAGGCTGGTCTTGAACTCCCAGGCTCAAGCAATCCACTGGCCTCCACCTAGAATTTTTATGTAATAAGCTTTTCATAAACTGCACAATTTGATGGGTTTTAGAATATGTAAACCACAATCAAGATAACGAGCGTATCCTGTATCCCCCAAAGTGGTTCTGGGACCCTTTGGAATCTGTGTGTCCTCACTGTCCTCCACTCATTCCCATACTGTCTCCAGATCTTCCTGACCTGACTTCTATCACCCTAGACTAGTTTACATTTGATCATTTACTATAAATGGATCATACAGGATATACTAGTTTTGGAGATATGGCTTCTTTCACTCGGTATGATTATTTTGAGGTTCATTTGTGTTGTTGAATGTATGGATGATTCATTCCGTTTTGTTGCATAGTAATGTTCCATTGCATGGCTGTATCAGCTTGTTTATCCATTCCCCTGTTGATGGACATTTGAGTTATTTCTGGTTTTTGCTATTACAAGTAAAGCTCATGTGAACATTAATGTAAAAACGTATATATATATAAATATATGGGTGATTAAATAAACATCAGAGTTGAAATGATAGACTAAGTATAAATTGAGGGTTTAATTACCTTATAAGAGATAGTTTCTTGTCAAGTTTTGTTTCTTTTTTCTTTTTTAATTGAACAGCCCAAGAGTCAGAGAAATAAAAAACCTATTGGTCAAGTTAAGCCTGATCTAACTTCACAAATACAGACATCTTGTGAAAATTCAGAGGGTCCTAGAAAAGATGTCTTAACTCCTTCAGAGGCATATGAAGAACTTCTGAACCAAAGACGACTAGAGGAGGACAGATACCGACAACTAGATGATGAAATCGAATTAAGGAATAGAAGAATTATTAAAAAAGCAAATGAAGAAGTGGGCATTTCCAACCTAAAACATCAAAGGTTTGCAAGCAAGGCTGGCATTCCAGATAGAAGATTTCACAGATTTAATGAGGATCGTGTTTTTGATAGACGGTATCATAGACCAGACCAAGATCCTGAAGTAAGTGAAGAAATGGATGAGAGGTTTAGATATGAAAGTGATTTTGATAGAAGACTTTCGAGAGTGTATACAAATGACAGGTATTTACAACTTCATTTTTATTTTATTTGCTTAATATAGCAAATTAATTGTTAATATTTGCTGTTGTTACTTTTTATCATTATACTAGGGAGAAGCAGTTTTGATTTATCATAATTAATTCTAAGATGCTGTCAGTTTTAAGATGCATCATTATTTTATGTCCCACTGAGGGGAAAAAGAAAACACTCAAGGTGGGGGCCCTGTTGTAAAGTTGGAAAACTGAAAGGCTACACCCTTTATGTAAAAGTATGTGAATTGGAAGTAGTCATTCCCACAGAAAGGGACAGAGAGGAAATGTCCACATCCCAACCTTGGCAGTGAGTAGAGAGTAAAGATACAAACAACCTTCCTTGAGAATTTGAAGTGTAAATTAGTAATGATTCAAGTTCACAGTCCGAATTCATACTGCCAGTAGCGTCCAAAGAAACCTTGAGGCAAGAATTCAGAGTTTTCTCAATTCATAGTGCTCTTGGATGAGGGGAAAAATAACTCTGCAATAACTTGACATAAAACCAGGTCATTGGCTGTTCTGACTTCCAATATTAAAATGTGGCCAGGCATGGTGGCTCATGCCTGTAATCCCAGCACTTTGGGAGGCCGAGGCGGGCGGATCGCGAGGTAAGGAGGTTGAGACCAGCCTGACCAACAGGGTGAAACCCTGTCTCTACTAAAAATACAAAAATTAGCCAGGCATGGAGGTGCGCATCTGTAATCCCAGCTACTCAGAAGGCTGGGGCAGGAGAATCACTTGAACCCGGGAGGCAGAGGTTGCAGTGAGCAGAGATCACGCCACTGCGCTCCAGCCTGGGCGGTAAGGTGAGACTCTGTCTCCAAAAAAAAAAAAAGTGTGGCTGGGGGTTGTGCCTCACGCTTGTAATCCCTGCAGTTTGGGAGGCCAAGGCAGGCAGATCACTTGAGGTCAGGAGTTTGAGACCAAACTGACCAACATGGTGAAACCCCATCTCTACTAAAAATACAAAAATTAGCCAGGCGTGGTGGGACGTGCCTGTAATCCCAGCTACTCGGGAGGCTGAGGCAGGAGAATCGCTTGAACCTGGGAGGCAGAGGTTGCAGTGAGCCGAGATTGTGCCACTGAACTCCAGCCTGGGCGACAGAGCGAGACTCTGTCTCAACAACAACAATAAAAATAAATGAATAAAATAAAACGTGTGAAAAAAGGATACCTTAAAATAGATGAAATACAATTTATTCCTGTAGTCATAAGTTTTTTCAGTCAGATTTTCAGATGGTTTTCAGTTCCTTTGAATGTTTTTGTGACACTATTTATAATTTCTTAACTGCTACAATGAGGTTTTATTGTTGTATTTATCATACATTGATACTTGCCATAGTTTAACCTAACTTGTTTTGGAGATAGGAATACCTCAGGGTCTCATATTTGTCATTGACTTGTTTACTTGACAAGTGTTAATACATTTTGAGTAGCTTTTGGGACCTGCTTTATTTGCTAGTCCAAATAGATTAGTTTTTAAGTATTTTAGAAAATGTTTTCGGGGTAGTGCTGTACATTCAATATTCTAACTATTAATTACAATACAAAGCTTTTACAGTTCTTTGTCTTCTACATTCTGTAGCTGTTATGTCCTCACACAATATTTTTAATATTTACCTTGATTTAGGTAATTTGAATGAAGGATTAGAATTTGGAAATGGCAATTATAGTTTCTCTGATCTGAATCTAATTGTTTATACTTCAGAAAATTCTCCAAATCCTATAATGTTATATTTGAAAATGCTTATATGTAAGGTAATTAAAGGCTGACTAAACTAAAATAATTCAGTTGGGGAACTGCAAGTAATCTTTGACTCTTGGTGATAATGTCTCCTTTGTACATGAGAACTTCTTTTCCCTTTATGGTGTTTGTTTACGTTTAGGGTGAATGTAATGCATACCCTTTTAAGTTTGGAATTTTAAGAAACATAATGGTTGCTTCTTTGTTTTTTTTTAATCTATTACTTTTATAATTATATCCTGTGATAATTTTATACATGAACTAACAAATGAATATCATTCTATTTGAGAACTCTCATATCTTCTTATGTATCCCAAAATAAAATGAACTCCTTCAATATAAACTTTTCCAAATACTATTTAAGAATAGATTAAACATGAGGTTGAGTGAGAATAATTCTTGTTAAATACTTTAAAGTGTTTCTTCAATATATAAATCATATTTTTATTTCGTTTTTATATAAACTCTGACATCTCCAAGTGTTTTTTCTTATGTGTCTCTTTAACAATTTAATTTAAAATGGGATTTCTTTATTTCAGATTTATAGATTCCTTATTTCCAGCAAAAAAAAAAAAAAGACCAGTCATTCAGTAGTTTATAAATAGACTGGTTTAGGAGAAATGACTGTATTTGTGAAAATTTTGAGACTAAAGAAATGTGGAACTGAGTTTCATCTCTTGCTCCAAGCATTTATTCTTAACATACTATGCAATCTTGATCAGAAGTTCTTGACAAAAAATAATTATAATGTATTATGAGAAGTGCACAGTTAATTTTCCTTCATTCTTCTAAGTTTTCTTTGGTCTTTTTTTTTTTTTTCCTTTCCTAAAAGTCAGCATCTGGTAAATTCTAGTTTTGGTTTATAATAATTTTTTATTTTTGGTTTCAATTTTTCTCTACCCTATAAACGTTTACTTTTTTTTCATATACCATAATTATTAATGAAATATTTCCCCATACTTAAATATGGGAAAGCTAAAACTTTTCTCAGAAAATGATGTTGCCTTCCTAAACTCATATCATGAAATCACTGACAGCATTCTTAATTAACAAGGTGGTTAACACTGTAATTGATAGTTGCATTCTGTGTGTGTATGTGTGTTGTTTATTTATGCATATTTACCAATTCAAGTAAAATTTATCATGTTTTAGGAGCTTTCTAAAGTAGAATGTAATAGCATGTCTTAAGATACTTTGAAATTTATAAGCTCTATTTAAATATAGTAATCCTAGTCTTATTTATTAACTTGAACTGTAGAAGTTAATATTTTACTTTATTATCTTTTACTTTAACCAATGTTAATGAATAAAAGAAGTTTTACTTCTTAATACCCAAAGAAACCAGGTACAGAGTAGATGGGGTTGATAATAGAAAACACTGCTACCAAAGTAAATATAAAAATTGGGAAAGAATGGAAAACAAAGAGAAAAATGATTGTCCACAGTTAACATCTCAGAGTGTTTCATTAGCTTCTTTTTTTTTTTTTAAAGATTAACATGTGTTCATTTTTAGGATAAACTTGGCCTGTACCCTATACCTGGTTTCTTTGGGTATTACGATTTTTACCTGATCAACTAGAGTTGTTGACTCTTGTCTTCAAGGAAATAGGGAGAAAAATATTTTTTTCATTTAAAATACCTTTTTTTTTTAGTTAGTAGGATGGTGAAACCATTTTGCAGTTATTTTATTCCCTCAATCATATCTGATTTGCATTTCAAAGTTATGAGTTCTGTCCCTTTGTGACAAAACCCAACATGTTAAGGTGTGGTAAGTGAACTTATATATTAAAAGCCATAGAATATTTAGATAGATTTTCTATGGCTATACCACCCTGGAATGTGCCTGATCTTGTTTGATGTTGGAAACTAAGTAGGCTTGGACCTGGTTAGTAATTTGGTGGGAGAGTATTTAGATAGATTACTTTTGGGTCACAAGGATAGTCTTAATCTGGTACTCTCACAGTGAAACATAAAGGGGTTCCAGGGACAAACTGAACCTAAACAGAACTCCTGAACTTTGATTAGAATCAAATGGTTCTTAGACATTTAGTGAGTGCATTACTTTTGGATATTATCATCTGTCTGTTTTCCTTTAATGTTGAGATGATTGAATAGAGATGTAGCCGTGGTAAAACCACTGCTGATTCTTACTAGTTGCTTTCTTCAGAGAGGACTTTTTTTGTTCAGAAAAGGTTACAACAATAAATTGTAAGACCATAAAAGCTGTTTTAAGTGAACTAACAGAGCTAGTTCTGGGTGATTAAATGCTAAATTTATTAGAAATATAAAGGCCAATTTAGTAAATGAAGGAAATGCCATAAAAATTGTAGGGATATTTTAATAGAGAATAAGGTGGCTAACTTACCAAACTATAGTTTGTCTTTTCAGCTTAATTTCCCTTCAAGGTTTCTTTTTTTTAGGTCTTACATTGGTAATTTAAAAAAAATTATAAAATCTGTATTTGTAAACAGTAATTCTTCCTTGACTTAAAAAAGATAAACAAATCATATGTCATTTCATAAAATTGAATAGTATCCCTAAGATTTTATTATCTTTTTAGTGAAATGCTTATTTCTGCTCTTTTTTAGCCTCTTAAACATTTTTCGGTCTTGATCTTATAATTATTGGTGACAGAGTGGACTTTTATAATCTTGTTAATGATTTTTTTCTTCAATGAAAGGTATACCTTAGAACATCTTTCATATGTGCTGCTCACTAGGAAATCTTTTGATTTTGCTGTAGATTTTAGCAAAGAGACCTTAACCTTATACATAAATAAAATCATTTCTTAAATTAATTTAGGATGAACTTTGAAAATGACCTCTTGTGTTTATGGTGTTTGCTTTACTATCTATATACACTGAAGAGACTGTAAAAGATTTTTTAGTGTGGATACCTTGGGTGCAGTGGTGGTATAAAGATAAGCTAGAATTATTAATCTAAATATTATCTTCAGAAAACTTAACTAATAATTAAGGAAGCCACAAGCCCTATGTTAATTTTAGAAAAAGCTTTTGTATATTTAACTGGCCTTTAATTCTGGGACCCCAAGTTATGCTTTTAAGAATTTGTAACTTTAAATTTCTATTTAATTTTTTTCTTTTTTTTTTGAGACAGGGTCTTACTCTGTTGCTCAGGCTGGAGTGCAGTGGTACAGTCTTGGCTCACTGCAACCTCTGCCTTCCAGGCTCAAACAGTCCTCCCACTTTAGCCTCCCAAGTAGCTGGGACTATAGGCATGAGCCGCCGTGCCCGGCCTCTGTTAAAAAAATTTGTAATAAAGATTTCTTTATTATTAAAGAATATATATATATATATAAATAAAGATTATTTTTATATGTAATTTTTTTTTGGCCTAGATACCTCTTTACTACACCAGTGAATTTACTTTTTGTGTTGTGTCATGGGTTCTCAAGAAAACCTCTAGGTTGGGTGATTTGCTAGGAGGATCCATAAGGACTTTGGGTATAGTTGTAGTCACAGTTATAATTTATTACAGCAAAATGATACAATGCAAAATCAGCAAAGGTAAAAGGCACATGGAACAAAGTTTGAAGGAAACCAGGCACAAGCTTCCAAGGGGTCTCTCCCAGTGGTGTCACACAGGAGATGCTTAATTCCTCCAGCATTGAATTGTAACAATATAAGGAAATGTCTGCCAGGAAAGCGATTAGACACTTGGTGCCCAAGGTTTTTATTGTGGGATGGTTACGTAGGCACCCTGTACCTGGCATGTACCAAAATTCCAGACTTCCTGAAGAAAAGCAAATGTTTAGCATAAACTATAGTTTGTGTAAACAGTTTAAGCACAGTGAGCTGCTCTTATCAGTTCTGCCAGTGGTTGTAACTCTCCCAAAATCTATATTCCCAGGTGCCAGCCAAGGGTCAACTGTACAGTCAGGATTTTCTGAGGATAGGCAGTCTCAGGCCTGCTCTGTTAACGCTTTTCTGCATTATATATAAATATCCAGTATAATTAAATCTGGTTGCCTGGCAGTGTTAATTACAAATTTGAATTTGAGTTTGTATTTACCTGTTTGTTAAGTGGTAGAAGTAGGGAATGACACTAAACTGATGTGTCATTCACACATCAGAATGTGTGTATGTGATCTGTGATCGATTAAAAAATGGAAGCCATTCATGCGTTATGCCATGTCATAGTTACTAAGATTAAAATTCCAAATAGTGTTTTCTCCACAGATGATATTGACAGTGGCTTGTATGATGGAAACAAGGGAAGAAAGAATTTTATATGCTGGTTCTGTGGAGAGTGAGAAGTTTCTTTTTTTTTCCGGAAAATTGCCATTTTTCTTAATCCAATAATGAAATTCACCTAAAATACTGAATACTGCTTTAACAACCATATTTCTTTGTAATAGTCCTCTTGAGAAAGACAATATAGTTGGGTAACTCAACAGCCATGTAAAGAAACTTTGAAATGCTTATGAAATGCTGATTTTCACGGATGCCAATAAGTGTTGGTGTAAAAAGTCATGTTGGTTTTATGGTATGAGAAATTAAGCTAAAAATAAAATCAGTGTTTGCCAAATGGAAAAAAGATTGATTGAAAAACATTTTTTCATTATTATTTTCCAAAAAGGTTTTTAAAGAAGAAAACAGAAAACATGCTAATCTTTCTTTTTGTTGTTTATGACCTCGTAAGTAAAGTTAGCTAATCATTTTCTCTGTTTATATTTTCCATTCACCTATCAGTAACATTTATTCTTTCCTGTGATTTACAGTGTTAGCAAATGTCATGGTTTGTTATATTTTATTTAATTTATTGATAAGACTGCTGCTGTATTTTTAAGTTAAAAAGGTTATGACAGGTCGCGGTGGCTCATGCTTGTAATCCCAGCACTTTGGGAGGCCAAGGCGGGAGATCACAAGGTTAGGAGATCGAGACTATCCTGGCCAACATGGTGAAACCCTGTCTCTACTAAAATACAAAAAATTAGCCAGGTATGGTGGTGCGCGCCTATAGTCCCAGCTACTTGGGAGGCTGAGGCAGGGGAATCACTTGAACCCAGGAGGTGGAGGTTGCAGTGAGCCGAGATTGTGCCACTGCACTCCAGCCTGGCGACACAGCAAGACTCCGTCTCAAAAAAAAAGAAGGTTATACGTACAATGAAATAATTCACAGACTCTATGAATTTTGATTTAAAAAATGTTCTCATTTTGAATTTTGACTATAATCTTTGTGAGTGCAGGGACTGTGTCCGAATACCCAGTAGGTGTTCAGTTATTCACTTTTAAATTGAATGATAAAAAAGTGTTAGTATATTTGTAGTTTTAAAAATAAAAATTTATAGCAAGTACATTAAAATAACATAATCTTTTTAGAAAAGATTATTACGTTTAAACTCTTAGTGTCTCATTAACCAGCAGATCATACAAATTCTATTTAATTTTATAATGCATTTATAGTAAAACTTCATTATAACACTTTGTTCCTTTTAATGTTGCCAACATCAAATGTAAAAACACCAAACTGTTATAAGAAGGTCCACTGTATGTGGCACATGCTTTATAAGCTAATGTGTTTTTAAGGATGCACAGGAACAAACGAGGGAATATGCCTCCTATGGAACATGATGGGGATGTTATAGAACAGTCAAACATAAGAATTTCATCTGCTGAAAATAAAAGGTACAGTATGTAATATAAATTCTCTGCTTTAGTCATTACATTGTGAAACAGAATGTGCCTAAAACTGGCTAACTGAAAAAGTAGAAAGATACAGTAAATTAACAGCCTTCCTTCTTAGTGAGAAGTGAATTAAAGGAAAAGAAAGGTGGGGAGGTAGTACTAAATGAAAATCGATAGTACTTTACAGCATTCTTTTAAAGAACAAGTTTTGGTTATAAAGTGTGCCAAGGTGTTCTGAAGAAGTCCCTATCATTACAAAGTATGTAAATTTGTTTGAAATAATAAAAGAAATAAGTATAATTTAATGGACTAAAAATCAACTTAAAATATCTTAGAGTCATGGTGATGCAACTTGACTGGAAATAAATTGAAAATGTGGCCGGGCCTGGTGGCTCATGCCTGTAATCCCAGCATTTTGGGAAGCCGATGCAGGCGGATCACTTGAGGTCAGGAGTTCAAGACCAGCCTGGTCTGGCCAACATGGTGAAACCCAGTCTCTACTGAAAATACAAAAAAAAAAAAGAAAAAGAAAAGAAAAAATTAGCCAGGCGTGGCAATCCCTGTAATCCCTGGTAATCCCTGTAATCCCAGCTACTCGGGAGGCTGAGGCAGGAGAATGGCGTGAACCCAGGAGGCGGAGCTTGCAGTGAGCCGAGATCGCACCACTGCACTCCAGTCTGGGCAACAGAGCAAGACTCCCTCTCAAAAAAAAAAAAAAAAAAAAAAAATTGGAAATGTTCCTGTGGTGTGAATTTTTCTTTCAAAAGTTTATTTTTGATTTTCAGTTTATCAAGTAGATAGCTTTTATGCCTACTTTGTAAAATTAGTGCTCATATATTTCTGTCATGTTGAAAGGAAATTGTATGTATTTTATATTTATGTTCTCTTTCTACTTACAGTTTTTTATCATTTTGGTGGCATTCCTGTGTCGTACATAAGGATAAATGATTTTGAATCTATAGTATACAGTGAAGATAATGTCATATGTCAAGAAAGATGTCTATTTTTTTCTAAGAAAAGTAATATATAAACACTGCTTGCAATAAGATAATTTGCTGTTTTGTTCTAATTGATTAAGTTTCCTTTGAGGATTTTTTTCCCCTTGTTTCTGTCTTCCAAGAAAGGTTTTTTTTTTTTTTTCTTTTTTGAGACAGAGTCTCGCTTTGTTGTCCATGCTGGAGTGCAGTGACATATTATAGCTCACTGAAACCTTGACTTTACAGGCTCAAGTGACCCTCCCACCACAGCCTCTGGAGTAGTTGGGACTACAGGCATGTGCCACTATGCCTGGCTAGTTTTTTAAAAAATTTTTTTGTAGAGTCAGGATCTCTGTTGTCCAGGCTGGTCTTGAACTCCCAAACTCATGGTGGGATTACAGGCATGAGCCATTGCGCATGGCCAGGAAGGAGTGTTTTTAGGGATGATCTTTTCTAAGTATGTGCATAGATCACTCTTTCTTTTCCTTTTTTTTTATTTTTTATTTACGTGCACTTTTTTTCTTTTTCTTTTTCTTCTTTTTTGAGACAGAGTCTCACTCTGTCACCCAGACTGGAGTGCAGCGGCACGATCTCAGCTCACTGCAATCTCTGCCTCCTGGGTTCAAGTGATTCTCCTGCCTCGGCCTCCCGAGTAGCTGGGATTAGAGGCGTGTGTCACCACGCCTGGCTAATTTTTTTGTATTTTTAGTAGTGATGGGATTTCACCATGTTAGCCAGGCTGGTCTCGAACTCCTGACCTCAGGTAATTCGCCCGCCTTGGCCTCCCAAAATGCTGGGATTACAGGCATGAGCCACTGCTCCCGGTCTTACATGCACATATATATATATATATATTTTTTTTTTTTTTTTTTTTTTTTTTACTGGGGTAGCTGTTTTTTTATGAAAAAGGATTTTTTTTTTTTTTTTTTTCGAGACAGAGTCTTGTTCTGTCACCCGGGCTGGAGTACAGTGGCAGGATCTTGGCTCACTGTACCCTCTGCCTTCCAGGTTCAAGTGATTCTCCTACCTCTGCCTCCCAAGTAGCTGGGATTATAGGCGTGTGCCACCATGTCCAGCTAATTTCTGTATTTTTAGTAGAGATGAGGTTTTACTGTGATAGCCAGGCTGGTCTCAAGCTCCAGACCTCAAGCGATCTGCCTGCCTTGGCCTCCCAGGGTGCTGTAATACAGGTGTTAGCCACCACGCCCAGCCTGAAAAAGATTTTATTTGAGAACCTATACAGCCAGTGAAGCAAGCTGAATGTTTTTGTTTTTGTTTTTGTTTTTGATATGTGTCTCACTCTTGTTGCCCAGGCTGGAGCACAATGATGCTATCTTGGCTCATTGCAACCTCTGCTTCCTGGTTTCAAGTGATTCTCCTGTGTCAGCCTCCTGAGTAGCTGGGATTACAGGCCTCCACCACTGCACTCAGCTAATTTTTTTGTATTTTTTATTAGAGACGGGGTTTCACCATATTGGCCAGGCTGGTTTCCAACTCCTGACCTCAGGCAATCCACCCACGTAGGCCTCCCAAAGTGCTGGAATTACAGGTGTGAGCCACCATGCCTGGCCAAATTATTATTAATTTTTTAAGCCTGAATACATTGGAGTTGCACTGTATAAAGAGATAGAATGCCATGATTTTACCTTAACCTTAAAAATTTGTAAATATTTTAATGTCCATAGTACTTTGAAAGGCTAATAATTCATAGCTACATTTTACTCTGAAATTTTGCTTCCTGAAAATTATCTGGATTTTAATTTACTCTTTTTCTCTGTCTTTTTTTCTTTAGTGCTCCAGACAATGAAACATCCAAATCTGCTAATCAAGATACCTGTAGTCCTTTTGCAGGGATGCTCTTTGGTAGGCACAAAACTTCCAACTAGTTGCGCTTGTATAGAGTGTCTTATAATCCTTTTTTAAGTGAGAACTCAGTGTTGTAATTAATACTATTTTTACTAATAGTAGAAAATATTTGTAAGTGCTTACTTTACACTAGGTACTATTCTAATCATTTAACATATATAGCTCTGTATAATTTTATTTTGTATTTTTAAAATTTTATGTATCTTCTTATTTTTACTCATGATGTTCATGAACACATCTATGTATAATTTTAAAGCTAAATTATTTAGTGATGTGCTTTCCGTAGGTGATAATGAAATTATTAGTTTCAGTAATCTTTTTTTTTTGCAAAATGGATTGATCATTACCAATCAGTAATGAGCTTTTAATTCCATATTTTATTAGCACTCTGTTGCAGTGTGGCTGTTTCTTTTCTGCTTTTAAAAAGTATTTTGTTTTATTTATGATAGTTTTTTCCTTAATTCTTCTTTCTAGTTTCTTTAGCTAGTACAAAACTGCTGTGTATTTTAGTTTCTTTTCTCCAAATTAAACCTTTCTTTCCTTTGTTCTTTTCATGTAGTTTCTGAGAAGGTGTTTTGTTCAAATCGTGATGATGGTCTAAATTTTCTATTTATTGGAAGTCAAGGTCATTGCTGAATATAAGCTTGTTTTGCTATATTACACTTGGCAAAATTTAATACCAGAAACTGTGAGGAGAGACTTGTTTCTGGTTTATACCTTTAAATATGTAATAGAAAAGAGGTCTTTTTGTGAAAACTGTTAGAAAAAAATGAACTGAAATTTGGTTTTAGTAAAGTATATGAAGAAATTAACACTCTAGATTCATTCAACGTAAAAACAGTCAGTAAATTAAATACTGGTTTAGAGACATATTATTGCATTATATTGTCAGGTTTTTGTTCCCTTGTGAATGGCTATTGTGAGAAAAATGGCATGCCACCTAGAATTCTAGTGTAATATCTGTAGGTGAAAATTGACCAGTTTAATCAGTACCATGTAAAGGCTATATTCTTTTTGTTTTGTTTTTATTTATTTATTTTATTTTAAATGGCTATATTCTTATGTTTTGTTTTTTTTTTTTAATTTTGAAATTGAGTTTCGCTCTATCACTGAGGCTGGAGTGCAGGGGCACGATCTTGGCTCACTGCAACCTCCACCTCCTGGGTTCAAGCGATTCTTGTGCCTCAGTCTCCTGAGTAGTTGGAATTACAGGCATGTGCCACCATGCCTGGCTAATTTTTGTATTTTTAGTTGAGACGGGGTTTCACCATGTTGGCCAGGCTGGTCTCAAACTCCTGACCTCAAGTGATGTGCCTGCCTTGGCCTCCCAAAGTGCTGGGATTATAGGCGTGAGCCACTGTTCCCGGCCGATGTAGTTTATAAAACATGGTAAAATAAGAGAAATGTCTTTCTGAGCTGAGAGCCTACTGATAAATAATTTTATCAATAAAAGGATTATTGTACCCTGACCTTTTAAAGATGAATGGCATGAGTTTATCACTAATGCAATCCAGGATTTATAGATGAATATTTGGTAAGACAATGGACTCTAACATTTGAAACTGTTAAAGTCATTTAATTCAATGACTTACCTCCTGGTTGATCTTTTCCCCCCAAAACTATGTTTGTACATACCTATAGGAAACTTACGATTTCCAGAGACAGGACATTCCATCTTCAGATGGCTGTGATTGTTATGATACTCTTATTTCAATTGAACTGAAATTTATCTTCCTATAATTTTGCCCCAAGGATGTCACTTGGGACCTTTTGCTTTATTTAAAAAGTGAGATCATTGATTTAGTTTAGAGCTAAATAGGAAATGTATTGTGGGGTTTATAAGAGAACCATAGGTAATTTAGAAGTATGTTTTAAAATTTCCAAGCATTTGGGGATTTTCCTTCTATCTTTTTTGTTATTGACTGCTCGTTTAAGCCTCTTATGATCCAAGAATATAATTAGATTAATTTCAGTTATTTCAAGTTTGTTAATTTCTTTGACAAAGTTTTTTTTTTTTTTTTTTGTTTGGGTGGCTCAGAATATAGTCTGTCTTGGTGAGTGTTTAGTATGTACTTGAAAGAATGTGCATGGTGCAGTTGTTGAGTATAGTAGTTGATAAATGTCATTTAAGGTTGGGTGTGGTGGCTCACACCTGTAATCCCAGCATCTTAGGAGGCTGAAGCAGGAGGATCACTTGATTGAGCCCAAGAGTTTGAGAGCAACCTGGGCAACATAGGGAGACCATGTCTCTACAAAAAGTAAAAAATAAAAAAATTAACTGGGTGTGGTGGCATGCACCTGTAGTCCTAGCCACTTAGGAGGCAGAAGTAGGAGGATTGCTTAAGCCTGGGAGGTTGAGGCTGCAGTGAGCCGTGATTGTGCCACTGTACTCCAACTTGGGTGACAGAGTAAGACCCTGTGTCAAAAAAAAAAAAAAAGAGTTAAGTCAAGTTGGTTCATCGTATGTTCATGTCTTGTATATCCTTAATGAATTTTATCTGCTTCTATTGATTGCTTAGAGAGAAGTGTTGAATTCTCTATCTTGTCCTTCGTGTGAGGCCTGGAGTGCCAGAGAGATTTTTCTTAGTGTTCCTGCACTTTCCCCAGTTTTCAGCAAGACCTTCATGTCCTTGACAGTGAGGGCATCTCTCCCTCCACACTTTCCCCTTCTCCGCAGTATATTGCTGTTGATTGTTACTTGATGCTGGACTGGTCCTGTGCATCTGGGCCTCAGGGATGGGTCTTTCTCAACATTACTGTCCTTGCCCAGGATGATAGCTAAACTCTTCTTTGTGTCTGAGGAGGGTTTTGCATCAGATTTTTCACCAGATTTTTTTGCCCTTCCCCTAACAGTAACAAGCCTTTGCTATATAAGAGTGTGGGATACTGGGTCCAAGCTGATTTTCTGTCCCTTCACCAATAGCTTGCAGCTTTTGCTTTGTATAGTCTGCTTTGAAAGTCTGGAATGTGGGCCATGTTTTGTGCCTGAATGTCACAAAAGTATCTCTTTCAGGTCTTCTGTATTGTTTGATCCCAGTTTTTCTAGTGAACATTTGAAAATTGCATTCAGGCAGCAACTCCAGTGGGTCAAGTCTGGGCATGGTTTACTGAACAGATCCTTTGTTAATGGTCTCAAAAGGCTATAATCAAGGTATCCGCCAGGCTGCCTTTTAACCGGAGGCTTGAGTGGGGCAGAATCTTCCTCTAAGCTAATTCAGGTTGTTGGCAGAATTCATTTCTTTGTGGCTGTATGACTGAGGGCCCTGGCTTCTTACTGGATACCCACTGGAGGCTGCCCACAGTTCCTAGTGGCCATCTGCTGTTCTTGTCATGTGGGCTTCCTCACCATGGTTACTCACTTTATGCCAGCAAGAAGAATCTCTAAATTCAGGGAGGGCCCAGTCCTTCTTCTAAGGGCTTTCACCTGATTATATCAGGTCCACCTAAGATAATCTCTCTTTTAATTACTTCAAAATTAGTTGATTTGGTACCTTAGTTACATCTGCAAATATTTTTCCATCCTTCCATATTCTATTGTATACAAGTAAGTTACAGGTCCTACCCATTCTCAAGGGGAGGGAATTATACAGGGATTCAGCTGGGAGCAGGGAACATAGTAGCCATCTTTAAAAAATTTTGCCTACCATTGTCGCATTTCTCTGTTACTAATGTTGCAATCTCACACATGCTCCTTAATGTAGCAGTTTCTCATTGTCCGAACTAGTACCCCAGGTTCTTTGTCCCATATCCGAGAAAATTAAGAAACATAGACACAAAGGTGGGGTTGGAGTGAAAGTTTAATAAGTGAAAGAAAAAAAGCTCTCTGCAGGAAAGAGGGGAGTCCAAGTGGATGGCGGGGTTACAGCTGAATTAAAAAGCTTTTGTAAGAAACTCTTCATCTCTGTAGGAGTTTGAGTAACTTATTTTATCAGTAAAGCTGTCTGTGCTACTCCCGTTATCTTATACAGCTGTGGGTACGTCTTTAGGCAAGCAGAAATCGGCTTGTCTTGTTTGTATAACTGTGGGTTTGTTTTAGATAAGCCACCCCCGCCCCATCCCCATGCAAGTTCCCACCATGAATATGCCTAAACTGGGGTGGAAACTTTTTCCTGGGAGTTCACTAATTAGACAAAGAACAAAGAGCTCTGTGCTAGATCCTGTTTGCTTATCTGTCCAGGTGCAGTCTGAGGTTTTTTTTTTTTCCCCAGGTTGTTTTATTTTTGCCTGTTGCTGTGACTTTTCAAGCAGGCTGCTTCTGCAGTCTGAATTTTTTCCCAAATGATTTTTCCTTTCCTTCTCCCTCACTAAAGACCAACTTGATCTAAGTTCAGTTTTAAGCTTAGCTAAGGACCTCTAGAGTAGCTTTCCTTTCAGAGAATAGTTTAGTCTTACTACTACAGAGTGACCTTTCTGACATGTTCCCTGAGAGACCACCAAGAACATAGCTGGCTGGAGCTTGAATTTTGCTCCTTTGTTTCAGGTCTGAGAATTGTTCAGTTTATATCCTTCTTAGTTTGTTGCCAGGCCAAATGGAATTTCACTCTGTGAATGCACAAACTAGCACACTGCAAAGTCTGAAGGGACCTCCTGTGGATTTCTGGAGCTCTTTTTATGCTTCCTATTGGATCTTTGCTCCATAACTTCTAGCCATTTTAGCCTTCCTGAATTTTGCTCTTTATCTACTCAATTTAGCTCAGTTTCCTGGCCCTCTTTGGGTTCTCTTTACCTCTTTACCTGTATCTGTGGTCTGGAAATTTCATTTGGGCAGAAATTGGGTGATTATAGGGCTCACCTCAATTACAATTCTGCACTACCTATTGTCCAGTATCTGGAAAACAATTATTTTGTGTATTTTGCGCAGTTTTCTAATGTTTCTGTTGTTGTTGTTGTTGTTGTTGTTTATTTGTTTTTTAAACTGTGAGGTTAAGTCTTGTGCTTGGTTATTCTATCATGGTCAGAAGTGAAATGGGAATATTTACTTTTATTATAAAACACAGTTATTAACCTTAATGTAATTTATGTTACCTCTACGGGAGCTTCACTTTTGCTGACATCTATGCTTAATGGACAAACTGAGATGCTGTGTGCCCACTGATGGTTGGAGACCAATAATGAAGGCAGTACAGAAATTGCTGTTTCAATTGCATTCTTGATACCCTGTGATTTTTGTAGTGTTCCAGATCTTGCATATTTAGATTAAGAGGTTATTTTGTGGCATTAACATATGCAATAATAATAATCTTCTCTGCATTCAAAATTTTTGATTAACTGGATTTTTGTATAAGGAATACCAAGGTGAGAGGTTTGTATTTTTTCCTGTAGAATTGAGTTTTTTGAGCAGAGTGCCAGTTTGATTAGTGTATTTTATGACAGTTAATATTACATAGTGTACTGGATCTATTGGAGCAGGGAGAAGGGAGTTGGGAAGACTGGTAATTAGTTAGGAAGTTATTGCTGCAATCCAGGTTAGATGTAGAGAGGACTTATCCAAGGTTAATGGCTCTGAGAATAGAAAGGAGGGGGCCTCATATGAAGTGAATAGAAGAGGACAAGCAGTCCAAGTTATAGTGAGATTTTGAGGCTCCAGTATTGGGCCATTAGTAGAAAATGAAGAGGGGCAGTTGGTTTTGAGATGCTCGTTTGCGATTGAAATGTTAAATTTGTAAGACTTATGGAAGATATTAATGGAAATATTATTTAGATTGTTAGAAAAATGGGGTTGGGATAAGAACATTCTGTTATTTAGGAAAATTTTTGACTAATGGTAGAGGCATGGGCATGATTACTGTATCTTGTGTTTGACGCATAGTAGGTACCCATTAATTACAAAAGAAATTGAAGAAGGACTGATTCATGTGATTTTTTTCCTTCTGTATTTCTTGCATATTAGTAATTATATGATACAATTAAGATGGAGTTTTTAAGGACTTAACTTTCTAATTGCATACGATGCTTAAGAGTTAAGATTGTATTTTTCTCATACCACTATCTAGGAGGTGAAGATCGAGAACTTATTCAGAGAAGGAAAGAGAAATACAGACTAGAACTGTTGGAACAAATGGCTGAGCAACAGAGGAACAAGAGACGGTAATGAAAGGTTTGCATTTAAAAGAGATATTTTGAGTTTAAAGTGCATTTGTGTAAAATGACATGGTTAAATAAGGGGTTGTCGTTCTAATATGATGTTTGATTTGTAAATCACTTATATTTTCATCTCTACATGCTAAATCAACAAGGAAAATAAATACTAAGAGAGTTTTTTTTTTTTTTTTTTGGTCATAAGTAGCAAGTGAGAGTATTTATATATTCTGTAATAGCCCTTTTACTTCCCTCATTGATTTCTTCAGTTTTTGATTTAAGGTAGCATTTAATGTTATAGATATGCCCATTGGATTATCCCATATATAGTAACAAATATAAAAGTATTTTTTGCCATATGAAATGGTATGCACACACACATACATGCAAAAAAAATTGTATCCTATAAATTTAACATTTCCATCCCAAATGAGCATCTCAAAACCAACTGTCCCTCTTCATTTTCTATTAATAGCCCAATAATGGAGCCTCAAAATCTCACTATGACTTGGATTCCTTGTCCTCTCGTATTCACTTCATACGAGGCCCCCTCCTTCTTTCTATTCTCAGAGCCATTAATGTTGGATAAGTCCTCTCTACGTCTGACCTGGATTGCAGCAATAGCTTTCTAACTAATAACTAGTCTTCCCAACTCCCTTCTCCCTGCTCCAGTAGATCCAGCACACTGTGTAATATTAACTGTCAAAAAATACACTAATCAAACTGGCACCCTGCTCAAAAATCTTCAGTGGCTTCCTCAATTCTACAGGAATGGTAAATCACAAGTATTTATGTTGTACATAGGTATCATTGTTTGTAGTCTTTCTTGTTGAAATACCTATGAGATATTATAGTTTAAAATTAGGAATAGAGTTTAAAATTAGAAATTTTAAATATAGCTTAAAATTAGAAATTACAGTGGATCACGCCTGTAATCCCAGCACTTTCGGAGGCCGAGGTGGGTGGATCACAAGGTCAGGAGATCGAGACCATCCTGGCTAACACGGTGAAACCCCGTCTCTACTAAAAATACAAAAAATTAGCCGGGCGTGGTGGCACATGCTTGTGGTCCCAGCTATTCGGGAGGCTGAGGCAGGAGAATTGCTTGAACCTGGGAGGCGGAGTTTGCAGTGAGCTGAGATAACGCCAGTGCATTCCAGCCTGGGCGACAGGGTGAGACTCTTGACTAAACAACAACAAAAACAACAACAACAAAATTAGGAATAGAGATCTCGTTTTGAGAGAATTTGAGACCTGTTATCTCTTAGTTTTTGCCTTTTTTCCCTCTATCTCAGAGGAAGCCAATATCTACTGTTTGATGTTAGCTATCTTTAACATCATTTTTAAAAAAACCCTATTATTAGGAAGTATGGTAGATATATTTAAATTTTTACCCTTCTTTTTGCTAACTGAAAATATATGTGTACCCTAAAAGAGGTTTTTTTGTTTTACAAGGTAAATATTTTATTTTTGTGTTTTATTTTGTGTGAATTAGTCTTTGAAATACTCTAGGCATTGGCTTAGAGATACATAGTCCAAGTTAGTTACATGTGAATTCTAGTTTACTTTGTATCAAGTAAAAAAATTTGGCTTTCAGTATTATTTAAGGCTGTAATGTCAGTTAAAGGAATTATTTGTTTTTGTAGATGTAGTGCATAGACTTTGTGTATAAGCTTCTTTCAGTGATGATTTATAATTTTGATAGTTTACTATATCTTTTTAATATGTAAAACTTTAATTTTGTTTAGAGAAAAAGATTTAGAACTCAGGGTTGCAGCGTCTGGAGCACAAGACCCTGAGAAATCGGTAAGGGTTTCTGGCATCTTTTAATGTTTAATCTTTCATCAAATGATCCTCAAATGTGGTGGCAGGTGGGGATAGAGAATATTGGGAGAAAAAGAGAGTAGACCAATTTGAACAGTAATAAAATTAACTAAATTCAGTTCTCATAAAGTGTAAATTCTCTTAACTGTTATTTCCTTGAGGTAATTTTTCCTTTTTCATTTGTGTGTCATTTTTTTAAAGTTTAAATTAGTTCTCTCTGCTTTATTCACATGTACTATTCCATGGGAAAGTTATCTGGGTTAAATTTACAATTGATGTTAATATTTTTCTTGAATACATCTTGATCACTTACTTTTCTTACATTGGAGTGATTTCTGAGAAAACTGACGACTTTATTTTTAAAGCGTTTTAGTAATTGTTACTTATTGTAACATTAGAGAGATAATAATCTTATTTTTACTTTAATTTTGCAATTCTCATCATTAAGTGGAATGAATTACTCACATCATTGCAGTTAAGTAAGGAGGAGGTAATTTATTGTTTTTACCACAATTTATTTTTTCTGTAGTTGGTTATGTAATATTTATTTCTAATACAAGTCTTGTTTCATCTTTGAATGATGATTAAGACCTTTAATTTCATTAAAAAGCTCATTCTTAAAAAGGATGCAGCAACTTAAAATTATTTACCTGTAGGCAACTTTTGATTTGCTTTTACTTATGCTGAGAATATATCCTGTGGGTTATCTATTTGGAAAAGTTTCATATTGCACCAGCATCACTCGCAGTATGCTTCTGGGTTAACCTGATAAATCATTCCTGATAAGATAACCATGGTAGGAAAAAAAGAAGATAAATTTCAAAGCTAAATATATTTTCCTTTATGAATCAAAAGTTTCCTTTTAAGAGGTGAGCTTTTTAATGTAATATGTTGGCATGTTAAATTTTGTATTTATGGTTACACTAGTGTGTGACAGACCTTATTTATCTTTGAATTGAAGCTCCTATACAGTGTCAAGTTGATTTATGAGAATAAATAAGTAATTGGAGGCAACAGTTACGCCTTTACTTTTGGGTTTACTTTTGATGTGCAAATCTTAGAAAAGGGCACATAAGTGATGTTCTAAAGTAGAGATTAGCAAAGTGTGGCCTGTGACCAAATTTGTTTGCTACCTGTTTTCATAAAAAAAAGTTTTATTGCAGCACAGCCTTGTTCATTCCTTGACATACTGTTTGTGGCTGCTTTAGCACCATAGCTGAGTCTGCTCATTATGAAGAGACTATGTAGTCTTGCAAATCTTAATCTATTTACTGTCTAGCCCTTTACAGAAAGCATTTGCTGACCCTGTTTTACAGAATACTATAACAGAAATGGCAATTAGAGAAGTAGCACGGTGTCCTAGTACATAAAAAGAATACTACAGGTATATTTAAAATTAATATCTGACTCTAGTCTTTGCTTAATTATTTACTAATAGTGAGACCTTAGGTGATATATTACTTCTCAGAGAGCCTCAATTACCCATTTATAAAATAAGCATTAGATATTCAGAGTCTGGCTGGGCACAGAAGCTCACACCTGTAATTCCAGCACTCTGGGAGGCCGAGGTGGTCGGATCACTTGAGGCCAGGAGTTCAAGACCAGCCTTGCCAACGTGGCGAAACCCCCTTCTCTACAAAAATTAGCTGTGCGTGGTGGCAGGTGCCTGTAACCCCAGCTACTCTGAGGCTGAGGCAGGAGAATTGCTTGAATTCGGGAAGTGGAAGTTGTTGTGACCTGAGATCATGCCACTGCATTCCAGCCTGGGCGACACAGTGAGACTCTGCCTCAAAAATAAATAAATAAATAAATAAGATAGATAGATAGATATTCAGAGTCTTTTATAGCTGTAAAATTCTGTTATTCAGTAAATAAATAAATAAAAATAGATATTCAGAGTCTTTTATAGCTGTAAAATTCTGTTATTCTGTGACTGTCTTAAGTGCCTGCTGGGATAGGAGGTCTTTTGAGGTCCCTTCCACCTTTAAACTTATGATTATATGTAACAAACAGATTTTTTTTCTTTATTTTAGCCTGATAGACTAAAGCAGTTTAGTGTGGCACCAAGACACTTTGAAGAGATGATACCACCTGAAAGACCCAGAATAGCTTTCCAGACACCTCTCCCTCCTTTATCTGCCCCATCTGTCCCACCCATCCCATCAGTTCATCCTGTTCCTTCTCAAAATGAAGATTTGCGCAGTGGACTCAGCAGCGCCCTTGGTGAAATGGTGTCTCCCAGGTGCTTGTTTAAATGTTTTGTGTTTGGGAATTAGGTAAGGTATTGCTATATTTTATGTTTAGAAGGATATACTGAAGCGGATGACGTTATTCTTCAGAGATTTTGTACAGTTAACAGTTTTGTGAAATAAATTCTCTTGAAATTTGTTTTTTTCTCTGCTATTATAAAAAAAGGGAAATTCTTAAAACATTTTATTGTTTAAAGATGATTTTGTATCTTTAGAATGAATTACTAAGTACATTTTAGTATTTATTTAGTTTTGGGTTGTATTTTGGGATGTTTTTGATATCTTTTAACATATAAAAGTTGTACATTTTTTTCAATTTTGTTCTTTCCACTTGGCAAACATTGAATTCTTCAATTTGTGCAGAAAAAGTTTCTAATGTGGCTCTTTTACACATATAATTTTATTTTAGCTTCTGTTTCTTCAGCTCATTCTCTGTGATTACTTATGGGCTGTGTAACTCAAATACCTGAAATAAAAAGTGTTGAGATTATAAAACCTGTAATTTAAGTATTGGGGTAAAGATTTGATTTCTGTAGGTGAAAGGCATCACACTATAATAGAATATACATAAAGAAAATCCTGTTGTTAACACTGATATTTTCTGGGCTATACTTTCTTCTTTGTAGGGCCTGGGCTTATTTTTTGTTCACTGTTAGTGTATTAATTATAAAATATATTTAAATTTAGAGGTGTTTTTCTTAACTTTTTTGAACATTGATATTTTCTGGACTGTATTATTTCAGTAGAAGTTGGTCTTTTAGTTACTAACCAACTGTGGAAGTGTGTTTACTATACTTATCAGGGGCTTTGTGTTTTTTATCTGATGGCTTCCTGACTCAGGAATAGGAGGCATTGGAATTAACAGAGCATTTTATGGTGGTCTCAGCATTGAATTAGGGATTGAAATGGTTGGCTTTCCTATCTGGATTTTGGGCAAACCACACCTTTGTTGAACTTCAATTTTCTCATTTGTAAAAGTGGAGTAGTATTATATTTTTTTCATGTTTACAATTACAGGGTTGTGAGGATTAGCTTGTATAAATCTCTATGAAATTCGATTTAATGATGACAGCTCCCTTTCATAACAGTTATTTGACATTTTTGTTGATGTATTTTTGTTGTGAGGATGGTATAAGGTTTAGACACATTGAGTGGCTAGTAAATGTGAAAGATATTCCCTACTGAAGAGAACTTCCGTACCTTCTTAGTTCTTTGGAATTATTTTGAAGTATATGACAAGGGAGAACCTGTTAAGATACATACAACAGTGAGAACATTCTAGAATGCCGCCATCTCTTTCTATTCATTTAAAGGAATTTGCCTTTGCCATTTTTACTACTGAAAAATATTGCATTGGTAGCAATACAGAGATATTTCCTAATCAGTAATGAAGTGCTAATGTAGAGGTTTTTAGAAGTTTTAAATTTATGAAATACTTAAAGATTGTGTCAATACTTTACTGTTGGTATTTAAGTTGCTTTTATTTTACTATTAAGAAATACACTCGTTTCCTCAGTCAGACTGAACCATTTGTACTCACACTGTTTTGTAGCTCTTTGCCTTCTCTTTCTGGATTGTCCTTCCTCTAACACACACAAGCTCACTCCAGTAGCATGGCTTAAGCGTTGCCTCTTCTGGAAAGCCTTACATGTGCTTTCTTTCTCTCCCTCATGTGATTTAAATGTCCCTTCTCCTGTACCTATAGCAATCTGCATTTTTTGGGCTATATTGCTATTTAGTTTAATTTGCTTGTACTATTATTAATTATTTAATTTGCTTGTACTTGACTGTAGTTGTTTATTTTCATGTTACTCCTGAGGGACAGGGACCATGTTTGTCTTTATTTGATACTGGCACATAGTGCCTATTGGATATTAATTGATTGAATATTAACCCAGGTTTTTATCTTACATAAATGTACCTGAAATTGTGAAATCCTATGTAATAGTATTTGCTTTTTAAGTCATAATTTTTGGTGAATGATTGGAGCAAGATGGTGACATTTTCTAAAGTAGTGATAGGATTTTCAGTACTGTTTTTGCAAAAGAGTAACATCTTGATTTTTTAAAAAATTGCAATGAAATATGAGAGGAATTTTTCATCTTTCTTTTCATACAGGATTGCACCTCTGCCTCCACCTCCCCTACTACCACCTTTGGCTACTAACTATCGAACTCCTTATGATGATGCATACTATTTTTATGGGTCCAGGAATACTTTCGATCCCAGTCTTGCTTATTGTAAGTTATCTATAGGGTAAGCATTTTCTCCCCGCTTGGCTCAATAAGGAAAATTGTTTTTTTGTGTAAACAAAAAATATCTAAATGAGAAAAGCACAACTTTGCTTAATTCAGATGTTATATATTGATTTAATAAATGCCCTATTTTAAAGCCCAGTTATATTTTATAGTTATTTCCTTTTCATCTTGGTTTAAGAAATAACGATTGTGTTTTCTTATGTTGTTCTTTGCTAACTTCTAGCCCAGAAGGAAATATTGATGGTTTTCTCTATGTAACATTTTGATTATGCACCTTTTTCTGGAGGAATAAGTAAAATATTATTAAATGATTATTCTAAATAAACTTTTTTTGTTTTTTTGTTTTTTCTTTAAGATGGTTCAGGAATGATGGGCGTACAGCCTGCAGCTTATGTTAGTGCTCCTGTCACCCACCAACTAGCACAACCTGTTGTGTAAGTTATTAGTTAAAAGAATAATTTTTTCCCCACTTTTATTTTGTTAAGATACACATAACCTAAAAGCCACCATCCTAACATTTTAGAGTATACTATTTAGTGGTATTTAATATTTTCATAATGTGCAACCATCACCACAATCCATCTTCAGAACTCTTTTCATCTTGTAAACTGAAACTCTATACCCATTAAATAATAATGGTGTACCTCCTCATTCCCCTACCTCCGTTCTCTGGCAACCACCATTCTATGTCTCTGATTTTGACTACTCCATGTACCTCATATGAATAGAATCATACAATGTTTATCTTTTTGTGACTGGCTTATTTCACTTTGCATAATGTCCTCAAGGTTCATCCGTCTTTTAGCATATTTCAGAGTTTCTTTCCTTTTTAAGGCTGAATTATAATCCATTGTAATTGTATACAACATTTTACTTATCTAAAATCTATCCATTTATCCATTAGTGGACACTTTGGATTGCTTCCACATTTTGGCTATTTGTGAATAATGCTGCTGTGAACATGAGTTTACAAATATCTCTTTGAAATCTTGTTTTCAATTTTTTTGGGTCTGTACCCAGAGCTGGAATTGCTGGGTCATATGGTAATTCTATGTTTAATTTTTTGAAGAACTGCCATACTGTTGTCCACAACTGCTATACTTTTTAATATTCTCACCAGTAGGGCACAAGGGTTCCAATTTCTCCACGTCTTTGCCAATACTTATTTTCTTTTTCTTTTTTTTATAGTAACCATTCTAATGAGTGTAAGATGGTATTTCATTGTAGGTTTAATTTGCATTTCCCTAATTATTAGTGAGGTTGAGCATCTTTTCCTATGCTTCTTGGCCATTTGTATATCATCTTTGGAGAATTGTCTTTCCAAGTACTTTCCCATTTTTGAATTAGGTTGTTTGTTTTTTGTTGTTGAGTTTTCAGAGTCCTCCATATATCCTGGTTATTAATTCTGTATCAGGTATTTGATTTGAAAATATTTGCTCCCATTCTGTCTTGATATTGCCTTTTGATGCACAAAATTCTTAAATTTTCATAAAGTCCAATTTGTCTTTTTATTATTGTTGCCTGTGCCTTTGGTGTCATGTCTGAGAAATCATTGCCAAATCCAACATCCTGAAGCTTTTGCCCTATATTTTCTTGTGAGAGTTTTATAATTTTAGGTCTTATGTTGAGCTGTTTGAGTCATTTTGAGTTAATTTTTTTATGGTATTGCATAAGGGTTTGTCTTAGTTATTTTGTATGTGGATATTCAGTTTTCTTAGCACCATTTGTTGGAAAGACTATCCTTTCTGCATTGAGAGATATTGGCATTCTTGTTGAAAATCATTTGACCAAATATACGAGGGTTTATTTTTGGGCTATTTATCCTTTTCCCTTGGTGTGTATGTCTTCCTTTATCCCAGTACCTTAGTGTTTTGATTACTGTTGCTTTGAATGTTTTGAAATCAGAAAATGTGAGTGCTACAGCTTTGTTCTTTTTCAAAATTGTTTTGGCTATTTTGGATCCCTGGAGATTCCATATGAATTATGGGATGAGTTTTTCTATTTCTGCAAAAAAGTCATTGTGATTTTGGTAGTGAGTAGTGAGTGTATTGAATCTTTGGGTAGTTTTGACATTTTAACAGTGTCATGTCTTCTGATCCATGAACATAAGATATATGTCCATTTATTTATGTCTTTTAAAATTTCTTTCAGCAATATTTCATAGTTTTCATTGTATAGGTATAGGTCTTTCACTTCTTTAGTTAATTCTTAAGTATTTTATTCTTTTGGATGCTTTCATAAATGGAATTCCTTTCATAATTTTCTTTTCAAATTGTTCATTGTTAGTGTATAGAAATGCAGCTGATTTTTGGGTGTTGATTTGTATCCTGTTACTTTACTGAATTCATTTATTTTAATAATTTTGTTGTAGAATCTAGGATTTTCTGCAAATAAGATGATAACATCTGTGAACAGAGATAATTTTACTTTTTCTTTCTGATATGAATACTTTTTATTTATTTTTCTTTCTTTCTTTTTTTTTTTGAGACAGAGTCTCACCCTGTCACCCAGGCTGGAGTACAATGTTGTGAACTTGGCTCACTGCAACCTCCGCCTCCTGAGTTCAAGTGATTCTTCTGGCTCAGCCTCCTGAGAAACTGGGATTAAAGGCGTGCACCACTATGCCCGGCTAAGTTTTTGTATCTTTAGTAGAGACAGGGTTTCACCATGTTGGCCAGGCTGGTCTCGAACTCCTGACCTTGTGATCTGCCTGCCTCAGCCTCCCAAAGTCCTGGGATTACAGGTGTGAGCCACTGCGCCTGGCCCCTTATTTTTCTTTCTTAATTACTTTCTTAATTACCCTGACTAGAGCTTCCAGTACTATGTTTAATAGAAATGGCTAAAGCGGGCATCCCTGCCTTGTTCCTGATCTTAGAGGAAAAGCTTTCAGTCTTTCACTGTTGTGTATGATGTTTGCTGTAGGTTTTTCATATATATAGCTTTTATTATGTTGAGGTAATTTCATTCTATTCCTAGTTTGTTGAGTTTTAACGATGCAAGTGTTAAATTTTGTCAAATGCTTTTTCTGTATTGTGATGATCATGTTTTTTTCCCCTTTATTCTTTTAATGTGGTATATTGATTGATTTTTTTATGTTTAACCATAACCATCCTTGTTTTCCAGGAATAAATTCCACTTAGTCATGGTGTATAATCATTTTAATATGCTGCTGGATTTGGTTTGCTAGTATTTTGTTAAGGAGTTTTGCATCAGTGTTCATATGTGATCTTGTTGTAGTTTCCTTATACTGTCTAGCTTTGGTATAAGCATAATGTTGGGCTTATAGAAGGAATTAGGAAGTGTTCCCTCCTCTTGAACTTTTTGAAAAAGTTTGAGGATTTATATTAGTTCTTCTTTAAATGTTTGATAGAATTCACCAGTGAAACCATAAGGTACAGGGCTTTTCTTTGTTGGGTGATTATTGATTAGAGATTCAGTCTCTTTAGTAACTAGTTATATAGGTCTATTCAGATTTTCTTTTTCTTCATGATTTAGTCTTGATAGGTTTTTATTTCTAGGAATTTGTCCATCTCATCTAGGTTATCCGATTTGTTGGCATATAATTGTTGATAATATTCCCTTACAGTCCTTTCTTATTTTTAAAAGATTAATAGTGATGCCCCTTTGTGAATTTCTGATTATATTTTATTATTTATTTATTTATTTATTTTTCTGACCTCATTCTTCCCATCACAGAATTCCTGATTTTAATAGAAGATTCAGAGCCTTCTTGTTGGTCAGTGTAGCTAAGCATTTGTCAATCTTGTTGATCTTTTCAAATAACAAACTATTGGTTTGGTTGATTTTTTTTTTTTCTGTCGTTATTCTAGTTTCCATTTCATTGATTTCTGCTGTAATCTTTTAAATTTCCTCCCTTCTGCTTACTTTGGGTTCCGTTTGCTCTCATTTTTCTGGTTTCTAGAGATGAAAATCTAGATTATTGATTTGGTATCTTTCCCTTTGTTTGGTATGTATACTTACAACTATAAGCTTTCCTCTTAGTACTGTTTTAGCTACATCCCTTAAGTTTTGGTATGTTGTCTTTTCACTTTCATTGCTCTCAAAATATTTTCCAATTTTTAAAAATTTCTTCATCAACCTGTTGGTTATTTTGAAATGTGTTGTTTACTTTCCACATAATTGTGAATTTCCCAAATATCCTTCTGTTACTCATGTCTAATATAATTACATTGCAGTAGGAGAACAAACTTTGTATGATTTCAGTCAGTCCTTTTTAATTTATTGAGGCTTATTTTAAGACCTAACATGGTCTGTCCTAGAGAATGTTCCACATGCATTTGAGAAGAATGTGTATTGTCCTGTTGGTGAGTGTATTATTCTATAAGTGTCTCTTAGATCTAGTTGGCTTATAGTGTTATTTCTTTTATTTCCTTGATCTTCTGTGTAGTTGTTCTATTATTAGAAGTGAAGTATTTAATCTCCAACTGTTACTTTGTGTGTGTGTGTTCTGATATACAGTCTTGCTCTGTGTGTGTGTGTGTGTGTGTTTGTGTGTGTGTGTGTTCTGATATACAGTCTTGCTCTGTCACCCAAGCTGGAATACAGTTGTGAGACCATAGTTTGCTGTAGCCTCAACCTCCTGGGCTCAAGCAATCCTCCTACCCCAGCCTCCTGAGCAGCTAGGACTACAGCCGTGTGCCACTGCACCTGACTGATTTGTTTATTTTTTGTGGAAACAGGGTCTCCCTGTGTTGCCCAGTGTGATCTTGAACTCCTGGCCTCAAGCGATCCTCTTGCCTCAGCCTCCCAAAGTACGAGGAATATAGCCATGAGCCACCACACCCGGACTCCAACTATTATTCTTGACTTGTGTATTATTCTCTTCAATTCTGTCAGTTTTTGTTTCGTTTCTTAGGTCTCTCTTTATATGCATATGTTTATAATTGTGTCTTACTGAAGATTTGACCCTTTTATTAGTGTCAGAGATTCTTCTGTGTCTCTGCTAACAATTTTTGTCATAAAGTGCTTTTAGTTCTAATATAAATGTTGCTGTTCTGGTTCTCTTTTAGTACTGTTTGCATGGTGTATGATTTTTCGTATTTACTCTCAATTTATTTGTCTTTGAATCTAAAAGATGTCTCTATGTAGACAGAATGCAGTTACTTCCTGGTTTTTATGTTTGCCATTTTGCAATTTTTTTCTATATGTCTTATGTCTTTTTATTCCTCTAATCCTCCTTTATTACCTTCTTTTTCTTCTTCGTTTTTTTTTTTTTTTAAGAGATAGGGTCTCATTCTCTTTCCCAAGCTGGAGTGCAGTGGTGTGATCACAGAGCTCACTGCAGCCTCAAACTCCTGGGCTCAAGCAATCCTTCCACTCCAATCTCTCAAGGAGCTGGAACTACAGGCACATGCCACCACGCCTGGCTAAATATTTGTATTTTTTGTAGAGATAGGGTTTTGCCATGTTTCCCAGGCTGGTCTCAAACTTCTGGCTCAAGTGATCCCAGCCCCACAAAGTGCTGGGATTACGGGCATGAGCCACCGCGGCCAGGCTCTTTTTTTTTTTTTTAAGACGCAGTCTCGCTGTTGCCCAGGCTGGAGTGCAGTGGTGCGATCTCGGCTCATTGCAAGCCCCACCTTCTGGGTTCATGTCATTCTCCTGCCTCAGCCTCCCGAGTAGCTGGGACTACAGGCGCCCGCCACCACGCCTGGCTAATTTTTTGTATTTTTAGTAGAGACGGGGTTTCACCGCGTTAGCCAGGATGGTCTCGATCTCCTGACCTCATGATCCACCCGCCTTGGCCTCCCAAAGTGCTGGGATTACAGGCATGAGCCACCGCACCCGGCCTATTAGTTTCTTTTATGTTAAATATTTAATAGCATTCAATTTTGATTTTTTTGTTGCCTTTTGCATAATTTTGAGTTTTTTTGTGGTTTCCCTACAGATTAAAATTGATATCTTAATTTAAAATAAATGAGTTTAGATTAAGGGCAACTTAATTTCAATGGTACACAAACCTTTTCTCTAATATAAGGTCATTCCTTTTCCTCTACTTGATGCTATTATTGTCATACAAATCACACTATTATACATTTAAGTCTCTCAACACAGTTTTATAATTATTGCCTTATGCAATTGTCTTTTATTTATTTATAAATTTATTTTTTGAGATAGGGTCTTACTCTGTTGCACAGGTTGGAGTGCAGTGGCATGATCATGGCTCACTGCAAGCTTGAACTCCTGGGCTCAAACAGTCTTCCCGCCTTAGCCTCCTGAGTAGCTGGGACTACAGGTGCATACCACCAATGCTCAGCTAATTAAAAAAATTTTTTGTTTTGTTTTGTTTTGGAGATAGGATCTCACTCTGTCACCCAGGCTGGAGTGCAGTGGTATGATCATAGCTCACTGCAGTGTCAAACTCCTGGATTTAAGGGATCCTCCCACCTCAGGCTCCCAAGTAGCTACTACTCCCACTACGCCTAGCTAATTTTTTATTTTTTTAATTTTTTGTAGAGACAGGCGTCTCTCTGTGTATCCCAGGCTGCTCATGAACTCCTGGCCTCAAACCACCTTGGTCTCCCAAAGTGCTGGGATTATAGATGTGAGCCATTGTGCCCATCCATAGTTGTCTTTTAAGTCAAATAGAGAAGAATAAAGTTACAAACGTCTTTACATTTGTAATATCTTTTATATTTGCCCATGTAATTATCTTTACTGGCGTTCTTTATTTGTTTGTGCTTACTTCAGTTGCTGTCAAGTGTTCTTTCATTTCAAGCTGAAGGACTCCCTTCAGTGTTTCTTACAGAACAGGTCTCTTAGTGATGACTTCTCTGAATTGTATTTAATAATGTCTTAATTTAGCTTTCATTTTTGAAGGATAATTTTGATGGTATGGAATAGTATTGGTTGGCATTCTTTATCTTTTAACACAATATGGTATCCCCTAGCCTTTATGGTTTCTGATAAGCTGTTAATCTTACTGAGGATCCCTTGTATGTGATGAATGGTTATTCTCTTGCTTTCAGGATTTCTCTGTCTTTATCTTTCAGCTGTTTGGCTGTATAAGTGTGGATCCCTTTGAGTTTTTCTTACTTGGAGTTTGATGCGCTTATTGGATCTGTAGATTAATATTTTTCATCTAATTTGGGAAATTTTTGCCCATTATTTTTTCCAATATTCTTTGTGTCCCTTTCTCTGTGTCTTCTCTTCCTGAGACCCCCATTGGTACACATTATGGTGTTTCACAGGATCTCTGAAGCTTCGTTCATTTTTCTTCAGTCTTTTTCTTTCTGTTCTAGACTGGGTAATCTCAATTGACCTGTCTTCAAGTTCATTGATTGTTTCTTCTGCCTGCTCGAATGTGCTCTTGGCTCCCTTTTCTTTTCAGTTATATTTTTCAGCTCTATCATTTTTATTTGGTTCTTTTTAAAGTAATTTCTATCTCTTTGTTGTTAATTTTATTTGGTAAACATTGTTTTCACAATTTAATTCTTTTTTTGAGATGGAGTTTCACTCTTGTTGCCCAGGCTGGAGTGCAGTGGCCTGATCTCAGCTCACTACAACCTCTGCCTCCCAGGTTCAAGCGATTGTCCTGCCTCAGCCTCCTGAGTAGCTGGGATTACAGGCATGCGCCACCACGCTTGGTTAATTGTGTATTTTTGCTAGAGACGGGGTTTTGCTATGTTGCTCAGGCTGGTCTCCAACTCCTGACCTCAGGTGATCTGCCCGCCTCGGCCTCTCAAAGTGCTGGGATTACAGGCGTGAGCCACTGTGCCCAGCCACTTTATTTCTTTAGATACATATTTTTTAGTTCTTTCAACATATTTCTGATAACTGAATAAAAATCTTTGTTGATTAAATACAAGGCATGGGATTCCTCTGAAATTTTCTGTTGACTTCTTTTTTCCCCGTATGTATGGCTTATAATTCTCTATTTCTTTGCAAGTGTCATAATTTCTTTTTTGAAAACTGAACATTTAGGAAACATAATGTGGCTACTGTGGAAATTAGATTCTCCTCCTCCTTGTGGTTTGTTGTTGTTGCTGTTTTCTAAGTACCCTTTGTAAAGTCTGTATTCTTTGTCATATGTGGCCACTGAAGTCTCTGTTAGGATAGCTTAATAGTTCATGATTAGACTGAGATTTCTTTAAAAGCTTTGACCCAATAAACCTCCCAGCCTATGCCAACTGGTTCTGTGTGTGTGTGCTGGGGCATGCGTTCAGTACCCTGGCAATTTACATCTTTGTTTTAGCTTTCACATCCCACTTGCACAGGGTCTCAATGCCAGCCAGAAATGAGAGGTGTTCTCAGAGCTTCCTCGGGCATCCATATAATTGCACATACATGTGGCTTTCTAAATTCTCAGGAATATGTTGGAGCTTTTCAAGACCCCATGGGCATGTTATTTCCCAGATTTTTCTTTTAATTTTATTGTCAGTCTTTTGCTTGCCCTGGCTGGTATCACTGTTTTAGATAGCTATGATGTTAAGTAATTACTGCTGATTGTTTTCTACAAAACCCCAGGATAGTGAGTTCTGAGTCTGGTAAAATATAGGCTCTGTGAATGGGGCTTTTCCTGGGAGCTGCCAGACAGGTCAAAAGTGAGATTTTTCTAGAGATTGGATTTTTGGGGAATTCCAGACCTATTCTACCTGTCCAGTGGATACTAGATTACTGGTTTTCACAGCAACTGTCTTTGGGCAGCGTTTGGATTTTAAGTTTATGATAGAGCTAAGGAGAAACTGAAAGGTCAAGGGCAAGTTCAAATGCCACAAAGTTTACTTCTCTTACTGAAAATCAACCTTAACAAAAAAACAAAAACTCTCCTGGGATTGTTCCAAGCCTTCCATGAATTTCCAAATTACTTAGCTCAAGCTGCTATAACAAAATATTATAGACTGGGTGGCTTAAACAACAGACATTTTTTCTTGGTTTTGGAGACATAGAAGTCCAGGATAAAGGTGTCAGCAGATTTGGTTCCTAGTGAGGGCCCTTTTCCTGGCTTTGTCATTGTATCCTCACATGGTAGAGAGAGCAAGGTCTCTGGTCTTTCCCCCACTCCATTTCACGCCTCCCCATTTTTTCTTAAGTACATTTAATCTCATCACGAGGACTGTACCCTCCTGATCTCATCTAAACCTAATTACCTCTCATAGTCCCCAGCTCCAAATACCATCAGAATAGTACGCAGGGCTTTGATGTAAGAACACAATTCAGTACATGGCACCAGAATTATTAAAAAGTTGGTTTTGACAATTTTGACTCGTGTTCTCATTGCTTTAACGGAGTAGCAGGTTTTCTTAAAGTTCTTATTCTGCCATTCTAGAAGTGCTTTCTATAAATCAGCTTTAGAACATTTTCATCCCTCCAATAAGATCCTTCATGCCCATTTATAGTTAATCCTAATTCCCATCCTCAGTATAGTTGTTTTTAAGTTCTTCTCTGTTAAATTTTTCTGAAGGCCACATTAAAAAGTGTAAACTTGTTATAAAAGTTAGATAACTGAGTGACCAGCTGAATTATCTTACAAACCAATGACTTTCAAATATTTGTTTGTTTCCAAGCATTTTAGCATGAGAGGTGGAAGGAACCTGTGACTCTGTTAACTATTTTGATGTACGCACAATCTGTCTTCTTTCCATTGACTTTATTAATTTAGCATGCTTTAATCTTTGTATCATTTGAGAGGATGGTAAAGATTTTGATTAGCTTTAGTCTTTCATAAGGATGGGTGTGTTATTATATTTCTAGGGTAACCACTAAAAGTATAGTAACAAAAGGTACCACTTACTACAGTAATAGAGGAAAAAATTCAAAAAAGAACAACCAAAATAGAATTGGGAAATTGTTTTATTAACTGTCTGATCTTTTTCAGCTTTGGTGATGGAATAAGTTAAGAATTTGTTGGCCGGGTGCAGTGGCTCACTCTTGTAATCCCAGCACTTTGGGAGGCCGAGGCGGGTGAATCACCTGAGGTCAGGAGTTCAAGATCAGCCTGGTCAACATGGTGAAACCCCATCTCTACTAAAAATACAAAAATTAGCTGGGCGTGGTGGCACATGCCTGTAGTTCTAGCTACTCGGGAGGCTGAGACAGGAGAATCACTTGAACCTGAAAGGCAGAGGTTGCAGTGAGCCAAGATCACGCCACTGAACTCCAGCTTGGGCGACTAGAGTGAGACTCCATCTCAAAAAAAAAAAAAAAAGCTTCTTGGCCGGGTTCAGTCTTAAACAGGCTAATACAGAGTGTGGAATGAAGGAATACTCTCCGGTTACTATTATGAGACTTTCATAATCTTGATACTTAAACCTAATAAGACCAGTATGAAATGGAAAATTACAAGCTAGTTACACTCATTAGCACAGACACAAGGATCCTAAAACTGAACCTCAAAGTATAGAGAAAGGATTATTGATCTGGAATTAGAATTACTCTCGAATATAGGATGATTAAATTTAGTAGAGTATATCAGTTAAGAGCATGGACTTTGTAGCCTGATTGCCTTGGTTTGAATCCTGCTTTTACCATTCATTAGCTTGAGGTGTATTTCTTACTTCTATTCCTTGTCCGTTAATTGGGGTAATAATGGTATCACCTCACAGGGTTTTTCTGATGATTGAATGGTTAAAATATGTAAAGTGTTTAGGATAGTGTCTGAATACTGGAGCCTATTGGTGTTAGATATAATCAATATGATTATAAAATAAACTACTGTAATCTACCATGTTAACAGAATAAAGAAGAAAGCTATATGATATCCCAATAGACAAAGGAAAAGCATTAAAATAATTGCATTAGTGATTAAAAATGTAATAAAATAGGTTAGAAGGGAGCCTATAAACATGAAAAACTTACATCATGTATTTTATTTAATGATGATAGATTTAAAATATTCCTTTTGAGATTCTATCATTGCTTCCTTTCACAGGGCTTAATTTCAGCAAGGCCAAAAATAAGAGAAAGAAAGGAAGGAAGGTACAAGGATTAGAAAGGAAGAGAGAAAACTGATGTTATTTGCAAAATAATATATGGTTAAAATATTGGAATTAATATGAAAGTTTTCACAGAATTACTGATTACAAAATCAATATACAAAAAGCAGTTGCAGGAAATGGCAGTTCCTTAAAAAGAATATGATACTGCAATTCCATTCCTAAGCATGTAATCAAAAGAAATAAAAATAACATGTAGATGCAAAGACTTGGATGTGAATGTTTATAGCTGCATTATTGATAATAGTCAAAAAGTGGAAACAATTCAAGTGTCCATCAGTGAGTGAATGGATAAACAAAATGTGTTATATTCATGCGATGAAGTACTACTCAGCAATAAAAAGTAATGAACTACTGATATGATATAATATGGATGAACCTTATAAATGTTATGCTAAATGAATCTATACATACTATATTGGTCCCATTTATATAAAATGTCCAGGAAGTACAAATCTATAGAGACAGCAGGCTACTTACTTAATAATTACCTGGGGCTGAGGGTTGAGTAGGGATTGATTGCATATGGCTATGAAGGATATTTTTGGGTTATAAAAATGTTCTAAAACTGGTTATGGTGATGATCGCACAACTCTATAAATTTACTAAAGATCATTTAATTGTATACAGTTGACACTCGATAACACAGGTTTAAACTGTATGAGTCCACCTACATGTGGATTTTTTTCAGCCAACTTCAATAGAAAGTACAATATTTGTGGGATGTGAAACCCATGTATGTGGAGGGCCTACTTTTCTTATGTGGGAGTTCCATGGGGCTCACTTTGGGACTTGAGTATACTCTGATTTTGGTATAGGCAGAGAGTCCTGGAAACAATCCCTCAGATATACCACGGGATGACTATACTTAATACCCCAATTATTTCCTCCCTTTCATCCTGATCTGACTACATAAATCCTTAAACCCCCTTTTTGGGGGAGTCAGGGAGGAGTTGATAGGTAAAGGTTAAGAATTTGGGTCTGTGAGTATGTGGGCAATATAGACGGGAGGGATCATGAGTGAAATAGATATTGAGAGAACCTGTCCACCATATGATTTATAAACAGTGTATTTTGAGAGAATGAGTTTATTCACATAGACCCTCTCAACCTTCTTTATTCATTTACACAAAGAGCCCCCTTGCTCTGAAAAAATACAGTCAGTTAGGAACTATTTGATCTAGTTTACCTCATCTTCCCTTTTAGCCACTCATAATCCAATGTGACAGTATACACAAACATACTTGTTTATCCTAATAAAAGATTGTAAATAAGTTAGAAAAGGTAAATACACAATGGAACTCATTTTTTAAAGCAGTGATATTTTTGGAGAAGAGAAAGCTTTTTTAAAATTATAAAATCAGGCTGGGCGCAGTGGCTCATGCTTATAATCCCAGCACTTTGGGAGGCCGAGGTGGGTGGATCACTTGAGGCCAGGAGTTAGAGACCAGCCTGGCCAACATGGTGAAACCCTGTCTCTACTAAAAATACGAAAATTAGCCGGGCGTGGTGGCGGGTGCTTGTAGTACCAGTTACTCGGGAGGCTGAGGCAGGAGAATCGCTTAAACCCGGGAGGCGGATGTTGCAGTGAGCGGAGATGGCACCATCGCACTTCAGCCTGGGCGACAAGAGTGAAACTCCGTCTCAAAACAAAAGAAAACAAAAAATTATAAAATCAGTATTTGAATTTATCTTTTATAATTTAGATTTCTAAAATGTTTTACTGTCTTCAAAGTCAGTATATTCCTGTACTTAAACATGTGTTATGTTGGCTGGGTGCAGTGACTCACGCCTGTAATCCCAGCACTTTGGGAGGCTAAGGCAGGAAGATCACTTGAGCTTAGAAGTTCAAGACCAGCCTGGGCAACGTAGAAAGACTTCGTCTCTAAAAAAAGTGAGCCATGCATGGTGATGTGCACCTATACCCCCAGCTATTTGAAAGGCTGAGGTGGAAGGATCGCTTGATTCCAGGAGATCAAGGCTGCAGTCAGCTATGATGGCGCCACTGCACTCCAGCCTGGGTGACGAAGTAGGACCCTGTCCCAAAAAAAACCAAAAAAACAGCACTTTATTGCTTGTGATTTATGTAACAACAATATGTTTAACATTTTTTCTTTTATGTTTCCTTGTGAATTTTTCAAAAATATTAATTTTATTTGAGACAGTCAGACTTTTTCCTGTAATTACATTGTTTTATTCTTGAAATAGCTAAGAAGTAATTTTATTAGTAAATCATTTAAAAATAAATCATTAGTTATTGTGTTACTTGAGGGACTTTGGCTGTGTTATTATTTCTGTTTGTTCAGGAAGCCGCCTAAGTCATATGTGTACTGTTCAATGAATTACCACAAACTTTTTTCACTCCTGTGTAACTATCACCTAGCTTAAGAAATAGATACAGTGAATTTGAAAGTTGCAAGGATTGTCAAAGCAAAGGCAGGAAGGAGCTAAGGAAGGGGTCACTTAAGGATTCCTCTTTGGCCTATAGAGAAATATCCTTCTGTATTTTTAAATGTATTTATATGCCATGCTATTTCAAAAAACTGTTGTATTTTCTTCTTGCTTTGTCGTCAATGGATTTAAATTATTTATTGTGTATTTGATGTAGGAATACGGTTGGACAGAATGAACTGAAGATTACAAGTGATCAAGTGATAAATTCAGGATTGATTTTTGAAGATAAACCGAAACCTTCCAAACAGTCACTTCAGTCTTACCAAGAGGCTTTGCAGCAGCAGGTATTGATTCATTTACTCATTTACTGTTGAACCTCTTAAGTGTAAGCATGGTGGTCCCTTAGAGCTCAGAGTGTGGCCGGGGAGGGGAAAAAAAACAGTTAATTATAATTCAAAATGCTGAGTTTTGAAGTGGATACAGTAAAACGCTGTTGGAAGCATAAGATAGGGAAAATAATTGCCTGGGGCAGTTGGGAGAGCTTCACACAGTAGTTGATATTTAAGCTGCATGTTGTGCAATGACTACGTTACAAGTTGCTGGTGTATACAGAGAATGGAATTGGGGTGGAAGAAGGGGCTGGAGAGTTAGTTAGGTTGTTCTAGCAGATTGTGAAGGACTAGCTAATAAGGGGTTTTCAGTTTCATCTGGTTATGGGCAGCTGAAGGAAGGAAATTTTAGGCCAAGAAAAGTATGAAAGGATTGTTTGCTTTAAGCAGATTTATATTTTATGAAGATAATTGGTTGTGATTTGGACAATTGGGAAGAGATTGGCAGAGAAATTATTTAGTAGATAGTCCAGTAAGGAGGTGATGAGGCCCTGAACCAGATGGGGACGTTGGGGAAGACATCTAAGAGACAATTCTCAGGTTTCATTGACAGGACTCAGATATAGGGAATGAGAACAGAGGGTTTGAAGATGATTCCTAGGAGAATAATGAGGCTATAAACCAAAATGGGGAATACAGGTAGTAGTTCATGTTTACAGAGGAGGATAATGGGTTCTTTCGTAGTTTGTAATATTTGCAGAGAATTTAAGAGTAACTATCAAATGTATGGGGTTCTTTGTGGGAATTCCCTTACCATCTGAGAGGACCCTGGGACTCTAACTTACTTACTTTTCTATAGAATTACACTTGGATTTCTTTTAAAAGTACTTTTGTTCAACTTTTACATGGGCAACTTTCTTGAAAGATAGATTTTTAAAATTACAGAATTACCAACCTTTTTTGTATGTTAGGATTCTACAAATAAAAGACTGAATTTTAAATTCAGAATCTGTTTTTGCATGAGCATATTAAAAACACCACTGACAAAACTAGATTTTTCAACTCTAGAGGTCTATTTGATGTGTGTGATGACTTCTTTGGCTATGCTGGAGCAAAAGGTTGCTTAAATTTACTGTGCATATGGTTATGAGTTTAAAAGTGACTTTCCAAAATGTAGACACTTGTTTATTGCCTATCTGTATGTCTCTACAGAACAACCCTGCGCTTATACTTAGTGATGATAAGAATGCATTTGTTTTTTGTGCTTAATACAGCTTTACAGAAGTATTGCAGGTTTAGTTCCAGACCACAGCAATAAAGCAAATATCACAATGAAATGATTCACATGAATTTTTTGGTTTCCCAGTGCATGCAGAGTTATCTTTACACTATACTGTGGTCTATTAAGGTGCAACATGTCTTAAACAAGCTACGTAAACTTAATTTAAAAATACTGTATTGCTAAAAAAATTTAGCAAATCATAATCCTTTTGCTGGTGGAAAGTCTTGCCTCAATGTTGATGGCTGCTGACTGATCAGGGTGGCAGTTGCTGAAGATTGGGTGGCTGTGGCAATTTCTTAAAATGAGACAACAGTGAAATTTGCTGCATCAATTGACTCCTCCATTCATGAGAGATTTCTCTGTAGGATACGATGCTGTTTGATACCATTTTATCCACAGTAGACCTTCTTTCAAAGTTTGGAGTCCTCTCAAAACCCTGCTGATGCTTTATCAACTTAGTTTATATAATGTTCTAAATCTTTGTTGTCATCTCAACAGTGTTCACAACATCTTTACCAAGAGTAGACTCCATCTCAAGAGACCACTTTCTTTGCTCATTCATAAGAAGCAACTCCTCATCCATTAAAATTTTATCATGAGATTGCAGCAGTTCTCTCAAGTCTTCCATGCCTCACTTCTAATTCCAGTTCTCTTGCTATTTCTTCCACATCTGCAGTTTCTTCTACCACTGAAGTCTTGAATCCCTCGAAGTCATCCATGAATCATCCATTAGGGTCAACTTCTTTCAAACTTCTGATACTGTTGATATTTTGACTTCCTTCCATGACTCACAAATGTTCTTGATGGCATCTGGAATGGTAAACTCTCTCCAGAGGGCTTTCAGTTTAGATTTCCCAGATCCATCAGAGGAATTACTCTCTGTGGCAACTATAGCTTTATGAAACGTATTTCCTGAACAGTAAGAATTCAGTGTCAAAATTACTCCATGAGTTAATGGGCTAAAGAATGGATATTGTATTAGCAAGCATGACAACAACATTAACCTTCTTGTATATCTAGCTCTTGGTTGACCAGGTGCGTTGTCAATGAGCAGTAATATTTTGAAAGGAATCTCTTTTTTTTAGTAGTAGGTCTCAACAGTGGACTTAAAATACTCAGTAAACCATTCTTGAAACAGTTGTGCAGCAATACAGGCTTTGTTGTTTCCTTTCTAGAGCACAGGTAGAGTAGATTTAGCATCATCTTTTTTTTTTTTTTTTTTTTTTTTTAAAGACGGAGTCTCACACTGTCACCCATGCTGGAGTGCAGTGGTGCGATCTTAGCTCACTGCAAGCTCCGCCTCCTGGGTTCATGCCATTCTCCTGCCTCAGCTTCCCGAATAGCTGGGACTATAGGCGCCTGCCACCATGCCCGGCTAATTTTTATTTTGTATTTTCAGTAGAGACGGGGTTTCACCATGTTAGCCAGGATGGTCTCGATCTCCTGACCTCGTGATCCACCTGCCTCGGCCTCCCAGAGTGCTGGGATTACAGTTGTGAGCCACCGTGCCCGGCTGATTTAGCATCATTCTTAAGGGCCCTAAGGTTTTCAGAATGGTATATTAGCATTGGCTTCAACTTAAAGTCACCAGCTGCATTAGCTTCTAATGAGAGAGTCAGCCTGTCCTTTGAAGCTTGAAACCAGACATTGACTTCTCTTTACTAGCTATGAAAGTCTTCTTTTAATACAAGGCTGTTTTGTCTCCATTGAATATCTGTTGTTTAGTGGAACCACCTTCATCAGTTATCTGATCTAGACTTTCTGGGTGACTTGTTGCAGCTTCTTCATCAGCATTTGCTGCCTCATGTTGTACTTTTTTATTTTTATTTTTATTTTGAGACAAAGTCGCACTCTGTTGCCCAGCCTAGGCTGGAGTACAGTGGCACGATCTCGGCTCACTGCAACCTCCACCTCAGCCTCCCGAGTAGCTGAGACTACAGGTGCCCACTACCACGCCCAGCTAATTTTTATTTTTTATTTTTTTTTGTATTTTTAGTAGAGGTGGGGTTTCACCATGTTGGTCAGGGTGGTCTTGAACTCCTGATCTCAAGTGATCCGCCCACCTTGGCCTCCCAAAGTTTTGGGATTACAGGTGTGAGCCCAGCCCATGTTGTACTTTTATGTTATAGAGATGGCAGCTTTCCCTCAACTTCATGAACCAACCTCTGCTAACTTGCAAGTTTTCTTCTGCAGCTTCCTCACTTCTCTCAGCCTTCATAGAATTGAAGAAAGTTAGGGCCTTGCTCTGGTTTAGGCTTTGGCTTAAGGGAATGCTGGGCTGGTTTGATCTTCTATTTAGACCACTAAAACTTTCTCTATAACAGCAATAAGGCTGTTTCACTTTCTTATCATTCATATGTTTACTGGAGTGGCACTTTTAATTTTCTTCAAGAATTTTTCCTGTGCATTTACAACTGGGCAAAGTGTTTATTTAACATAAGAGGCCTAGCTTTCAGCCTGTCTATGCATTTGACAAGCCTTTCCCACTAAGCATAGTCATTTCTAGCTTTTGATTTAAAGTGAGAGATGTGACTCTTTCATTCACTCAAACACTTACATGCCATTGTAGGGTTATTATTTGGCCTAATTTCAGTATTCTATCAGGGAAAAGAGAGACCCAAAGAGAGGGAAAGAGACAGGGGAACGGCTGATTGGTAGAATAGTCAGAATACATATGACATTTATCCATTAAATTTGCCATCTTATGTGTGTGTGATTCATGGCGCCCCAAAACAATTATAATAGTAACACTAAAGATCAGCAATCACAGATCACCATAACAGATATAATAATAATTTAAAAAGTTTGAAATATTGTGAGAATTACCAAAATGTGACACAGAGACATGAAATTAGCCCATGCCATTGGAAAAATGGTACTGATAGACTTCCTCAATGCAGAGTTGCCACAAACCTTCGATTTGTAAAAAATGCAATATCTGTGGCCAGGCGTGGTGGCTCACGCCTGTAATCCCAGCACTTTGGGAGGCCAAGGTGGGTGGATCAGAGGTCAGGAGATTGAGACCATCCTGGCTAATGCGGTGAAACCCCGTCTCTACTAAAAATACAAAAAATAACTGGGCGTGGTGGCAGGCTCCTGTAGTCCCAGCTACTCTGGAGGCTGGGGCAGGAGAATGGCGTGAACCCGGGAGGCGGAGCTTGCAGTGAGCTGAGATCACGCCACTGCACTCCAGCTTGGGTGACAGAGCGAGACTCCGTCTCAAAAAAAAAAAAAAAAAAAAAAAAAAATGCAATGTCCGCAAAGCACAATAAAATTCAGCACAATAAAATGAGGTATGCCTGTATTTAAAGTTGCCAAGCATTCCCCAGAGAGAGTTGATCCTCCGACCTCTGAATTCTGGGAATAGAGTTTGCCTAGGGAAAGTAGGTCTGGTAAGGTTGAGGGTAGACTTTGTGGCTGGGCATTCCCCTTGAAAGGATAGATGAAAAAGGAACGTAGGGAGATCTGATGGTCCCATGGAACTGGCAGGGTTAGAGAGGGAATGGCTCAGGTAGACACTAGGGGAGGGAAGGAGGAGTTGGTTGAGTCTGAAGTACCTTAGTGGCTAGAAAGTCATTTGGTGTATATAGAGGAACAGGGGCTATGTATTCTAGCCATTGAATTATTTTTATTTTTAATGTTATTATTTAAAGACAGTGTCTTGCATAATGTTGCCCAAGCTGAAGTACAGTGGCATGATCTTGGCTGACTACAAACTCCACCTCCTGGGTTCAAGTGATTCTTGTGCCTCAGACACCCAAGTAGCTGGGATTACACATGTGCGCAACCACACCCAGCTAATTTTTGTATTTTTAGTAGAGATGGGGTTTTGCATGTTGGCCAGGCTGGTCTTGAACTCTTGACCTTAAGTGATCTGCCCACCTTGGCCTCCATAGGCATGAGCCACGACACCTGACCTAAAGTATTTTTACATTGAGTATTACATATATTTGTGATTTTAACCTTTGTAGGGGGGTACACTGGGGAAAAAAAAAAAAGCAAATTTTTTTGCTTGTTTTCTAATACAAAAAATAACATCTGGTATTACTAACTTCTTGTATCAGAATACTTGTCAGCGTTTATTTTAAATATATCTTATGTTGTCAAGATTCGGGAAAGAGAAGAAAGAAGGAAGAAAGAACGTGAAGAAAAAGAAGAATATGAAGCTAAATTAGAAGCTGAAATGAGAACATATAATCCCTGGGGAAAAGGTGGAGGTGGTGCTCCTCTCAGGGATGCAAAAGGAAATCTGATAAGTACGTTATTTCTACTGACTTGTTTTTAAAATAAGCTAAATTATTTTTAACTTTTTAAAAGATTGGGGAGTAGAAAAAAGTAGGAATCATAGCCTCTATAGCAACGCATGTATGTAACTTAATGCATATGAGGTATTTTAAGAGTAAATATAATAACAGAGGCTAGAAAGCATTTCTTCTTCAGAATACTATCCATTTGTTTTTATTATAAATATTTCATCCTCCGATGTTGATAACCCAGTTGCAGAGAAAAGCTCATGTTAGTTGATAAGTTTTTACTGAAACTGGTACTTAGAATATTTTGTTCCCTCATAAAAATGATAAAACCCATATTACAATTTAAAAAAAATAAACTAGTAAGATGTCTTAGAAATAAAGGATGTAAAACAGTTTTGGGAGGGGATTTTGTGTTTAATTTATCTATGCAATATACCTGCTAATTGCAAGAATTCCTTTGGGAAAAAGAAGACATGATCATAGAAACTTTCTAGCAAGTTTCATAATTTGTTGATTTATCTTTCAATTATGTACTCTCAAAAATGTTTGATCTAGTAATCACACAACAAATACTTCGAAAGAGTGGCTTTATACAACTTGTTATATACAGTTGTCTGTTGGTAACCATGGGACATTGGTTCCATGATCTCCTGTGAATACCCAAATCCATGGATGCTCAAGTTCCTGATATAAAATTGGTAAAGTGTTCGCATATAACCTACACACATCTTCCTGTATACTTTAAGTCATCTCTAGATTACTTGTAATACCTAATACAGTGAAAATGCTATGTAAATAGTTGTAATCTTGTATTAATTAGGGAACAATGACAAGAAAAAAAGACTTTTCACATGTTCAGTGCAGATGCAAGCATCCATTTTTTTTTGTTTTTTAATGTTTTTGAATTGTGGTTGATTGAATCCACAGATGTGGAACCCGCAGTTACAAAGGGCTGTTGTATATATTAGGATGGTCTTTGTTTAGCGTTTAGTTAAGCAGAATAAAAGTAGATCAAAGATACACACTTCATGTTCTTTAGGTGTTATGTATTGTAGGAATAGATGAGTGATAGAATCGGAAGATTGGATGTTGAGTTAGAATTCTCGTGTGTTGCAAAAATTTTCTCCCATTCTGTAGGTTGCCTGTTCACTCTGATGGTAGTTTCTTTTGCCATGCAGAAGCTCTTTAGTTTAATTAGATCCCATTTGTCAATTTTGGCTTTTGTTGCCATTGCTTTTGGTGTTTTAGACATGAAGTCCTTGCCCATGCCTATGTCCTGAATGGTATTGCCTAGGTTTTCTTCTAGGGTTTTTATGGTTTTAGATCTAACATTTAAGTCTTTAATCCATCTTGAATTAATTTTTGTTTAAGGTGTAAGGAAGGTATCCAGTTTCAGCTTTCTGCATATGGCTAGCCAGTTTTCCCAGCACCATTTATTAAATAGGGAATCCTTTCCCCATTTCTTATTTTTGTCAGGTTTGTCAAAGATCAGATAGTTGTAGATGTGCGGCATTACCAGAATCTACAATGAACTCAAACAAATTTAGAAGAAAAAAACAACCCCATCAAAAAGTAGGCAAAGGATATGAACAGACACTTCTCAAACGAAGACATTTATGCAACCAACAGACACATGAAAAAATGCTCATCATCACTGGCCATCAGAGAAATGCAAATCAAAACCACAATGAGATACCATCTCACACCAGTTAGAATGGCGATCATTAAAAAGTCAGGAAACAACAGGTGCTGGAGAGGATGTGGAGAAATAGGAACACTTTTACACTGTTGGTGGGACTGTAAACTAGTTCAACCATTGTGGAAGTCAGTGTGGCGATTCCTCAGGGATCTAGAACTAGAAATACCATTTGACCCAGCCATCCCATTACTGGGTATATACCCAAAGGATTATAAAACATGCTGCTATAAAGACACATGCACATGTATGTTTATTGCAGCACTGTTCACAATAGCAAAGACTTGGAACCAAGCCAAATGTCCAACAATGATAGACTGGATTAAGAAAATGTGGCACATATACACCATGGAATACTATGCAGCCATAAAAAAGGCTGAGTTCATGTCCTTTGCAGGGACATGGATGAAGCTGGAAACCATCATTCTCAGCAAACTATTGCAAGGACAAAAAACCAAACACCGCATGTTCTCACTCATAGGTGGGAATTGAACAATGAGAACACATGGACACAGGAAGGGGAACATCACACACCGGGGCCTGTTGTGGGGTGAGGGGAGCGGGGAGGGATAGCACTAGGAGAAATACCTAATGTTAAATGATGAGTTAATGGGTGCAGCACACCAACATGGCACATGTATACATATGCAACAAACCTGCACGTTGTGCACACGTACCCTAAAATTTAAAGTATAGTAATAAAAGAATTCTTATGTATTATGCCTTTGCTTGTTAAATATTGGTTTTTTTGAAGATATATTTGAGGCCCACTTTAATTTATTTTAATTTAATTAATTAATTTTTTCGAGACAGAGTTTCACTCTGTCACCCAGGCTGGAGTGCAATGGCACCATCTTGGCTCACTGCAACCTCTGCCTCCAGGTTCAAGCAATTCTCCTGCCTCAGCCTCCCAAGTAACTGGGATTTATAGGCATGCACCACCACACCCGGCTAATTTTTGTATTTTTATTAGAGACGGGGTTTCACCATGTTGGTCAGGCTGGTCTCAAACTCCTGACCTCAGGTGTCCCACCCACCTCAGCCTCCCAAAGTGCTGGGATTACAGGTGTGAGCCACTGTGCCCAGCCTACTTTAATTTTAATAGCTCTTTTTTTCTTCCCAAAAGATTTGTTCCTTTCCTATCTTCACCTCATGAATAATTTTCTCACAGTTTTGAAAGAGTGAAACTCTTATTACTTTCTTTATCAATGAAATGATTTTAGATGATGCCTAGCTAACATTTCTTATTTTAATAGGTAAGTGTTTACTTGAAAATATATTAGAAAAACACTAGTTTTCCATTTATGAATAGTGCTATAATATTTTCTTTTAAACTACAGGTATTAAAGTGAAGGCATTAGTCCAGGCATTTAATGGAAAGTGCTGTAATAATAAACAAACCCAAATTCTTAGAAGCTTAAGGCCTCTCTTGTTAGGCATCCACTTTTGTCCCACTCTGATGCTGCTGTTTGGGTGGTTCTCCTCCAAGAAGTGACTCAGGGATCCATTGTTTCATTCCTTCATTTTAGAGTCCTTTTCTTCTTGTCCAGGGACAAATTGAGGATTTTGTTGGGGCCTGGCCTGGATGTGGAGGAAGATCATTTTTGCCTTCATTCCATTGTTCAGACCTAGTTATAGGTTCTAACCTAACTGCTTGGGAGGCTGGGAAGTTTAACTTTCTTTATGCTCAGAAGAAGGACATGGGATTAATAGCCATATGGGCAATCTTTGCTACAGTAAATTTAAATTATAAATTGATAGAAGTTAACTAGTTACCATGAAAAATGTGCTTAACTGAGTGAAACATTGGAAAACATTGGGATAGAGCAGTTTTCTAAAATCTTACCTCTAAGATTATTTCTAGTTCAAACAATACAATTATTGTGTTCTGTATGCCTTTAATTGGTGGAAGTGAGTAGGATAAATTTGGGTTATTGAGTTATAAAACATTATTTTAGAATTGCTTGACCTAATGAGCATGGAGAAAATGTTTCCACATTATTTTAGAATTGCGTGACCTAATGAGCATGGAGAAAATGCTTCTTAGATTTCAATTTTTAATAGTAATGTTTAGTTGGCTTATTTAATGCCGTCTTCATGCCATGAAATAGAAAAGGCATACTATTTTATCAAATACAGTATAACTCTTTTAATGATATTTTCAAGCAAGTAAACTCATGACTTAAAGAGTATCAGTTTATTTTGTATGTGGATGCTACATTTTATCTTTATTTTTATTTTTTGAGATGGAGTTTCGCTCTTTTGCCCAGGCCGGAGTGCAATGATGCAATCTCAGTTCACTGCAACCTCTGCCTCCCGGGTTCAAGCAGTTCTCCTGCCTCAGCCTTCTGAGTAGCTGGGATTACAGGCATGTGCCACCACGCCCCCCTAATTTTGTGTATTTAGTAAAGATGGGGTTTCACCATGTTGGTGGTCTTGAACTCCTGACCTGAGGTGATCCATCCACCTCGGCCTCCCAAAGTGCTAGGATTACAGACATGAGCGACTGCACCCAGTGTAGCTACTACATTTTAGAGAAGGCGGGAACATTACATTTGAAATATGTAGTATAGAGCAGTGTGATGACTAAGACCACATAACGTCTGTTCATTATCTTGGCTAACTTTAATTCTGCTGCTGACTTTTCTAATTACTCCTGTTCTTTTTTTGATCTTTTATTCCAAAGAAATTAATAAAATTGAATCTTAACACTGCACCCTTATCTTACCTAAGAAGATCTCATTATAAGGCATAGTAGTTACTAATGAAATATAAAAATGTGTTATTCATGCAACTTTAAAGTATCACCCCTTTTAAAGTAAATATTTCTCATTTTAATTATTTGTACAGTATTTTATTCTGTTGTCTTTCTCAGTTCTTTATTTATTAAAGTTCTTTATTCAGGTTTTTATTTGAAACTTTACATGAAACTGTCCATGTCAAATGTTAAAACGTATACACCAAAAGAAAAATGTCAATAAAAATAAATTAAAAGATAAAATTAAAAACCACTTTGAAAAATGGTATCTCATAGTTCCAATTGATTAACAGGATGATTAGTTAGTCAGTTCTCTTACTTACTCGTCCACCCATGCCAATCTGTGATCTCGTTTCTGGCATGAAAATATTGCCTTTTTTCTGACATTTGTGTTTTAGCATAGTGTTTCTGAGATTCATCCATGTTGTTACATATGTCAGTAGCTTATTTTTTTTATTACTGAATAGTATTACATTTTCTGAAGGTATCACAGTTGTTTATCCATTTACCAGTTGATAGATATTTGGGCTGTTTACAGTTCAAGGCTATTATAAATAAAGCTGTTAGAAACATTCACTTACAGATCTTTGTGTGAACATAAATTTTTATTTCTTTTGGGTAAGTGCCTAGGAATAGAATTGCTGGGTTGAATAGTAAGTGTTTAACTTTGTAAGAAACTGCCAGAACATTCTCCAATTTTGTTTTGTCATTTTGCATTCCTATCAGAAAAGTATGAGGTTTCTAGTTGCTCTGAATTTTCATCAGCACTTGAAATTATGCATCTTTAAACTTTTAGTTATTTTATTGAAAGTGCAGTGATACCTCATTTAAAAAAAGCTTTTTCTATTGTGAAATTAAGACCTAAAAGAGTTGCAAAGATGGTGTAGAGAGTATCCTTCACCTTGTTTCCCCTGACGTTAACGTCTTAGATAATCATGGCACAATGATCAAAATTAGAAATTAACCTAGATACAGTGCCGATAATTAAGTTACATACCTTGTTCGAATTTTACCAGTTTTTTTTTTCTTTTCCTAATGTCCTTATTGTATTTTAGGCTCTGGTCCAGGATCCTATAATGCATTTAGTTCATGTCTCTTTAGTCTCCTCCAATCTGTGAAATTCCTCTTTCTCAGTCTTTCTGTCTCTCTCTGTTCCATTGCTCTATATTTCTATCCTTTTGCCCGTATCAGAGTCTCTTGATTACTATAGCTTTGTAGTAAGTTTTGAAATTGAAAAGTTTGAGTCCTCCAGCTTTGTTCTTTTTTTTCAAGATCTTTTGACAACTCAACTTCTTCGCATATTTTACTATCACTATAGTAATGTAGTAATATTATTATTTAGTAATAAGTTATAGTAAGTAAATAATGTTATAGTAAGTAATTATTACTATTACTATTACTTTGTCATGTCAAGCATGGTGGCATTTTCATTGGGATTCCATTAACTTTATAGATAATATTGAAACAGCCAGCATCTTAATAATATTGAGCCTCTTGATCCATGAGTGGGCAGTGTATATCCATTTATTGCTTCTAGTTAATTTCTCTCAGCAATATTTTGTAGTTTTTGGTGGCAGATCTTGTGTATATTTTGTTAATTGTTTCCCTAAATATTTCATGTGGTTTGAAGCTATTTTAAAATGTTACATTAAAAAATTTTTAATTCATTTGTTCATTGATGGTCTATAGAAATACAGGTAAATTTTTTATATTGTCTGTAGTCTGTGTGCTTGCTACTGTCTGTAGTCTGTGTGGTTGCTAAACTCACTTGTTAGTTTTAGTAGTTTTTTTGTAGATTCTTTGATTTTTAATGTAGGCAATCATAGCATCTGTCAGTAGAGTTAGTTTTACTTATTTCTTTCCAATCTGATGCCTTCTATTTATTTTAATTGCCTTTTACACTGTTTAAGAACTCCAGTACAGTGTTAAGAATTCATGAGCGCAGACATCCTTGTCTTGTCTCTGATTTCAGATGGAAAGCAATCTTTCACCATTAAGTTAGCTGTAGGCTTTTAGTTGATTTTTCTTTTATCCCATTGAGGATGTTCTATTCCTTGTTTGCTTAGAGGTTTCATTGTGAGTGTATGTTGAATTTTGTCAGGTGCTTTTCTGCATCTATTGAGATGATAATGTGGTTTCTTTACCCTTCTGACCTATGGTAAATTACATTGATTGATTTTTGAATATTCAGCCAATCTTGCATTCCTGGGAAAAACCAAGCTGTATTATTGTCTTTTATACGTGTTGTAGAATTTGATTTGCTAGTATTTTGTTAGAGATTTTTGCATCTAGGCTCATAAGATATTCTGGTTTTTTATTTCTTTATAATGTTGTCTGGTTTTGGTGTCAGGGTAATTCTGGCCTGATAACATGAATTGGGAAATGTTTTTTCTTTTGTTTTTTGAGACAGAGTCTTGCTCTGTCGCAGAAGCTGGAGTACAGTGACATAATCACGGCTCACTGTAGCCTCGACCTCCTAGGCCGAAGCAATTCTGCCACCTCAACTTTCTGAGTAGCTGGGACTACAGTCATGTACCACCATACCTGGCTAATTTTTTTTATTTTTTGTAGAAACAGGGTCTCACTATGTTTATGTTGCCTAGGCTGGTCTCGAACTCCTGAGCTCAAGTGATCCTCCCACCTTGGCCTCCCAAAGTGCTGGGAATACATAGGTGTGAGCCACATCGCCTAGCTGGGAAATGTTTTTTCTGTGTTTAGAATTCACCAGTGAAGGCTGGGTGTGGCGGCTCACGCCTGTAATCCCAGCACATTGGGAGGCTGAGGCAGGTGGATCACAAGGTCAAGAGATCGAGACCATTTTAGCCAACATGGTGAAACCCTATCTCTACTAAAAAAAAAAAAAAAAAATTAGCTGTGTGTGGTGGTGTGCTCCTGTGGTCCCAGCTACTCAGGAAGCTGAGACAGGAGAATCATTTGAACCCAGGAGGTGGAGGTTGCAGTGAGCCAAGATTGCGTCACTGCCAGAGCGGGACTCCATCTCAAAAAAAAAAAAAAAAAGCATTCACCAGTGAAGCCATCTGGGTGGGGAATCTTCTTTTTGGGAAAGTTTTAAACTATGACTTCACTTTATTTAATAGATAAAGAGACATTCAGTTTATTTCTTATGTGAGCTTTGGTTATTTGAATCATTCAAGGAAATTATTCATTTTATTTATTTATTTATTGGCATAATGTTGTTCATAATATTTCTTTTTTATTCTAATGTTTGTAGGATCTGTGGTGATGGCTTCTCATTCATTCCTGATATTTGTAATTTGTATATTTTCTTAATCTGTCTGGCTGGATGTTTATCAACTTTATGGATCTTTTCATAGAATCAGCTTTAGTTTTCATTGATTTTTTTTCTCTGCTTTTCTTCTTGTTTCAGTGATTTTGCTCTTATCTTTACTATTTGCTTCCTTTAGTTTGCTTTGTGCTTACTTTTCTCCCTTTTCTAATTTCTTTCTTTTTTTTTTGTTTTTGTTTTGAGACAGAGTCTCTCTGTGTCGCCCAGGTTGGAGTGCAGTGGCACAATCTCGGCTCACTGCAACCTCCGCCTCCCGGGTTCAAGTGATTCTCCTGCCTCAGCCTTCCAAGTATCTGGGACTGACTACAGGCACACACCACCACACCTGGCTAATTTTTGTATTTTTAGTAGAGACGGGGTTTCACCATACTGGCCAGGCTGGTCTCGAACTCCTGAGGTGATCTGCCCACCTCAGCCTCCGAAAGTGCTGGGATTACAGGCATGAGCCACCGTGCCCAGCCCCCTTTTCTAATTTTTTAATGTCGATGCTTAGACTATGATTTGAGACCTTACTTATTTTCTGTGCATTTAAGTGTGCTACACATTTCCCTCTGAGTACTGTTTTAGCTGTACATCACAAATTTTTATGTGTTGTTTTAATTTTCATTCAGTTTTCTGATTTTCATTGTGACTTTTCTTTGACCCCCATTAGTTATTTGGAAGTGGACTTAAAAATTTTCCAAGTATCAGGGGATTTTCCTGAGAGCTTTCTTTTATTCAATTCTAGTTTGTATTCTGTTTTGTAAGAGAATATACTTTTCTTTTTTTTTTTTTTTTTTGAGACAAGGTCTCACTCTGTCACCCAGGCTGTAATGCAATGGCACGGTCATGCCTCACTGCAGTCTCAACCTCCCTGGCTAAAGTGATCTTCCCGCCTCAGCTCCCCCAAGTAGCAAGGACTACAGACACATGCTACCATGCCCAGCTAATTACAAAATTTTTTTTAGAGACAGGGTCTCACTTTTTTGCCCAGCTGGTCTCAAACTCCTGGCCTCAAATGATCCTCCCACCTCAGCCTCCCGAAGTGTTGAGATTACAGGCATGAGCCACTGCGCCCAGCTGGAGAGAATATACTTTTAATGACTTCAGTGTTTTTAAGTTTGTGAGATTTGTTTTATGAGCCATCAGTTAGAATTTTACTCTATAAGTAAGTGTATATATTTTAAATTAGGTTAATTTTGATATATGTATTGTTAGTAGTGCTAGGGTTGGGAATTTTGCTTAGCTCTCTGAATTAGGTCATTATAAAAGAGTTTCTGTGTCAGCCATGAATTGCTGAATAATCCTGGGTTTATAGTAACATTTAACATATCTCAGCCCTTCACAAAATATATTTTGATATGTATTTTCCACCAAAGTATAAAGAGTAGCAGCTAACTTGTGAAGTTAATTAAAATTAATTTTTTTATAATGAGCTAATTCACTCAGTGAGGAGCACGTAAGTGCTCCTAATTTTATATTGAATGTTATGATGATTTACATTTAAAATAAAGTCCTATCTTTGCAGTTGACAAATTACACTCTTGACCAAAGTGCCTTTTTTAATTTTCGTTTTTTAGCTGATTTCAAATCATTTATTTTACCATCTCACAGAAAGACAGAAAAGGAGTGGCCAGTTGCCAAATCATTTTTCCCAATAAAAAGCAATATGGATTTGGTTTGCTTGCTAAATCTGATAGTCTTAAATCTTAATAATTATGTACTCTGATGAAATTAATTTTCTCTTAATATAAATATGTTGAATATTATTCCAGTTGAGAAGTCCATATATAATCAACAATAAATTATAATGTGTTATCGAAGTTTGCTTACATATAGGGTATCTCCTAATGTATGGTTTGTGCAGGTGACTATCAAACTAAGATTGCATTCCCTAAGCACTCACTAGTTTGGCAACACAGCTGTAGATTATTTCAAGAATATCTATCTGCCTTGCCAGTCCTTGGCACTTGGGAATTTTCTTGCAGTCACCTTTTTCTGTGGTTTCACCCAGTCCCTTCTCTTTGCATTTTTTCTATTTATTTCTTCTTTCTACCTCTGAACATGCTTAGGTCACTTGTATTAAAACACAGACAAATGCTTCCTTTACCATATAAAACACATTCAAAAAGTAGTCCATGCTTGTTGCTGTCACTTCTTACCACCCTCTTATTGGCTATTTTTCCATAGTATAACATCTAGCTTGTACCCCCGCGCCCCACCACCCCATGCCACATTGTCAACAAAAAGCCTGATGACCTAATTTCAATTTAATGATTTTTACTCATCTTTTATCTTCTTTGAACTGGCTTGACAGTTCCTTTTTTTCTCTAAGTCCTTTGTATCCTCCGAGATGCTGTCCAGACTTCAGCTAATATTTTTTGGATGTGCATTATGAACTAGAGTTAGACTCTGCTAGGTTTGTGAGCATGATCTTTCTTCTAAGGACTGTCATCTGACCTTGTGTGTTTCTCATCCCTTCATCCATTCTCTTCCATGTCATCTCTTTTACTCCTGTGTTACTCTTTAGGTCTTCCCTACAGATTGATCTTTAAATCTTTTTCTTTGCCCTCAACCATTTTTATTTTTATTTTTTTTGAGACAGTCTCACTCTGTCACCCAGCCTGAAGTGCAGTGGTGTAATTTTGACTCACTGCAACCTGCACCCCCCCGGCTTAAGTGATCCTCCCACCTCAGCCCCCCAAGTAGCTGGGACTACAGGTACATGCCATCATGCCCAGCTAATTTTTGTATTTTCAGTAGAAATGGGATTTCACCATGTTGCCCAGGATGGTCTTAAACTCCTGAGCTCAAGTAATCCACCCTCTTTGGCCTCCCAAAGTGCTGGGATTATAGGTGTGAGCCACCACGCCCGGCCAGACTAATATATTAATCCCACTTCTGTAACAACCACAACTGCCTCCATTACCTTCTACAGAACAAAATTGAGAGCCATTGACATGTGTTTTAGGATATTGAAGAATAGGTATCCATTCTATGGTTTCCAGTCTTATTTGCCATTGCTCTATTACATGTGCTTTATGCTCTAGTCTAGCTGGACTACTTTAATGTTGCCAGAACACTCATCATGCTTTACCCACTTGGAGTGCTTTCTCACATTGTTCTATTTCTCTATTATGCTTTCCTACTTATCTTCATCTGTGAAGCTCCTATACATTTTCCAAGTCCAAGCTGCCCTAAATATTGTAACAGAATGTGAACCTTCCTGATTCTGAACTCCCATTCTCTTTTGTAGCATTTATGTATTACTTGCCATGTTCTATCTGGAATTCTAATTGTGATTCATGTTCAAAATACATTCTTGAACATAACAGGCTTCCTGATAAATACTTCTTATATCCAGGTTTAAGTTCACTTTCAGTGCTGCCATACTGTTGCAGTTTTTTGGTTTGTTTGTTTTATGGAAAACAGGTACTTTTTATTTTATTAAAGCTTTAAGTTCTGTAATCATTCAGTTCTGTTTTTGAGATTGGTTGTTTGACCCAATTCTAGGTGCTCAGATTTTTGCTGTGTGTATTAGATATCTATTCTATGTAATGAATTAACCCAAAACTTGGTGTTTTAGCATGATAAACAGTTATTATCTTGCGGTTCTGAGGGTTAGAAATTTGTGAGTGGTTTAGTTGGGTGGTTCTGTCTCAGGCTCCCTCATAATGTTGGAGTCCAAGATGTTGACCATGGCAGTAGTCATCTGAGGCTTGATGGGGACTGTAAGATTCATTTTCAATATGGCTCCCTCACATGGCTCAGGAGGCCTTAGTTCCTTGTCATATGGGCCTCTCCATAGGGCTCCCTTAGTGTCCTTATGGTATGGCAGTTGGCTTTCTTCAGAGTGAATGATCCATAGATAAGCAAGGTGGAAATAATTTCTTTTATGAGGTAGCCTCAGAAGTCATATACCATTATTTCTGCAATATGCTAGTCATAAGAAGTGAGTTATTAACTCTGGACACCACTGAAGGGGAATGGAATTTAGCTTTACCCTTTGAGGGAGGATTGCCAAGTAATTTGTGAATATATTTTAAAACTCCACTCCACATAATTATGTGTTATTAGGAGACCGATGACAGGTAAATTACACTATGAGTTGTTTTAAATTGTTGCTATATTTTTTCTATATTAAAGAAATTCTAAGTTCTGAAGTAACATAGATACTGTTAATATGGTTTTTATGTTTTGTTAAAGATTTATGTGTCCTTAATTTATCTACTAATTGAGATTATTTTTAAGGATTATTTTTTGAAAATCTTAAAAGTTTTGATAATTTTGTTTCTCTTTTCAGGGCACCAACATATCATTGAATTATTCCCAACTTTGTCCTATTGTTTTTCTTTCTGACTTCCTATTTTAAGAAAATATATTTTGCATGCCAATTACAGAAATGTGTTTATTGAAATAAATGGCTTATTTTTTCCTCTCAGCTGATTTGAATAGGATGCACAGACAAAATATAGATGCCTACCATAACCCAGATGCAAGAACATATGAAGATAAAAGGGCTGTTGTATCTCTAGACCCAAATTTAGCCACTTCAAATGCTGAGAACCTAGAAGATGCTGCAAATAAAAGCTCAGGTTTTTAATCACTTTTTTTTTTTTTTTTTTTTTTTTACATTTCTGAAATTGTTCAGTAACATTTCTGTTCTGTGACTAAGTTCTTATTGGGATCTTGAGAATTTGGCTATCCTGATACAGGAAACATAACACACTATTCATAAAGTGCCTTTTCTTCATAGTTACTTTGAAAAAAGGTGAATAGGGAAAGGTTACTTCTTCCTACTGTGTTTCTTCTCAGCTTTGTAACTTGCTGTGTATCCTTTAGCTGCTGCTAACATTTTTATTTTGCTAGTGGGGGACATTTCTTAATATCAAACACTCTTTTTACACACATACACAATTTGCATCTTATATCCATAGCTGTTTGAATTAGTGAAACAGTATCATTGTGATATGATAAATTGTACAGGGAAATTCATTTTTTACTTGTTTTAGTAATCATTTACCCTCCCTTGTAAAACAACAGTGTACAAAGAAATGAAGCAATGTTGTTTTTTTTTTTGTGAGATGGAGTCTCACTTTGTTATCCCAGGCTGGAGTGCAGTGGCATAATCTCAGCTCACTGCAACCTCCACCTCCTGGGTTCAAGCAGTTCTCTACCTCAGCCTCCCAAGTAGCTGGAATCACAGGTACCCACCACCACACCTGGCTAATTTTTGTATTTTTAGTAGGTATGGGGTTTCACCATTTAGCCAGGCTGGTCTCGAACTTCTGACCTTGTGATCCATCCGCCTCCACCTCCCAAAGTGCCGGGATTACAGGCGTGAGCCATCGCCTGGTTACATGCCTCTTAACTACTTATCTTTGATTTACTATTAATATCCTTTAATCAATTCTGAAAGATGAAAATTATTCAATTATCTTTTTTTGACATACCAGGAAAAGTTGTCAGGTATGTTAAATTGTGTTATATATTTAAAAATAAAATTTAATACAGCACCTCACACTATATTTTGATGCCTATAAAACTGGCCATTTATTCATTACAAAATTCTACTTTGTGCTTTCACAGAAGTTTTGATTTTAGATTAGAAAAGAACTTTTCATTAGGAAGTTCTAAAATATTTGTGACTGATCATGTAGTCTTTTTTGTTTTTAACCCTTATTTTTGGCTAAACAGATAAGTGAAGTGGGGAGCTGTGATTAGAGTCATAGCCCTGCATCTTTCAAGGCTTTGATGGTAGCACACTTATCTGTAGCCTTTTTGAACAGTTTAAGAGATGGATTATTTACCGTTTTCATGGGCAGCTTGTACCAGTGTTTTCTAATTATGAGAAAATGCTTTCTTTGTTCTACAATATATTTTATCGGATCCAGTTTTGATTTTTAGAGCACTAAAATTGGAACCTTTGATTTTGACAATATTATTGATTTGGCTCTTTTAATTTGTAATAGTGTGTGGTAAGAACATCACAACACCTTTTCATATTATTGCTGCTAAGAGAATTTTGACTTATTTCTGATATTTTTCTCATTTGCTGCTGCTTCTAGTAGTCTGTATTGAGATCTCATTGCCATACAGAGTCTTTCTCTACCCTTTTCTTCCATACCTGGTATTGTTTGTAGTTCTGGCTCAGCCTAGAACTTTCGCTATCTTAGTAATAACACTTTTTAGCCATCTAGCTTTGCACACCAAGCAAAAACACCAGAAAATCAACAGTTCCCATGATCCCTTCCCAAAAGCATAAGCCTGATGATTAAACATGCACAGCAAAATTTGTTGCCTATAGCCTTTCTGTACCACTGCCAGGTTTTTATGCTGATATTGTTGCCAAGATGTTCTGTTTTAAGAATTGAGTAAAAAAAAAACCATAAAATGTTTAAAACTTCCTTTTTTTTGTGAATTGAAATTCCCAAATTAGACTTTTCTTCCCTAAGAATGAATTAATTGGCTGGGTGCAGTGGCTCACGCCTGTAATCCCAGCACTTTGGGAGGCTGAGGCAGGCGGATCATGAGGCCAGGAGATCGAGACCATCCTGGCCTACATGGTGAAACCCCGTCTCTACTAAAAATACAAAAATTAGCTGGGCGTGGTGGCATGTGCCTGTAGTCCCAGCTACTTGGGAGGCTGAGGCAGGAGAATTGCTTGAACCCGGGAATAGGAGGTTGCAGTGAGCTGAGATCACGCCACTGCACTCCAGCCTGGTGACAGAGTGAGACTCCATCTCAAAAAAAAAAAAAAAAAAAAGAATTAATTAATCTAAAATAAACTTTCTCAATACAAGAAATGATTCAAAGCCACCTAATTTTGTGCTATGCCATATATATGTGTATGAGTGCATGTATGTGTATGTATGTACACACAGACACACATATCTTTGCATATATGTAGCATTTGATATTTTAAAAGCCTGAAGGAACTTGAATATAGCTGAAAATTGAATGTTACAACATGTGTTTAAGTTTCCTTATCCTCTAATATTTTATCTTCATTAGGTTTGTTTCTGATGCCCTTTATAATGTTCATTATTTTTTCTTTTATTTTATGGTTTTTAGATGAGCTATGGCTTATGAAGTCTAATACGAATTTGGCTTAAATTTATTTTTTTGGCTTATTATCATGCCAAGATACATTTCTGCTTTCTTTGTATATAGCAAGTGTTTCCCTATGATTTTCCTTTTATAGTTTATTCATTTCTAAAAGGACTTCTCTTGTCTGTCTCTAATAATATTTCTTCTCTAATTGCCCCAAAGGTTTAGAATAGGAGTGAGCATCACGGTGAAACATGCTACTCAAGTTTGTTTTGCTAATCAGCTTTTCCACCACAGCATAAAATTTAAAAGAGCCTTCAAGGTGTATATTTAGTTTGTTTTCAGTGGGAAAATTTTCTAGAGGGAAAAAGTATTCATAATGTTTAAGTATTGATTTGGCTTTCTGCCAGTCTGTTCAAATAAGCATTAATAAATTTAAATACAAAAGCAAAATAGACCTGAGTGGTAGCTGAACTGCAAAGCAATTTGCCTATACAAAACTACATGCGAGAAATACATGCTTTAGGCTGGGCACGCTGGCTCACGCCTGTAATCCCAGCACTTTTGGAGGCCGAGGCGGGCGGATCATCTGAGGTCAGGAGTTAGAGACCAGCCTGGCCAATGTGACGAAATCCCGTCTCAACTAAAAATACAAAAAAAAATTAGCCAGGCATGGTGGCACACGCCTGTAGTCCCAGCTACTTGGGAGGCTGAAGCAGGAGAATAGCTTGAACCTGGGAGGCAGAGGTTGCAGTGAGCCGAGATCATGCCACTGCACTCCAGCCTGGGTGACAGAGCAAGACTCTGTCTCAAAAAACAAAAAAAGAAATACATGCTTTAGTTTAATGGTATAAAGAATGAGTCAGAAACTCAAAAATAATATAAAAAGTTATGTGAGGCTTAAATTTAAATGTCATTTTTTCCCATCTGCATTCAAAGAGACTCTAAGGGTATAATTGTTTTTCGAATTGCTTTTATGAAATAATTTTTTCCATTCCAAGAATATATGATACTATTTATAGGTAATATATACTAAAAAATTTTTGTTCATGTTTATATCTCATTAAGTTGAGAGTTTTAAAAATAAAAACGATTACAATAATTAAGATGCATTCTAATTTGTTAAATATGTTTTTCAAAGCTGACTTTCTATTCTGTCATTTAAACTATTGGGAAGCATTTTGAAATTACTGATTTTTAAAAACGGTTTTAGAAAATTTTAAATATATGTTACATAATACATTTTAATATGTTATTAAGCAATATTCTTAAGTAAAGGATATTCACATACTGAAGAATGTAAATATGTCCTTTTTTTCTTTATAAATTCTATTTTAAAGCCTTTGTTGCAATGAGGGTTGTTTAAGCTGTTAGCTTTTATGTTTCCTTTGTATCTTTCAGATATTATTTGATTTTTTTAACTGTTAATTTTATTTTAGTATTACCATTTTTCTTTCTCTTACTACTGTTCATCTGATCTTCAGATTCTAATCTCAACCTTCCCCTTCTGATTTTAATCTTTGGACTTTTTTTTTTTTTAAAAATGAATTTATTAGCAAACTGTTCATTCTTTAACTGTTAAATTTTCTAAGCATTGGCTAATAGTATGTTTTTGCAAAATATTTCTTTCAAGGTCATATGCAAACACAGAGCTCTCCTTTTGCTCGGGGAAATGTATTTGGTGAGCCTCCAACTGAACTTCAGATTAAACAGCAAGAATTATACAAGAATTTTCTTCGTTTCCAGGTGAAATGCTATTTGATCAGTTTCAAAGTTTCATGAGATTTTAATAAACAAAACTTGCAAAGATTTTCTCCAGGATAAATACTAAATTCTAAAATGCCATACTGTTATCTAAAATATCTAATTTATATCAGATCAGATATCAGTAGTACAAAAGTTATTTCATTTCAAGGAAATAAACAGATGTATTAAGTATAGTAGTTGACTTAATCTTTTATTTTATTAAATAATTAATTTTTTTTATTTTTTTGAGACGGAGTCTTGCTCTGTCTACCCAGGCTAGGGTGTAGTGGTGAGATCTTCGCTCACTGCAACCTCCGCCTCCTGGCTTTAAGTGATTCTCCTGCCTCAGCCTCCTGAGTAGCTGGGACTACAGGTGCCTGCCACCACGCCCGGCTAATTTTTTGTATTTTTAGTGGAGACAGGGTTTCACCGTATTAGCCAGGATGGTCTTGATCTCCTGACCTCGTGATCTGCCTACCTTGGCCTCTCAAAGTGCTGGGATTACAGGCGTGAGCCGCCACACCTGACCAATTTTTGTATTTTTAATAGAGACGGGATGTCACCATCTTGGCCAGGCTGGTCTCGAACTACTGACCTCAAGTGATCTGCCTGCTTTGGTCCCCCGAAGTGCTGGGATTACAGGTGTAAGCCACCACGCCCAGCCTAAGTCATTAATTTTAAATCAAAGAATGCTGAGATTTTAAAAACTGATTTACTAATATATTCATCTATTAGGCAGAGAATGCATCTTTCTAGATATTTGTAAGTTATTAGAAAATCAATAGATTTTTTCCAAATGATTTGATATTATTACAGATTGTAAATAAATAAAAATTAGATTTAAGATAATCACAGTTTACAATTATTTGCCCCATTTATGTACATAAGTAAATGGCATTTAACATAGTAGAACTGCCCAGACTATTCGCAAAGGAAGACACTTGAACATCCAGTGTTTATGAAGCAAACAGACTTACTCCCATACTGGGGGTACCCTGGGCTGAGTCCTAGGGATGGAGCCTGAGATGAATGTGAGATACTTGCTCATGAGGGACTCACAGTTTCTTCTTTCCCTACCTCCCTCCCCTTCACACTCACACTTAGATACCAGTGTCAGATTAATCTTATGGCCTGGTTAATCCTCCTTTGATATGACTTTTCACCTGCTATTCTTCTTTACTCAAAATCTGGTGGTAGCTTTTCTTTGCCTACAGAAATTATCTCAACTCTTGAACCTAACATTTAAGGTTTTATAATCTAATTCCAAACTCTTAAATAGATGCCCTCAAACATATCTTCTTTTTAATCCTAATTATTCTTGACTCTTAAATAAGGCAGTGACGTAATGGATATAGCCTTTAAGGATGATTGATATTAGGCTGGGTGTGGTGGCTCACACCTCTAATGCCAGCACTTTGGGAGGCCAAGGTGGGCAGATCTCTTGAGCACAGGAGTTTGAGACTAGCCTGGGCAACATGATGAAACCCCATTTCTACAAAAAATTAGCCAGGCATTGTAGTGTGTGCCTGTCACCCCAGCTACTCGGGAGGCTGAGGTGGGAGGATTGCTTGAGCCCAGGAGGCAAAGGTTGCAGTGAGCCAAGATATGCCACTTTATTCTTGCCTGGGTGACAGAGTGAAAAAAGGATGATTGATGTGACATCACTGTTTAAGATACAATAATAGAGGATTAAAAAGAGTGGAAGCAGGGATATTTTACTAGTGTGGGTGACAGTGGAAATGGGTGGAAAGTGCTTTTTAAGGTTCAGCAGAAACAATATAGATATTAAATGTGAGAAACTGGTATCAGAGGTCCCAATATTGTGCACTCAAGTCAGGTAGCAGCAAGTTGAGGGTTCAGAGTCCCTGTTGAACGTAAAGGACCGTGTGGTATATTGACCATGACAGCAGGTCATAATTTAAGTACCTCCTCTAATGCTTAGCAGTTCTTATCATGGTCTAAGGTAGAATTCAGCCAAAAAACAATCTTACAATTGTATAGACTTTTATTGTTTTTGAGATACTTTTACATATAGTGTCTCATCAAACCTCAGATTTCTCTGAGAGAGGTTTTATTATCTCTGTTTAATAACATACAACTAATACACAGACTAACAGGCTTGCCCAGGGTGTCACAGCTAGCAAATTGTGAGGCCATTGCTTGAACCCAAGTCTCCAGACTTCAAGTGTAATATCTATGGATATCAGACTTCTATTTATAGGATTCACTAGGAAGTCTTTACCTCTAGAAAAAGTATGGTAATGGGGGAAGCTTTAACTATTTTAGTTTCAACCTTCAGTTCTTCCACCCTGTCAACCCTCAATTTATCTGTGAATGGATTGCTTTCAGATGATGATTTTTTAATTTTTCTTTCAGCAGCCTCTTCAAAATCTCTTCTCCCACCTCAAACAAAACCTAATATGTAATTCTAAGAAAATGTAAAATAGATCAATGGTATTTATTATTACTGTCAACAATATAATGTCAGATAAAAAGTATCCAAAACTTTTGTTAAAAAAAATATTATGAAATGTTCAAATCTGTGCACAAAGATGGTAAGAAATTAGCCTGAGGTCTGTACAAGTAAGTTCCACAGTTAGCTCAAGTTAATGCATCAGAAGTCTTCATGCTGTTAAAATTTGGTGAATATTAATAACACTTGTGAATGTTTGACATTTTTAACCACAGCTTTAAAAATAGTTAACAAATAAAATATTTTTAAGAACTCTGAAGCATTTTTGTGTTATGTAATTGGAAAACCATGACAGGAAGATAGCTTTCCCTGCTTTCCAGACCAGAAACCTGTTGAACAACTGTCTAGCATTCCTGTTGGCACTGAGCTTTGGATCCATTAGGTGTATGATCCATTAATAGCTTAAAAATTGGTATTCTTTGATTTTGATGGAAAAGTGACCCCTGTGAATGTGATTTTTTTTTCCATGGAGTAGGAAGAAGGGGGAATTGAGTATTGAATATGAAATTTTGATGAATTATAAATGATGTTTTCTTTAGGCATATTGGACTTGAAGAAGTGATTGCATGCAAATTGCTAACTAAAAGTACTAAATATTAGGCTTATGCATATTTAATAATGTTGTGAGAAAGAAGTGTTGGAAAAAGCCCTAGTATATAAAATCATAGGATGTGTTAGAAGATTAAAGTTCTTTTTTTTTTTTAAAGACAGAGTCTCATTCTGTCGCCCAGGCTGGAGTGCAGTGGTGCAATCTCGGCTCACTGCAACCTCTGCCTCCTGGGTTCAAGTGATTCTCCTGTCTCAGCCTCCTGAGTAGCTGGGATTACAGGCACACACCACCACGCCTGGCTAATTTTTGTATTTTTAGTAGAGACGGGGTTACACCATGTTGGCCAGGCTGGTTTCGAACTCCTGACCTCAGGTGAGCCACCGCGCCTGGCCAGATTAAAGTTCTTGTAGCTCAAAAATTAATAGCACTAGATAGAGCAACCTTGAAGCTAGAGGAAGTACAGACAAGAAAAACAAAAATATGCTGAGTAGTATGATCCATACCTAAGGATAACTAAAATCTGTTGATAACTTTAAACCAGAGACATGAATACCTGGTTCCCATGCTGCTGTTCTTCCCTGCCTCATTCATCGGGCGTGTGGACTATCTATCTCTTAGGGCCTTCTTTCCTTCAAATCTTAGGCTCTAGAGTACTCAACGCTGCAGACTCCAGGTAGCATTCAAGATGAAACTTAATTGTGAGTCCTTGTGACCTAAATCCTCCTCCACCTAATAGTTTTAGTTCTTTCTCCATTAACCTCTATAGTTAGGAAATAACAAAGGGCATTTGGGAGAAATGGCTCTTGCATTAAAAAATGATTGAATACTAAAATACTAATTTCACTGTTATTTTAGAATAATCAATTCCAAGAATTTTGACACATAATAGCAGCAATCACTATAGAATAATATAATCATGAATTAGTTGCTTAGAACCTTCTATATAGGAGGACTTTTATGTTCCTTACATTGTTTCACTTTAATTCTTTAAGCACTCCTTTGAGATGTAGGCGTTAATAACTGTGTTTACCAGAAAAAAGAGAAAACTGAGGACAAGCAAGTTTCTTAAGGTCACACGGTCTGTTTGGTGGAACTGGAATTTAACTCAAAGCTTTTAACAGTACAGTAAATCATGTAGCCTCCCTGAAAATACAGGAGACTGAAAAATTTAGGAACATGCAAAAAGAGGGTACAAGTGTTGAGTTTATATACTATCAGGAAAAAAATAAGTGATATTCTAACTTTTCAATAGTTTTACAAGATAAATAACTAAGTTTAATTCTTTAGATTGAGGAAAAGAAACAAAGAGAGGAAGCAGAGCGAGAGAGACTGAGAATTGCAGAAGAAAAAGAAGAAAGACGGCTTGCAGAACAGAGGGCACGAATTCAGCAGGAGTATGAAGAGGAACAGGAAAAGAAAAGAGAGAAAGAGGAGGAGGTACATCTTTTTTCCCTATTGTATTTTACTACTTAGTCTGAAGGTGAAATCTTTGACTTGAAAAGGTATTTCTTACTTATAAAGGAGAACAGTGTTGGAGTACATTTAGAAAATATCAGATCAATATACATTCTTTGGATATTATTTTATTAAGGTGAAAGGGTAATTTAAGAAAGGAGATAAGTGATGACTTTAAAAATATAGATGTAGGCTGACTGAAGACTTTATAAAAGATGCCTAATATTTTATTTTTAAGCAGACAACTTATGTTAAAGAACACCATATCATGTCATCTATATCTTTATCTCATTTTATCAGATAAATAAGGCAGCACATTTTTGAATGTACTATAGAAGGAATATATGGAATGCATATTTCTCTTTTTATTTTAAAGCAAAGGCTAAAAAATGAAGAGCATATTCGGTTAGCTGAAGAAAGACAAAAAGAAGCAGAAAGAAAGAAGAAAGAAGAAGAAGAAAAATATAACCTGCAACTTCAGCACTACTGTGAAAGAGACAATTTGATTGGGGAAGAAACAAAGGTAAGTTTCAGACAAAAATGTCAATCAAACCCATAGTTTAACTCACTTTCACTGTGAGAGTTGTACAGTTGTTAGAAAAGGGGAGAAAGAGGAGGAGGTGCTTTTGTTCCTGTTCTGTCTTACTGTTTAGTCTGGGCACAATGTACTGAACTTTCTGTAGGAGGTACTGTCACTGTGCTTTGTTGGTATTTTCTGTCCATTGAAGGTAATGGATTTACTTACTTGAGCCATTCTTAGTCTCATTCCCATGGTGTATGCGGTGCCACCCAAGAATATGGTCTGCAGACAGTACAACATGAACTGTTTGTTATGGTTCATGACAAGACTAATACAGAAAGTGAGAGTGGTTTATATATATATATATATGTATTCTTTTTTTTTTTTTTTTTTTTTTTTTTTTTGAGACATAATCTCGCTCTGTTGCCCAGGCTCTGGAGTGCAGTGGCACAATTTTGGCTCACTGCACCTCCACTTCCTGGGTTCAAGCAGTTCTCCTGCCTCAGCCTCTCAAGTAGCTGGGACTACAGGCACACGCCATCATGCCCAGCTAATTTTTGTATTTTTAGCAGAGACGGGGTTTCACCATGTTGGCCAGACTGGTCTCAAACTCCTGACCTCAGATGATCCACCCACCTCTGCCTCCCAGAGTGCTGAGATTACAGGAGTGAGCCACCACGCCCGGCCTTCTCTCTCTTTCTTTCTTTCTTTCTTTCTTTTTCTTTCTTTCTTTCTTTCTTTCTTTCTTTCTTTCTTTCTTTCTTTCTTTCTTTCTTTCTTTCTTTCTTTCCTTTCCTTCCTTCCTTCCTTCCTTCCTTCCTTCTTTCTTTTCTTTTCTTTTCTTTTCTTTTCTTTTCTTTTCTTTTCTTTTCTTTTCTTTTCTTTTCTTTTCTTTTCTTTTTCTTTTTCTTTTTCTTTCTTTTTGTTTTAAGAGACCAGGTCTTGCTATGTTGCCCAGGCTGATCTCAAATTTTTGGGCTCAAGTTATCCTCCTGCCTCAGCCTCCCAAAGTGGTGGGATTGCAGGTGTGAGCCACCACACCCTGCCTCACAGATAATTTTTTATTGTAAAATTCATCATTTAAGAATTTAAGGTCGAGGCAGGCGGATCACTTGAGGCCAGGAGATCGAGACCAGCCTGGGCAACATGGTGAAACCCCGTCTCTATAACAAATACAAAAATTAGCTGGGCGTGGTGGCAGGCACCTGTAGTCCCAGCTACTCAGGAGGCTGAGGCAAGAGAATCGCCTGAACTTGGGAGGCGGAGGTTGCAGTGAGCCGTGACTGCACTGTGGCACTCCAGCCTGGGTGACAGAGCGAGACTCCATCTCAAAAAAAAAAAAAAAAGAATTAAACAGAATTGTTAGTTTCCCATAATTATATTTCTTGTAATTTCTTATGTTTTTTAAAAATGCTATTTTTTAAGGAATATATACTTTTATGATATTATAATTTAATTGTAAAGTACCATAAAGTTTTAAATCAGCTTTATCCCATTTAATGCATTTGCCTTTCTGAAATTAACATTGCTATCATTTTCTTTCATTTATGTATGTCTGATATATATATATATTTTTGTCTATTCCTTCAGTTTTACCTTTGTGTCACCATATTTTTTATTTAGTTAGCTTCTATCTTTAGTTTGTTGAATTTTTAAAATCCTAATCTGAGTTATAATCTTTTTATTTTTATTTATTTATTTATTTATTTAGAAATAGAGACTCGCTTTGTTGCCCAGGCTGGAGTGCAGTGGTGCAATCTCGGCTCACTGCAACTTCCGCCTCCCAGGTTCAAGTGATTCTCCTGCCCTAGCCTCCCCAGTAGCTGGAATTACAGGTGCAAACTACCACACCTGGCTAATTTTTATTAGAGACGGGGTTTCACCATGTTGGCCAGGCTGGTCTTGAACTCCTGTCCTCAGGTGACCTGCCTGCTTGGCCTCCCAAAGTGCTGGGATTATAGACATGAGCCACTGCACCTGGCCTAATCTTTTAAAATAGGGATATCTAAATCCATTTATGTTTATCAAAACTAATGTCTTTGCATTAATTGCATTTCTGACTTTTTTGTGTTTTTCTTCCTTGATAGCTTTTTGGTCTTTTGTTATGTGTACTATGGCTTGTTTGCTCCATCCTCTACAGGGATTTAGAATGTCTATGTTGTATTTACAATGAAGTTTTTGGACTATAAGGTTTAATACACTATAAACTGAAATATAGAACCCCATCGTGATCTTGAAAAGTCCCTCATCCATGATGCTGTTAGTGATTAGATCTAGATTTTCGAGGTTGATTTGTATTGCTTTCCAGAAGGATTTTGTTATTTAATTTTTTTGTATTGTCATGGTACCTTTTTATTATTAAAGATGATTCTTTAGTTTTGTTATATTTTTTCTTTTTTGTTGCTTTACTTGTGTTTGTTGATTTTTTAAATCCTAATCTGACAGTCATACTGTTTTAATAAAGATGTCTAAATCCATTTATGTTTATCATAACCAACATGTTTGATCTTATGTAATTGAATTTCTGACTTTTGTAGAAAGCATTTTATTAAATAAAAGCAATAACAATCTAAACTTCTTAGATGACTTTCTTAACTATAAGGGGTGTGTGTGTGTGTATATATGTGTGTGAGTGTGATGAAGCAAATATGCTCTTAAATTTTTTAAATTTTTCAGCACATGAGACAGCCTTCTCCTATAGTTCCTGCTCTTCAGAACAAAATTGCAAGCAAACTCCAAAGACCTCCTTCAGTTGACAGCATCATACGTTCCTTTATTCATGTATGTACTTTTGTTTTTATTTGTTCATCCTAGCTCAGTTATTTTGGATTGGGGGATCGAATGAAATTTTCTTTTTCATTATATTTGGATAGGTTAAATTTTTTCAGATCTGAAATATAGGTGATATCTACAGTAATTTGCCTGCTGCTTCGATTGTAACTGATAGTGCTTGGTGCCCTAAAGTTTCTTTTGACAAACCATAATTTAGCCCCTCAAGCTAGGTAGCTGTAGATATGCTCATTGAGTCTGTTATACTTTAGATTGAACTACAAGGAAAAGAGAACATGGAAAATGTTCTAAGATTGATCCTCAAGGTGATGCTTGAAGAATATGCAGGAATTTGCCTTGAAGAGGAGGGTGAGGGATTATCAGCTTGTGGAAAGTCGTGGAGAGCAATGTAAGCTCATGGCACATGTGGAGAATCTTCCATGGTGTGGTCTGGCCTGATGATGCTTGTGCATTAAGGCAGCAGAGGAGGTGGAGGTCAGAACATGTGTGGCATGCTGTACGGAGTGCTAAGAGCTTTGATTTTGTTCCATAGGCTGGTAGATTCCAGACAGGCTAATTAGCAGAAGGTAAAGAAATGTGTCAGAAGAACATGTTTCTGAATTCCACCCTTTGAGATTCTGATTTAGTAGGTCTGTGGTAGATAATGCATAGGAATTCATTGTAATATTTAAGTAGGGGAATGACATGGCCACTTTTGTATAATGTTTTTTTAGGCAATGGTGTGGAGATAAGTTTTGGAGGTGGGGCAAGACTAAACATGGAGATAAGATGCTTTTGCACAAGTCCAGATGTGAGACTGAGGACCCAAACAAAGGCAGTGACACCAAGAACTGTGAAGGTGTGACAGCTTTATGATACATTTAAGAGACATAGTAGTACTATTTGTTGAGTGTGTGGTGGGTAGGAGTCTATGATAACTTTCAAGTTTTTGGTGAGGGTTACATAGAGTAGGCAGTTGAAAATATGAATTGTGGCAGCAGAATGAGTTCTGGACTCGATTTGTAGTTCTGGACGCCATCAACATATTGGTGCTTGTTAAATTAGTGCCATTGTCTACGATGAGTGTCTACAAGAGAAGTAAAGGAGGCTGAGAATAGAATACTGGGAAATTACCAACATTTGAGAAGCAGTGAAAGGAATGGACAGAGGGTGAGAGAGGATGGCAGTGACGGCAGTTGCGACTGGCCAAGTAAAATGCCCACTGAATGTGTCACTTGGGGGTCACTTGATGACTTTGGTGAAGGCAGTATTGTTGGAGTGATGGGTGTGAAAGCAAAGGCCATAGCTGTGTGTTGAGAAGTGAATGAGAGTAGGCAGTAGACCCAAAAGTACTGCATTTACTGTTCTTTAAGGAAGCTCAGCTGTGAAGGGAAGGACAGAATGGACAGGAGACAGTGAGCAATGAAGGATGAGGTAAAATTTTTTTTTAAGAAAGGGAGAGGTTTTTACACATAGGCTGAGAGGAAGGTGCTTGGAGAGAGGAAGTTGGAAAAAAGAATAATCGGAGGAGAATGGGAGTCAATTATCAGATACAGAGTACAGGTGAAGGGATTCTGTTTGGGTAGAGGCAAGGACACTTCCATCGTGATGAGAAGGAAGAATAGATTTACATGGTAGATACACTCTAGAATAGATATAAAAGGTGGATATACTCTACCTTGGGTAGAGTATAGCTGGGTAAGTTTTGGAGGTAGGATAGTGTGGAGTTTGGTTTCCTTTACATATAAATACTTCAAAAAATTACTCCCTTCAAGCTTCTGTGTAGGGAAGACATACTGAACATGTCTTTGTCATTATTGTTGAACAGGAAAGTTCCATGTCCAGGGCACAGTCACCCCCGGTACCTGCCAGGAAAAATCAGCTCCGTGCAGAAGGTAGAGTTAACTACTAAACCTGTTACCTAGAGTATTTCTCTTTTTAACTTTTCATTTTGAAATAATTATAAACTCATAGAAAATTGCAGAAACAGTATAGAGCGGTTAGGTGCTGTGTACCCATTCTCCAACTTTCCCCTGGGGTAACATCTTAGATAGTATAGTCTCATAGCCAGGAAGTGGACATTGATGTGGTCCACAGACCATCAGATTTTACCAGTTTTTACATGCATTTATGTATGTGTATTTCTGTGCATTTTTATCATGCACAGTTTGTGCGACTACCACTGCAATCAAGATACAGAACTGTTCCATCACCGTAAAGGAACTTCCTTGGGCCTCTCCTTTATAGTTGCACTCCCCCAAGAATATCGCTTCTGAAATTCCTATATTATAAAAAATGTACTTGTGGGTCCTAATGACGTTCACAATTATGATCCATGTATGTGTGTATATATAAAATGTTAAAATATCTTTCATAAAATTGTCTCTCTGAGCAGTTTCACTTTATTATTAGTCAGGTTGTGTTTTAATGTTTAGTCTTTTGTTCTTATTCCTGTCTTGTGTTTTACTTATCAATGGGAATTTGCAGAGGAGAAAAAAAATGTAATTATGGAATTATCAGAAATGAGAAAACAGCTTCGTAGTGAAGAGAGGCGTCTACAAGAGCGATTGCTACACATGGACAGTGATGATGAAATTCCTATCAGGCAAGTTTAGAATTGCAGTTTTTGTGTTCGCTTGAGTTCTTTTATCTTACTTCACCTATCCAGTAATTTTGTAGTTTGGGAACAGGACTAATTCATCTTACTTAAAATCTCCTTACTTTCCTTTTCTTTGTCTTTTACAAAATCAGCTGTAGAAATTTAGTTCTCAAGGGGATTCATGTAGGAATGGAAATTTCCGGGTTGGAATAATTACAGACAGTAGTTGCATTTTAGAACTGTTTTTTATATTTTCCATTAATAACGTAGCTTTCTGAAATACTTTTTTTCAACAAAATCACGTACGGGCTACCGAACATTTCTGATCATTTTTGCCAGGAGTCATAAATTTCATGAAGCAGTGTTCTTCAAACTTCAGTTTGCACTGTTTTAGTAGGTTGTAAAATCAACATAGTGGGTAACTACCACATTTTCTTTCTTTCTCTTTTTAAAAATAAACTTTCTATTTTGGGGTAATTTTGATTATAAAAAAGTTGCAGGCTGGGTGCAGTTGCTCACGCCTGTAATCCCAGCACTTTTGGGAGGCCAAGGTGGGCGGATCACGAGGTCAGGAGATCGAGACCATCCTGTCTAACACAGTGAAACCCCGTCTCTACTAAAAATACAAAAAATTAACTGGGTGTGGTGGCACGCCCCTGTGGTCCCAGCTACTCAGGAGGCTGAGGCAGGAGAATGGCGTGAACCCAGGAGGCGGAGGTTGCAGTGAGCCGAGATCACACCACTGCACTCCAGCCTAGGTGACAGAGTGAGACTCTGTCTCACGAAGAAAAGTTGCAAACAATACAGAGAGTTTCTGTACACCCTTCATCCAGTTTTCCCTATTGTTAACATCTTATATTACCATGGTATGTTTGTCACAACTCAGAGGCTGACATTAGAACATTACTATGAACTAAATTTGAGACTCTTTGGATTTCTCCAGTTTTCTACTAATGTTCTCCTTCTGTTCATGGGCCCCATACAAGATGTACCACATTGCATTTAGTTGTCATGTCTCCCAGTCTCCTCGGGTCTGGGACAGTTTACCAGTCTTCTGTTGTTTTTCTTGTGAAAGTCTAGATGGGCACTGGCCAGGTATCCTGTAGAATGCCTCCTCCTCCAGTCTGGATTTGACTGATGTTTTCTGATGATTAGACTGGGATTAAGGGTTTCTGGAAAGAAGAGCACAGGCATTGTTCTGACATCACATCATCACATTGTATCAGGGGTACATGATATCCACATGATACCTCTGGAAATGTTAACCTTGGTTAAAGTAGTGTTTGCCAGGATTCTCCACTAGAAAGTTAACTATTCTTTGGTCACAAATGACTAAATCTAGCGCACCTGCAAGAGTGAGAAGGGGGTGGAATTAAGCTTCATCTCTTGGAGCAGGGGTTACCTATATACAGTTTTTAGAATTCTTCCATAAGAAAGACTTGTGTCTTCTTCCATTTATTTATTTATTCAATCGTTTATTTATTACTGTCATCTCATGTATATTTATCATATACTTTGGGTTATAAGCCAGTGCTACATTATTTTATTTCACAAATTGTTCCAACTTTGGCCATTGGGAGCTCTTTCAGGTTGGCTCCCGTGTCTCTTTGACATGTCCCCATCCTTTTGTTTTTTGAAGACTTCTTTCCAGATGCCTCAGGATCATCTTGTATTTCCCCTGCCCCATCCCTAGAATCAGCTATTTCTCCAAGGAGCCCTGGTTCCTTTTGGAGAATGTATTTAGAAACCAGATAAGCTGGGTCTGCTTATTGCTGGGTGTCACTGCTTCTAGGCCCTCTGGATAATATATGTATGTTATACTAAGTCATAAATATAAACATATCTATAATTGTTCCTATGTCTATTTGTATACATATTAAGTTTATGCTGATGTCTGACTGTAATCCAGTATGTGGTAGGATTTTAACATAGCACGTTAATTTGACTACTTATGGTTTGTTTAGATTTTTGTTTGTATTCTCCAGGAATATTGAAACAAGGTAAACAAGGTGAGGAAATTTCAAGGTACAGATTGGCTTGATAATGAAATGTTAATCCAAGGTGGTAATTTTCAGTGATTCAATAATTCTCCCATAGTAGGTCAATACGTTCCAAGCAATTGAGAGGTAGTGTTTTTTTTCTATATTTACTTTTACAGTGTTATAAATGCCTTAACTGTGCAGCTTTCCAACTTCTAAACATGCATATTTAATTCAGTTTAACGGTTTTTTTTTTTTTTTAATTGATCATTCTTGGGTGTTTCTCGCAGAGGGGGATTTTGTAGGGTCATAGGACAATAGTGGAGGGAAGGTCAGCAGATAAACAAGTGAACACAGGTCTCTGGTTTTCCTAGGCAGAGGACCCTGCGGCCTTCCGCAGTGTTTGTGTCCCTGGGTACTTGAGATTAGGGAGTGGTGATGACTCTTAACCAGCATGCTGCCTTCAAGCATCTGTTTAACAAAGCACATCTTGCACCGCCCTTAATCCATTTAACCCTGAGTGGACACAGCACATGTTTCAGAGAGCACCGGGTTGGGGGTAAGGTCATAGATCAACAGCATCCCAAGGCAGAAGAATTTTTCTTAGTACAGAACAAAATGGAGTCTCCTATGTCTACTTCTTTCTACACAGACACAGCAACAATCTGATTTCTGTATCTTTTCCCCACATTTCCCCCTTTTCTATTTGACAAAACCGCAATCATCATCATGGCCCGTTCTCAATGAGCTGTTGGGTACACCTCCCAGACGGGGTGGCGGCTGGGCAGAGGGGCTCCTCACTTCCCAGAAGGGGCGGCCGGGCAGAGGCACCCCCACCTCCCGGATGGGGCGGCGGCTGGGCGGAGGCTGCCCCCCACCTCCCACCCGGACGGGGCAGCTGGCCGGGCGGGGGCTGCCCCCCACCTCCCTCCTGGACGGGGCGGCTGGCCGGGCGGGGGCTGCCCCCCACCTCCCGGATGGGGCGGCTGCTGGGCGGAGGGGCTCCTCACTTCCCAGACGGGGCAGCTGCCGGGCGGAGGGGCTCCTCACTTCTCAGACGGGGCGGCTGCTGGGCGGAGGGGCTCCTCACTTCTCAGACGGGGCAGCTGCCGGGCGGAGGGGCTCCTCACTTCTCAGACAGGGCGGCCGGGCAGAGACGCTCCTCACCTCCCAGACAGGGTTGCGGCCGGGCAGAGGCGCTCCTCACATCCCAGATGGGGTGGCGGGGCAGAGGCGCTCCCCACATCTCAGACGATGGGCAGCCGGGCAGAGACGCTCCTCACTTCCTAAACGGGATGGCGGCTGGGAAGAGGTGCTCCTCACTTCCCAGACTGGGCAGCCGGGCAGAGGGGCTCCTCACATCCCAGACGATGGGTGGCCAGGCAGAGATGCTCCTCACTTCCCAGACGGGGTGGCGGCCGGGCAGAGGCTGCAATCTTGGCACTTTGGGAGGCCAAGGCAGGCGGCTGGGAGGTGGAGGTTGTAGCCAGCCGAGATCACGCCACTGCATTCCAGCCTGGGCAACATTGAGCACTGAGTGAACGAGACTCCGTCTGCAATCCCGGCACCTCGGGAGGCCGAGGCTGGCAGATCACTCGTGGTTAGGAGCTGGAGACCAGCCTGGCCAACACAGCGAAACCCCGTTTCCACCAAAAAAGTACGAAAACTAGTCAGGCGTGGTGGCGCGCGCCTATAATCGCAGGCACTTGGCAGGCTGAGGCAGGAGAATCAGGCAGGGAGGTTGCAGTGAGCCGAGATGGCAGCAGTACAGTCCAGCTTCGGCTCGGCATCAGAGGGAGACCGTGGAAAGAGAGGGAGAGGGAGGCCGTGGGGGAGACGGGAGAGGGGGAGGGGGAGGGGGAGAGGGAGAGGGAGACCTAACGGTTTTTTGACATTAATTTTTCTTTTCATTAATAAATTCTTTTGGCAAGCCAATATGATTTAAGAAAGAGTACTCGAGCAGCGCCTCAATTTTCTCGCTTGAAAATTATACATGATAATTTCTACCCTTTGAGAATCTAGTGAAGAATAAATAAATGTATGTATTTGAAATAAATAAATAAATATATGTATTTGTGACTCTTAAGTTCTAACTTAAGTTATAAAACATGTTACATTTATCATCATTTAGCAAGAATTGGTTAAATACATTTACTTTGGAATAATTTTAATACATATTCTGATTAAAGACATCTCAGAGTTGGTTCTTTATTGCAATTTCATGAATATATGTACAAAAGGAATCTTGTATTCACTAAATAATTTGCCATATTCAACTCCTATTATGTGCTAGGCTCAAAACAAATGTGATGTGGCTCACATGTGAAGATTTAGTAACCTACTTCCTAACTTATCAGTGTATAACTATTAGCATTAATGGAAACTAGACAGCAGTCCAATTTAATGGTCTCTTGGATGTCTTTTTAGTATTTTGCATTATAGTAAATCTCCATAGAGTTCCTTTCACCTTAAGTATTAGAGGTCTCTGTCAGCCTTGACCAGAGTCATTTTGTGGCCCCAGTGAATGCTCCCCTGCAAAAGGGAAACTCCATTAGAGCAGGGGCATTGTCTGTGGGGATCCCAGCTATCTTGTCTTGGTGCTTAGGGAAGATTTAATGATAAAGAAATGATGGGAGGAGTCTGACTAAGCCTCATAATGACCATAGCTTAGAGCTCCATTTTCAAAAATAGAGGAGACCTAGTGCTGACTGAAGCAGCAGTAGGTATTTTATTTTATTTTATTTTATTTTCAGGACTAGAAACACCATCCCTCTTTTATCATCACTCCCTCAAAGCCCTGGCAGAAAACACCCTTACTACCTGCTATCTATTAATTTCTTAGGTACCACAGGAATCAGTTAACTAGTTAGGTTATCAAGTTCCTTGTAAAGTCCATTGTAAAGTTAATGTTGGGTCCTCTGAATAATGCCCATATTGAACTACGTATTAGTACCATATTTCTGTTTTTATTTTTATTTTTTTGAGACGGAGTCTCGCTCTGTCACCCAGGCTGGAGGCATGATCTTCGGCTCACTGCAACCTCTGCCTCCCGGGTTCAAGTGTTTCTCCTGCCTCAGCCTCCTGAGTAGCTGGGATTACAAGTGCCCACCCCCACGCACGGCTAATTTTTGTATTTTTAGTAGAGACAGGGTTTCACCATGTTGGTCAGGCTGGTCTCAAATTCTTGACCTCAGGTGATCCACCCGCCTCGGCCTCCCAAAGTGCTGGGATTACAGGTGTGAGCCACCGTGCCCGGCCAGTACCATATTTCTTTTTATATTTTTGGAGACAGAGTCTCTTTCTGTCACCTAGGCTGGAGTGCAGTGGCATGATCTTGGCTCACAGCAACCTCCGCCTCCTGATTCAAGTGATTCTAGTGCCTCAGCCTCCCAAGTAGGTGGGACTACAGGTGCAGGCTACCACACCTGCTAATTTTTGCATTTTTTAGTAGAGACGTGGTTTTTCCATATTGCCCAGGCTGGTCTCGAACTCCTGAGTTCAAGCAATACGTCGGCTTCTCAAAGTGCTGGGATTATAGGCGTGAGCCACAGGGCCCTGCCTATTACCATATTTCTATGTGTGATTTGTGTCTTAGGCTGAGGGGAAGGTAATTTATTGATTATCTAATGCATGTCAGGTACTATACTAGGTACTTAACAGTATAGCATTTATCTCAATTCTGACCGGATATGGTGGCTCACCCCTGTAATCCCAGCACTTTGGGAGACTGAGGCGGATGGATCACCTGAGGTCAGGAGTTCGAGACCAGCCTGACCAACGTGGCAAAATCCTGTCTCTACTAAAAATACAAAAAAAAAAAAAAAAATTAGCCGAGTGTGGTGGTGCGTGCCTGTAGTCCCAGCTACTTGGGAGGCTGAGGCAGGAGAATTGCTTGAACTGGGAAGTGGAGGTTGCAGTGAGCTGAGATTGTGCCACTGCATTCCAGCCTGGGCAACAGAGCAGGACTCTTTCAAAAAAAAATTTTTTTATCTTAATTCTGTTGTTCACCGTAAGACTATAAGGGGTAGACATCTGCATTTTACAGATGATGGAATCGAGGTCAAACTGCTAATAAATAACAGAGCTGGTCTTTGAATCTCAGTTTCTCTGACCTCAAAGACTGTGATCTTCATACTCCATGAACATTTTATTTTATTTTTTCCATGAACATTTTAAAGTAAGGCTGAATCATTCTATTGTAATAAGGTATCTTGCATCTGAGGATTTTGAAAAATTTCAATAACGTTATAAATATGCTATATTTTAAGGTAAAGGATGGAACTAATAGAGCTGTTCGAATAATTTATTTATTTATTTATTTTTGAGACGGCTTCTTGCTCTGTCACCCAGGCTGGAGTGCAGTTGCACTATCTCGGCTCACTGCAAGCTCCACCTCCTTGGTTCACGCCGTTCTCCTGCCTCAGCCTCCTGAGTAGCTGGGACTACAGGCATGCGCCACCCCACCCGGCTAATTTTTTGTATTTTTAGTAGAGATGGGGTTTCACCGTGTTAGCCAGGATGGTCTTGATCTCCTGACCTCGTGATCCGCCCGCCTCGGCCTCCCAAAGTGCTGGGATTACAGGCATGAGCTACTGTGCCCGGCCAATTTTTTTTTTTTTTTTAAGAGACGGGGGGCCGGGTGCAGTGGCTCATGCACGCCTGTAATCCCAGCACTTTGGGAGGCCGAGGTGAGCAGATCACGAGGTCAAGAGATAGAGACCGTCCTGGCCAACATGGTGAAACCCCATCTTTACTAAAAATACAGAAAAATCAGCTGGGCCTAGTGGTGCACGCCTGTAGTCCCAGCTACTCAGGAGGCTGAGGCAGGAGAATTGCTTAAACCCGGGAGGAGGAGGCTGCAGTGAGCTGAGATCACGCCACTGCACTCCAGCCTGGCAAGAGAGCGAGACTCCACCTCAAAAAAAGAGACAGGGTCTCCCTCTGTTGTCCAGGCTGGAGTGCAGTGGCATGATCACAGCTTATTGTAGCCTTGGCCTCCTGGGCTCAATCAATCCTCTCATCTCAGCAGTAGCCAGGACTACAGGCACACACTATCATGCTTGACTAATTTTGTTGTTGTTGTTGAGATGGAATCTTGCTCTGTCACCCAAGCTGGAGTGCAGTGGCGTGATCTTGGCTCACCACAGCCTCCTCCTCCTGGGTTCAAGCAATTCTCATGCCTCAGCCTCCCGAGTAGGTGGTACTACAGGCACACACCACCACGCCCAACTAATATTTGTATTTTTAGTAGAGACAGGGTTTCACCATTTTGGCCAGGCTGGTCTCAAACTCCTGACCTCAGGTGATTTGCCTGCCTTGGCCTCCCAAAGTGCTGGGATTACAGGTGTGAGCCACCATGCCTGGCCAACTTTTTTTTCTTTTTTGAGATGGAGTCTTGCTCTGTCACCCAGGCCGGAGTGCAGTGGTGTGATCTCAGCTCACTGCAACCTCCACCTCTTGGGTTCAAGTGATTCTGCTGCCTCAGCCTCCCGAGTAGCTGGGACTACAGGTGTGCGCCATCACACCCAGCTAATTTTTGTATTTTTAGTAGACATGGGGTTTCTCCACGTTGGCCCAGTCTGGTCTCGAACTCCTGACCTCAGGTGATCCACCTGTCTTGGCCTCCCAAAGTGCTGGGATTATAGGCATGAGACACCATGCCTGGCCTCATAATTTTTTTTTTTTTTTTTTTTTTGTAGCGAGGGGGTCTTGCTTTATAGGCCAGGCTGGTATTGAACTCCTGATTTCAAGCAGTCCTCCTGTCTGCCTCCCAAAGTGCTGGGATTACAAGTGTGAGCCACAGCACCTGTCCTAGAGTAATTTTTTAATAATATGATGTGGTGAAAAAGACCAAATTTCTTTTACAGTGAATTAGATGTGAACTCACCTATTTTTCCTGTGAAGCACATATTATGATTTGTCATTTATCTATAGGAAAAAGGAAAGGAATCCCATGGATATATTTGATATGGCTAGACATCGGTTGCAAGCTCCTGTCAGAAGACAGTCCCCTAAGGGCTTAGACGCTGCCACTTTTCAGAATGTTCATGATTTTAATGAGCTGAAAGATAGAGGTGAGTAGATTGCTGCTCTTTTAAAGATGTAGCAGAAGTGTTCTACCCATATTTAAATATCTATAAAGATCTTTGTACCCTTTTTCTAAAGTGGAATTTTATCTATGGTATGTATTTTAGTTAAAATGAAATGAAACTTATGTATTCTCTAGGTCTTCAGTTAACCAGTCTGGTAGATGAAGCTTTAGTTTGACTAACTGCTTTCTTTTGGAGAGCATACAGTGTTAAAGTCTGGAATGGATGAGATCGCATAGACTAGTACGAAGAATGGAACTTGGCATTTAATGGAGGATGGACAGACAAAGATGAGCTCATGAAAAATACTGAGGAGAAGCCAGAGAGACTGGAGGAGAAGCAGGAGAATGTAGGATCCTGAAACCTGAGGGGAAGGAGTATCAAGGAGACAGGATCATGTAAGGTGAATACCGGAAAATGTCAGTTGGATGAGGTCATTGGTGACCTCAGCTAGAGCTTTTTAAGTGGAATGATTGCCGATTAACTTTGGAATGAGGATTGACTAGGAGGCAAGATGTTGGAGACAATAGGCATAAGACTTTTAGAAGACCCTTGGCTGGGAAAGGGAAGGGAAGGAGAGGGATCAGGAGCTGGAAGAGTCCTTAGAATGTGAACGTGAGGAGCTATGCAGGAGAAAGAGGTTCAGGCTCTAGGAGAGGGAGAGTGATTGTTGAAGTGAAATCTAGGGGATTTGAGGGAAGAGTTAGGAGAAGCTTTGATGTAGCCACTTAGGGCTAATGGAAGAGAAAGTTTAGTAAGGAAACGAGATTTCCAGGGTACATGAGGCCTGGGAGATGGAGAATGTGTGGAGGAACCAAATGTGTGTTGTGTAATTTTCCTTTAGGCATATTCAGCAGAGCAGGTGTTGGAGCAGAAGGGGCAGATTATGGGATGTGTGGTCGTATGACGTAGGCCAGAAAACTGGAATTTAGGCTTTTTATCCTTTTGAAAATACTATCTGTTTATTATAGCAAATTTTCAAAATACAGAAAGATAGTAAGAAGGAAAAATCACTTTAGTCAAACTACCTATATGTAAGTACCATTATCATTTTGGATGTTTTCTAGTCTTTCTGAGCATAATTAAAAGAAAAAAAAAGATAAATTGTGTTATTTATTTAATTTTCTCTATTGTTTTTCACCTAGATTTACACGTATTATCAATTACGTATACTGTTATTTTTTATGCTATCAAATATTGATTACTTACTATCTGCCAGGCATTGTGTTAACCCAGTGGGTCTCATGAGGAGTTTGGTCTGAAGTCAAAACTGTTTGTATTATAAACTAAGACATTATTTGTCTTTTTCATTCTCATTCTCTCATGTGTATATAGATTGGCCAGAGACTACATGACATGTAATGATTTCATCTCTTTGAAGCTAGCAAAATGTGTCCTTGTGTATTCTTGTGTTTTAGGAATCTCTTAGTTTTAATTTCTAATATGGCGTGTGTGTGTGTGACATACATAAGTAAAGCTCTTTGGGGTCCTCAATTTTTAAGAGTGTAAAAAAGATCTTGAGACCAAAAAGGTTTAAGCCATAGAATTGGGCTGTTCATTTCCCTGTGTTACTACATCTTGCCCTCATTCACCCATGACTTGGTGGTTGGTATTGTTTTTTTAATGAGTTTGGAAGCAGTGAAGCCAGGGACCAATCCAAGTTTATGTGTCCAGAAACTTCTGTTAACTTCTGAAAATGGCTGTTAACCATTTTCACTATTTTGTTCTTTTGATAATTTCTGATCATAAAGCTTTATACATATTTAGGACCATAAAACTACATATATATTTAGGATCATTTCTTTATATTCCAGCAGTGTAATTAGTGAGTCAAAGGGAATAATATTTTCAAGGCTTTTTATATGTATGAACTGTATGTTTCTTCTCAAGATTAAAAAATTTTTATTCTTGGCCAGGCACAGTGGCTAATGCCTGTAATCCCAGCACTTTGAGAGGCCGAGGCGTGTGGATCACGAGGTCAGGAGTTCAAGACCAGCCTGGCCAACATAGTGAAACCTCGTCTCTACTAAAAACTACAAGAAAAATTAGCCGGGCATAGTGGTGGGTGCTTGTAGTCCCAGCTACTTGGGAGACTGAGGCAGGAGAATGGCATGAACCCAGGAGGCAGAGCTGGCAGTGAGCCAAGACCGTGCCACTGCACTCCAGCCTGGGCGACAGAGCAAGACTCCGTCTCAAGAAAAAAAAAAAAAAAGAAATGGCATTCCCCCTCAAGTTCCAGCCAGTCTACATTTATCTTGCTTTCTGCATGATATTTGTAAGGACTAAAATATTAATTGGCCAGTAACATTATTTTTTCACGTTTCCAGTATATTTTAGAGATCAGCCGTGATTACAGTGTCTCATGGCTGCCTTAGTCATAGCCATGTGACCATCTGCTTGGATATACCTGCACGTAGTCTGTGTTCTGGGTGGCATCCTGGCAGGGCTAGGACAGGTAGAGATGGACAATGCAACATCCACTGCTTGTTCTGGGGTATTCCTTATGTTGGTAAGTTTGTGAAAAGACACTTATTAAAGAATATTAATTTCATATTCTTTAGTTTTGTGGCTATTTTACTGTCCTTTGACTTTAGTGATGTTTCACTATTTCTATCATTTCCTTGATTTTGAAATTAGGTTACTCATGTTACTTACAGTGAAGTTTTACAAAATCCCATTTGAAAACAACATTTAACTTAGTTATATAACATATTTTTTATACCAGATTCAGAAACACGAGTTGATCTGAAATTTATGTACCTGGATCCTCCAAGAGATCATCACACCTTAGAGATTCAGCAGCAAGCCCTGCTAAGAGAGCAGCAGAAGAGGCTGAACAGAATAAAAATGCAGGAAGGTGCCAAAGGTAAGAAATAATCATTGCTGTGTCAAATAGTATCAGCACGCTGTTTTTCCGTAGGCTTTCTGCATCTCTTCTATTGATTTCATTCCCAGGCATCCTCCTTTCACTGGCAGCCCCATGCTCACAGGGTCCGTTTGGTCTGTAGTACCAGAAAAGAACAAGTATGAGAGAGAGCTCTGAGTGGCTCCACTAGGGTGGTGTATTCATGCATGAGAGGGGCCCAGTCATTCACTGTAGCCAGGAGGACTGAATACTTTGACCAGGCCAGGTGACGTCTGCATCAGGAACTAGGAACCAAAGGAAGGAGTGTCAGGCAGACATATCAGTGCCCTGTCATGATGTGTCGGGCATTTGCCTACTGTGCCATGTCAGGCATTTGTCTACTGTGGTGTGAGTGTGTTTAAGTTTTGATGTGGCGTAAAATCTGTAAAGCATCAGACTGGACTATGAATATGTTTTCGTATAATCAACTAACTGAAAGATACTTAGTGGTTACTAGGAGTGCAGGTACTGGCCTATATCCAGGGGATATGGTGATGAGTGACATATGCTGCTGCTCTTGAGGAGGTTATATTTTGTTGGAGAAGTGTGATGCTAAAGAAGTACAACTGTGATGAATATCGCACAGAAGAAATCTAGGATGCTGTTGGGTTGGGGTGGGTGGGCACCTAGAAGCAGAGTGGGGCTAGTTGTCTCAGAGAGCACTGATGGGCCCTGACGATAGCCAGGTGTACTGCATGGCCTTCCCATCTGTATTTCACCAGCCTTCAGGCCATCGAGGTTAACCATGGAAAATGAGTAATGAAAACCCAACAATCAGATAACAAGAGTGGAAGGGATGCTCCTGCTAGTTATTTTTAAGAAAAGTTAAGACCCTATCTTGGGAGGCTGGTCTGGCTTGCAGAATCTGAGGAAGATTTTTTGACTTCATGAGATAGCATCACAGGAGTAAGTGATGCAGCAGTTTAGGCCCAGATCATAGGTCAAGACTTCAATAAACATTTGTATAGGGATTGTCGTCCCTTCATCTGGTACAGAATTTTTAATAACAGCCTCATAGCCCTGTGACAGAATAAGCCTAATTCTAGGATAAGCAGTAGGTATATCATCTGGAGAGAGGAGAGAAGCAAGTGCATTCTTCAACCTTTGTACCCAGTCTGGTGGCATTTTTCTTTAGTCTCAAAATGAAGATCTGATCTTGTGGGATTTTGGCAGCTTAGACTGATTAGCCCACAAGTAGTCCCCATGTGGATACAGGTACATTTTAGCACTGAAGGTATCTATCTCCCACAGCAGCCACTCCCCAACTTCCAGTAGACACTATGAAGACCTAATTCATAGGAATATGACCTCACTGGCCAGGCGTGGTGGCTCACACCTGTAATCCCAGCGCTTTGGGAGGCTGAAGTGGGCGGATCATGAGGTCAGGAGTTCAAGACCAGTCTGGCCAACATAGTGAAACCCCCGTCTCTACTAAAAATACAGAAATTAGCTGGGCATGGAGGCGTGTGCCTGTAGTCCCAGCTACTCCGGAGCCTGAGTCAGGAGAATTGCTTGAACCCAGGAGGTGGAGGTTGCAGAGAGCCAAGATCGTGCCACTGCACTCCAGCTTGGGCAACAGAGTGAGACTTAGTCTCAAAAAAAAAAAAAAAAAAAAAAAGAATATGGCCTCACTATAAACAATCACAAACATGTCTATTAAAATATCTGAGAAGGAATACAGGCTATCATTCGCAGCTTGTTTATTTTCAAAGGCAGTATCTAAAAAGGGCAAAATGTACTATTCACAGGAACACATAGGAAGGCTGGTCATATTGGAGAGGCTTTGGGAT